>NC_000011.10:19435000-20060000 GCF_000001405.40 Homo sapiens | reverse complement strand
AAGAGACAGATCCTTGATTTTCTGAGTCAACCCAAAACTGAATGTGTTTTACCTGAACCATTGCAGTTCGGCCTCCTTCAAGGGAATTGAGCCAGGTCAGAGCCTAGGTTGTGCAATGTGGTTATTTTTGGACAACAAAATGCCTGTGGGAGTTACAGAAGCTAAACAGCTAAAGCAGGCTACATATTTTTCCTCCCTATAGCTATACCTCACATTTTTTCAGCTACAAGGAACCATAGAGAATATCTAGGCCACTTCTGCCATTGAGAAATCTGAAACTCGGAGAGGTGAAATGACTTGTTTAAGGTCACACAGCAATTCAAGAACAGGATCTGCTGACTAGAAGTCCGGAGATCGCTCTGCCTTTGAGTAATCTGTTGTACTGGTTTCTGATTCTTTTTTCATTTGTTTGTTTTTTTTTAAAGAGCCTTTTGGTGTCTTTTAGAATGGTGTCCTAGTCCCTTCATTCAGTCAACACATGGGCACAACCTAGGAATGTTTGAGAAGAAAGATGCTTTAGTAGGAGTGAAAACACTAGATAGAATGAAACAACTAGGCATATTCCAGCCAATAAAGCAATCAAGTGCCTCTGACCCTCATCACAGAGAATCTGCAGGTAACAATCCCAGACTAGGCAGGAGTTTCCACCGTTAATCAACAACAGAGTACATTACATCTCAGAATGGTTAAGTGACGTGGCCAGACACACAGCTAGTCAGGAGCAGAAAGAGAATGTGGATCTAGGCATCACGATCTACTTCTCATTCCACAATTGGGTACTGTGGAAAGAGTCAGAAGAATGAAATGCAGTGCTGATGGCTAATGGACTGCCCTGCCTCTCCACCAGCAAAGGAAGCATCACAAAACAGAGAAGACATTGATGAAAGATCAGAGCTTGCCTCAGACAGGTTTAAAAAAAAAAAACCCAACTGAGTCAGATATCAAGGTAGGATTGAGTGAAAAGAAAGAGGGACTGGAATCAAGAAGCTTAAGACATCATTGTGGCTGCATAAAGTCTTCAAGTCACTTTTGCCTCAATTTGGCCATTAAAAAAATGAGGATGATAATGGCCCTTGGGGAGAAGGCTATAATATGACAATTATAACAATAGCTACCATTGAGTGAGCACTTACAATACTCCCCTTTCAAAGTTATTTGTTAAATGCTTTCCAAGATTCATCTCACCTAATCTTCACTTCAATTTTCCAAAGCAGGTACAATTATTTTTCACATTTCAGTGAATAGGAAACAGGCTGAGCAGGTCAAGTCCTTTCTCAGAATCACACTGCTAACAGTAGAGGTGCCAGGATTTGAACCACTTCAGCAATTCAGGGCCTAGATACACAAGCATGCTGCAATACAAGCTTTCTTGATTAATAAGCTTCTGTGCTCCTGGGGATTCCATATAAATTGATAGGGTGGAGGGTTTCTGTGTTTTTCACTGCATTAGCTCTTAGTGATGATTGGTGAAGTCATGGGATTTTTTTTTCTCTAGAATCCATTTTAATAATGCTTCAAGCATCCCCTTAAATGTACGCTATTAAAGTTGACTTTAAGATCGCATAATGCATCTGATAGAAAGTAATTTACCTGAAACACCTTTGAAAGGCTGCATCTGGCCATGCCTGTACCTAATCTACATATTTATAATTCCTAAAACTCCTTCAAAGTGGAAAGAGCTAATTAAATTGCACAAAAACCTCACACAAATACTTGTGCTACTTCTTCCTAAATTTCTATTCTGCTTTATGGCGTATAATACACCTAACTGATTATTACAAGGAGGTTCTGTTTGGTCCAAACATGAAATGTCAATTTTCTTCCAACTGCTCCTGCAATACTGGGAGTTAATAAATTCAAAAAAAGGAATTTCAACGAAAGGAATTAAAAACCTAATTACACAAACTCTATTTTATTTTTGAATGTAATAACCTTAGAAGAAATAAAATCAATCTGATGCCATATTTTCCAAAAGATGATAATGTTATGTATTCACAGTGTATTGACAGCGGTCCCTATCCATTCCCCTAAAGTTTGACTTTTACCTCTGTGCTTCAGTTCCATGTCACCATGAATCATTAGGTTTACAAAAGTCTAGACACTGCTTGTGGGCAAGCACTTTTTATCAATGTCATTTTGACATCCCAGATATTCCACAGTTGTGCTGTCTGCCAGCTTGATTCCAGATGGAATAAATAAAAGCTATCTGATGACGATACTGTAATGGTCCTGGACCTTTATGAGGCGAAGTGTGCTTGTTTGGACAAGTTTCAGTACTGGACGTGGTTCACTCAGGAAGACACATGGCAGAGAAGAGGAATACAGTGCGGGACAAACTCCATATGCAAATCCTTCCCGGGGAGGTTGGGAAATGCTCTGTGGCGATGCTTGGCCAGTACACTGACTAGAAAGAAGTTCAAGACAAACTGCCACTTCCTTCACCTTAGGATCACAATATATTCTCTACTATCACTGTTCTGAGCAGTTATAGCATTAATTTCTAGCTCTTAAATCTCACAAATGCCCCTCAGTGACTCAGGCTTCTCCCCTCCTTAATCCTTGGTCCCAGCAGCTTCCCATATATGGATTTACAGACTTGTGCCTGTTCACTGAATGTCATGGTATGCAAATGATACATAAATCAGGGTGCAAAGTATTAAGTTACCAAGAAAATAAACCAGGGGGCAATTGCTCTGTAAATACATTCTTTAAAACTTCTGTTAAAAAGAACACTAGGCAAAAGCAGAATCCTGTGCCTTGTGTTTCTCTCCCTTTTGACTTGAAACTTCCTAAACAATCACAAATTTGTTTGTTCTTTCATGCTGGGAGGATGCTGGCCCTTTTTCCCTACTCATATGGGGACCGGGAAGCACCTATAACTCACCCTCCACATTCTGCTTTTTCAATGGCAACAAAGGGACAACCAGATGTATAGTCCTCAGACTAGGCTCCGTTTGCTCCAAGATTCCCCACTCTCTGGCTGGGGACTTTGAGCTGCCAGGAAGTCAATGCTGAAGCTGTGTTTTTACAGCTATGTTATTAGAGCTTTACGGCTGTGTTATTACAGGCCATGACATGTAATAACATTATTGTGTTAACATTTATATGTATTATCTCATTTAATTCTCATAATTCCATGAGCTGAATACTATTATTACTCCTATTTTATCCATGAAAAAACAGAGGCACAGAGAGGTGAAGCAACTTGATCAAAATCATATACCTAAAAAGCAGTGGAGCTGGAATTTAAACTCTGCTAGTCTGACTCCTATTCTTATCATTGGTTAATGAGCATTGCCGCCAATGTCCCATCAGCCCCATCTTCATGGGGTGGGGATGATATCCTCCACAGAATTTTGACTGCTTACTCACCTAACTCATACCTTGCGTGATGGAACAAAGGAAGAGAGAAATGAAGTGAGCTGTGAAGACGGCTGACAAAGTTGTCCACAGAACTTTTCTCCCATGATTCTGATTAAAATGAACCAAACATAAAAATCCAACCCCAAATATTCTCAGTTAGCAACCAAAGAAAGAAAAGGGCATAACTGAAAACAATACACTTAAAAACCCAGTGCTTGAGAAAGGAGATGAAAAATTCTGGAGCAGAGCAGAAAGGCGTGGCTGCCCGGCCCCCAGAGCTACAGGGGCATGTCAGCACAGGGAAATGAACTCTCCAGTAGTTCTCTCTGCCAAGATGGTGAGCCGGTGGCTGAGCCTCAAGGTGGAGGCGCATGCCAAGAAGCTGTGGCCCAAGTCCAGGAGGGAGAAGCCTAAAGCGGACCTCAGTCAGCTCTATGGTTCACCAGTGATTTTTAAGCAGCCTCTTCCTCAAAGGCCTGGAAGGTTAATTAAGGGTCAGGCCAGACCTTACTCTTCAGAGATCCCCACCCCTGACCCCCAGAGTAGGTGGGAGAGGTGGGAGCACTTATAGGTGGGCTCTCAGGTTAAGGAAGTGAACTTAGCATAGAGGACCCTTAACTACACTGAGTAACCTGGGAGATGGAAGTTTCCTTCCTTACCTTCTTCCTTTCCTTCCTTACCTTCTTCAAACCCATCCCGGAATGAGCCTGAACGGCTCATGGTTCTGCTCTTCTCATCCAGGGACATGGAGCTATTCCGGAAGCGGCTGTCAGTGTATGGATCATACTGCCCATCAGCATTGGAGAGGCTGTGAGTCCTCAGCATGGTCGGGTTGGACAAGCTCATCTGGGTGACAGTGGTGGGACTCGCTGGAATAAAAGGAATAGAATCAAAAGGTTAGACATTCATGTCTCTGTTCAAATCCTGGTTGGGGACAAAGAGAAGACTGCTTATTTTTAGCCACATGTGTTTCTGCCAACTCTTCTCCCATCTGTTTTCTAAAAGGTAGTCCCATCAGCATTTGAGTTACACACCGGGAGCTAAAAATAAGAGTAAAAAGGCAGGTCAGCTCCAAAGCAAGGCTCTGGGCCTCAGCTTTCCAACTTGGCACGTTCAGACAGGCCAGTATCACCTTCCAGGCATGAGCTAATTACTCCCCAGGCTCATCTGGAATGATTTTCTCTAAAGCCAAAAGCCCAAAATAGTCCAATCAGGCTTTTGATCAGATGGGAAGCATTTGTGCATGACAAGAATCTCTTGCCTCAAAGAGTTATGGCTGGGAAAGAACAGTATGAACACAGATCCCATTGCCTCAGATGGGGGACATTTAATAATGGTATATAAAGAGTTTCAATGCAAGGAAGGTACATTTGTCTCAGCTAAAACTAGCTTTCTTATGAAAATCCTGTCCATTTGAGTCATGTGCAATATTTTCAGAGGTACTCATTTAGTCAATCAGAAATGAAGTGTTAAACCTCACTTGATTACAAGCCACCTCTATCCTTAAAGACTCTGAATTTGTTATTCACTATATTCAGAAAAGCCTGCCTCTCTAAAGAGTGAGATGAGATTAGAAAAGATTTCTCACCCTCTATCAGTCCTTCAAGGCTCAGCTCCTACTCTGCCACCTTCACATAACCTCTGCCTATAACTTCAGCCAGCACTAATCTTTCCTTTTTCTAAATGTGTCTAATGCTTGCTATCTAATTATATTCAGCTTTTACATGATTTCATATAAAGCTCTGGATTGTTCTCTTTTACTCTATTATATAGGTGTGCATTGATGTGTTTGTCTTCCTGAAAAAGAATTCCATTGACATGTCAGCAGGGACTGTGACACAAATTCTTTTCCTTTCCCCACTGTGCCAGTCAAAGCATTATGTCAGAAGTAGGCATTGTTAAGAATACCTATTCAATCAAAACTTAACTTTTATTTCCAACTTAATAAAGCAATGAGGATGACCTAACATGGGATATGCGATAAAATCTATTTCTTCAGAGGTCTTAGAAAAAGAATGCATTCTTTTTAAGAATGGGATAACATGTTCTTTGCTATAGCCCTACCAATATCAACCAAATAAAGAAAATTATTGATTACAGTATCAAAAACTTTACTATTTTCTCTATTTATTTTTCTGTCAATCCCCTGTAATCGATCTATATTGCCGAGGGCTAATCAGACACTGAGCGGGATGTGACTATATGTCTATTTCAAAATGTAAGATAACTCAAGTGATGGGTGCACCAAAATCTCAGAAATCACCACTAAAGAACTTACCCATGTAACCAAAACCACCTGCTCCCCAAAAACTATTGAAATAAAAATATGTTATGTATATAAGATAACCACTGCCCTGTGGAGCTGATCAACATAGGTAATGACAAGTGGCTACTCACCAAGCTGGGAAAAGTTGAATCTTGTTCCGGAGGGAGAAGTCACGCTGGAGCCAGAGGAAAAGGGGGAATTGGCAGCGGTGTCCTGAAGGCCTCCTGCAGAATGGGACCGTAACCATTCTTTTGCATCTTCTTGCGTGCGAAGCTGGGAGGTGGGAGTATACCTGGACAGACAGAAATCAAGCCGGAATTAACTATGAACAATGCTTATTAAAATGAACTCTGTGGAGCTGATGGTAAATATATAAAAAGAAAACATATATCCGAAGATGATTTTTTTTAAAATCAGATCACTACACGTCCTGAAACTTATGAAGTTTCTCAAAACCTTTTTTCTATTTGGCTGTGTTTGGGGAAAATGACTACTCCCTTTCAGTTTGGAGGGAACACATAAAGGGAAGAAGATTGGTAAATGCTCAGAAGAGCCGTCACTGGGCGTATCTGTAACATGTTGCTTCATGACAGTGTCACGTCAAAGCCCCCACCTTGACAGGACTGAAGCAACAAAATGAGCTGCTGTTAGAGCTTTGAGGGAGTTTTAATTAGACAACTCATGGCATCTGCCATTCTACAACACAAATAAATGACCATGAATCACAGCATATGAAAAAGCAGACATACAAAGCAAGGTTTGAGGACACTGATGCTTATAGTAGTTGCTGTAATAGAGCACAAACAAATCTTCATAAAAGCAACCCCAAATTGTTGAGTTTTATAGGAGAGGGTCTTCAGAAGTTATGTGGTCCACCACCTCATTTATTCTGAAATGTATATGGTGATGATTTATTGAACATCTGCAATGTGCTAGGTGCCTTCATGTGCATTATCTTACCAAAGCCTCAGACCTACTCAGCAATGCAGATGCCATTATTCCTATTTTACATTCAGGGAAGGTAAGAACCCTGCTGGTAGTCACAGAGTTGAGATTTCAATCCATGTTTGATTTTAAAATGCATGTTCTTTTCATTATGCCCATAAGTAGCGTGTGAAATTTCTTTCCTTTTTTTTTTTTTTTTTTTTTTTTTCGAGACGTAGTCTTGCTCTACTGCCCAGGCCGGAGAAAGGTGGCATGATCTCGGCTCACTGCAACCACTGTCTCTTGGGTTCAAGTGATTCTCCCACCTCAGCCTCCCGAGTAGCTGGGACTATAGGCATGTGCCACCATGCCCAGCTAATTTTTTGTATTTTTAGTAGAGACAGGGTTTTACCATGTTGGCCAGGCTGGTCTTGAACTCCCGCCCTCAAGTGATCCACCTACCTCAGCCTCCCAAAGTGCTAGGATTACAGGCATGAGCCACCGCACCTGGCCTGCATCTGAAATTTCTGAGTGCCAAGTGGCCAGGGTATCCTCGGACTTATATATTATGGAGTGACTACTGATTATGTCAATAGGGGGATTCTTTGGGCTTAAGGAAAGATGTTGTCAGTGTGTTCGTACTGGATGTTCATGTGTATGGAGTGGGTGAGCTACACAGGAAGAATCAGAGTGAGAGGGAGCACAGAAATGTTTTCTCCTTAATGTTTTTACTATATCTGACAGACATGCAACTTTCCAGGACACATCAATTGCCTGAAAATAGCCTGTCATGTATCTCTATTCTGAATTTTTAAAAAACCAGAGCTACATAATTTTGATAGGCTAGATCTGCTACAGAAGTATACACACCATTTCACAATGTTAACATTTAGAAGTTAGCTTTCTCTCAGGGCACCAGTGGGGCATCAAAGTCAAACTCACAGTGAGAGTGGCCATGATTTAAGCATCTGGCATGGTTGCTGACAAGCAGCTCATAGGCACGATTGAAACTGGTAAGTACAAAAGGCCTTGCCAAGGCCCCCTCTAAGGCCACACTGCTCAACAACTTCCTGCAGGATGACTGTTGGGAGATTTTAATACTTTCCTTCTTAGATTCTTAGAACTGGCTTTACTCAGAGGATCCCATTGAAAGGAAGCATTGATACCTACCTCACATTACTGTTCAAAATGCTCTCAGTCTTAAGAGCTGCAGGTTATTAACTATAGACATACATGACAGCAATGAAACATTTCATTCCAAGTCCCATTTTATGCGAAAGCACTTAATGCTTAGTGCAGGGTGAAGCTGATGCTACAGGGCATGTGGTGTTTAGAAAGCAGAAGAAATGACGGCTGCAACCATAAGACAGCAAGATCACAGGGGAGGCATTAGCAAACTGAATTTTCTCTGATTGGCAAAGTGATATAGATGGTGTGAGCAATGGTGACTTATAGCATCTTGTTTTGCCAGGACTAGCACCAAAAACGAACCTGAGCCACCACTTACCAGGAATGGAAGGACAGTCCTTCCTGGGAGTCTTTTCTTTATTATCCACCAAAAAATGATCACACCCATGTCTTGTTGGGCAATGAAAGTGGACCAATTTTCCATTAGAATATTTAGACAAGGGCAAAGTATCTGTCTAGCAATTTTTTATGGGCAGAAAAGTTAAATATTTTCAAATTGGGGGAAAATATTCCTTGCCTCCTGTGCTCTTGTCCTAGCTTACAAATCAGTATGCTATAAGTCATGTCCTTTCTCTTGGAAGACAGCCATGTTAACAGAATGGTCATGGTGAAGTGCTCAGAAATTAAACCCATTGGCCCCAGAAGCAGTAATGACTGCTCCTTGGGCTTGCCCAGGGATGTTTTTCATGAGATGGTTTTACCACATTAAGCCTGAAAAAGCACAGCCCCTGCTCAAGCAAATAAGCTGACAAATGGAGAGTGAGAACGAGAGGGTGCAAGGGGAGCCGTCATCCAAAAGGTCCTGCTGTGGTGGTCAAAGCGGGGACCCCAGCCCAGCCCAAACCCCCACCAGCCATGAAGGAGTCACACAGCCAAGCTCCAAAGCCACAACAGATGGCACAGATGCAAGGAGGAAACACAGATACCTGAGTCCTTTCTTAGGCAAAGTGTTCCTATCAAGGTGCGGGTCACTGTAGGAAAGTTAAAACAAAAATAAGAACTTCAGAGCAGCACACAGAAGGCAGAGAGAGGGAAAGCTAGGGAGGGGACTGAAGGGCCCTGGAGAAAGAGGTGCACATCACCAGGAAGTGCCTTATCCAGCTAGGCGTGCAATGCAACACATCCACATCCGTGGAAAACAAAAGAAACCCAATCCTCAGCCTGAGCTGACACCAGCGCATACTTTACCCCAGGTCACCAGGAGGCCTGAGTCCCTTAACCCCAATTGTTCCTCGTTTTCCACAGATTCAAAGCAAAATTCAGGGGTTGCTCCACCTCAAAGCAGAGGTCCTGTGCCTTCTACTGCCCAGGGGCACTCTCTGCACCAACACGGCTTCTCAGAGAGAGGGATGCCCACTTCCCTGCACCCCTAACTCTGGCCCACCCCCTAAATGCCACTGGCAATGACTTCAAATGGGAGAACAGACTTGTTGGAGGTTTCAAGAGGCCAGCAGTCTGCATATTTGGAATTCATCTGTAACGAAGTGAATTCCAGGTCCCTCTCAATTTCTGCGGCCCAGGCATAGCTAGGAGCTGAGTCCTGGGTGGGGCATGTTACAACTTGCTGGCTGATGAAGTCAAAGCACTTGGATTTCTAAAGACCAACGGTTTAAAGGCTTGGTTTGTGAGCTGACAAAAACAAAGTTTTCACTGTTGATGGGGTGAAGGTTTTTTTTTTTTTTTTTTTCTGGCAGGAGACAACATCTGTTTGTTATGTTTGGCCAGGTCATCACTCCCCCACAAAATTAAGGACAGTATCCATCTCTGAGGCCCACCTACAGCTGGGGGCAAACACAAGCGTGTACATTTGTAAAGTCTTAATACTCTACACATTCTTTTTCATTATCATCGCAGGAAATGGGCACACAGAACACAACAGTCTGCAAGACATAATGAGCCAAACTTCAGCAAAGGATTTTGAAAGGGAGAAGAGGCAGCTGCATGGGGAGGGGTAGACAAAGGTGAGGGCCAAGCTACACAGTGGGTGGCAGGTCATTTCTGGGCTTGGGGTTGGGGGTGGCAAAAGGAATGGGAAGGAAGCTGAAAAGCAGGAACATGCCACAGGAGGCCACAAGAGATGCAAGCGAGAGCTTCCGCTGCCCCAGATCAAGTGGCAGGGTTTAAGGTCGCCTTCCCAAAATGGGAATGAAGAGGCCAGCCCAACTCCACCTCTCCCTGGGCTTTAGCAGACAGAGGAACAGACTCTCACTGGCATGTCCATGTGTCACAGAGTACACTAGAGCCACAAACACAAGCAGGTGGCTTAGGCCAACAGCCTCGCACAAGACATCTGGCTTGACAACGAATGGGCAGAAGAACCTAGAGGCTCGGTTGGTCCCCGGCCTGCAATGTCATTACCTGTCCTGTTTCCTGGGCAGAGTACTTCTGCAGAACTTAGGGCTAGCAGCAGGGGAAGAGAGAGGGCTAGAAGTCCAGGCAGGTAGAAAACAAGAGAAGGAACGTTAGCTTGGAAGAAAGGAGAGGTGTTGTTATATACATTTTTTTCATTCCCCATGCTGATCCTCGCTTTCTTCCCTATATGCAGAAACTGGACACATTTATCCCTGCTGCAGAGAAATCCAGGGCTCTGAGAACACTTTTAATTTCTTGATTTCCTATCAGTCCAGGAGGAGGGTGTTTGCCACAATGACAACAAACCTACCCAGCTGTCTAAAGAGCATCCTACTAAACACTCCATGTCTGCACCCAGTCACCTGCTCTGCTTGCACAATTACAAGGGGAGGGAAAAGAAGCTGTTGATGAACAAACAGGATAAAACTGAAGGATTTCAAAAGCTGAATGCCATTTCAAATGGTAGCATAAATCTGCCCCCGAGAGACTGAGCAGCTCCAAGCACCAAAAATAACCACAGAGGAAAAGATAACAGGGAGCAGAGCCAAGCTTGATTCCATCCTGAAGTGGCTTCCCCATGAAAGACAGCAGTAATTAGAAAGAGAGAAATCTTACAGGCAAAGGCTATTCGACATTTGGGATTCCTAAGCTAATCTTTTTATTTTTGGAAGGGTGTCTTTCTGAGAAAGGCAGCCAGAGGCACAGCACCAACCTTTCTGACAGTGTGGTCTTCACACTGTTAGTTCTGACAAAGGGAGTCAAGGAGTCGTCCTTGGAGGAGGCGATGAGGCCAGTGGAAGAATTGTGGCTGGGGACCCCTCCACTGCTGAGGGAGATGTCGATGGACTCACAGCTGGTGTGGAGGCTGCTGACAGACTGAAAGCCCAGGCCATCCTTGCTAACTGCGGAGGAGCTGCTGGCGTTGGTGCCCCAGGTGAGGCTGTTGGAAGGGGCCGAGTGGGCTGAGCTGGGGCTGGAGGCTAGCGGAGACTGGTTGAGGTCCACATTCTTGCTGTAGAGAGGACTGCTGCTCCCACTGCTCAGGACGCCACTGCCTGACGGGGAGTCTAGGTTACCTTGCTGAGTCATGGTGGCATGAGGATTGGAGATGACCACCGAATTTTTCATGTTTTCAGCTGTGGCGATGGGCACTTGCTTGGTAGGCTTCCCACCAAAGAGTCTGTGAAGAGACAAAGGGTTGTGTAGGTTGAACACCCAGTGCCAAGGGGCACCGGACTGTTAAAGAAGGGTAGGGCAGAGGAGTTGGTGAGAATTCCTGGGGAAGGAAGCACAGCCATTCCTACTGAAATGGCTAACGGTACTTCAGGGAAAGGTCAGCCATAAAGTGGGCCTAGACACTAGTGCATCACAGGCTGCCGTCTTCAAATTCTAAGCTGCAGCTGAGACTCTGACTCCATCTGAGCCAAAGAGCCATGAGTAATAATTTTCTACAGGCCTATTCACATGACACTGGGCCAAGATCTTGCTTCCCTTTCTTTCAATAGATAGACTAACTAGAAAACTGCCCTGGCCCAGGAAGATGGTTGTCTTCATCATCTCTGTCTCTGCGGCCCCAGGCATAAAGCAGGCACACAGTTTATGACAGCTCAACTCTAAGGGATTTGGTTTCTTGACCTCTGAGCACAATACATAGAATCAAGAGCATGAATTTAGATCTGGAGGGGGCCTAGGAAAAATGTCTTCAGAGATTTATCCACAATAGAAAACGCAACTGGAAAGATGTATCTTTTGAAGCCAGAGAGCTTACTTATCCAGTGACATACATGGAAATCTTGCTTGGTTCACAAGACATTAGACCAGACACACTGGGTGGGAACTGTGTCTCTGTGACAGACACACAGAAATGCTATTCTATGTCATCTCCCCTGCTCGTGGCCAAAAATGTGCCATCAGACTACAAGGAATGACATAAATGCCCCCTCTTCCACTGGCAGAGAACTCTCTGGTAGAATGTTGAAATTATCTTTAAGTCAGAGAATTGTCCACATTCTAGTAATGCAAAGGCTCTATTACACTCACTGAAACCTGTGTTGAGTAAGTATCTCACAAGTGACAAAACTACTATGTATTTCTGACATGCAGGTGGCCTTGGGTGCTCAAAGTCGTGACAGTTTGATCTCTGCCCTCTCTAGACAGTCCTATAAATCTCAAGTATTGTAAAGACAATCAATCAATCAATCCTTACTACAGTGGGTGGTGGCAGAAAGGAAACACTTTGTGCCTGGTGACAACAGGGAATGAAATATCCTAATGTAGAATCTTGGCTTTAGAATGCTTACATACTTCCAGTGATGACAGGGACCTCGTTACTTCAAAGGGTAACTTGTTCCATTGCCAAGCACTTCCAATTATTAGGAAACCCAAATCTCATCCACTTTTTTTTCTGACTTTTGCATATTGCTCCTCATTCTGCTATGCATGACTACATACAAAAGTCTAATCTTTGGTCTGTTAGTCCTTGAAATCATTTGAAGAGAGTTATCTATCAAATTCACCAAAGATTTTTCTTCACCATACTAATACACATCAAGAGAACTAAGAATACCTTAACGATTTAGGAAGAAATGTAATTTACCAGGAATTGGCTAAAAGGTGTTCAATGTAGAGCCGTAGGAGCTGCATGCATTTTCAAGCATTCCATTACACTAGCCTAAGGGTCTAGTAAAATGCCTTTGTAGTTAGTAAAGGAAATCTATAATACCAAAGAGTGAATATTACATATAATACTTGAGGCAAGAAACAGAGAACATTTTCATTTACAAGGCAATCTGTTAAAACAACAAAGAGCAGCACAACAGACTTACCCCTGGAAAAAAAAATCGTTACTGAAATTCTAATAATCAAGTCTGGACAAAGAACAGTGAACTGCTTCATTATACCTTTCATGTGGAATGCTTCTTCTGAAGTCTTTTCAAACATTCCTGTTCATCCCCAGATATGTACATGTGCATATAATTTTTATTTTCTCACTGCTTGATTTTCTTTTCTTGGGACTTATTCTTTCTTATGATAAGAAATTTCCTGGGAAAGTAGGATGAACTGTAACCTAGCAGTTGCAGTTTGAGAATGGTCCAGTGGATATTATAATAAGATAATACGAACAGGCAAAAGCTGAATAAATTTAAAAGAAACTTTAAACAAGTGAATAATTTGTTTATATCTAGAGCTTCCACCCAGTGTGAAAATGTGGGGAAATGATGTCTATTTAAGGTAACAGGAAATCAACTTCTCTTTTTCAGAAATATTTCTTCTTTAAGAGGTTTGTGTGTGTGTGTGTGTGTGTGTGTGTGATGGGGAGGGGGAAGTTAAAATTTCAGACTGACTTGGAATTCCGGAGTAGCGTAAAAGTATATGTGGGGACACTGGGCTTTTTGAGTAAAGGAAGGAGCTGGTCAAGATCACTGCCTGCCATAATGAGGAAGCTCAGCTGAAGAATTATTAACACAAGAAAAAAATGTATCTGCTCCCCTGAGCTACCCACCTAGGTCCAAGGGTGTATCAAGACCTCATTCTGGATTGGATGGTAGCTAACTTCTTTTTTTTTTTTTTTTGAGATGGAGTCTCGCTCTGTTGCCCAGGCTGGAGTGCAGTGGTGTGATCTTGGCTCACTGCAACCTCCGCCTCCTGGGTTCAAGTGATTCTTCTGCCTCAGCTTCCTGAGTAGCTGGGACTACAGGTGCATACCACCATGCCAGGCTAATTTTTTTGTATTTTTAGTAGAGACGGGGTTTCACCATATTGGCCAGGCTGGTCTCGAACTCCTGACCTCGTGATCTGCCCGCCTTGGCCTCCCAAAGTGCTGGGATTACAGGCGTGAGCCACGGTGCCCAGCAGTAGCTAACTTCTATTGAGTGCATACTACGACCAGACACAGCTACAAAGATGTATCTTTACAAAAACCCTGACAAAAAAGTATCTTCATCCCCATTTTACAGGTGAGGAAACTAAGGCAGAATTGTTAAAAAAGGTTATATGGCAGCTAATTAAAATGGACCTAAGATTTGATTCTAAGATGATTGATTCCAGAGGCCTAAGTTTTTCATCCCAACATGGGAAAATAGTCAACTGCAAAACTGCCGGCCTGATCTGACAAAACAGCTTTACTGGAGGACTAAAGTGGAGAAAAACAGAGGGTGCTTCAACTAAGAAACAGGAAATTACTAAATCCATTCCCTGTATTCTGGTTCTGCTCTGCACCATTTATGTACTCACTTACCTGCGGAGTGTGGGAGAGGCCACATCTGGGTACTTGGCTCCAGGCTGGAGACTGGTCTGAGCCGGACTGGACACAGGCTGGGCTGCCGGATTCACTTTCACCGAGTTACAGGAAGCCACACTCTCGTTGTCTGATGAGATGCCTTTCTCCTTGTCTGTTTGGTTGACCAGACCTGGTAGAGAGCTGCCTAGGGCTGTTTTGGAAGGCTCCCTCAGTTTGGGCACTGGCAGGCCTGCGGACTTGCTGCTAATGTTGGAATCTATGCTGCTGGTGCTAGACCTGTTCCCAGCCCCGTTCCGGCTGTTGGACTTACTGGGCCTCGGCAAACTCCGGTACTGAAGGTTTGTCCGGGAGCTTAGGGCTAGATACCCGTCATCCTGATTCTGAGCCCCATCCATACTTGACTTCCGACCAGCAGACCGACTGACGAGTGCAGATGACTTTGGGATTTTGCCCAGTGTGGCTGACCTGCTGGTGACAGTCACCCCGCTGGCTGTGATCATGGCCAGGCCGGCGGCGGAACCACTCTGCTTCTTGAACCCAAAGCTGTTGGCATTGGCAGTAGGTGTCCTAGAGCTGCTGGGGAGGGGCTTTTTGGATTCGTCACCACTGCTCCGGCCTGCATCTGATGGGGAGCGCTTCACCTGGGAGGCTTTAGGAGAAAGCCTTCCTTTCTCAGACACCTTTGCGTCGTCTGTTTTTCCTAAGAGAGAGATCAGCAAGATTAGCCTGCAAGCCAAGAGCCAGCTCATCCATCTCGTCTGTTTAAGATGCTCTCCTCCTCTGAAGAGCTGGTTCACTTTTCCCTTGGGGAGGCAGAGGAAAGAGCTTTTTATAAAAATAATATAGTCTACTAATGTACCGTGAGCCTTTTAGGAAATGTCAATAATTTTACTCATTTGCAAAGCAGTCTAAATTTACCCAGGATAAAGCAAAGCCAGCCAATCACTGATATGTCTGGGGGGAAAGAACCCCCTGCCTTTCCTGATCTTTCACCCTCTGTCCATTAAAGCGCTGTCCCTAACATGTCCAGGGGATACCTCTGCCCTTGTTTATAAATATTCCCTAAGTCAGGGACAACATCAACTCACCATACACCCACAGCTCATAAACCCATGCTGTTGAATAGCCTGAACTGGCTGCATTAACTCACCCAGTGTCTAGTTAAACCAATTCAGTATGTCTCAGCAGCCGAACCATCTTCAGAGCTTAAGAGGCTCCCATGCTTACTTATTTCCACTTAGAAAAAGGTAGGGATGTGAAAGTTTATGGAAGCTCGTTGTTAGCAGAGTATAAATCCTGAGACAAAATATATAATGTCAAGTCCTTGCTAGAGTTAACTATGGCTTTGGTTTTCAAAATGTCAACTGTAGGGCCAAGACAGCCCCGGCCTCTTACCAGTTCCTGGGGTCTTCAGTGCGCCTGCCGGGGCTGAAGGCTTCGTCCTTGGCATGGTGATGCCCACCTGAGCTGTCATGCCTCGCCGCCATGAGCCTGTCTGGGAGATGACAGGATTCTTCTTGCCCGACGTGCTTTTGTCGGACTCGTCAGACACATCAGAAGGATTCCGCCTCCACTTGGAACCTGGCTCCATTTTTATGCCGCTGTCTGAGCCTCCGTCTGATTTCTTGACATCATCACCAGACCACAGGGAATTCCTCTCCACCTGTGAGTGCTTCTCAGCATCAGTCTGTGGACAGAGACTCTCTGAATTAGTCCTTCCCCAGTCCCAGGCTGGGAAGCCCCTCACTCCAAAGGCAAAAATGCCAAAACACTGGAGTAGTTAAGGGAAAAATAAGCATTACTTTAAAGATGTTTGGACTTTTGTACTCTGGTTATCTTGTTAGAAAGACTGATTTTTTTTTTTTGGAAAAAAAAATAAAAAAGTAAATAATATCAATGTATCCCTGGAATGGAATGGAACGAGATGGCTGGGCACAGTGGCTCACGCCTATAATCCTAATATTTTAGGAGGCTGAGGCGGGAGGATCACTTGATCCCACAAGTTTAAGACCAGCCTGGGCATCATGGCAAAACCCCATCTCTACAAAAAATAGAAAAATTAGCTGAGTGTGGTGGCACACGCCTATAGTTCTACCCACTCGGGTGGTTGAGGTGGGAGGATCACCCCGGGGAGGTGGAGGCTGCAGTAAGCCGTGACCGCACCACTGTACTCTAGCCTGGATGACAGGGCGAGACTGTCTCAAAAAAGAAGAAAAGAAAAGCAAAAGAAAGGAGTGAGGGAAGAGAGGAAAAGGGGCCCAGGAAAAAAGAAGGAAAGAGCCCTAGCGAGGGGAAGGGGCAGAGCAGATGGAGATGCAGTGGGAATTCAGCCACCACCTATTTTCTGCCACTTGAACAAGCCTCCTCCAACTCTGGCGGCTGATCTCTAACCAGCATCCAGTCTCCTGGCCCGTTTCCCTTTGTTCTGCCTTCTTCCCATCACTGCACCGCAGAGAGATCTTTGGATCTAACACACCAAGCAAGGGAGCAAGGGTGGCTGCTGGTTCTACGCAAATCAGGGAGAGCCAGGAGCTGAGGGGAAGCGCATCCTCAAATGCTACTTCCCCCAAATGCGGAGAGCCAATGATGCCTGCTCCGACCCCAGCATTATTTATATGCCACTGCTTTGCTCCCCTTGTGGGATTTTGTTCTGACAAGGGATATAATTAGCCAGCTTTCTTTGGAAGAGCCCTGACCTGCTGGCCATAAAACCCAGAAGGGGACCGAAGTGTGACGTTAATGATCTCCTGCAGCTAAAAGGCATAAAGCTGACCAGAATGCTTTGGAGGCCTCCTGGGGTTTGAGGCCAGTTGGAGGATGTCAGTAGCGAGAAGCAGCACGGTAAATGGGGAAGGGAGGTCAGGAGCGCTTTCAGGGTGGGTATACTAAGATACCAGTCCCATATTTGCAATGCTTAACTACCGAGAGTAGGCAAGATAGGAAATTAAAATGAACACCTGGCAAGAATCTGCCTAACGCCTGTCATCCAAGAGTGGAAGAAATGCCTTCCTCCATGGAATACAATGGCTGAATGGGATAAAAGCTAAAAACAGATAGGCAGCCCAAGTTCAATCGCCTCCCCAACACCACCCCAACCCCTTCTCCCCTTATGAATTCCACTCATCCATTACAGACACCTTATGAGTTCTTTCATTTGTTTTTTTCCAGCTAAGTATTAGTCACTAGAGATATGAGGAGGACAAACACACACTGCCTGGCTATGAGAAGCTCATCATTCAGCTGTGGCAAGGGACAGAGAGAGGGGAGTTCCTACATGTGGGCACAGGGCAGGAGCTCACTCAAAGCTTGATGAGCGAATGAATGAGCCTAGGAAGGAGCCAAGGAACACACGCTTTTCAGGCCACAACAGACATTAGCAAAATTATCTTATCCGATCTCAGCCTCTATTTAATCAGAAAGGGTAAGTACACAAGTACTCAAGTACTGTTATCTTTATCTCAATCTTACAGAAACTAAAGTTGCCCATTCTTTGTCCCAACTACCTCAGGTCAGTTTCCTTCCTCTAAACACTTCCAGTACATTCATCCAACCAGAATTTACTCCATGCTTGCTGTCTGCCAGGCACCACGGAGGGTCAGAGAATCTGGGGATAAGACTGATTTCCCACCCATGGTGGAGCTTACGATCCAGTGAAACAGGCAGAGATAGAATAAATAAACACAAACAAGGGTGTAATTGTAGACTACGAAGACTATTATAAGGAAAAAGACAAAAAGTCTGAGAAATAAATATAGACATTGACCTAATTTAGATGACAATGAGGTGGGTAGGCGACAGTGATCAGTTCAAAAAGAAGTACCCTAAAGAAAGAAAAGAAACTTACTTAGTAAAAGAAGAGTTTGGGGCAGAGCATACCAGGGAGAGGGAACCACATGTATAAAGGTCCTGAGGCAGAAAATAACTTGGCTTTGGAACATTCACTTCACAAATATTTATTGGGTGCCACTACGTGCCAGGAAAGCTTATTCGCACTAGGAATACTGCAATGAACAAGTATAAATCATTAACCTCATGGAGCTTACATTCAAGTACATTTTAACATATTCTAATATGCTCTAAGAGGTACTGAAAATTTAGCACATGCCACATCCTGGGTTACTGCATTATTTATTCTTTTAATGTTCCTATACTTATTTCCCCCCAATCAAACTGTAATGGTGCTAATACTAGTAGCATAACAACTACAATTTATTGAGTACTTACTACGTCCCAGGCACTAAGCTAAAGTGTTTGATATGTATCATTAAATTTAATCCTTATCAAAAACCTATGAGGAAATTACAGTTAATAGTCTCAATTTTACATGACAAAACTGAGGCAAACAGTGAAAAGAAAATTTCCCAAGATCACATAGTGAGGAAGTAGAGATGCAGGGAATTCAGGGAGTCTAACTGCAGAGCCCACATTTTAACCACCATGCCACACTGCCCTCCCTAAGGATAAGTCGAGGTATATGATACATTTGTGCATACTCAGTAGCACCTAATAGCTATACCCAGCAGATTCTCCTTCCATACTGGCAGGCTCCCCAACCCCAGTTCTAGAGCAGCTCTAGCTTAGCCTCTAGGTGGGACCCATACAACTCCATTTCCATCAGTGGCAGAGACAGCGCACATGCCCCTGGCCTGGGAATGTGGCTTGACTTTCTCTCTCTGGAAAGAACAATCATCCAGCCATCACATCTCCCTAGCTTGGTCCAGGGTGGTCACCTTCCCAGCTCTACTCTGAATCCTTCATGAGCTACATGCCGGACTATAAGGTGGCACCCCTTGGGATTAAAAAACGAGAAAGTCCCAGCCTCTCTGTTCCTGGAGCTCGCAACAGCGGAACCAGCCAACAGGACATCCACATGGGGACGTACGAAGAGTTCTATCCTGCCTTCCCCTCCATGCCTCGGCCAGTTGTTTCCATCTCAATGGTACCTCCTTTCTGAAGGGTTTTCTTCTGCCTGTTCTTGGAAGTCTATGTAGTCATTCGATATCCACATGGGAAGGTGAGGAAAGAAGCCACGCACAAGGGACTTCAGAAGGGAGGCCAGTCTTCTGAGAGCAAGAGGTGAGGCCTGAGGAGCATGATGTGGGGGAAG
Source organism: Homo sapiens (assembly GCF_000001405.40). Lineage (NCBI taxonomy): Eukaryota > Metazoa > Chordata > Mammalia > Primates > Hominidae > Homo > Homo sapiens. Next base: position 20,040,560 of record NC_000011.10, on the reverse strand, counting down.
AGTGTGGGCTTTGGGTCTGACAGATCTGGGTTCAAGTGTTCGGTGCTGCCACTCATTTGCTGTGCATGACCTTGGAAGACATTGCCCTACTTATCTGAACTTATTAACTCATGTATAAAACATGGATGATAAATAGGTCTCTTACAGCATTGATGGTGAACTCAGTGAACTCAGTGTGGGGGGACTCAATAAACAGTGGTTCTATTCATTACCAACTTTCCTGCCTCTGAAAATCCCCAGCACTCTGTTGTCCATCTTTAGCATTTATCCTGCCTTTGTCTTGCATTATGGGAGAACAGGTACTTGTCTCTTCTGCCACTGGGCCACAGGCCTTTGGAAGGCAGGGATATTCCCTCCCTGTGCCATATCCCTTGCGGATCTAGATGCTGAGCTGGCTCAAGTTTAAGCCCCAGTGACCATGGAGATAATTATCTGCATCAACATCATCGCCTGCCAGTCATCCTGCCAGGCACTGTGTCCCTCCACATACATCCTGAACTCATCTTATCCTCTCAGGCTGTGTTATTATCCACATTTTACACATCAGGAAAATACAGGGCTGAAGAGGAAAAGTAACTTACCCAGCGGGTGAGCAGAAGGGGGCACCCCTCCTCACCCCCAGCCAAACCCCATCCCTACATCCATGCCAACATCTAGAGAGCTCTAGGGTCACTCAAGGCCACACAAGACAGGAATCCTTGCCACATAATTCAGAATTTTATTTCCCTGAGTAGCAAAAAATAAACTGACATGGAATTATCTTTTTCCTCCGCATATGTTATTAAACATTTCACAGGCATTGAAAATGAGAGGAAATCTTGATGTGTGCATCTTTGCTCCTCAGCACCTGGGATGGTGCCTTCCACAGAACTGAGAGAAAATACTGAATGTACAGATGAATATGTGAGGGAGTTGCGTGTGTTTGTTAAAGCCCTTTGCCACCAACATCTGTCCTCAAAATAAAATACTGCAAAGTAAGATGAGTTGCTTTGAGACTACAAACAAAATATATTAAGAACGTAGTCAACCTTTAGTTAACTGCCATGAATGGAGGCTGGAGGCAGAGGAACAGTTAACCCAGGTGGCAGGGGCTGGGAAGGGACGAAGGGAAGGAGAGGAGGGAGGAAGGGAGGGAGAGATAAGAGAAATGGAGGGAAGGAAGAAGGAAAGAAAGTAACTTCTGAGGAACCATCCAGTCTCAGGCACCTAGGGAAGCATGTGCTGATAAAGCATTTCCCTGTTACTTTCACACTCACCCTTGAAGGTGCATCTAATTAGTGCCATGTTATGGATGAGGAGGCAGGGGCTCGGAGAGAGTGCTTAGTTCATCCAAGGATGTCATAGAGTGAGGAGCACAACTCAAGATCATGTGGCTTCCAGGTCCACACCTACTCCCTGACACCTCAATTTGCTTGGCCAACCGGACTCACCAGCTCTCCTGGAGGAGTTGCTCAAGAGGCTCTTGGGCCTCAAGCAGGGGATTCTCTGCCTGGCCCTGAGGAAACAGTGGGCACAGGAGCTGATGCTGGACAGCTGGGCACCTGTGCTCTGTGGGGGGCATTCTCCGTTGCTCCTCAATGTCCCCAGTGATAGCGGAGTCCCTCACAGACAAAAGGAATCTCCATTCCCAATGATCCGTCTCCTCTTCTTTCAATCAGCTATACGAGGCTGTTTCTTAGGTTTTCCAGACAATAACTTCCCTGTTCCTGAGATGCTTTAGTTATTTCTCAGAGGCTTTTCAAACAGCAAAAACCTAGGCAGGCAACCTGTCCTCAATTTGCTTTCCTGATGGACATGCTGAGCCACTTCTCCCTGCCTCCCCACGCCTTGCCTGGCAGACTGTGTGCTGCCCACCTGTTCCAGGGTAAACCAGTATGTGACAGGAACCCAAATGAGCCACAGCATAGAAGGCGCAGCTCTTGGGAAGGGTACAACGCACATCTTCCCATTGCCTGATGCCGCTCAGACAGGAGTAATGGCCCTTAGCATTCCTCAGCGTGATATGAGGGAGGAGGATGGGAGCCTGTGAATTATGCTGATTCAAATATTTTGAGATGCTCCCTGGACAGGAACAAAAGGAATGTCACTAAAAATCCATTTAAAGAAACCATTGCGTTAGAAATCTTAGTAACTATTGGTGTAATCTGCATTTAGTTTACTTTAAGACCTACTTTTTTTTTAGTTTTCATTTCAACATTTTAAACTCAGGTAGTTTTATAGGAAAAAAAACCTACCCAATGAGTAGTAAACCATTTACATCCCTTAAAATAACTTCTGATCTTGATCAAAAGGCATGTTTGTGCAGAATCCTGCAGCCTTTTCTGATGTGACATTTACAAGATGAAAGCAAAGAGCTGGTCTAAAGAGCTGGGGCGACTGTATCAGCTAGAAAATCATGTACAAATCCGAGTTGTTTATCAATGTGGAACCAGAGATTTCAATTCCAGCTTTGCAAGAAGGGAACAAAGGCAAGGACATTCTTCCAGTACAGTGTTTTACTGGCTCCACCTGCATCTCAGGAGCAAGCTTCTCCTACCTTGTAAGTCAAAAATGGAAACCTCATGGATCTCTCTCTCTCTCTCTCTGCAGTACCTCTAATAGCCTGCCTCCTGAATATGTAGATGCAGGGTGAGCAATTCCTTGGTTCCTTCCTTAGTATCTAAGGACAGTCTGGTTGTTCTTATCTTGAATATACAATGAGCCTCAGGAAAAAAAAATTAGTGTTCACAAGGAAAGGAAAATTGGTGGCAGGAGCATAGCCTGGCTGGGCACTTCTGACTTGCGTCTAATCACTGATGAAACAGTGATCGGCTTGTGAAGTGTGGCTTAGGTTTTGTTTGTTTGGTTTTTGTACAGTAAAGTACACAAATCTTAAGTACATAGCTTGAATACATTTTAGAAAATTAACATACTTACATAGCCACTGCTCAGATTAACATACAGAGCATTACCCATGGCCCCCTTTCTAGTCATATGGGTAGTTTTTGTTTCTTAAAACAACTACCACCACCCACTGTCACTAGGTTGGGTTTCTGAACAATAATCAGAAAGTCTGGCTCAAATGAAGAATACAAGAAGTAACTGGGAATCCCAGGGGCAACACCTAATGTATTTCATCAGGCATTAAACGTTTCCATTTCTGTGGGACAGAATTACTCCCACACTCTGATACATCCTTTTTTTTTTTTTTAGCCCTATTGTCAAAGAAGAGATACCTTTAAAAGAAAATAGATTTCCAAATCAGCTCCTATCTGTATGAAGTAAAGCACTGCTGAGAAAGGAAGAGGTTATGGAAGGGAGTGAAAGACGGGGCAGTGCTAGTTCTGCCTCCCCGCAAGGTTGCTCTGAGAGACTTTGTCCCAAACAGATTTCTCCAAGGGTTCGCCAAAGATGGGGGGTGGGGAGGGGTGGCGCCTGCAAATGGGAGGGATCAATCATGAAAAAGATTCCAGCCTACGACGCCAATGCCACCACAGCTGGCCAGTTCTGGTGCTGGTCAGTCCCAAACTGGGGACAAGCTGTGAGGACAGCACTTTACGTTTCCACTAGTAAAATGGGCCTTTCAGAACCATCCCTTGCCAATCATGAAGGAATGGTCTGAGGGTCAGTGAACGTGTCCACATGAAACTACACCACATTTGAAACATGAAATCTGAAGCCTTAAAGTAGGAATGGAAAACTCCAGTGCCTTGGGGTCAGGCAGGTAATTTAAGGAGTACAGCTGGCCAGCAGGGTAGCAGCTGTGCACACTGGAGCAGGAGTGGCAGGTCTAAGGGGTTGGATACTGGGACATCTGTTGATTGTCACCACATGGAGAATGTAGGCTCAAGGAAGCAATATCTTTGTTTTTCTCAAGAGCAACCAGGAAGACATTTTCATGTGAAATAATATAATTCTAAAAATTTGACAGGGAATCTAGTTTAAAAGAAGGGTAACACTGTGGGCCAAATAAAACACGTCAGCAGGGGAATGTAACCCAGAGACAGAGTTCTCAACCACAGGTCAGGACATCCCGGCCTTCCGGTCCAGGGTTCTCAATCTTTATTTCCACCCCATCCTCCTACAGGGATTAGACACGTGCCCCTGGATAGCAGTGGCTTGCTGCGGCAAATAAGAGACACACACTCTGGGCTGAAAATTGCTAAAGTCCCACATCCTTTTCTGTTGTTTGTTTTTAAACAAATTATGAAACCGAGGTCCAGGGAGGAAGAGTGATTTCATCAAGTCCACACAGTGAGGGTGGTGAAGCCTCCCTACTCCCGTGTCCACCATCCGCTGCCTGACCCCTCCCTTGTGGACACAGGTCAGGGTCAGGAGGTGAGAGCAGAGGCGGCAGGAGGCTGGGCCTCATCTCATCAACCTGGAGATTCTGGTTGCCCCAAATGGCCCTCTTACCCCACAAGCCCAAGGTTCCCTGCTGCCAGAGGCTGCTGGAGGAGCCTGGGAGGGCCTGTGTTCCTCACCTGCACATCCAGGTTTTTTCGAGAGGAGGCAGGTGTGTTGGCATAAGAGCTGATGGAGGAGCTGGTGTTGATGTCATCAGTGCTGAGGTTGTCTATGGTGTCGCTGATGCCGCTGCTGACGGAGCTGCTGTCGTCCCAGCTGCCAAGACAAACACACATCCTGAGCACCAAAACCTCAGGCTGTTCCAGCTCAGGCTGATGACACAGACAGACAAACACCATCCCCGAAAAGATCCAATCTGTGCCATGAAGCCCCGGACAAAGCTCTCTTGACTCAGATGTGACTCATCTCCACATCAATCATTGCTGTCTGGGATTGGAAGCTGGGTGAAGAGGCTGACAGATACCTTCCCCAAACTAAGTGCTTCCATAGCAGGGGTGGCTACAGACACTACCCATGTCCTACCCCATTCTCAACTTCATCCTGAGAATTTTATGGAAACCAATTTGTTCCTTCCCAGGCCTAGTGGCAGAGTAGGGGCAGTGAGTCTGGGGACTAGAGCTAAAAGCATGCAGGGAAGGACTCCGCAGCAGGCACCTGTCGGGTCAGAGGGCAGAGCTGCTGTATGACTTCTGCAGACTTCACTCCTGGAATGAAACGCCGAGCGAGGGAGAGCGGCAACAGTTAGGAGAAACCTGTCAACTTGGTTAGCAGCTCTAACTCTAATAATATCCCCAAATACATCTAAAATAGATGTTCTTCATTTCCCAACCCTCCAACCGAATGAGGTCAGTCCCAAGCTGCCTAAGTCCAGTCTCCTAGCAATGGTTCTTTCTTTCTTTTTTCTTTTGTACCATCTCCCCACCTGCCAATACCACCACCACGTTTAATCCAGCACCCAGTCCTATCACCTTGCTTCCAAAACATATCCAAATGTGCAGTTCTCTGCCCCCACTGCCACCCTGCAGTTCATGGTGCGGTCAATGCTGCCTGGATTACTGCTAAAAGGCCAGCTGGTCTCTGTGGTCTGCTTCTGCTCCCTAATGGTCCATCCGCCCGCAGCAGTCAGAATATCCTGTCACTTTACTGCTTAATACCCTTGAGTTGTTTCTCAGGTAATTAAGAGTCCAAACTCTCTATATGGCCCCTCAAGACCCTCTGAGCTTGCCTCCTACCCCAGTCCTGTTTTGCACCCCTCTCCATTGCGAGTGGCTCTGATCACATGCACTTCTGTTCCTTCTAAGCCAAGATTGCTCTCTTTGAGGCTTTCTGTTGCTTGTCCCTCTTTCTGAACACTTGCCCCTGCCTCCTCTCATCTTTCAGATCTCAGCTGAAGAGTTACCTTCTCAGGAAAACCACCCCACCAGCCATCAAGCCTGTCACACTCTGTCACGTCACCCTGTTGCATTTACTCATTTGTTTGCTGTGGTGTAGCAGATATGTAGCAAGTGCTCAATAAATACTTGCTAATCGAGGGCTGGGCACAGTGGCTCATGCCTGTAATCCCAGCACTTTGGGAAGCCAAGGCGGGTGGATCACCTGAGGTCAGGAGTTCGAGACCAGCCTGGCCAACATGGTGAAACCCCATCTCTACTAAAAGTACACAAAAATTAGCCGGGGGTGGTGGCACATGCCTATAATCCCAGCTACTTGGGAAGCTGAGGCAGGATGATTGCTTGAACCCGGGAGGCAGAGGTTGCAGTGAGCTGAGATCACACCACTGCACTCCAGCCTGGGCAACAGAGTAAGACTCTGTCTCAAAAACAAACAAACAAACAAAAAAAAAAAAAAAAACAAAAAAAAAACTTGCTGATCGAAACTTACAGAAGTGAGAAGTCACGTAGACAATAAAGCAGAATTCCAAGATCAGTGTGACACTACTCTAATTGACCTATAGGGGAAAAGGGTATTATTGTTTTTCTATTGTACAGGCAGAGAAAGTGAGGCTTAGAAAAAAATAGATACCCTGTACAAGGTCAGAGGGCTAGGAAGAGACAGAGTGGATCTTGATCGAGCCATTCTGATTCCAGAACCAACTACCCTCTTTACTGTGACTGCAGACAGTTTTGTATTATGTCAATTCTCAGCACACACCAGATGTGACACAGCCCACTTTCTCAGGAGGACGCCAGGCTTGGGAGGCCAGGCAGCCTGGTTAAAGGCCGCTCAGCCAGGAGTGGCAGGTCTGATACCAAAGCATTGACTTAACCTCATTATTCTACCACTCAGTCTTCCACAGTCTTGCTGAAAGCCCTACAAAGTGGCAGCGTGGAACCTGGGAAATGCTGAGTGGTTGAGATTTTGAAAGCCAACAGAACGTCTGCCACACACACACATAACCCCAAAGTTCTAGTTCATTCCAGCAGCTTGGAAGATACCTGCCTGTACATCTTGAGCTCTGCTGATCAGGCAGGAAGACAAAGGCTTACTAAAAACCTGTTTTCATCACCTTCTCCTTCAACACTATTTGGCTTCCAAAACCCAACCTGGAACATCGCACAGAAATGCAGGGGAATGTGAGGGTGGTCCCAAGGTGGGAGGATGAGGCAGGGAGAGTGAGGGCTCAAAAGGGGCTTATTGTGAATGAATCCACAAGGGTCCAGCAGCTCTGGAACTCTGCACACTTCACTCCTGTAATTCTACTTCTTGTGCCCAGCCCTCCATCCTGTTCCAAATTCTTCCTTTAAGGCTTTCTTCAAATACTCCAGCCCACCCACATCATCTCCTACTTTAAATTCCTACATAGTGTCACACATTTCTATTTGCTTCTATACACTCTTACACAGTTTTCTAGCTATTCTCTATACAAAGGGCCGTCCTATCGTCCAAATATATGCAGGGGCCTGCTTAGCGATAACAACTAAGTGCTTATCATGATCAGGCATTGTGCTGGGTACTTTAAATATATTGTTATAGGTTTCTCCAGTCCTCATATCATACCTGCAAGGTAGGTATCATCCTGCCCATTTTACAAATGAAGAAATAGAGGCTGAAAGAATAAGTACGCTGACCGATGTCATTCAGTGTTGGAACTGGGTTTAAAAAGCAAATGTCTAATTGCAAAATATGTGCTCCTTCTAGTCTGTGTCATGCTGCCTTCTGTAGCAACAACGGCTGTTCCCTGAGCCTGTGCCACATGCCAAACTATTCAACATTTGCACATACTCTCCTAGTCACTCTTAAGGGTGTTTCATAATGAAGAAACTGAGGCCGTGAGGACTGAGGGGCAATGCTGCAGCAATGTCAAGTTCATTCGGTGGACCACGTGCCTTCCATCTCCAAAGACACAGTCTGTGCTCCTTAAATACCTCCTGACAAACTCAATGTGCAGAGGCAAGATAGAGCAAGTTTCTGCTGCAAACTCACCACCAGTAGTGGATTCTAAGCCCAGCTCCCTGCCCAATGATTCTTTGCAGGGTCACAGCTTCTGTGCCTGTTTCACCTAGGCTGGTAACCACAGGAGGATCTGATTGGGAAAGCATGGCGTCACAGATGGAAAAGGACTCAAATTTGTTCTAGTGATTAAAAGAAAATCTCATGTGTCTTTTCTTGCATCTGCTCTTTGGGGTTAGGAATTTAATGTATCTAAAATTTCTCATAATTTGATGAAGAAGAAAGGGGAATGGTGGGAGAGGACCGTGGCTGGCAGGGAGGAAAGAGAGCAGTTGTAACAGATGCTCATGAATCCAAGTCCCAGATTTTGTGCTTTGAAATTGTAACCTTTCTTCCCCCATGTCCTTTCAACACCAACATAATATTCCGGAGGGGCATGTGGCCCTTGATACACAGGATTCTTCCCATATCAGTGCCTGGAGCACTGCGTGCTTACCCTGAGTTGACAGGAAGCCTTTGTAACTGAGCCACCCAGAAGAGGGGAAGCCAGGGATCTAATCCATGGGTGGGAGTGGGGGACACTTATGACAAGGATGAAGGGCAGTGACACGAGGGAAGGCCACAATGAGCAAGGGCAGCCTCGATATTTGCCAGAGCTGTCTGTGGCCAGAAACCAAAGCTGCCCCTGCAGCTGGAAAACCAGCCATGTCTCCTTTGCTTCTGGGTCTCTGGGATACTGGCAAGTTCATCTTGACATAAAGTCACTTAGTTCTAACTTGTCCTTTTCCCATTCAGGGTACAAATGATCAGGAGCCACCAAGATTAGTTCAGTGAGTTTGCAGATGTATTCTGAGGAAAACCAGTTCCACCAGATGCTCTGTGATAAGAATGTTGCCCTAAGAAGGGAATGTGGAATCTCCTGCCTTGTTGGAGATTCACACTGTAAACAGTACATCAACATTTTAACAGCTGTGAAGTCCAGTAAAGATCACCATAACTTTGCCTAAAGGAGCATTCCCCAAACTTATGTGACTACACAGGAAACGCTGAGAAGAATGAAGCACACACACACACACACACACACACACAAAGCGAAAATGAAGAAAAATGCAATAGAGCCTAGAGCTGCCAGTGGCTACTTGATTCTCACTTCCCTGAGAAGGAAGCTGGCACAGTGGGAAGCAGAGCTGAGAGGGATGGAAGTGTGCCTTTGACATCGCTTGAGTGCCCACATCCAGCCATACTGAAAGCCAGAAGCACCCCTGGGAGATCCAGCCATGAGAAATAGTAAATTCCTTTCTTTTGCTTTTTGTCACTTGGCATACTCATGCTAACTAATGGGGAAACGTAACTTGTTTGTAAAATAACTCCAGATATGTGGTTGAGAGTCAGATGGGAAAAATGTGGAAAGCATGCAGAATTCACTCAGGCAGTAAGGACACTGGTTGAATCTAATCAAGTGACAAAGGAAATTAGGTACAACCTGGGATGAGGCACAAAAGTCCACTGACCCAAATCGGGCAATAAATGTTGAAAGCAGTTACAAAAAGTGATTAAGATAGCAACTTGAAAGGAACCTAGAGAATTCGTGTTTACTATGTGGTGAAATGAAATTCCAGAGAAGTGGCTTGGGGACCTCGATAACACAGCAGAAAGAACTACAGTGTACGCAGCTATGATTCTGGAACCATCATTCCTGGAAGAGGATTGGACCATTCCTGTGTCCTGGTCCTGAAACAGTCGGAGAAAAACCATATGATGGCGCTGAGCCCACCTGAGATGATAAACCGACTACCCTTATTTCAGAGTGTGTGATTTTAAATCTGGGAAAGGTTTAAAAAGATGAAAAAGAATGATGAAGTAAATCATAATATTAAGATTAAGGCTTTGTGATCATTGGGTTAATCAGTATGTATTTATAACATTTAAAAGAATACACAGCATATAACAGGATCTGACAAAACAGTCTTCTGATTTCAATTTTAAATGACTATTGATTTTTTACTTGAGACTTTTAAGCTGAAATGTTTAAGAATTGGATTACGGTTGTAAAAAGAATTGAAATCTTTATGAAAATAATTTGTGACATTTGTAACTCTAATTTATTTGATTTGCAAGAGTTGCTTAAGTGCTTAGAAAGATTTTGCTTGTTTGGCTGGTAAATCTACCCTGTCAGACATCTGAAGAGCTTAAGGAAACCAGGTATGTTAAATTTACAAATGCAGTCTAAAATATTTAAGAAAATTTAATTATCCAAGCTTTCAAACAGCACTAATTTTGTAGGTAAGTGTAATCTGTTGCCTGAATAAAGTACTAATTGACAACAAGTGAAAATGATCTTAATTTATGAACAAAATACTTGTTTTATAGATGTGATTTCTAAGAAAATCTAGATAAAAAACGGAAAACTTCGATTAAATATTAAATCCTAGTTAACTCTAAGAAGTTATTTTTGGGCACAAAAGCACTCTTAAAAATAAGATATTTTTTAAAGTATTAAAGCAGGTTTCATCTTTTGAATGAATCAATGATTTTTATATGAATGACTAGAAGAATAAATGAACCCACGATGGCATCTTCTCTCCTCACCAGGTTTTGCCACTCCAGTTCACCTTCACTCTACACAATAAAACTTTCAAAGCAGCTCCAAAATTGCTCTGAAAATGTTGCTGGAGATAGCATTGTGTTTGACAACCTTGGGAAATAAGCAAAACAACCCCACGGCCTCCTCCTGGAAACTAACAGGAATATGGGACACAGAGCTTGGCTGGTTTCCCTATCTTTTTGGTTTTTTAATAATTTTAAGACAGCCTATCACAGATATACCTGACTTCTTTGGCTGAAACATCTAGAGAAATGGCTAGAAGATACTTCCATTGATTCATCAGAACAATCAACACAAAAGCATGATTTCCTAACCAGATCACAGCTATGTACCTTTTTCTCCACTAATGAAATGCCCTACATTGGTCAAGTCAGATAAGAACGTAACTGGAGTTATAAGTGATCAGATTTTAAAATAACCTTCACATATTTTTAGCCAATGTATAGGTGGAAGGAATTTTATGAAACATTTTCTATGTTTCTTCTCATAAACTCCACATTTTTAGACCCTTAGCCAAGGGCTTTGAATTCACTTCTTCATCTCATCCATTGAGCCACTGCCCCTGTGTGCCAGGCACTGTGCAAGGCGGTGGGGATACAGTGAGAATTCAGAGTTTTCCCTGCCTTGACCATAGATCCAGTAGACATAACAGACAAGAACATAGCTTAGACACAAATGAAAACATAAAATAGGGAGATGAGCAAAGGGCACCAAGTGGAAACAACACTGGTTCCAAACATCATTTCTATAGCCTCCCATATCTCCTAAAGCCACCAGCCAAGTTGGAGCACAAAGAGCTCTTCTGGCAGAGTTCCAAAGCCCGGGCCCACCAACGCTTTTAGCTATGCTGCTTTCTTCTTCAACACATGGACACAGCAAGAGCCAGGAGCAAGGAGAGCCAGGCCTTTGCTCCAGGCTTCCACAGAACTACCACCCGTGAGGGTTCAGACAAGACACATCCTCTCCAGGCCCCAGTCTTCTCTTCTTTATAATGGAGTAGCTGGACTAAGCCATCCCAAAGGTTCCTTTCCAACGGACGTCCTTTACATTTATGCTCAGAGAAAAGTTGGTACAAAGGCAAGTGGGCACACTGGAGGTCTCCACACTGAATGGTCTCCCCTCGTTCAGTAAAAGCTGCCGAACAGGTAACTCCATTTTCTAATGTCTGGGCTTTTTCATTGCTGATTTCACCTGTCAGATTATTTTTAGGTAGCCCTGAGTTAGCGGCCCTTTTTAGACAGAAGTATGTTCTCTTATTTGATACAATCCCCATGGGAGCCTTTCAGTTCACATGTGCTACCTGCTTGGTCCTGCAATTTGAGTTTGCAAACTCTGGTATAGAGGCGTTACAACTCAACTCACAATAGAGTGTCTGAACCAGACCATGCTATTTATCCAAAGAAAGAGGATGCAATCTTGCCTAATACTTAAAGCCACCACTGACAGCGTTACCAAATATGCCAGGCACTGTAGTAGGCACATTATTTATATTATTCCACCCCCATTTTCCCCCGGATGGAAAGGAGACTTAGGACGCAGAGCTCATCAGAAGGATGAGACTCAAACCACGGCAGAATGACTGCAAGCAGCCTTCCAGCTCATCTGAAAGATGGCAGTGTCTTATAGATTGTAGCGCACAGCTATAGTACATACAGATCAGCTTTGAAATCTGTTAACTAGCTTAATCAAAAAGAACCTCCATCTACCAGCAGTCACCAAGTGTATCAAGAACAGACCCCATTTTGGCCAACATGTAGCATTTTAACCAGAATCAAGGCTCTCACAGCCTCAGCCTCAGCTGTTTCTCTACTACCTCTTGGAGAAATACAGATGTGAAGGGAAAAGCCTCTACAAAAGTGACCAGAAAATCCATTCAAACATGGAAGGGCCCATTAAACCAGGAGATCCAGTTTCAGTCTTAGAAGGGATGCTGACATCACCGTGTCAGGAATCCAAATGCCACTCAGAGGGCTTAAAGCACAATTTTAACAACCCCAAGACAAGCGATTTGCTATGAAAAAATGCAGGTGAAAGAAGCATAAATCATGTCAGCTTCACACATCTATTTTGCTCCACTGTTGTGAGGAGTGAGAATTCCACAGAACTGAGAAAGTAAACCAGACTTCACTGGGACCCCTGAGAAACTATATTTAATATAGGCAAATTTTTAATATCAAGCTCTTCCAGAGAGGTATCTAAAAGAAGCAAGAATCTGTAATGGTCCTGAATTAATGTGATATGATATTTACAATTTCATCTCTCATGAAGCAAAAAAGCAAAATAGAATCCCAAGGTTCCAGGGATGATTAAACAGATTTTTCCACTAGGATATACACACCCTTGCTTTCAGCAAAAGACTCCGGGAGGAGGAGTTATTGAAGGATCTGGAGGGAGGATCATTACACCTTTCAAATGAACTCCCTGTGAGATAATGTTGTTTATTCAAGGGAAAGACATGCTAAACGATGCTGTAAAAAAAATCAGATTGTAGATATATATTAGTTCCTCTCTACTTACTAATAAAACCACAGCCGGTGAGCAGAGATGAGGTTCTCTAACTACGGTTCTGAAAAGCAGTCTTCACAAAGCAAGGATCCTAATCCTCCCCAAACTCCAAAGGCTGGGTCTGCTTCCAGGAGGCCCTTACTGTCCTTGGAAACAGTCTGGGCCAGCCCCCGCCCCTCTGTCTGCCTCTTTCCAGGTGACTAAGCTCACACTGCGCAGCTGTGACCAGCTGCATCCAGGACTTACCTGCTCAATTTTCCAGTTCTGCTCCAGAATCAAGGCACAGCCCATTTACAGGGCTGGCCCATGCCCCCCGCCAGACAGCTGCATTCAGTTGCAAAAAAGTCCAGACTGGTGGAACTCGTTTTCTGGCTATTGTTCAAGGCAATTGTTCCCGTGAAACCCCGGGGCCCGAGCGGAACGAGATCCTTTGGTGTGGATGAGTGAGCAAGCCTAACTGTAGGCTTAGTAGTAACCCCTGGGGAAGAGAAAGGGTTTGGCTACCTACATTTCCCACCAAACAGGTATGTTAACTATTTCCTCCCCAGGAGGTTTTCTCGGGAGCATCATCTCCTCTAACTATTGCTGGGGCCTGTTAAGAAAATCCACCTTCAAAGAATGAAGCAGGGCTCCTGCAGAGTCCTACCTTTTGTAGTCTATGTGGAAAGCATAATAATAGCCAACTTTAATCGACATTTACAGTTGTCAGCCCCTGTGCTAACTGCACTACATACATTATTTCAGTTAATCCTCCAAACTCTGATAAAAATAATCACCAACACTTATTAATGGTTTGCTATGTGTCAGGCTCTGTTGTTATGTAACATATGTTCTCCCAGTTACTGTTAGATAAATATTAACACTATACCCATTTTACAGATGAGGCAATTGAGGATTGGAGAAATAGTCCCACGGGTCATACAACTAAGAAATGTTGAGGCTGAGATTTAAACACAGACACATGAGTGTTCAACCATCGCATTTATCTATTCATTTTACACATTTTAATGAACGCTCGTCATGTGTTCATTAGACTTTGAAGGACTTCAAAGTTTCCCACACCAAAGAAGATACAGTTACTTTAATTAAAACTATAAGCAAGCTGGCCAGGCACGATGGCTCACGCCTGTAATCCCGGCACTTTGGGAGGCCGAGGCGGGTGGATCACGAGGTCAGGAGATCGAGACCATCCTGGCTAACACAGTGAAACCCCTTCTCTACTAAAAATACAAAAAATTAGCCAGGTATGGTGGCAGGCACCTGTAGTCCTAGCTACTCGGGAGGCTGAGACAGGAGAATGGCGTGAACCTGGGAGGCAGAGCTTGCGGTGAGACGAGATTGCATCACTGAACTCCAGCCTGGGTGACAGAGTGAGACTCTGTCTCAAAAAAAATAAAAATAAAAAATAAATTTAAAAAAAAACTATAAGCAAGCCACCTGTCTCTGGACTACAGCTCTGGGACCAGCTTACATAGTTTGCAGTTCTGGTGCAAGATGATCCAGAGCCTAAACTGGAATTAATGCAAGGACAGAATGTAGTCACTAACCCCAGCAAATTTAGTCTCATCTAGTACCACTAATACCAGGAGGCTCCAAATGGAGAGACCACAGCTCTGCAGAAAAAATGAAAATAGGTCTGTGTTTGAATTCTGGCTCTGCCATCTCCTTATCAGGGCACCTTTACCTCCTGGGTGGCACTGTTCTAATAACATCCAGTTAGCATAATCATTTTGGTGGGACCAAATCAGGTAGCCTAAGTACAGCTCTCCATGTATATGGGAGAGAGTCCATGCATGTCAGTTGCAGTACAGGATCCAGGGAAGCTGCAAGGACTGCAGGAAGGAGATGCAGGCCTACATTCTCAAACAGATGATTAAGTTCTAGTGTAAGAACTTGCTTCTTACTGCCATAAATGGATAGTGTCCTAGGGGAGAAGCAACGTCTACAGACGGTGCCAGGTGCAAGGCCAGTGATTTGAGGTGGAGAGAGGAAAACACAAACCGCATAAAAAAGGCTCCAAGGGGATTTAGCAGCCATCAGGCTTGAGTTTCACCCCACCGCACCTTTGTCCCATTTTGGTAACTCATTCCTTGACAAGTAGGTGGTCCCCTGAGTAAGCATGAAATTTTTCCCTTTGGCTTCAGGAGCTTGGTCGCGTTAGAAAGCCCAGACCAAAGCTCCGGATGCCTTAGACCCTCATTGTTACACTAGGCACCAGCGTGTCTGCTGACCTCAGCTACACAAAGCCCTCTCTCCTTCAAGGCTCCTCTGGAGAGGGCTGCTTACCCTTGGGCCACTGCTGGCTGGCTTTTGCCAAGGATATCAACAAACTCATCCTAGTTTTCTGTTTACCAGAAGATATATTTCCCCTAAACATCAACAGAGTTCAGCATATTATAGCAAATGAAAATAACAGTAAACATTTATACAAGGTGAAAAGTTTTAATAATAGGTTCCAGGTACCATGCTAAGCACCATCCCATAAACACCTCTCCACTTTCTTATCAGGCACAAACTACTAATGCCCCCTTTGGATAGATGTGGAAACTGAAGCTTAGAGAGGCTATGTGACCTGCCCAAGGTGCCAGGGCTAACAAACAGAGCTGGATTTGAATACAGATCTGCCTGATTCTGAAACCCAAGCTTTTTAAAATCACATTGACTCAATGTTAAGAACAGAGGTAAAGATGCATCTAAATAGATCATGGTCATATAAGAACTCAGAACTTCCAACTGTTATTCAAAATACACAGGACACTTTAATGCAATCAAGTTACTTTTAAAACATCTCAAAGAAATTAAAGGAAAGGGGATGGGGGACAAATCCCAGACAGGGCATTGGCCAGCTGTCTTAAAACTAAGTAGAATGGGACAGGAGTTCAATACCCCCATAGTCTCCCTCCCTCCAACCCTCCACTAAGCTCCCAATATATCTTAGGGATGTGGGAACCTGAATGCACAAAACAGAACCACAGTTGCCCCAGGGCAGCCAAGGGAGGCGGCTATCTCCCAAAAACAGGCTGGCCTCATTTTGCAGTTTGTCAAGGACTTGCCCTTAAGCTCTCTCTTTCTTGGGGTAAGAGGAAAGCGAAGGGACCTCAGGTCAAGATTTCTACAGCCCAAGAGAAGCTCAGCTTTAGCTAATTAGGCACCTCCAGCACACATGTGAACAGCTAGCGCCAATAGCTTTGGTCAGCATTAATATGCTGGGTGTAGATCTTCTCCCTCCAAGACTCCATACATTCAGCGTCTTAAGAAGCAGACCCAGAGTTCCAGGGCACAGCCTCAGCAGCCCAAGGCCAGCTCCAAGGTCACTGGCCTTTCCTGATTTGACCTTCACTTGGGATCAAGTCTTCCTGAACCAGGTACAAACTAAAGCTCCAGCCTGATCAATCCAGCAGCCCCGGAGCCTCAAGATCACAGAACTCCCAGCTAGGTCCTACTGCCAAAGCAGGGCTGCTTCTTAATACACAGCCCTCTTCCTTCCAGAAACAAGCTGAATCCGAGAAGCCCAGGCAGGCTGTGCTGCTAGCATCCTGTGTATTTCGGTGAGTCCTCCACAACAAAGTACGCCCTTCATCCAGCTGAAGTCACATTTAAAATTAACAGGTAAAACCATTCCGAGCTCAGATGCCAAGCCCACCCAGGAAGGCATGGTGGTAGAGTGAACCTGGGTTCCAATCCCAGCTTTGCCTCTTATCAGCTGTGTAACCTTAATCAAGTTATTTAACCTCTCTTGGTTCCCACTGGTGATTTTCAAAATTGAATGTAATCTCCCTGGCTTTGCAATGAAATTGAATGACACAATGTCTGCTAGATGCTTGGCATGTGGTAGGTGGTCATGAACATTGTTTTCTTCTCCCCTTGTCTGGCTTAAAAACAGAAATGTGCTTCCCTGGGCAGCTCTATAGGTCATAAGGTAGCAAGAAAAGTCCTTATGCTTAAACCTCCCATGCCATCTCTCCTGGAGCCTAGTTTACACACACACACACACACACACACACACACACACACCCAGCAATTTGCTGTATAAACACAACCACAAGTTCACCAGGATCCTTAAATTCCAAACAAAACCTCCAACTGCAAGTCTTTTTAATCAGGGCCCTCTGAACCACAAGCAGCCCTTGCCTGGGGCCACACTGCCTTTTTCCGGCTCACCCCTCTGTACTGCCCCCACCAGCTGAAAAGTCCGGAATAACGACTTAAGACAGCTAGGTGATCAATACCCAGATTTTCGGGCTCAGTAGCCTAATTTGATAAGACGGTTTGGAAAATATTGACATTACCCAAATGTCTAGGTGGACCCAGGACATTCGGGTAATGCCCCAGTTTCCTCTGAAACCATCAAGGTTAGAATCAATGGGGGCGGAAGAGGAGAAGAGGTGAATTTCCTGACCAGCAACCTTGCCCCCCGCCCCCTCCCACCCCCACTCACACACCACCACATAGCTCACAGTGATTTAGGCAGCTGCACCACAGGCTGCTCCACCAGGCTTTTCAATACCGGCCAAGGAAGACAAGGCAGTACATGCACCACACCCACCCCCTGGCCCCAGAAATTTTAGAAAATCGTCCTACCTTGTAAGGTTCCTAGGCCAGAGCATTTCACTACATTGCGGCCCTTGGAGAACAGCGGACAAAGAAGCTGAATGAATCTCACAGGATGGCAAGTCCTTTAGCCAGCTGAGCCAGCCCACACTGGGCCAGGGAATCCCAGGCACCCAGCAACTCTGTAACTAAAGGACTAGCTAGCAGGGATCACCATTCCCCAGGCCAGGAAAGAAATCCGATCCCCCAACAAAATTAACCTCTGAAGTGCTGAAGGATCGAGAGGTCAGGCCTCAGTGCTGGTATCAAGTCAGCTGTGAAAAGTTTCAGCAAAGCAAAAGCTAACACCAAACTCTGAAACCATTACCGTAAAGCACTGAATGGAAGGGCCCTCCATGTGGTCCCAGGGGAGTTTGCAACAGCGGGTCAAATTGAAGAAAATCTAAGAATGAAAAACTACTTTAAATCCTCACAGACTGCACAGAAACATTGCAGAAAGTCTTTCCAGCCCTAAGTGCTACTTTTAATGATGCAAAAATCATTGACTATAACATTTCTTAGCTCATTCCATTGACGTCTGAAGGCAAAGCATTCGATTGAAAAGATTAGCCTACAGAGAGAATTTCTGAACCTAAAAAGGAAATGATACCTGTTTGTACAGTTAACAACGACACACATACATTATTTCCGGTGATGTCAATTTTGATGCAGTGCCAACAAAAATATGCATTAATTCCGCAGGCTACTTATTTCAAAAGAAAAAGAATCTCAGTCTAGGCATGGCTACATTAAACATTATGGTACAGAGGCTGGAAGGGGAGGTGGGTGGGAGAGAGTCCCAGCTCTGGGATGGGAAGGGGTTGCATGGACTAATCCCTATTAAAACCTGTAATCAAGGCACTCAGAAAGAACTATGTAAACAGATGCTATGAACAATGAACAACTGTATTACTACTGAGAACTCAAAAGCAAACTTATGTTATAGCCACAAGCTTTATTTGAAAACGAAGGATTAAGATGTTCTCCAAAACCCTGACTCCCTCTCCAAAAATCCTACCAGTTGGTTCCTGGTAGCTTTCAAAGACTTTCCCCAAGAAAGGCTCTCCCCCTGGCCAGGGTGGCCTCTCCAGTGGAAGCAGGGAGCGGGGGTTGTGGCCCTGGGGGATGGTTAGGGAAGGAAGCAGTAACTGGCTCCAAGCGAGGTCTCTGTGTGGTCAGCATTTGCTCAGCAAACAGAAGCTTTCAAAGGGGAATGAAGAGCCATTCCTCTCCCACTGAAAAGGGAGGGAATAAAAGATCTGCTCAAAGAGGAGAGGAGGGTCTGGTGGTGATTCCCAGGTGAATGAAAAAAAGATTGTAATCTCGAAGGAGTCCCAACCAAAGTTAATCATTCACATCTCATCCTTCAGGGCCCTCGTCCACTTGAAATACTGCTGAGGCATCTGCCGTGGGGAGTGGGAAGCAGAGGTGGGGGTGGGCAGTGGGTGAGTTTGAGGGAAGGAGTAGTGTCCAGATATATTAAGACAAAAAAGTTGGGACAGACCCAAGTTCTGGCTGACAAGGATGCTTCAAACCACCCCTTACCTTCTATGCTGTCCCTGGAACTGACTGTATCTTTACGATATTACTTCTTTGAGAATCTGTCCAACATCCGAGTTAACTTGGGAATGGGATGGTGATTGTGTGTATGGAGACACACAGGCACATGGGCACAGATGCACACACACGCTCTAAAAAGTTTCCATTGTTTCCTCGCTCTAGGCAAACATAATAGGTAAACATTCTGATTTGTCATCAAGGTAAGCTAGGAAATGTTGATGTATTCATTTATTCATTCATCAACTACCATATTTATAAAGCATCTGCAATGTGGCAAGTGCTGTTCTAAGTGCAGAAGATACAAGCAGTCAACAAAATAGACCAAAAATCTCAACTCTAATGGAACTTAGCTTCAGTGGTAGAACTATAAAATAAATGAGACAAAATGTAAATTTTACAGTACATTAGCAATAAATGCTCGGGAGAACAACGTATTGTAAAGAAGAAGATGTGATTTGTCAAGGTGGGGTGTGGGAAATTTTACATGGGCTGGCTATGGCAGGTCTGCTGAGGGCATGGTTTTTATTACAAATCTAAAAGAAGTATGGGAGCTGGGTATCTGAATACCTGGGGATAAGGGACTTTCAAGAGAGGAAATGGTCAGTGCAAAGGCCCTGAGATAGTATACGACTTGCAATGCATTCCAAGAATGAGTGGCTGGAGCAGTGAGCGGTGAACCAAAGTGGGGTGAGGAGGGGGTCAGGCCAGAGAGTCCAAGGGTACAGCGAGAGAGGAGAGTGCCTAAATGGGGCCCTGCAAGTCAGCGTAAGCAGCTTGTCTTTTACTCTGAGGGAGAGAGGATACATTGGAGGTTTAATAGATGGAGTTTCTTCTTTTTATAAAAGTTCATGTAAATGTACAACACTAAACATATCGTTTTGATTACACATGATTTTTACAGGGGTGAGTTTATTGTAGGAGACATAGTGCTTTAAGGAGGTCTTAGTTTTCTTTCTATGGTTAAAAGAATCACACCTTTCATGTTAGAGGCTCTGAATTATTTGCAGCTACAGGTTCTAATTGAGTCAGGGTTTTCTCATGGTTTGAAAGATAATAATTAGTAGGGATAAGGGAGACCCAGGCAACGAGAGAGGAAAAGGGAAAGTAAACCAACTCCATGAGGGCAGATGCCCTTTGGCGCTTTTCAAGAGCCAGGATTGCTCTGTCATTTTTGACGCTTGCTTCTAAACAGGCCAAATTCCAAAGGGCTCCCAGAACTCATAACACTTTTCTCCACAGAAACAATGTTATCAGTGATGTTAAGGTTTCCAGGTTACTCACAGAGCCATCTATAAAACCAAGATGTAGTTGATGAACTCTACTCAGGTATCAAAGAGTAGAAGAAAACTTTATTCTTGGAATACAGTACATAATTAGACAAAACAGAAAACCACAAATCTAAAAAGATGTTCACTTATTTCTAATGAGTATTTTATGAAAACAATGCTAGTGAAGACACTTCGTTCCTTTTCTTCCAACATATTCAACCCTCTTTCCTGGCTTTTCCCTGCAGGCTGAAAAATATATCACTAATCTCATCAAATCAAACAAAAACTTTTTTTTTTTTTTACCTCATGCCCATATTCTCCTCCACTCCTTTGAGGTGTTTTCCTGTACTTCTCATGTTCCGTGATCCTTCAACCCACCAGGCAAGATGTTTGTTCCCACTACTCCACTGAGACCACTTTCTCTTTTCCCTGAGAACATCAATGGCTTCCTCCTTGCCAAAGCCAATGGTCAACTCTCTGTCCTTACCCTACTTGAGTTTTCAGCAGCAGGTAGCATCGACAGATTCTCCCTTCTTGAGTGGGCCTCATCCCGGGTTTCCATACTGTCATCTGTACCTGGTTCCTACCTCCCTAACTGCGCTTCTCAATCTCCTAGGCTCACCCTCCTCTTCACCTCTCCAGAACTCCAGGGCCTCCATCCCTGGACCCCTCCTCTTCTCTAACTATAACTTCTCACTAACTTCTAACTAAGTTATAACTACCACTTCTAACTAACTTCTTTTCCTGGGTGATCTCATCCATGGCTTCAAATACTAGGTGAAGGCAGACAACTCTAAAGTCTGTAATCTCTAGCCTGGCCCCTTTGTGTACCCAACACATCTGAAATCAAATTTACCTTACTCAAAACTATTGCTCCCAACTTCCAATGTGTCCGCACCCCCACTCCCAAAGTCTTCTGTATCTCAGAATATGACTCTACATTAACAGTCCTAATTCTCTCCCTCCTTCTTGCCTCCGATGTAATCCATTAAGAAGGCCTTTTGCCTAGAGTCCCCAAATATACCTTGAACCCAATCACTACTGAACATCTGCAATAAGATAACCTTGGACCAAGATGCCATCATCTCTTTCCTGCAACAGACACCTCCCGGGTCGCTCAGCCTTCCCTCATGCCTTGCTAGGCTCCATCCTGCACACCCCAGGGGCAGCAATCTTTCTCCAGTGTACAGCAGATTCTGTCACATTCCTGCTTAAAGCCCACTGATAGCTTCCCAGGGAACTTAGAATAAAATTCAAATTTGTTCCCTTGGCCTAGAAGCCCTGATGTGATCTGGCTTCTCCTCTTCATTACGTCCAAAGACAGGACCCACAAATGCACCAAGCTTCTTCCCACTTCCTAGGCCCTCGCACTGTGCCTCCTTTCTGGAATGCTCCTCCCCATGTCTCCCACTGGCGGCCCACTTCTCACGGGTCAGATGTTGGTTGGAATGGCACCTCCTCAGGGATTTCCTCTTAGACTCTGGCCCAATTACATTCCACCATATGATTTTCTTCATGGCATCAACCAGTCAACACATTGTCTTTCAACAGTCTGTCTTTCCCTCAACACAGGGAGCTCCTCGAGCACAGGTGTACTGTTTGCCTTTGTTCTGAGCCATATCCTCCCAGTGCCTAAATCACTGCTGATGTGGTCCTGGATCAACCAAGCATAGGAGGACAAAATGGAACTGATTATTCCATGCAGTCTCCTGGGGACTGTGTAGTACTTCCAAGGACTTTAGTTCAATGGTTTTATTTGGTCACAGACCCACTTAGGGGCCCGTCTCTCCATAAGAAAAAAGATACACAAACAATATTTTACACAGAATTTCCAGGGACTCACTGATCCCCTGAATCCTGTCCATAAAGCCCAGGTTAAGCGCAGCTGCTTCTGAGTTTTGTAATACCACTTTAGTTTCACTTTTTTTTTTTTTTTTTTTTTGAGATGGAATCTCACTCTGTCGCCCAGGCTGGAGTGCAGTGGGCCGATCTCAGCTCACTGCAACCTCCACCTCCCGGGTTCAAGCGATTCTCATGCCTCAGCCTCCCGAACAGCTGGGACTACAGGCATGCACCACCATTCCTGGTTAATTTTTGTATTTTTAGTAGAGACTGAGTTTCATCATGTTGGCCAGGCTGGTCTCAAACTCCTGATCTCAAGTGATCCGCCTGCCTTGGCCTCCCAAAGTGCTGGGATTACAGGAGTGAGCCACCACACCTGGCAGTTTCACTTTTATACTGACTTTTTGTTTCCTTAATTTGGGAATCAGTATTATACTCAATTCAGTTGCTTTCTTCTTGCTTGCTAGTAACAGAACAAAGAGAGAAAGGGAAGGGAGGGAGGGAGGAAGGAAAGCTCTCCTGGATGAATGAACAAGAAGGAAAACATAAAGGTTTAAAAGAGGATCTGTGTGTATGGGACACATTAAAAGATGTGACACACATCACATTGCCTGGTGTGGAATTTTACTGGGTGTGATCTGCAACAGGCAGTGGGAAGGAGAGTCTTTAGCAAAGATTTTGAAGTACAGCAGTTAATACTAGGGAGTTTATTATTTTCAACAAGAATTATAGGAAACTAGGCAGCTTTGGGGTAGAAAATGAACAACATTCAACAAATAGTCAATGCAAAACCTTTGCCAGATACTAGACTGGACACTGAGAATATAAGGCGGAGGAAAAGGAAATGCCCCAGTCCTGACAGAGCTCTTTACATGGAGGAGACAAACAAGCAAAATCATTATGGATGTTACGGGGAAAGTGATGACAGAAATAAACAGGGTGCTGTGAAAGAGAGTCACACAGGAAGCACTTACTTTAAATAGTGTGGTAGGGAAAGGCCATTCCCAGGAAGTGACATTTAAAGGAAGACATGAAAGATGAGAGGGCACCAACCAGCCATCAGAAGGAGAAAGCCAGGTGTTCCAGACGAAGGGGTTGGGGAGTGGAAGGGGGACGCATCAAGTGCAGAGACCAGAGGGAGAGGCTGGGTGTGCTGGAGGGGCTGAAAGGTGGTTACTATGTTTGAAGCTTAGTAAGCGGGTGTGGGGACATTAGTGGAAAAGAAAGACTATCCTCTGGAGAACTCTCAAACCATTAATAACAACTGATCCTAGAAAAGTATCAATAAAGAGCTTTGAAAGGTAGTCAGTGTGCCTCTGCATCTCCCCCATTCCTTTTCCACTTCCTCTATTCTTTTCTGGGAATTAGGACCTAAAGGATAAGCAAGAGGGCCTCCCTTCCTGTTAAAGTTCTTTTTCTTTTATTTTATTTTCTATTTTTATTTTTTGGAGACAGAGTCTTGCTCTGTTGTTTAGGCTGGAGTGCAGTGGCACGATCTCAGCTCACTGCAACCTCCACCTCCCAGGTTCATGCAATTCTCATGCCTCAGCCTCCTGAGTAGCTAGCACTACAGGTGTGCGCCACCGCACCTGGCTAATTTTTTTTTTTTTTTTTTGTATTTTAGTAGACAGGGTTTTGCCATGTGGGCCAGGTTGGTCTTGAACTCCTGAGGTCAGGCAATCTGCCTTCCTTGGCCTCCCAAGGTGCTGGAATTACAGGCGTGAGTCACTGCACCTGGCCCTATTCATGTTCTTATGCAGAATCTCTATTTCCACTGGGTCCAGGGAAGCAGGACCTCACTCTTTGCATTTACCCAGATTGTGGATCCCTCCCTCCCTACTGTTTCCAGTGAAGTGGTGATACTGTGCTCCAATTATATTACAAAAACAGAATGAGCTGCCTTTCAGCTTCAAATATTTTATCTTATAGAGCTGCAGTTTCTGTTACCTTTTGTTGGTTAATTGTTGAGATTGTCTGGACTCCACATTTGTGAGTACTCACATGTAAAAGCACACATATTCCTTAATCTCTAAACAAAAGATTT
The DNA here is from genome assembly GCF_000001405.40 of Homo sapiens. Classification (NCBI taxonomy): domain Eukaryota; kingdom Metazoa; phylum Chordata; class Mammalia; order Primates; family Hominidae; genus Homo; species Homo sapiens. Next base: position 20,016,409 of record NC_000011.10, on the reverse strand, counting down.
CATTCAGCAGGAACAGTATCCAATCTGTTATCCATGCTTATGCCCTTCCCATTCTAAATCTGAAACCAGCTGATTGTTAACAAAACCTTAAAGACAGCTAAGGAACAGGACCATGTGGGTGCCAGCATCTTCAGCCTCAACTCACAAATCCAGACTTTCCACCCTCAGTCCAACATCAGGGATGTCTTTTCTGGAAGGGTGCCAATCGGCTATATCAACTCCAAAATGGCAGCATTTCCAGTAAAGGACATAAGAGGTCGAAGTTACTCCCAACAATAACGATAATTAAACTTTATAAGCTTTACTGCCTACACATCTCATCTCATTTAATTCTAAGAACTGTTCTAACACGCGTTATTATCCCCATGTTATGAAAAAGAAACCGGCGCTCAGAGAATTTAGATGATTTGCTCGTAGTCATACAACTGCCAAGCGACAGACTGGAGCCAAATCCTGTTTGATTTCCGTGACACGGCATTAGAGGAGTGAACACCTCCAGGTCACTATGCCAACAGATGACACTAAGACACTTAGTGGGCCAGGGCCATTCACAGGTTATCCCACAGTCCTTCAGCTCCTTCTAATACTTTTGGGTTTGGTCCAATTGAGATACTGTCATTTACCAAATTCCACACTATAGTCGCTCCTCCTATATTTGCAGTGATTGTTCTCTTTAAAATATCAGCTGGATATTGACTTTTGTGTGCCAGGCATTGTGCTGGGGAAACAGTGGTATGTCAAAGAGAAGATGTCTCTCTCTACCCCCTCGTGGAGCTTATAATTGGGTGTATGTGGGGGTACCAAGCAGTCAAATAAAAAACAAATACATTTAACCGCAATCCATGAGATATGCCATGAAAGAAAAAAAGAAATAGTAAACTGTGAGGACATATTATAGGGAAGAAGAGAAGGAAATTATTGTCCACAAAGTCAGAAAAATCTGTACTCAGGCTGCCTGTATAGGAATGCTGTGCAATGGTGAAAGTTGACAATTTTGGTGAAAATCTTGAAACTTGACCCTAGATGTAGCTTTCTAAATAGCAAAACCTAGATTACCCCATAAAACCCCATCCCACACATCCCTGGCTAAGAACAACAGCCACAAAAATTTCTGTGTCATTGTCTCCAAGGCCATAAGGAGTAGCAGCAGATGGCAATGCTCGACACGTATTTCAGGGAACAGTATGAAGTGAGGCTATCGTGCCTATTTGGTCATGATCATAAATCTGGTTATTTAGAGGAAAACAGGAAAAAAACCCAAAGAAGCAAATCCATGTGGCAATTAGGTCTTTTATTTATTAATTAACTACCTTTTTTGAGACAGTGTTTCACTATTGCCCAGCAGGAGTGCAGTGACACAATCTCAGCTCCTTGAAACTTTAAACTCCTGGGCTCAAGCAATCCTCCCGCCTCAGCCTCCCCAGTAGCTGGGACTACTGGCATGTGCCATCATGCCTCTAATTTATATTTATATTTATATTTATATTTATATTTATTTATTTATTTTTGAGATGAAGTCTTGCTGTGTCACCCAGGCTGGAGTGCAGTGGTGTGATCTTGGCAAACTGCAATCTCTGCCTCCCGGGTTCAAGTGAGTCTCCTGCCTCAGCCTCCCAAGTAGCTGTGACTACAGGTGTGCACCACCACACACAGCTAATTTTTGTATTTTTAGTAGAGAGAGGGTTTCGCCATGTTGTCCAGGCTGGTCTTGAACTCCTGACCTCAGGTGATCCACCTGCCTTGGCCTCCGAAAGGGCTGGGAATACAGGCATGAGCCACTGCACCTGGCCTATGCCTGGCTAACTTTTAAAATTTTTTGTAGAGGCAGGGTCTTGCTTTGTTGCCCAGGTGGGTTTTGAATTCCTGGCCTCAAGCAATCCTCTCACCCTGGCCTCCCAAAGTGCTGGAATATTACAGACATGACCAAATACACCTAGCCATGGTCTTTTAAACAGAAAATTAAAGGAGATTTAAAAGAACATGATGGGCTTTGAGGATCTATATTTTATTAAGGGTGCTGTAGGGGCACAGAGAGAGTTCAAATGTTTATTTTTGCAGCTGCACTGTTATCTCTATTAAGATGGATGGGGAATGAAGAAAATGTTTCAGTGCTACTCTTTGGCTTTTTCCAATGGGAGTCCAGCTCCAAGGACATCCTTGACTGTGTCTACCACAGGGTGATAATGAGGGAGAGGGACAGGTGGCTGGGGTGAGGAGGGGGAAGTGTAATCGGGGAGAAGGAAGGGATTGGAGAGGAAACTTGTAGGTGCTCATCATTGGCAGCCCCTAGGCAGACTGCGACTTAAGCCAACAGTTGGGGACTCTGATCTCACTCCACTTCCTTCACCCAAAGTTTTCCCACTGGCCCCGGTCATGCAGCCCTCATGTTGTAGGATGCGCTGCAGGGCAGAGGAGAGAACACCGGAACAGAACAGAAGCTTGGGGCTGAGCCCCTACATCTGTCACCACATTGACTTTGGCCAAATCACTTCCTGACTGTGGCTCTCAGATTACTCTCCTGCTTACTGAGCAGGCTGCCACCCCAGAGGTCCACTAAGAACCTTCCAAGTATGAATGTTTTGTAAAACTATACCCCTAGATCTCCCACTGAATTCCTTCTCAAAAGAAAATTCATTTGCCTTGTGAATTTGACTCATGATCCATCTGTCCCCTACTGGGGACAGACCTTGAATTTACTGCAGACTTTCTAGGGACCGGGCATTGTATGAAATGCTGTAAATACCTTTTCCCGCAGAACCCTTCCTACAGCTCCATGAGGTCGTAATTTCTCTTGTAAGAAAACCTGTTCTATACCTTAGCTTTGGTATTTCATTGTTTCCCTTCTGAGTTTATAGGGACTATAAAATAGGTTCACAAAACCTTTCCCAACCTCTGAACCACAGTCTTGTCTACAATGAAAGGAAAAAAAAAAAAAGTTTGGCAAAGAGCCCAACTCATTCTAGGTATTTGCCTAGCGGGAAGGCTAGCTGAAAAAGTTATAGACTGGTTAAGAATTAAACTCCTTCCATTTGACCATTAGTCTCTAAGAGAAAAACTGTTTTGAATGGAAGAAGAGAAGTTAAATAGAGTGACTGGCACACAGAAAGTACTTACAAATTTTGCTATTGGTTCTGAAAACCAACAGCGCGCCAGAGACTCTACTAACTTTGTATACAACGTTGGTATCAAAACTCACATATCCCAGTATGATAGATTTTATTATCTCTCATATACAGATGATCTACAACTCAGAGAGGTTAAGTAAGTTGCTCAAGGTCACATAGCCAAAAAATGCTAAAGCCAAAATCTGGACCCAGGTCCAACTTATTCATAAATCAGTGTCCTTCTGGGGCTTTCTTAAGCTCCCATTTATGGAGTTCTTATCATGGTGTTTACTGTGCTGAATTTTCTGGTCTTATTTCATCCTTCTGACATTCCCTATGCAGTAGGTATAATCATCCCAAGTTTATATGAAGAAATTGGGGAGCAGTGGGTTAAGTAAGATGCCCAAGGCCACACTGCTGGTAAGCCCCCAGGCTTCTGATTTCAAAGCCCATGCTTAAAACTACTCTTTATCACCTCTGGATTTTTGCCTTGAGACTGGTAATTGGCACATTGGGGATGATTTTCTTGACTTTACAGACAGCCACTTCACTGGTTTGAGTATTAAAAGTGTATTGACAACAACCCTATCCCCTGGTCGCTCTTTTCCCCCTTCTTTTTTTTTTTTTTTTTGAGATGGAGTCTAACTTTGTTGCCCAGGCTTGAGTGCAGTGGCACAATCTCGGCTCACTGCAACCTCCGCCTCCTGGGTTCAAGTGATTCTTCTGCCTCAGCCTCCCGAGTAGCTAGGATTACAGGCGTGTGCCACTGTGCCCGGCTAATTTTTGTAATTTTAGTAAAGATTGGTTTTCTCCATGTTGGCCAGGCTAGTCTTGAACTCCTGATTCAGGTGATCCACCTGCCTCGGCCTCCCAAAGTTCTGGGATTACAGGCTTGAGCCACTGTGCCCGGCCATGAGTGGGTGATTCTATCAGTAGGCACCATCATGGTATTAGGTTGGTGCAAAAGTAAGTGCAGTTTTCACAATTAAGAGTAATGGCAAAAACCACAATTACTTTTGCACCAACCTAATAGTTTCAAGTTCTATATTTTTGCTTAAGTTTAGAGAGAAAGATAAATGTTCTCATTCAATTCAGAGCACAATGTAAACTGATGCTATATGTGGAGGTTCAGCTGCAGGGAGCTAGCTGGACCTAGACAGAAACTCCATTCTTCAGCCAACTTTCTTCCAAACACCATACCAGGAACAATGGAGTACGGATAGAAAAAGTATGTGAATGGTTCAGGGTAGCCCCATCACCACTGCCAGAAGATACTCGAGACTATGCTCCTCTGTAGTGCCTCAAGGGCATCATCTGCACACACAAATGTCAGAATTATAAGGGAAATATAGAATACAAGCTTTATTGGCAGCCCACACTAGTGTGCATACATTAGGTCCAAGAATGGTCTTTGCATTTTTGTTTATAAGAACAAAAGAAGTGAAATACCCTAAATATTCACCAGTAGGAAGACAGTTAATCAAATTATGGCTCCGCCACATAGAATGGAATCCTGTGTGTGACCATTAAGAATGATGTTAATGAATCCTGATAAAGAAAAATGCTCATGCTGTACTACACAATTACAAAATTAGATTATAAAACATCTCTCATTTTTTAGAGGCTGTATAATGTAATTAAAATTAAAGACTATAGAGTCACACTGTCTAGCTACAAATCCTGGCTCTGTCACTTTTAGCTGTGTGACTTTGGACACGTTGCTTAAGCGATGTGTGTCTGTTTCATCACCTGTACAATGAGTTCTTACTCCCAGAGGTGTTGTAAACACCAAATGAATCAATACATGTAAAGAATTTAAACTAGTGTGTGACTCATTGCAAGCAAGTATTCAAGACATGTTTGGTCTTTCAAAAAACAAAATGTCTAAGTGCTTACATGAACAAAAAACACCTGGAAAGCACCACGGTGTTAACGATAGATTTCTCTGTGTCATATAACATTACAACCTTTTTCTTTTATCCCTATTGTTTGCTTATCTGCATTTTCAATATTTTTTCCAAAATTAAACATAGGCTTAAAAAAAAACAAGAAAATCACATTTAATATTTTTAAATCCCAATCTTTTATCAGAAACAGAAACCTCACCAAAACTCATTTTTTTAAAAAAGCTATGGGTCAGGCCAGGTAATTACAAAACCTGGAGTCTGAAGAAAGTGCATTGTGTTTCCTCGTCTTTGCTAGTTTGATGGCCTAACAGCAAGAAAGAATTTGCACCCCAGCACCTTGATCCTGAAGATGCATAGGCAGGCCTGCGGAGAGGAAGAGACTAGAGAGATGGGAAAGCCTGATTTCATTCCTAGCTATCCACTTAGTTTAAAATGTCAGGAAGTTTAGCGGATTAAGGGTATTACAGTCACTATTCATAAAGGTGTTTTGTTAGAACTTCTAAATAGCAATCTGGTGAAATAAGCCTTGCACAGGCTTAAATGAAAGCCTGTTACAGTACTTAAAGTTTCCTAGAGAAGGAAAAAGATCCCCAGGTATTAATTTACCTAAAGAGCAGCTGCCTGGAAGACACTGTAATGTATCTTAAGTAGCCAATGCTATAAAACAGATAACCAGTCACAGAACTAGGAGGTTTGAGCCCAGATCACCCGGTGGTAGAACTGCAATTAGCAGTAATGAGAGGCATGTCTACATTTTGATAAAAGCCACGGCTGTACATATATTATAGACTTGGGCGCTTTCTAAAAAATCCAAGGACATTTAAAGCTGTTGGAATCCAAGAGACAGAGAGGCGTGTTTGAATTTCAAAATTCGCAAATTAAAAAAAAGGTGGTGGGGGGCTGTCACGCTTATCTCACAAATGCATCTGGATGGCACAGTATGTCAAACTCCAGGGAGAAAAGGAGACTCACAATTATTAAGCCCCTATTTGCACAGCAGACGCAGTGCCATTTAAGCCAATTGACCTAAGTGTTCTCCTTTGCAGTCCTGATCCACGGGAGCAGACAATCTTGTAAATGAGTCTCTAAATCAAAGGTCTGCAAAACCAATTCCATTTTCCCCCCAGTCCTTCTTATGAGATCACAGAAGCCATCTCAAGAAAAAAGACATCTTCACAATTAGGGGAAAGATGGGTCAGGATGAGAAGTCTTACAGAAGGGAAGGGGGTGGGGTTTGAGAGATGCAGGCTTGGGAGTGAATTCTGGCTTCACTAATAAGCTGAGCTATACAGACTGGAGCTAGTCTACCTGTCTGAGCAGTTTCCTCATGTGGCTTGGGTAATGAGGAAACACTGGTGAACAAGATAGGTTCTTGCCCTCAAGATGCTTAGAGTATAGATGAGGTGACAGGCTAGTAGCAGACAGTTATAATAGGATGTATTTGGTACTATGATAAGGAAAAGTTCAGGCCATCATGGGAGCAAATAGGAGGGACACCCAATCTGGTCTTTGGTGTGGGGTAGAGAAGGCTTCCTGGAGGAGGTGACATTTAACGTGAGCCCTGAAGGGATGGGGTGAGGATGAAGAGAATGTCTCTGCAAAGATTGGAAGGCAAGAAAAAGGATGGTTTGGGGCGTTGGGGAAGCAAGTAATTCAGTGTGGTTGAAGAGAGGAGAAGGAGGGGAAGAATAGCAGGAGCCAGATCTCATAGTAAGCCCGGTAACAGTTTGAACTTTATCCAAGGGGGATCGGAAGCTCATAGACAGGCATTTACTGCTTTTGGAAAAGCCATGGGTAGCAGAGATGCAGACATACCAAAGGAAAATTACTCCAGCTCTGCTTCCCAATTCAGAAATCTCACAGCGCTGTTTGCATTTTATCTAATTTCTCTGACAAAGTCAGCGTTTTAAAAATTATGATGTCCACCCCATGGAAAGCTGTAAATCATAACACTATCTCACAGCTCATTTGTCACAGGTTCTAGAGCTCGTTCAGACACCATTGAGTTCAACGAGCACCTGCCTTCATGCACTTCATTTTGGATAATCAAATCTCAAATTTTATACAGGGTTGGTTATCTAGTAAACTGAAGTTACTCTAGACGCTCACAACTGAAAAGAAAATTAGGGGCCATTTGACTCAAATCCAAATTTGAGTAAGTAAGCTCAGGGGGAAAAGTACCTTGCTTGAGGTCACAGAGTTTAGGGATAGATCCAAGGTTAAACCTCAGACCTCCAACCTCCAACCTATGCTTTTTTGTTTTGCAGCTTCATCTCTCCCCGTTACAGACCAGGAATTCCAAATTCCTAGCCCAAGGTCAGAGAGGTCTCACTGATGCCTGTGTAGCCACGTGAGGATGGGAAGTCTCATTTGCCAGTAAGCACTACAGGAAGTGATGGTTGAACACGATGGGACTAATAAGAAGGAAACGTAGTTAGAGTGATCTTATTCATTTAAAAACAAAAGCAGCAACAATACAGCAGTCGAGGAAAAGAATCAATTCTATTTAAGCAAAGCAATTTAAAGTAATAAAAAATGTTTCCAGCATTATTCTATTTCAAAACATTTATCAGATGCCAGGGAAATTAAGCATGTGCAAGCACACACACCACTCTGTGCAAACGGTTTATCTAGCAAAACAAGCAGGCGGAAAAAAAAAAAAGGTCTGAGGAACTTCAATTTTTAACTGCCAAGTGGATCAAAGACACAAGCAACAGAAAAAGAAATACACAAGTCTAAATTTAGTCATCTCTTATACTGGTTAAGTCCTTTTTCAAAGTCTGTTGGCTGTTGCCTGGACACAGCTTTGGTGTGAATGACTTTCATCTGAGCCTCTATCCTAAGGGTCAAGCTTAAGATGCTGATGGCAAGCATGCTTGTTTGCTGTGTCCCTGAAGTCTCTGTTTGGCTGTTAAGGGGCAGGAAAAGCTCTCTGGAAGTTTTTGGACCTCAAGAAGTAGCTGAAAAGAGTCAAAGTGATAGAGAAAAGACAGAGAAGATGACAGGCATTCATACACATACACTGATTTAAACTTTTTTTTTTGAGACAGTCTCACTTTTTCACCTAGGCTGGAGTACAGTGGTGCGATCTCGGCTCATTGCAACCTCGGCCTCATGGATTCTCCTGCCTCAGCCTCCCTAGTAGCTGGGATTACAGGCACACGCCACCACACTTGGCTAATTTTTGTGTTTTTAGTAGAGATGGGGTTTCACCATGTTGGCCAGGCCGGTCTTGAACTCCTGACCTCAGGTGATCTGCCCGCCTTGGCCTCCCAAAGTGCTGGGATTACAGGCATAAGCCACCGTGCCTGGCCTGATTTAAACTTAAAATACACAGGCTGACAGTTCTGCAATATTTGGTTTCTGCAACTTTGCTCTATAAAACAAGGCTCTCTCAATGACCAGTCTCACAAGATTTCTACAAGGGGTAAAGTATGATAACGTTCTCTTCTATAAAAATATTTTTTGTTTTTGTGAACATAAAATGTTTTTACAAATCCAAAACAGCATCATAAAGCAAAGGATCTAAAGTGTGTGCGGGGATAGCAGGCAGTTACTGTACCACTGGCTGATCTTGGAAGATGATTACAGCTGAAGCCCCATAGTGGTGGCAGTTGTGCCTCCTAGTACCACCACTCCATTCTCCCATTGCAGCTGCTGATCAATGAGCTCACACACCAGGCTTGATAGAGAAAAATAATTAGTCTGACTTACCTTTCAAAGGAGAACTGATTTCTTCAAGGGCTGGCTTTTGTCCCCCAGCCAACCTGTCAAATCTATCTTCTCCTGGTGACCCGGGTGCAAAACAGCACATGAATACACTGTGCTGGCTAAATTTAGACTTTGAGAGCCTTTCTAACCTGTCATTTCACTCCACAGAAAAGCAGATCAGTTTCTTCAGTGAAAATACTGCCAACCCAATCAATGTGGAGAGATGAGGCAAAGCCTCAAGGCCACTCAAAGGTCCTCTCAAACTTGCCCTGCACCTCCAGGAAAAATTCTGTTCACACATCCTGGGCATATGAACAGAGTCTCATTTTCAAAACTGTTAGAGAGAGCAGTGCCACCATTTTACTTAATCACCTAATTCTTCTGTTTCAGAAAGTCCTATGGAGTCCTTACTACACCAATAAAGCCCTTACTAAAAATGGGCTGGGCACAGTGGCTCAAGTCTGTAATCCTAACACTTTTGAGGGGCCAAAGCCGTGGAGTCCAGAAGTTCAAGACCAGACTGGATGACATGGTGAAACCCTGTCTCTACAAAAAATACAAAAATTAGCCGGGCATGGTGGTGCATACCTGTAGTCCCAACTACTCTGGAGGCTGAGGTGGGAGGATTGTTTGAGCCTGGGAGGCGGAGGTTGCAGTGAGCTGAGATTGTGCTACTGTACTCCAGCCTGGGTGACAAGAGTGAGACACTGTCTCCAAAGAAAAAAAAAAAGAAGAAAATGATCTTTAGAAACCAGGGTCCAGTCTCAGCTCTACCACCAATTATGTGCAAATTATTTTGCATTTTTGTACCTTGGTCCTCTGTTGTTTTTCTTTTTGAGATAGGGTCTTGCTCTGTTGCCCAGGCTGGAATGCAGTGGTATGATTACAACTCACTGCAGCCTCAATCTCCCAGGCTCAAGTGATCCTCCCATCTCAGCCACTTGACTAGCTAGGACTGCAGGCATGTGCCACTATGCCTGGCTAATTTATTTATTTATTTATTTATTTATTTGAGATGGAGTTTTGCTCTTGTCGCCCAGGCTGGAGTGCAATGGTGCGATCTTGGCTCACTGCAACCTCCGCCTCCCGGGTTCAAGTGATTCTCCTGCCTCAGCCTCTCAAGTAGCTGGGATTATAGGCACCTGCCACCACACCTGGCTAATTTTTGTATTTTTTGTAGAGACGGGGTTTCACCATGTTGGTCAGGATGGTCTTGATCTCTTGGCCTCATGATCCACCCACCTCAGCCTCCCAAAGTGCTGGGATTACATGTGTGAGCCACTGCATTCGGCCACAATTTTTATATTTAATAGAAGGAGGCATGGGTTAAACATTTTTCAGAAGAAACATCTTTGGTGCCTCTGCTACCACCCCCAGGCTGGCATGACCTGTGGGAACCTGGCTTTCCAAGGAGGCCCTTATCTCCAGAATACAATACCCAGTCTGCTTTGTCTATAATCAAACCCTAATGATCCCTATGGGAACCTGGACACCCTGAATCATACAACTGAAAGACCTTTGAAAGATCACCTCTCTGTCTCCTTCTCACCTCACGCAGGAACCCCTTCTGTAATGTCGGGGATATACAGTTTTCCAGATTCTGAGTGAATATTCCCAGGAACAGGGAGTAACAGGGTCTGGAACTCCTGACCTCAGGTGATCCACCCGCCTCGGCCTCTCAAATGCTGGGATTACAGGCGTGAGCCACTGCAGTCAGCTGGTTCCCTCATCTTTAAAATGATGAAATCTCACTGAGTTGTCATGAGGATTAAATGAGTCAATTTAGGTAAAGTGTCTGGCTCACAGTGTATGCTACATACATGTTAGCTGCTGCTGCTGCTATTACTACTTCTACTATTATTCTAGCTTACCCAGCTGTCCGACCTCAGGCAAGTTCACTTCTCTGAGCCTCATTTCAGTTTTCTGGCATGAAAAGTGAAGGACACACCAGCCTTGCAGGAGTTCTGAAGGGTGAAGTGAGATGAAATACTTTGAGCATTCAGCTCACTGCCTGGCACAATGAAGTGCACAGAAATGTTGATTCCCTGTCCCTGTATTCCTCTCCTTATTGAAAATCTGTCTTATTACAGATAGGACTCATTTCTCGTTTTTTTTTTTTTTCTTTTTTTTAAAGAATGACTGGGCTGGGTGCAGTGGCTCAAGCCTATAATCCCAGCACTTTGGGAGGCTGAGGCAGATGGATCACCTGAGGTCAGGAGTTGAAGACCAGCTTGGCTAACAAGGTGAAACCCTATCTCTACTAAAAATATAAAAATTAGCTGGGCTTGGTGGCAGACGCCTGTAGTCCCAGCTGCTCAGGAGGTTGAGAGAGGAGAATTGCTTGAACCCGGGAAGCAGAGGTTCCTCTGAGATTGTGCCACTGTACTCCAGCCTGGGCAACAGAGCAAGACTCCATCTCAAAAAAAAAAAAAAATATATATATATATATGATTAAAACTCAGCAGAATCACTTGGGATTGAAATTGTTCTCAAACATTTATTGAACTTCTATCGTGTGGCAGTTTCTTCTCAGGCCTTGGCTTTAAAGTGTTAAGACAGACAGAAAGGGTCTCTATTGTCAGAGAGCTTGTGGGCCAGTGAGAATGAATCAGAAGACACTTCCGTTCCTGCTCTGCCTTGGAGCTTAAACTTCCTTCCCAATAATAGCTATTGTTTATTGGGATTATCGCAAGTAAGCCTCACAACTCCACCAAGAAGCACTTCTTACTATCTGCATTAATTTACTCCAAGTCATTCACTGGTTAGCAAGTGACTGAGCTGGGATTTGAGCTGAACCCTATTCTGGAGCCTTTGCTCTTAACCACTGTGCTATACTGCCTTGGGTTCAAGGTCTTGCACCAAAAGAAGGATTGGAAAAAAGGAATGGCAGACGAGAAACCCTGACTCCCTAAAACACATCTGGTGGTGTCTGGAACAACAACCAAGGCCAGTGTAGTCCATGATGAGGGCTTCATGTTTGTAATGTGAAAAGCAACCCAGTGGATTTAGGTGCTATCTTCTTTCAGCACCCCCTTAAGTTACACTAAGGCACTGGGAGGGAGAGGGAATTTATGTGAGAATGGCAGGACTGAGCCCCTCTGAAAAAAGTCACTGTAACCTGATCAGAATACCAAAACTGCCCAGCATCAGAGCCCACTGCAGTCACTTCTTCAGTGGCAGCAGAGAGAAGCCAGGCTTCTCTGGCCAGAGCCCTGCATTTACAATGCCCCTGGGTTCCTAGGGGTGCTGTAAGCTCCTCGCCAGTATTGACTTACGGCAGTGGGGAGAGGAGAGACCAGGACTTTACATGCCCATTTGACAGAAAGGGAAACTGAAGCACAAAAAAGGTGTGGATTACACCAGAAACATGGATTGTGAAATTAAAGATTCCTCCTGAGGATATTTTAGCCTGGCAAGCTTACCACCTTTTGGCATCACAATTCTAACTGTTCTGGTGAACATACAAAATAGCAAATTAAGCCTTTTGAGGTGATATGGAGGGAAATGTAGGACCAGTGTAATAACATCTGCTACTAGGAATTCCAGGTGAGCTTCTGGATGGTCAGGAGGTGTCTCCATCTCTGGAGTTTAAAGACCCCTGGTGTTTGGGAACCAATTTTCAGGAGTTCACCAGCAAGTTAAGAGAACGGGCTTATGCAGACTGGATGCAATTTTCCTAAGATGTTTTCTTCTCAAATATTCCTGAACTCACATGAGCCTTCCATACTTTCTAGCAGTAACTAGAAATAGATAGTATTATTAACAATTTAACAAAACCAGAAGCTAGAACATCCAAATCCAATGAACAGAATGGCTGTTTTTCTTACTGAAGAATAAGAGCAACAGATCCCAATAATTCAGGCTAGCAATAAGGAAGGGCTTTGTTCTCATCCCCAGCTCTTAGAGACTGGTGAGGGTCTGCTTCATGCCCACAGCCCTGGTCTGGCCTGTCCAGAACAGTGGGAGGTGTGCAGGTAGGTGGATGTGAATCTCTCACCTTTCCCACCAATAGGGTCCAGTTGCTTCCTTCCTGGAGAGGCAACAAACCAGAGCAGGGGTGATTCTTTTACCTGCTGAACTCAAGTAGAACTAACTTAGAGATGGAGGGAAGTGGGTGTGGGTAGAACAAGAGAGGCAGTGTCCCACACCTGGCACGCTGAGTCATTTACCCCTGGGAGTCGCTCAGTATAATCATTTCAGATAATGGAGAAGGCTTGTATTGCAGGGTCAGAGGACCCGGATTCTGGTCCTGTTTCTAGTCACTTGCTTGCTGTGTGATTCCGGACAAAAGACCTAGTCTCTCTGAATCAGCTGTATCAACTAACTTAAGGGTAGTGGCCATAGTTTTTCCCCTCATAAATGGATATGCAGATAAAATAGACCCTCAATACAGATGTCATCCGAATCCATCCTGATCAATTGCCAGTTCTCACCAGGTTATGATGTAAGTTAATGTGCAGCATGTTTAGAGCACCTAGCACAGGGGAGGGGAGGGAGGTACTTGTCATTTTCCACTCTCAGTGACCTCAGAATCCCACCTTTCCCCTCTCCGACTTCCCTCCCAGGGTGCAGGAAAGGTCTGCGTTTGTTTTCTGGGCTCTGCCTGAAGGGCTAGTTGCTTAGGACAGAAAGCATTTCTGTAGCCTCGCTTCCTCCCAGTTGGTGGAACAGCCACTGTCCACTCTGGTTTACAGCCCATTTATGGTGGGGTAATCTGGTCACTGGGTGTTTGTGTAGTGTTTAATCATTAGGAGGTGGCCAGTTCTAATACTGTGAGCCCCAGGGCATCTATGAATAAGTCAGCTATTTGCTTCAACCTATCAGAGTCTGTTTTTGGAAGGCTTCTCTCCAAGAACACAAGGCTGACCCCTGACACAGACAGTTCCAGGGGCGCTGGGGTAGGTTACTTCTGAAGGGCACAGTGGAACACAGCTACCGGAGGTGGCTATTACAGTGGCTTTGAGTATCAGAGTGGGGCACCTACTGGCCTGGAAAACAAGTGGTTGGCCTTCAACGATAGGATTTCCCAGAGAACAAAACTCCCCAGGCTCAGTCTCTTTTCTCCATCCCTCCCGCACATTCTGTCTTCCTTTCTACCAAACCGGGACTGCTGTTTCTCTCCCTCACCACCTATAACTCCCACCTGTTTTCCAAGGTCCAGCTAAAAGCCTACCACCTCCAGGAAGCCTTCCTTCTGACCCATGCTACAGTGCTCTTGTTCTGCCCTCTGAATCTGAACGCACTGACATCTCCCTGACTGCGCTGTCCCTTCCTTTAGTCGCTCACGACCTGATCTCTGAGATAGAGAGAGGGCTTTGGGATCTTTGAAAAAGGCTCCACTCCAGGCCTCTGTGTCCCCAAAGCACCTCTTACACAAGGAGTTCCCAGCAAGTACTATGCCTGATGAGAGGTGTTAGGGACTGAATTCCCCTTCCCATGCCCCAAATTCACATTGAAATCTAACCCCCAATGCGATAGTGTTTAGAGGTGGAGTCTTTGGAAGGTGATTAGTCATGAAGACAGAGCCCTTGTGAGTGAAGTTAGTGCCTAATAAAAAGGATCCCAGAGAGCTAGCTTGCCCTCTTTCTGCCATGTGAACGTACAAGTAGAAGTCCGAATTTCTGCAGCCCAGAAGAGGGCCTTCATCAGAACTCGACCATGCCGGCATCCTGACCTTGGACTTCCAGCTTCCAGAACTGTGAGAAAGAAGTGCCTGTTGCTTATAGCCACACAATGTGTGCTACTTTGTTATAGCAGCCTGAATGGATTAAAACAGGTGGGACAGCCACACCCCCACATCATCTCAGGGAGGCTTGCCCTGATTTTTTTTTTTATTACACTTTAGATTCTGGGGTACATGTGCACAATGTGCAGGTTTGTTATATATGTATACATGTGCCATGTTGGTGTGCTGCACCCATTAACTCGACATTTACATTAGGTATATCTCCTAATGCTTTCCGTCCCCCCTCCCCCCACCCCACAACAGGCCCCAGTATGTGATGTTCCCCTTCCTGTGTCCGAGTGTTCTCATTGTTCAATTCCCACCTATGAGTGAGAACATGCGGTGGCTTGCCCTGATGTTTACTGAAGACCTACTCTGTGTCACCCACTGTGCTAAGGGCTGAGACAGTCCTGAGAGTGAGAAAAACAACAGTGTTCATAGTGAAAAAGCCAAGGTCTCTGGATGGAGAGAGATAACCCATCCATCTAAAACTGGAGTTCATTTCAGTAAGTGCTGAATGAGCACCGACTATGTGGCAGACATCATATTTTTGGGTCCTGAAAACCCAGTGATAAATAAGATAATCCCTGTCTTCAAGCCAAGCAACAGGGAAAATAGGAAAAAAGAAGGTAAAGATTTGGTTAGACTTAAAATAAAGGATAGCACGGGGTCCTTTGGGAGCCCTGAGGAAGGGACTTACTAGGCCTGAGATGCCTAGAAGTGGGCATTGGAGCTGAATCCAGGAAGAGGATGTGTTAGCCTGGCAAAGAAGGGTCAGGAGAGGGCATCCCAGGGGGCAAAGGCATGGAGGTTTACAATACCCCGGAGCGTGCTAGAGACTGCCAAGTGTTTGGTGCAGCCGGCTTAGATGTTGGGGACGAGGCGGGTGTGATAGCAGGGGCCAAGGCTGGAGGGTCATCTCTGAGGCTTGCACTTTATCCTGTATGTGACACAGAGCCACAAAGGGTTTTCAGCAGGCAGGTGGCACACAGGATCAGATCTGCATTTCAGGAGGATCACTGTGGCTGTGCTGGGATGATGCGCTGGGTAACAGGACGGGCACAGCAGGACAGTAGCAGTGAGAGCAGAGAGACAGTGCCAGGAACCGCAGCACACAAGGACGTGCTACAGAGCAGTGGATGAGGGAGGGAGAGGAAGCGTTCGTCCCAGCTCTCCAGTGGAGCTCAAACCTGAAGTCTCAGAGCTGACCTCTGTGGCACCAGAGAGGCTGGGTCATTAGCATGACAAGTGCTGCTTGTGTACAGAAGCCTCCCTAGCTGACTTCCTGCAGGGACATTCAAGGCCAGGGCTCCCATTAGCTCCCCCAGCTTGCTGGCTTTGCTCACTACCCCTTTATTCCAGATCATTAAGAACGCAGCCCTCTGGGAGGTTTCCTTGAGGCCTTTGTTTAAACTGAGAAGCAAGTACATTTAATTGCCTCAGCTAGACACCCTGCTTTACTCTCCTCACACCCTCCACACCCCTTCCTGGTCGGTACCCCGGGCCCTCCCCCAGGCAGCTTCATCCCACAGCTTGTGTCCTGAAACATAATAAGTGCATGCTCTGAGGCCCTCCTCAAATTATGGTTCTGATCTTTACTTCCAAAAACAGAGCTGGAATTATAGCTTGGCTCCATGAGAAGTTCAAATCCACAGGGTCATAAACCCTTTCATGTTCTGTTTCAAGACCTTTGCTGGGGATTTTAACAGGTTTGCACCTCTGATGTTGTTACACGGTGGTTAGTCTGCCAGTTCCAAAGATTGAGACCTCCTGCCAGGATGTGGAGCGTGTTAACTACTTCGGGTTTTGCCAGTTATCCATCAGGGTCTCAGGCCTTAAATATCTTCTGCCTTTTTTTCATTGCCAGAGTTCCCCAAGGACAGAGGTCAGGGAATAAGAGCTGAGTGAGACCTCCCAAAGCAGATCACAAAGAGAAGGGGACACTGCACCATGGAGGTGACACAGGCCAGTGGCCACGGTGCTGGACCTGGGGCTGAGAGGACCCACATGTATATCCTGGCCGATTTAGGTATCTTAGACTTTCTGTGCCTCACTTTCCTTATCTGTGAAATCAGCATTCTGATCATGACTAAATAAAAATTGCTGCCATTGATCAAGGGCACTGACTGGACCAGGCACTGTGCTAACCTTGTGCCTGGCACTGTCTCATTTAATCTTCACAGCAGCCCGATGAAGACATGGGGGCTCAGGATGGTTAACTGACCTCTACGTAGCAGCACAGTCAGCATCTGAACTTGTAAGAGTGTCACATAGGTTAAAATCATTTTTCCTGGCCCAGTGCGGTGACTCACGCCTGTAATCCCAGCACTTTGGGAGGCCGAGATGGGCTGATCACCTGAGGTCAGGAATTTGAGACCAGCCTGGCCAACATGGTGAAACCCCATCTCTACTAAAAATACAAAAACATTAGCCAGGCATGGTGGCGGGTGCCTGTAATCCCAGCTACTGGGGAGGCTGAGGCAGGAGAATTGCTTGAATCCGGGAGGCTGAGGTTGCAGTGAGCTGAGATTGCGCCATTGTGCTCCAGCCTGGGTGACAAGAGCAAAACTC
The DNA here is from genome assembly GCF_000001405.40 of Homo sapiens. Lineage (NCBI taxonomy): Eukaryota > Metazoa > Chordata > Mammalia > Primates > Hominidae > Homo > Homo sapiens. Next base: position 19,999,391 of record NC_000011.10, on the reverse strand, counting down.
CATCCAAAAAAACCCCACATTTTCCCAAAGCAATAATAGACTGGGTTAAACCAGTCAGTCTCCCACAAGAGAAGTTCCTGAACATGAATAACCCGATTTTTTTGAAGGCAAGTTGGGCCATGGTTATCTCTCTTTGAGGACTGGCTGAGGACTGAGTGGGTGGGTTCACTGTGTGCCACAACAGCAGGGTTGATTTATGCCAGGCATGAGTGGCTTACAGCCGACTGATGCCCCTTTCTAATGGGTCACAGCCCTGTTCTGGTTATTGGCTAGTGCCCTATTCTGGTTGGTTGGCACCAGAAGCACACTGGTTTTAAACATTTTGCACATCAGCCCTGCATCACAGTGCCTGGCAGTCATTTATTCCTTCATGGTATATGTAATAAGCACCCTCTCTGGACGGGCCCTGTGCTGGGAGAGGGGATTCACCTGCAAACGGAGCTGACCTGGTTTCTGTCTTATTGATACTGATAGTCTAGTGGGAAAGACATAACAGGCAAATAAATAAAAATTAACACACATGAAAGTAAGAGATGTCAAATAAACAGTTTCCAAAAAGAAACCAACAGCTGAAACTTTCTTTAGATTGAGTGGTCAGTAGCAGCCTCTCTAAGTGGTGAAGTTTGAGTTGAGACCTGAAGGAAGAGAATAAGCCAGGCTTATAAGGAGAAAAGGAGAGAGGGGGGGAAGCACAGTCTATGCAGAGGGGACAGTATGTGCAAAGCTTCTGACGAAAGAGAAGATCCGGCACGTCCAGGGGAATGGATGAAGGCAGGAGTCAGGGAGGTAAAGCGTGATGAGGTGAGGCTGGAGAGGTGCGCAGGGGCCAGAACACACACCCCCTTGGAGGCCACGGCAAGGAGTCTGACCTTTATTCTAGGTGCAATGGAAAGGCACTAAGGGAGGGTTTCAGGCAAGGGCAGAGGAGATCTGATGTATATGTTAAGGTTACAATAGCTTCTGGGTGGAGAACGTACCGCATGAAGGCCCTGGTGGGTACAGTGGGCCTGGAAGGCTGCAGTGGGAGAGCTCAGATGAGAGAGGACGGCAGCCTAGACCCCTGCACCATGGCCAATGAGAGAGAAGGAGAGGGAGGTGGGCGGAGAGAGGGAGAGAGAGAAGCAGAGAGACAGGGAGAAACACAGAGACAGAGAGAAGCTGAGAGATTTGAAACTGTTTGGGGGGAGTTTGCCGACTGGAAGGAAAAGGGGGAGGAAAACTCTTCAGTCAGTCTTATCAATTATCTTAGGATAATATTAATTACCTAAAATATAGCAAACGTCTCCTACTGTATATGCCCAGCTCTGTGCAAAGCCTGGGAATGCTGAGAAAAACACACTTTTGTTCTGCTTCCTTCCTCTCAGTCTTGGGGGAGACCATACCTAGGAGCTTATTGTTCCAAAGGCATGTTAAGGGCTACCAGAGAACAAAACATGGTTATGGAGAGACCCCGGATAGATGAGAGCCCCCAGAGGATCCTACCTGGGGTGGAGGGAGGAGTGTGGAAGGCAGGGCTATAGCCAGCCATGGACCATGAGTCGGGATTCCCTGGATAACGTAAAGGATGCCAGGAAGCTTTTCCTGATTATTCTTGGTGCTGGATCTACCGACTAGTCAACAGCGGCCTGCCCTCCCCTTTTAGAGATGGGGCAGCCTGGTGTCTCTGATATAACACTGGCTTTAGAGCCAGACAGCCCTAAGTTAGAATTCAAGCTCTGCCACTCTCTGCCTATGTAACCCTGAGCAAGTCACATAAGCTCACTGAGCCAGGATTCCTTATTTGTGAAATATGGATAATTCCTGATGTGGTAAGTCCTCTGGGAGGTTAAAGCTAGTATGTAGAGTACCTAGGAGAACACCTAGAACATAGCAGGTGCTCAGTGAATGAAAATTGTTGTTTTTGATGATGAAATTCAGACTAGGACCACTGATCCCAAACTGTCAAGAGTCCTACGGTAGAGTTTAAGCAGCCTCCCAAGGAGCCTCTGTTTCTGGTGTACCCAGAGCTCTCATGAGTTGCTACCACACTGACAATGGAAAAATGAACCTATTCTCTCCACAAAACTCTTCCACAAGTTGGAGGGGCCCTGGAGGCCCACCAACATCTCCCCACATAGTGCTCCACCAGCTTCTGGTTAGGTGTAGGGCACCCAAAGTCGTCCCTGCACTCACCTTCTAGTGTCAAACTTTGCACCCCATAGGAGGTGACATGACAGACTCCTACCCAGACTACAATGGCCTGTGGTTCTGTTCACATCTTCTCTAGGGCTTCAATTACTGCATACTCATAGGTTGCCCACAAGCAATGTCCAGGCAACTCAAATAAGCGGCCAGGGAGAATTTTTTTCAAGCCTTATTTTGCCAGTACAGAAACCGTAGGCTTGTGAGTCTCTCTCTCCAAACCTCAGGGTCAGCTAAAGAAAGAGGTACCAATAGAAATCCTCAAGTTGGAGGTTTGAGCCCACTGAGCCATGCAGCCACCTCATTTCCCTCTGTCCCCATTTAATCTCCTCCACACAATCCTGCAACATCCCTCAAAATGTCAGGGTCTCTCTTCAGATCTCGTTTCAGGCAATTTTACAGTACTGAGCGCCACAGATTAATGAGGAAGATAAATCAAAGAGCACAGTGGACGAGCGAAAATAACAGGACTGCAGCTGAAACACACAAGGCTAGCCTCTTCTTTCTGCATTACTGAGACGCAAAACAGCCACAGGGGTTTACAGCAGAGGCTGCTCCTAGAGGAGGCAATGGAAGACAGACCCTGAAGGTCAACTGGTGTGATCAACATGACAGGGGAAACTCTGAAGCCTCAGCTGGGGGTTCTGGCAATAAAACAGTTAAATGTCCTTCAGAGAAAAATATTATACTCACAGCTTCAAGCATCCCTAAGATCTTCTTAAGTAAAGGATAGAATTCCCTCAGCAATAGCAGAGCTTGGCCTGAGCCTGAGCCACACTCTTGGGCTTTCTTTTTGCTGAGCCTCCCAGATGGGGAAAATGATACCTGGAAGGCGGACTGGCTTAAAGGTCAGAAATCCAGATGCAGTGGCTTTGCAAGCACCTCAGTTGGTGCTAGGCCCTAGGGGATGCTCACTTATTACTCATATAGGTCTAAACAAGGTTTGCTTTTTGGAAGGATAACAACTGACTCTTTAAACAAAGAGGGAGGCAAGCACAATGATTAAAAGCAGAAGTTTTGTGGCCAGAGAGACCTTAATTCAAATCCTAACTTTGCCCCTTATAGCACTGTGGCTTTGGGGAAGAAATGTCACCTTTCTGAGCCTTATTTTCCTTATTTGTAAGCCTATCCTTTCCTTGTGTAACTTACAACTCATTCCAAGAGCTGTTTTGTCCTCTGACACTCAGGAGTACCATGCAAAGCCTGTCAACTGCATGAAAAATCACAGCATAGGAGAGTCCCTCCAAATGACCTGACATTGCCCATTCTCCAGGCTGACCACTGCCCTGCTCAGGACAGGCAGCACCCACTATTAGTGCTGATTTAGGGAACAACGTTCATCCAAGTCTGATTAAATCCTGAGTCAAAGCACCCAAAAAAAATAAAAACAATTCAGTTACTTGGAATTTTGTTATCTCAATGAAAACAAGACTACAATTTCATGAGTGTCATCTCTGAATATAATTTTGGTGAAGCTCCAATTAGAACAAAATCCATTGCAATGTATAATAGCAGATTTTCTCCAAAGCATCAGAAAAGTCCAAGACCCCACCACTCTCCACCGCAGCTGTCCTCTTTGCACTTCTCCTTGGGAAGATTTCATTCTGGTTCTTCAGGTCCAGACATTCTTCTTTACCTGCCATCAGCAACAACAGCTATCCACCTCTCTCAAACACCTCGAAGTGCATTACAGCTTACCCTAGGCTTAGCTTTGAAGTACAGCGAGAATGGACACCTTAAGGCCTTCTCCTCTGCTGCCTGCACAAGAGGGGGCCCCACGGCATGCCAGCTGCAAGAAGCCACTCAGCCTGCTGGAGTTGTACACATGAAGGGCCTTGGGCAAGAACCTGACTCCTAACTGAAATACCATCAAATGAGACACATGTCATCATCACCGTCAGAGACAAACAGTTCACAGAGTCCCTGCCCTGCATGGATAAGCTATACCCATGAGTCATTCTGTTAACTCTGCCCTTCAAGTAATAAACAAGAACACTGACTTACAGGAGCTCAAGGACCTTAAAGATCAGCTGGGCTGACCACACAAATGAACAAATAGAGGTGCAGAGAGGGGAAGCATCTTGCCCAAGGTAATTCACTAGTGGCAGAGCCAGGTATAGAACAAGGTCTTTTGGTTCCTACTGCACTCCTTTCCTTATCGCCTGGATTGCATTCATAATCATCACCAAATAAATAATGTGTGCCTTCATCAGAGTTACTTAGAGTTCATGCTTTCCAAACCCAAGAGATGACCTTACCCCCGAAGGCTAGAGGACAGAGAGTAGTCACTGGGCTACTAACAATCTCAATTTCCTCATTGGCAAAATGACAGGGCTACAATTGATGATTCTGAACAAACCCAACCTTGACATTGAAAGCTTCTATCTGGTGTGAACTGGCTGAGGAGAGACAGCCCTGGGAAAATACATTTATATACAAAGTAATCTTGGATAGAAACATCGGTTCACTACAACTCTGGGTGTCACAGCTGTCCAGCATGACAAATGCAAAAGGTTATAGTGAAACCAGGGACCCTTTTCCATAGGCCACCGTAAGTGCCTTATATTCTGGGCTTATTTCAATCAGATCTTACATTTCAGTAACAGAAATCATGGCTAGGCTGACCTTTCTTTTTTTACTCTTTTTTTTTTTTTTTTTCTTTGAGACAGAGTTTTTTGCTCTTGTCGCCCAGGCTGGAGGGCAGTGGCGTGATCTGGGCTCACTGCAACCTCCACCTCCCGGTTCAAGCGATTCTCCTGTCTCAGCCTGCTGCGCAGCTGGGATTACAGGCGCCCGCCACCACGCCCAGCTAATTTTTGTATTTTTAGTAGAGACGGGGTTTTGCCATGTTGGCTAGGCTAGCCTCGAACTCCTGACCTTAGGTGATCCGTCTGCCTCAGCCTCCCAAAGTGCTGGGATTACAGGCATGAGCCACCACGCCTGGCCCTAGGCTGACCTTTCAACATGACAAAAGATACTTAGGGAAATAAAACGAAAATCCCAAATGGTTGATGAGATAAGCAGGACTATTGGACACTTGGGTAATGTTTCTAAAGGATCTTTCACATCATCACTGGCAGGAAAAGGAAATTTCCTGCATTTTATTAGGATAACAGCAAGTTCCCAGTATAGGACCATATGCAGTCCCCGATGCTTCTGGTCCTCTCTGCACCCAAGGCACATGGTTAAAGTCTCTATAGCACTTGGCACATCACGTTACAATGGCTTACTTAGGTCTTTCTCTCTCTACTTGATCGTAAGCTTCTTGAGTACAGGGACTACATCCCACTCATCCTTGGATCCCAAGAGCCCGTTGCATAGTAGGTGCTCAGTAAATTCTAAACAATCACCAGCATTTTCTATGAGCCATTACATATGAAAACATGGTCCATATACTTTGTTGAAATACAACTGACTCATAGCATTGAATAAAATTCCTTAACCAACTCAACTATTATGTTCCTTCATCTACCAAGAAGACAATTTTACCTGCTCACTCTTCTCCACCCAGAGGAGCTACCAGAGGCCATGTGATCAGACTGGGTGGCATAATGCCTGGCATCTGATATTACTGCATGCAGTAAATACGTGATGAACTGCATGATAAGGCGTTGGTTAAATAACGGGGGGAGGGGGGAAACATCAAGCACAGGCACTCACTTGCATGTGATAAAAGCATGATAGTCATTAGTGCAGTTCACTACATATTTTCTGTTCTCCTTGCAGGCATATGGTATAACTGTACTTCCCTTCACCTTTGAATTTAAGTGTAGCCATGTGACTTCCTTTGGCCAATAATGAGGAAAAGTTACGTGGGTCATTTCCAGACAGAAGCTTTAAGAAACTGTGTGTGGTTCACCATGCTCTCTTTCTTCTTGCAGTGAAGACTGTCAATGCTCTAAATGGTAGTTCCTCTAACTCTGGATCCCAGAGTGAGAATGATGTACAAATAGCCTTCCACTGACCTGTTATGGCCAAATAGAGTTTTTTGAGAATTGTTTGTTATGCAGCATAACCTATGCTATCCTGACTCATACAAAAACATTCACAGGTACCCAGATTAAAACACATGAAGTTATTTTCTATTGCAGGGCACAGATATAGTCAAATTCTGACTTGGGATTGGGGCCTATGCTTTGGGTGACCAGGGGAGTTGGCATAGAGAAAGGTGACCCATCTTGGCCTTTCTCTTTGGCCTCTTATTCTTGCTTTCATATTGCTAGACATCTTTTCCTCCACACTTTGAACAATGATTAAGTTTAAACAATCACCTTTAAACAACTGTTGAACAGTTACCATTTTTAGAAAATGTACTTCAGGTGGGGCGCAGTGGCTCATGTCTGTAATCTCAGCACTTTGGGAGGCTGAGTAGGTGGATCACCGGAGATCAGGAGTTCAAGACCAGCCTGGCCAACATGGCAAAACCCTGTCTCTACCAAAAAGCAACAACAAAAAATTAGCTGGGCATGGTGGTGTGCACCTGTAATCCCAGCTACTCAGGAGGCTGAGGCAGAAGAATCGCTTGAACCTGGAAGGCAGAGGTTACATTGAGCTGAGATCGTGTCACTGCACTCCAGCCTGGGGAACAGAGCGAGACTCCATCTCAAAAAAAAAAAAAAAAAAAAAAGTACTTCAGGAGCATGATTATACTCTCTCTGACCCTCAGGTCTGCTTTTACTATAGTGTAAAAAAGTTATGGAACAAAGTTATGAAGTTGGGCAACATTAGGGAATGAGAGATTCTCATGAGGCCACCATACAGCTCTTTCCTTTTTAAAGTGAAAACACTGCATGCACAAGAATGATACTCTGCAGACTATTCCTTCTCCTCTCTTTATAACCCCCTGGTAGAATTCCTCTGTGGTTTAAGTTACAGATGGTTTACTTCCTGTCAGCACCATCCCTTGTTCAGCACTTGTGGCTCCAGCCACTGATCCTACAGGTAGTGGCACTAGCATAAAAGAGCCTCTTGGGCAAGGCCAATGTAGTTATTATTACCCTGCTACTGAGGAAACAGGCATTTGCCTCTAAGGCTCCTTTTATGAGCTTTAAAATGAAAATGACTTTCACTGTCTCTTACTTTGTTTCTAGTTGTTATACACAACTAGGAGAAGAGGAAAGGGGATGGAAAGAAACCAGTGAAGATCGTTAATGCTGGCCACTGTGCTGGAAGCATCTTCTCATCCCAAGACAATGAGTATAACTCTTGAATGCAGGACTGAAAAATGCTCAGGGGCACTAATAGTATAACAGAAAGTTATAAGGCAGACAAAAGGAGAAGGCAAGGAAAATGAAAGAGGAAGAGAGGGGAAGGGCTGGGAATGAGAGGTAAAGAATAACAGAGAGTCAGAGAGAGGGTCAATTGATTGACCCTAGCAAGAAAAGATGAAGACAAAATAATACGAGAGAAGTCATGAAGGAAGGAGGGAAAAGCAAGGACAAGTTCATTCTCACTTGGGCCAGTAGGAAGCTCAATGCTGAATTACTAAAAAATGCAACCATGTGGGATGAAACACGGGTTGTGTTTCATCAATCCGTGTTCTCTATTTTTACCTTTTTTTGCACATCATATTTTGCACATCATTTCCCCACAGTCTTAATGCTATACTCGTTTATTTTATAATTGTTCTTTTTATTAAATGCAGTTATTATAAGCTGTTATAGAAATAAAAGGGGTTAATTATGAGCTAATTAATTAAATATAAAGAAAAGTGAGTTGCAACGAGGTAGAGCCTAGATTGTCCTAAGTAGCTTGCAGGACCTAAGAATTAGAGTATTTATCTTGGAGGCTTGGCACAGTGGCTCACACCTGTAATACCAGCACTTTGGGAGGCTGAGGCAGGCAGATCACTTGAGCTCAGGATTTTGAGACCAGCCTGGGCAACATGGTGAAACCCTGTCTCTACAAAAATGCAAAAATTAGCCGGGTGCAGTGGCATGCACCTGTAATCCCAGCTACTTGGGAGGCTGAGACAGGAAAATCACTTGAGCCGGGGTGGAGGTTGCAGTCAGCCAAGATCATGCCATTGCACTCCAGCCTGGGTGATGGGGCCAGTGAAACACTGTCTCAAAAAATAAAATAAAAATAAAATATTTGTCTTAGGTGCTTCGCAAAAACACTTTCACCACCCTCATTCACCTCATTTGATCCTCACAACAGTCCTGTGAGACAGGTATGAATACTGCCCTCATTTCAGAGACAAAAACCTAAACTCAGGGCAGTTAAGTGACATGGAGAGTGAGGACTGGAATTAGGGCATGTTTACAGCAAAACTCACATCTTTTCTTTATAGCTTCCTTGGCAATATAACTGTGATGGTTTCTATCAGTGCTGTCCAAAAGAGTTTTCTACAGTGTGGGAATTGTTCTTTGTCTAGGAGAGCACTGGCCACATGGGACTTTTGAGTACTGGAAATGAGGCTAGTGTGATTAAGAAACCAAACTTTTAGTTAATTTTCATTAATTTTAAATAGTGGTGGCCATTATAGTAGGCAGCACAGATCTAGATTCTCTCACCTCTACCACATGTATGTAGGGGAGATAAGGCTCAAATACTGGCAGCTAGAGATTGTATGAAGTGGGATTAGTGGTCAAAGAGGAGAGATCACCTTTGCTTTACTTGATGACGGTGGGAAGATTAGGAACAGACCGTACATAACAAGTAGAGAGGGGAGGTAATGGGGGGAGGGGGAAGGTATTTTAGGGTGCCCTTCTTAAACCATGGTCCCAGCCTCTGGAGGCCCTACAGATCCCCAAGCTCTGGGTAGAGAACCTCTAGCAATTGCTTAAGGGTCCATGTAGTGGTTAGCCAAGACCAGGAGAGAAAAGTTTTTGAATGACTGCAGAATCTCTGCAGATCTGGTGGCCTTGGAATTCCTAGCTCACTAAAGGGAAGCATCACCCCTGACCTGTGATCTTGACATTGCAGGCTCCTCCCTCAACTAACAATACAAAAATTGCAATAAGTCAGAATTCACAAATGGGCATCCCTTTTCTAAACTTGCAAGAAGGCCAAGGAGGCAACTGGCCCAGCTCTGTGTAAGAAAGGACCTTTTCCTTGAAGTCTGAGAACAGTGATGAGAAAAGGGGTGAGGGCAAGCCCACTCGCACGGTCCATGTGCAACAGGTCTGGGAGGGAGACAAGTCAAGAACTATTCCCTTTTTCCTCTTAATGTGAATCATTTTGCATTGTCTCTGAAGGACAGAGTTCACTTTTCCAGCTGTTTGGGCATTGCTTGTATTTTCAGTGGCTAAGGGCTCATTTGAAGAGACGATACCATGGTAAGAACTCAAAATTAGGGAATCTCTACAAAGAGAGCTCCCTAAAAGAAGCAGTATGTTAGGCGACCGGAGGATTTGGGGGGTGATCAGACAGGCCTGGGTTTGAATCCCAGCTTGGACACTCATTAGGTGTGTAACCCTGGGCACGTTTACTCACCCTCTCTGAGCACCACTGCTTCAAATCTATGAAACCAGGATAACATCTCCTCTCAAAGGGTCAGGGGTAAATGAGATAATATTTGCAAGGTGCTTGACACAGTTCCTGGCATAGAGCAACCCATCAGGAAATGGCAACTATTACTGGTTTTATTACCTTCTGATATAAGTTTATATTCGTTTTCTATTGCTGACATAAGTTTATGTCAGTTTTCTATTGCCATAACAAGTTAATATAAACTTAGTAGCTAAAAACAAAAAAAATTGATTAGCTCACAGTTCTGTGAGTCAGAAGCTGACATGGGTCTCGTGGGCTAAAATGATGGGTATGTGCAGGGCTACATTCATTTCTGGAGGCTCTAGGAGCATCTGTTCCTATGGCTTTTCCCCTACATAGAGGCCACCTGCATTCTTGGGCTGTAGCCTTCTTCCTCCATCTTCAAAGCTGGCAATGGCATGACGAGTCCTTCTTACATGACATCATTCTGACCTCCTCCTCTTGGCCTCCCTCTTTCACTTTTGAGGACCTTGTGATTATGTTGGACCCACCTGAATAAGCCAGAGTAATCTCCCTGTCAGCTGACTGGCAACCTTAATTCCCCTCGCCATGAAACTTAACATATCCACAGGTTCTGGAGATTAGAATGTGGCCATCTTTGGGGATGATTATTACACCTACCACAGGCTTAGAATGAAGCGTGAGGGGAGCAGTCTCTTCCCGTTTTTGCTGCTTCTCTTATGTGGCTCTCAGTAGGGACTATGCTTCAGAAATAACTGGCTTGTTGGGGACCTACCACCTGGTAAGGGCGCCAATTGCATCTGCAGGCTGGGGACCTCTGGCCTGGATTAAACTCTTTCCTCCAGATCAGACCTGAATCCATGAATGCACTGCTTGGTGCCAGGAGGCCTGCTTTGTTCCATATGAATCACAAAGCCAAGCAGTGTCCTGGGCTCTTGGAGTTCTTATGACACTCCCAGCAAGGAAGGAGGGCTCAGCTTGGCAGGCTGCTCAAATACCAGGTTGCATAGTTACATTCTCACACCATGAGACTCTCCTTGAGAGAGGCCTCCCAATTCAAGCTGAAACTGGGACGCCTCTGAGTGCCAAGGCCCTGGATGCAGCCTGGAAAGTCTGTACAGTGACTCTGAATCCTTCACTGAAACAGCAATCTCAGTACTTAAAACATTCAGAATTTGAAGGGTAATGAAAAACTTATAACAAGAAGAAAAGAAAAATCTCTCCTTTCTGCTTGGTTTCCTGGCTCAAAGGTGGAGGGCGATTTTCATTTTGTTCAAGTTTCAGGCTGACTCTTTACCACACAGCATTTGTTTTTTTTGTCTTTAGAAGGTTTGAAGTAATATGGCCTTATCGCCTAAATTAATAAAAAGCACTGAAGTTCAGTAAGTATTCTAACGGCTTAGAAGAAAGTTACCAAGTAGTTCCAAAGTCCTCCTCCTGATCTAATGTCACACCAAGCCTGATTTCTGTCCTCGTTGTGCTCTCAATGGCGTTTATGTGATCTTGGGATGACATTCGAGAGGAGCATCTAACTGGCTCAGCCCGTTGTGTGCTAAAACACAGGTTGGTAAAGAAAAGGATGAGGAGGATGGTGTGGCTTTGCAGTCACCAAGAAAGAGATTTAGAACTTTCCCAGAGCTGATCTTTACACTATCAAAGCTCTCAACTTGCTGGAGTTCGGGAACTTTTGATGGGTTCTGAGAGGACAGCAGTGCATGTAGGAACTGGCAGGAGTTCAATGAGCCATTTGACTGTCTGTTAGCCTAGTCTTGGCCCTCCTTGCCATATTTCTTCTTCTTCCCAGTCTGCCAGTTTGGAGACCTCCATGCCAAAGCTCCTTTTATCTGTCTGTTATCTGGAGCCTATGATGTGTAATAAGCCACTCCATTTGTCCCTTTTGATCCTCTCTTCTCAGACACCTGGCTCTAGTCTGCTGGAAGTAGACACTGATCACTATCAGGAAAAACCTGGAGCCCAGGAGTGGCAACCCTAAAGAGTGACAAGAGATCAAGGGCACACTTTACTATCTTCATTTATTATTTCTTAGAAGCTGGCTGGTAACATACCAGACTCACCAACTGACACAGTCTCTATCTCCCAGGCTCTGAAGGCATCCATTCTTATCAGTTACTTTTAATAACCCTGAAGATACCCCAGCCACATTCTGCTGCAAACAGGCAAGTTCTGCCTGGTAGGCCAGCGTCCCTTAAGGTCTTTTCCTGGAAGAGCTGTTCTCCCCAGCTGCTTGGCTGTGGTTATTAATTTTCTTATTCACACAGTGATCTGCCTTTCTTTCGTTTGCTGAGGTCTAATCAGGTCTAATCACTCAGTACTTTTCCTCTTTCCTTTGTAGAACTCATGTGGTCTATTGCTTATGTGTGAATGGAAAAAGGACCAGGCTATCTTTTTATACAGAACTTCCTGGAAAAACCTTAGCTCTGGGACCTTCGATTTTCAGGTTTAAAGGAAAGAATTCGGGTCAATTATCTAAGTTGTTTAAAGAACATATTTCCAATTACAGGGACAAGAACAGTATTATCGAAATTGCAGCCACTTGCATACTACCTTTGTTTTCTGATATAACTACATACCACCTGTGATATTCTTCCTTGATATTTCACATTAAATTGTCTCAAGTCTACACTATCCTTACCTTAAGCAGCATTTGTAAAATCACAGGTTTGATGTGCTAGTTGTAAGTTTTTAAAAAAATATTAAAATTAAAATGTAATTATTAAAAAGGAGTATTTTCCTATCTGCCATCTAAAACTATCTCCTATACCACCATGATAGCCTCCCACTTTGGGAAACACTCATTTAGAATATAGATTTTGTAACTACATGAGACTAAATTTGCGATTTACATAAAGAATTTTACAGAAACAAATGTACTATTTCAACTTAGCCAAAGATGAAGTATTACTATGGTCAGCTCATAATAACTTTGGAAGTTATAAAAATTTAGCATATTCTAGAATAATGGAAAATATCTCCTTGCCTATAGGCCAGAACTTATGTAAAACAAGGGTAAATTTGTAGTCTTTTGCAAATCCTATGTCTTTAAAAAGCCATCTGAGTTCTTTCTTTAAAACTTTGTCAGTTATCCACTCAGTTTGTTTTTTGTTTTGAGACTGAGTCTCACTCTGTTGCCCAGGCTGGAATGCAATGGCTGCAATGGCACAATCTCGGCTCATTGCAACCTCTGCCTCCCGGGTTCAAGCAATTCTCATGCCTCCCTCTCCCGAGTAGCTGGGATTACAGTTGTGCATCACCACAAACGGCTAATTTTTGCATTCTTAGTAGAGACAGGGTTTCATCATGTTTGCCAGGCTGGTCTCAAACTCCTGACCTCAGGTGATCTGCCCGCCTTGGCCTCCCAAAGTGCTGAGATTACAGGCGTGAGCCACCATGCCCGGACTCATTCAGTTTTAAATAAATGATCATATCGGAGCATTCCAGTCTGGAGAGAACCAAAGGACATTGTTGTCCATTTGGTTTAACCATACAGGCTGAACTAAAACAACCTAACAAGTGCTACCTATCTTTTCAACCCCACCCTCATCCTCCATCTCCAGAAGCAGGAAACAAGCTCAACTGTGATCTATAGTAATCCCATTAATCTTACAATGAAGCATTAAATTAAACTGCCTAGCATAGATTCTTCTGCTACAAGGAAAACTGTATCTTGTAAGGACTGTATTTTATGTGGATAGATTTACTAAACAACGGATAGAAGAATACAAATAAGCAAAATAATTTGGCAAATTGTCAAATCTCCAGTGGGGGTGTTGTAGCAACTGATTTTTTTTTACTGTTATTATTTACTATAAAGATTTTAGTTACAGAGAGTTTAGTTTCTCCTTAGTAAGAGCAGTTCTCAGCCCGGGCGCAGTGGCTCACGCCTGTAATCCCAGCACTTTGGGAGGCCGAGGCAGGTGGATCACCTGAATTCGAGAGTTCGAGACCAGCCTGGCCAACATGGTGAAACCCCGTCTCTACTAAAAATTCAAAATTAGCTGGGCATGCTGGTACACGCCTATAATCTCACCTACTTGGGAGGCTGAGGCAGGAGAATTGCTTGAACCCGGGAGATGGAGGTTGCAGTAAGCCAGGATCATGCCACTGCACTCCAGCCTGGGTGACAGAGTGAGACTCTGTCTCAAAAACAAACAAACAAACAAACAACAACAAAAAAACAAAAAAAACTTTTTTTTCTCAAATGGTTCATGTTTCTATGGACTTTTCAAACCCATTCCTTTCTTTGTTAATTACAGGAAAAAATCTGACTTGAGCTAGAACCCTAGTGGAAGGCCTTTTAACATCCCTGATATAAATCACAAGCCTGGGCACTGGGGGGACTCTAAGGAGGACACATTCAAGTTAGTGGTAGAGACTGGGCCAGATCCCAAGTTCCTAACAACTCATTCAGTGTTTCCCAGCCTTCCCTGAGAGAACATGAAGATTCTTCTTCAGCAAATTCCATCTCTGGGTGTGATTTCAGTATCTGTCTCTTTGGTGTGCTGTCCTATTTCTCTAAAGCCACACAATTACAGAAGTCACTTAGCTCTTTGTAAAAAGCATGCCCTGGGAACAGCAGGAAGCTGTTGTTGTGCTACTATTTGGCTTTCTGACATAAAAGGTTTAGTACCCAAAAAGTCTATGGTCATTTTAAACCACTTGCATCTAAATTCCATGTTACATCTCATCAACCCAGATGTGGAAAGAAGTCAAGTGTTCCAGCAAATCCTTAAACAGCCAGATCATTAAGGGTATTTGAAATCTGCACTGAAATCCAGAATTATAGAACATTAGAACTGGAAGGGATCATAGAAATCATATAGTCCAAACTCCTCACTTCATCGGTTGCTCAGGGTCATAGAATCAGTTTGTCAGAGTAAGAACTAGAACCTGGAGGCCAAATAGTCCTCTTTTATTACCACAGTATTTTCTGAACCTCTTTTCTTCCCTGACAGCAGTGGCAGTGACGCCTGATCAACCTCTATGATGTCAACTACTTAGCATGTGGTGTCTAAACCCATGTCCTTAAGCATTGCCTCCTATTACCATGCAACAGGAGGCTTTTTGGTGAAGGCTGCTCAGCCAAGGCTAGGAGAGATCCCTTCTGCACACAGACCTTCTGTGCCACAAGGTGCAATACCTAGAAAGCTGGCTAATGAGAGAGGAAGTAAAGCACATCCCTAGGGCCTGCTGAACTGACAAAGACACAGTAGCAACAAGCAAAACAATAACCAAAACCACCCAAGCCTGAACTCCCTGTGTTACTGCTGTCAGAAGCACCACCCTACACAGAAGCAGGACTCAAGAACCCTCGGCAGCCCTTTCCTACCTACTGTACCTGCTCCTAACCCCAGGTACAGATTCCAGGCCTCCCCTCCCTCTCTGTGGGTTCAAGTCTCCATTCACTCTCCCAATATCATAACCCTCATTTCTCAGGGCCCCCCTGGGATCACCTCTGCATCTGACCAGCCCCAAGTGCAGCAAGCTTACCTGTCAGCGTCTCCGAGGCCCAGGGAGGTATTTCGTTGCAGGGTCTCCCGTACCACAGCCATCCCATCAGGGAGCCGGTTCAGGCGACGGGTATAGAGGCCAAGTCCACCATCAGTCATGTATCTTTAAAAGGAGAAGAAGATGATGCACATGAATGTCCAAAGCAAGTGGCTTCCAGGCTTGCATTCATATCCAGAAGCCTGTACAGCCGCCAAGTGCTCTAAGGGGGAAGAAACGGAGGATTCCCTGAGGCTCTGGCACTGATCACAGCCCAAGGATAACTCAGCTGCTGATCCAACCTAGAGGATCCCCAGCTCGCTAACAAAAAGGTGAAAAAAGAGAGCGAACTCAGCTTAATTAACCCAAACTCACAGGTACCTACGACGCAGACGGGAACTAGGGAATAAAATTAACTGTCACATGGATTCATGACATTCTTTTCAATGTCAGCGATTATACAAGCAGGTGTTTTACCTGAGTAACGGAAATGGAACTGACAAATCATTAGCAAATCATAGGCAATAATATTACAGAACAGTGAGTGGAAAAAGCAGGCAGGCTTTTGAGAGAGGGGGAA
Organism: Homo sapiens; assembly: GCF_000001405.40. Taxonomy (NCBI): domain Eukaryota; kingdom Metazoa; phylum Chordata; class Mammalia; order Primates; family Hominidae; genus Homo; species Homo sapiens. The sequence goes on along the minus strand of NC_000011.10, from coordinate 19,983,670 downwards.
AGAAAGGAGAGAGGATAGATGAGTGGCCTTTGCCATCACAGGCGAGTCCCTTCCCTGGATGGTGAGTTTTTCACCCAGGCTATAGGACTATCACGGCCTGTGACATGTGGGAATATCACAACATGGGCATGAGAATTAGTGAGATAAGGAATATGAAAGTGCACTGAAATTTGTGTAAGGCTATATAAGTGGAAGACATTACGGTTGTCACGATCATGAGGTGAATTTCACCCTTGATACTGATGTTTTCAGGGGGTTGCCACAAAACTCTGAACAACACTAATGCTAGTTTATTCTTTTTTTGGTAATACTACAAAGCTGTCTTCTGATGAAATCAGTGCTGTTCTTGAGAGGGAGGATGTCTGGAACTTTCTGTACAGATGGCTGATTGTCTACCAACCAGACAAGTTCCTGAAAGCTTAGCCACTAGTAGGAGGTAGCTCAGTCCAAGGCAGCTGTACCTCATATCTACCTTGGCTTCCTCACAGCCCCCATAAAGGAGACTGGTTTTGTCATTTCCCTCATCTTCAGAGGAGAACAGGAAGGCAAAGCAAAACTTGGGCAGAGCCAGAAACCAAACTTGGATCCCTTCAATCCCTTATGGGCCCCATCAGATCACCCTGCAAGGTATCTGAAAATGCAAGCATTTTACATTTCAAATCAAGTAATATGTAGTAAGAGGACCAATGAGTCATTATTTTTCTGAAACAGGGTCAGCTGAGCTACGTCATGGAAAGCTTAATTGCACTTGCCATTTTAACTTTTGCATATATGGAGTCGACCCTGAGGGTTCCCAATCCTTGAATTTCTTCTACCTGTAGCTGGGGACCTTTTTAGGATATATTTTTCAAGAACAGAATTATGAGATGCAGACGAGGCTGCCCAGACCAGGAAGTTCAAGTAAGGGGCAGAGAAGAAAATTCTCACTGGAGTTATCTCATGTGAAAAGCACCTTCCAGAATGGGTAAGAGGAACCCAGGAAGCTTCTAAGCTACTGTGGCTAAATTCAACACCTCCAATGTTCCCTGCTCCTCCCTTTATGACATTAATGATCCCCAAGGTCACAATATCAACATAATGAGAAATCTGTTGGAGTAAATCAGACTAAGTGTTTGTGCTTGTGCTGAAAATGCAACAGAAGAGACTGAAGTTTTCACTCAACTTTATCATTTTAAAAACCACTCTGTGAATACATTAAAAACCATCAAATTGTATGCTTTAAAATGGTGAATTTTTAGCCGGGCACGTGGCATGCACCTGTTGTAGTCCCAGCTACTTGGGAGGCTGAGGCAGGAGAATCACTTGAACCCGGGAGGTGGAGGTTGCAGTGAGCCGAGATCGTGCCACTGCTCTCCAGCCTGGGCGACAGAGTGAGATTCCGTCTCAAAAAACAAAACAAAACAAAACAAAAACAAAAACAAAACAAAAAAGAAAACCCCAAAAATAAATAAATAAAATGGTGAATTTCATGATATATGAATTAAATCTCAATAAAAATATAAAAAATGATTACAGCTATAGTTAAATAATTATTTGTTTAATTGCCCTTCAATGCATGTCTCTCACACTAAATAGTAAGCTCTTTGCAGGCAGAGATTCTTATTTTGTTCAAATCTATATCCCATGAGCTTAGTACATACTAGGTGCTTATTAAATGCTGTTTTTGTTGAATGAATGAACACATGAATGAATGAAGCCCAAAGACACAGCCATAGGGCTGTGCAAATTTTTTTTGCAAGAACACTGATTACAGGTTTTCTTTCCTCTTAAGCTTTAACAAACTTACATTTAAGACATATGACAAGCAAATTAAACTGTCGATCTGCCAATCTACCCATCATCCATCCATCCAGCCACCCTCCAACAGATAGAGTGACTCAGGGTAGAGTAATGGGTTATGGGCATCCATCCTACAGGTAGCACAAGGAGGAAAAAACACCTACACCAAAATGCCATAACTTTGCCAGAGGCTGGACTTTCTAGACCCCACGTCCTTTCAAGGAGAACTCAGTGGAAGCTCTTCAAAATACCATCTATTACACCATTAAGCAAGGCAGTTAATTTTGATCTTAGCCAAGTCTGCCCAGCCAGTTAGATAAACAAAATTCTTTCAACTGGGGAGATCTTGTCAAAGGACAAACAAACTAATTTTAGCATTCATTTCCCTGCTGGATTTTTATTGCTGGTGAAACAACACACACGGTTGGGTAATTACACACACACAGGCATGTAGACAAGGCCCACATGTACAGAACCCTGGCTTCCTGCTAAGGCCAGACTGTGGGGCCTGGTGAGCATTCCAGACACAGAATGCTGAGAAACGTTGCAGCCCCAGCCCAGCTACACCCGGGTGCAACGTGGATGTATCAGAAAACGACAACCCCAGAAAAGCGGGAAAGCCTCTGAGAAATGGGACTGAAATGGAACTGAACATGTGAGCTGGGCTTGCTGTTGGGAATTCTGACTTTGTTTTGGCAGAGGGGAGGGGAAAGGCAAAGCTAAATCAGGATCTTCTGCCTTCTCAAACTGTAGGAAGAAATGAAAGTCAGGGAGGTGAATGCAACTAGTCTGACAATGATCTAGTTTCAAGACTGCAAGTCTATTTCACTTATCGTGCGCATGTAGAGGGAGGGCAGGCAGAGTGATAAGGAAAATGGGGAACTTACCTCTTCTTTTAGAGATATGTAAACACATGTTCAACTGTTTTTTAAACAACAATATTCTTTGAAATAAATTCTGTTGTATGTCTCTCCTTGGGAGACGGCACAGCACCAGAGACAGAGCTGTGGTTAGAGCCAGCCTCACACTCAAGAAATTAATTTAAAATGTTTCTAAATTATTATCCACCAATTACAATGATTTACAAACAGCTCTGTATATATTTTTAAATAACTCCTGTATTATACAGTCAATGAAAAATATACAAATTTGGGTTTGCTGGACCAAAATTTGTATAGGAATTGGCTATTGTATACATCAATATAGACTGCCTTAACAAAGTGAAGGCCTTAAGAAAGCATAATTTACAGATGAAGCAGCCACGGGTGTGTTTATCTGAAACACTGGCTTTTGCCCAGAAGTGTTAAAAAAGCTTGTGTTTCTGAAGGTTCAGGGAGCCAGAGGACTGATGGCCTCATCCTCCACTTGAGGAGCTTTTATAAGAGGCTCACACTGGGTGAAGAAGAAATGACTTGTCTGAGGTCACAAGCAAAGGAACCAGCTGATCCAAGAACTCAATCTCAGAACACCCATGCCACACTTTCCTTCTCCTTGGAGAGATAAATAATTAGTGCTGGAGCCTAATGAGGTGCTGGTAACATCCTAATGTCTTCTGAGTGGACTCTTGCCTCAGTTGCTAAGCTACTGAACCATCTCCCCATTACCCTCCCGAGTTCTGCCATGATAGGTGGGTGGAGGCGGCTCTCCGCATCCACCTTCTTAAGCTTCCCCAGAGACCCCTGGATGGAAAGAGTCAGAGCCTCTGCTAAAGGGACAAGGTGTCTGTGGGGTGTTTTTCTTGCTTCCCTGGGGTGGCCCATGAGCATCAGGGTTAAGGAACATGACTGTTGTTAGACCCAAGTTGTTCAAATGCCTTCTCTGCCCCTTGCTGGCTGAAGGACCTAGTATACATCATTGTTAGTAAGCACTAATGGTACTAAATGCTCACTGGGTACTGTGTTAAGTGCTTCACATAAATCATGGCATTCAACCTTCAAAATAATCTTATCAAGTGTTATTGTCATCTCTATTGTTCAGATGAGGAAAACAGAGCTGTGGTTAAGATCCCAGCGCAGGCAGGTGAGTTCAAATCCCAACTGTCGCATTTCAGCGCAATTTCTTCTAGTTTAAGTTCCCTCATAGGATTGTGGCAGGTTAAATGAGACAGTGCATATGTTTAGAAAGCCCAGTGCCTGGCATATAGGGAGCACTTCCTAATCATTAGCTGCTTACAGGAGTGGCAAGACCTAGTTCCTGCTCTGGTGAAGCTCAAAACCTACTAGGGACTAAGACATGCAAATAGCTCTACTGCTACATAAAAGTGGTATAACAGATGAATGCATGACTGGCTTTGAGAACACACGGGAGAAAGCGTCGCAGAGGAGTGCTGTTTAAGTTGGCCCTAAAGGGTGCGGAGGAGTTTGCCAGCCAAAAGAGGATCCATCTAGACACATGGATAACCTATGCAAAAGCAGAGAGAAATGGCAGAGGGGAAGGTATGTTCAGAGAAGGGTAAGTAGTTCACTATTGTTAGAACACTGGGATCACAGCTAGGAACTGGGCTGCATGGGACCTGGGGGATGGTTTTGAACATCTTGGATGCCAGGCCTCTGCCTGTAAGATGGGGGATACATGAAGGTACTAATGAGTAACAGGCTCTGGCTTCTGTTTCAAAGAGAACGTCGACTTTTCGATTCTTCCAACATTCTGTATTCAATTTTTGGTGGGCATTTTCTCATCAGTACTTTCTTCTACAGATTTTTCAGAACACACCATTTCCTAGTCCTGTCTGAGTCATCCCAGACCTCTGGGAGCTGGCCAGACTTGAAGGGTAGTCCTCACCATCCCTCCAGTCAAGACAGACCTGTGAAGGCAACATGCCTTTTACAAAAGGAACTTTCTCTACAGAATAGGTTGGTAACTGACACTAGCTATGAAAAAGCTGTGGAATCTAACAGGACCTGCTAGAACAAATACTCCAGACTTCAAGTCTAACATTTAGTAAACAGATTTCTTCCCTTTCTTTAAATGTAATGATGCAACAATGTGGAACCAAGTGAAACTGGCTTTGTGAGTCACCTTCAGAAGCGGCGAAAGGTGGCTTCTCATTTCCAAAGTTCACAGTTCAACATGGCCTGCATAAGTAATACAAACTGACTGCCACTAATCTCACCAGAAATCACCTCTGTCAAGAACTGTGTGAGGAGAGAGGGGACAGAGAAGGAAAGAAATACGTACCGACTTGCTCTAGTCGAGTGCATTTCTAATAGAGCATGACATAAAAAAAAAAAAAAAAAAAAAACCTCTCAGATGCAAGAAATGAAAGAACAAACAGAAAACAAATCAATCCTACATAATTACTTTTCTTCGAAGACACGTCAGCCTGTCTCTATTTTTTGGACACACTTTTGGTTGAAACGTGGACACAGAAACATGGAATAATTACAAATGTGTGTGTAATATTCCTTGCCAATAACAATATAAATATCTGGACGTATATATCAACACATACTTTGTTGCATTAGATTGAAAAAACTAATGGGGGCTGACGAAAAGCCCTTGTTGTTGAGCAATGTCATCAACATCCAGATCCCCAAACATCATATGCTTTCACAGGCCCCTCTACTCAGTTATAATACAGTGTGACATTCATTCTCTGAGTTTATTAGGATGCAAATCGAGTTTCTGGACAGACCTGGAAAAGAATCCCTTTAGTTTAGGGCCTCTGAGAAGACAGATGAATCAACTTCACTCCGGGTCGTAGGAGGATGCACCGGCCAGCGAGTCTAACAAAGCTGCCTGCATCCTTTTGAAAAAAAAACTGACCTTGCTGGGTGTGGTGGCTCACGCCTGTAGTCCCAGCACTTTGGGAGGCTGAGGTGGGTGGATCACCAGAGGTCAGGAGCTTGAGACCTGCCTGGCTAACATAGTGAAACCCCGTTTCTACTAAAAAAAACCAAAAAAAACAAAAAAAAACAAAATGAGCTGGGCGTGGTGGCAGGCGCCTGTAATCCCAGCTACTCGGGAGACTGAAGCAGGAGAATTGCTTGAACCCGGGAGGCAGAGGTTGCAGTGAGCCGAGACTGTGCCATTGCACTCCAGCCTGGGCAACCGGAGTGAAACCCTGTCTCAAAAAAAAAAAAAAAAAAAAAAAGAAAAAAGTTGACCTCTCTGAAAAGAAAAGCAGTGGCCACATTGGCTCAAGGAAGAAGAGAATGCTCTGAAATGCAAAAATATGACTGGAAAAAAAAAGGGCTTAATTTCTCAGTGCGAATTATAAAACTGCAGCACTAAAATTTAGTGAATACTTAAAATTTTGCTAAGGAAACACATGGAAACCACTTTGTCCTCAATGAGTTTTTAGGCATAAATGTTCAGGCAAACGTGGCATATTTATCAAAACCTTTGTCCCCCACGACAAGTTCAGAGACATGTTGCAGTGACTCTAATATCCTACTCACAGCATATTCTTACATATTTTAGAATCAAATAAAGGTGAAATTCAAGCGAAGAACACAGTATTGCCTCTTCCTGATTATGGGTCACCCCAAACTGACACAAGATGAAACAAAACCAACAACAACCTTTGGAGAGAAAGCCCAAGGTGACAATGCCTTTCTCAGTTGGGGTTCCCTGTGGTAACAGGACTTTAACCATAAATAAGACAGACTGCACAATCCACACAGTTAAGAAACAAGAGGATGTGAGGTGGAAGAGGGGTAAGAAATGTAATCTTTCATTTTTATGACTTAGTGGGCAATTCTTCGGACAGACCCACACATCTTTGGCCTTCATGCCTTTGGGGGAATGCTTCCAACAACCGCTGACAGAGGCCAGTGGGAAATGTGACTTAGAGAATCCAACCAGTTTCCTACCTTTCTGCTTGATGCAAAATTGGGGCACCCTTTATGCGATTTCCTACTGTCCTCCAGGACTGTCAGCTCTTCAGGATGTCACCAAGTTGATAGCGACTTGTTCTTTTTAGGAGGATTTGGGAGTTCAATGTACATCGTGAGTAAAATCTTCCCTTATGTCACTCAAGCCTGGAACAGTCTCCTGTGGCCACAACACACACCACCTTGGTTCAGAGCATAGGATGACGTGACCATGGCATATAGACTGCACTGCTGCAAAGTTTCTTCAATGGCCACGAGCCATCCCCCAGGAGAACACACAGTTGAAGGGGCACCAGCCCCTGCTTCTCTGCTGCAAAGTGAGCCAGATAACCAGGAAAACCCAGATAAATCCTCTGGTCAAGGTACAGCAGGAAGTCAAGGCTGCTGCAGAAGTGAACTCACTCAGGAGTTCTGGAGCTGACTCTGGCTAGTCCCAGTCAACAGAGCACACCTCACTGGGGAGTACTGCAAAGATGTTGCTAAGCTAATCAAACAAGGGCTCAGATCTAGCAGGCCATGGGGACAGAGGCAGCAGCAGGAAAAGGTGGGCCTGAGTTAAAGAGGAGTCAAAAGGTCCCAGGGGCCCCCTGCCAGCCTCGCCAGGGAAAACTGGTGTCACAGACTTTTGCCATTTCTACTTCCTAAAGCCAGTGCTGAGGACTGCTTGAAAGAGAGAGAGACAGAAGAGATAGCGTGGGAGTCGCTGTCTGCAGCTCAACTCAACACACGCCTCTCCATCTACCTGCTGCTTGAAATACGGGCCATGGAGCAGTAGTTTCAACATCACCTGGAAGCTGTCTTAAAAAGCAATATCCGAGACCTTCTAAATCAGACTCAACATTTCCATAAACCCCCCAGGTGATTTGTGTGCACACTAAAGAAAAAGAAGCACTGGACCCGGGCAGTGGTCTCTGTAGAGGGGAGCACAGATGATCCAGGAGTGAAAACGCAAGTGCTTCTACGTATATTTATTTCTCATCAAGATCTTTCTGATTCCTATGTTTTTGCACGCTATAGAGTATATGCAATATTTCAATAGCATGGCACATATATATTTTAAAAACAACTACAACCAAATCCAGTTTACAGACCATTATCGAAATCAGAAATTCCTAAACTTTCTTATTAACCTCTTTGGAGAAACGAGTGAAAGCTAGGGACCTCATCTCACATATGTGCAAAATTCACATCCAGCATGAGTTGGCTCACAGACCTCGAGGCCCCACCTTAGCAGTGACTTTGCTAAAACAGGGCAGAAGTAGATCCTGGCTGAGCAGATGCTTCAACACACTCTACAATGATTTCTACATTGCAAGACTTGTCTGTTTGCTATAAACCAATTCCGCAGTGGCTCATGGCATTGCTACAATTCACGTTACCCTGAGTTTTAGCACACAGGCTCAATCTCACCACTGCTTGGGTCTTGCTTTCACCAAACTCCTAGCAGAGAGATTGATCACGTGGAGAATTTCTGTGTGGTGGTGAAACAGGCTACCAAGGTTTGTGTGTCTTTTGCAAAATGCAATGTGACTTTCCACAAGTTTAATAAAATTCCATCTAATACTAATTTCCAGAGCATTTTGGTTGAAAAAGATCTATACGTATATAAAGTCCAGGAGCATTTTAATTTGAAAGGCCTATAATAGCCCTAATAAAATACATACTCCGATGCACAAAGAGCCAAGGATTATAACAATAGTGTACTTATCACCCTTAAACCAATAGAGATATGTAAAATTTTAATTATAATCCATGGCTACGCTTGTTTGAAATGGACGCAGGCAGGGCACACTTCTGAAGAAAGGCTGCACACGTTCGAAAATTGACAGTTCCTGTGTCTGAAACTGGTCTTGCCTGAATTGTCTTTACTGTGGTTCAACTGTCAGTGTGGAATTGCAGCAAATATTTCTAGCATTAGCAGGAAGCTTTTTGTCCACCTTCTGAAAGATGAAACACATCCTAACACACAAGAGACAGTTCTCTAGACAAAGCCCCTTTAAGCTCTTTCTTAGAATGAAACAGATGGTGAAAGGAGATGGACTGATATCCAGGAATTCTCAAACCTCAGAATACAGGCAGATCCTCTGGAGAGCCTGACCAAAATGCTTATTCCAAGGCCTCAGCTTCATACACGCAAGATGTATTTAGTGAGGCCCAAATCTTGCATATTTTTAAAAAACAGACTTTACTTTTTAAGAGATTATTTCTCTAACACTGTACAGAAATTACAGAGTTCCTTTATATCCCCTCTTCCCCCCAACACTTTGCTCTATTATTATGTACACTTTTTTCTTAGAAACAGGGTCTTGCTTTGTCACCCAAGGTAGACTGTACACTGCTGTCCTAAACTCCTGGGCTCAAGGGATCCTCCCGTCTCAGCCTCCTGAGCAGCTGGGACTACAGGCGCATGCCACCATGCCCTAATTTTTAAATTTTTTGTAGAGATGGAGTCTTGCCACATTGCTCAGGATAGTCTTGAACTAGGCTCAAGCCATCTTCCCACATCAGCCTCCAAAGTGTTGGGATTACAGGCGTGAGCCACTGCTCCTGGGCTATTATTAATATTTTGTATTAGTGTGGTTCATTGTTGCAACTGATGAACCAATATTAATACATTATTATTAACTAAAGTCACATTAGGGTTCACTCTGTGTCTTACAGCTCTACTGATTTTGATACAGAATGTCACCTACCCACCATTACAGTATCACAGAATATAATTCCACCACCTTAAAAATGCCCCATGCTCCACCTATTCATCCTTTCCCCCAAGTCTGCATTTTTAACAGACATGCAAGTAATTCTCTTGCAGGTAGTCAGGCCAAAACTGTGAGAAATGTTGCCTTAAATCATGAGACCTGGGCGGAAGAACTGTGTGCTAGATTGGATTCAGTTTCCCTAAGAATTAGTTGACTATAATGTGGCTACACTGTAACAGTAATTTAAACTTCAGATCCTCTTAGTAACTACTCTTGGCCCCCTCTGTGTTAGGGGACAATATCCACATTAACCTAGGTTGAAGCTGATCCCCAATGTTTCCTCCATCTCAAATCAAGGCTTGATAAAAGTTGTTACTACTTTAAGTTTCTTCTAAAATATCAAGTGACTCATGGTCTCATAGTTAAATGCCTACCGGCCTCAGGACAGTCCGACTGTTGGAAACTCAGATGGCTGGCAAGTGGCAAGAGGGAGCAGTATTAGGCATGCTGAATTCAAAGCATTATGGACAACACACAGGTAGCTCAGTGTGGCATCATAATCAGATGCTCTTCCTCTGGAAAAGCCTTCTACGTTGTCAACAGAATATGACAGAAGTGGATCCTGGCTGAGTAGATCCTTCAACGTATTCTGCAATGGTTTCTACATTGCAAGACTTGTCTGTTTGCTATAAACCAATTCCGCAGTGGCTCATGGCAATGCTACAATTCACATGTTACCCTGAATTTTAGCACACACGCTTAATCTCACCACTGCTTGGGTCTTGGCTTTCACCAATCTCCTAGCAGAGAGATTGATCAAGTAGAGAATTTCTGTGTGGTGGTAAAACATACTACCAAGCTTCATGCGTCTTTTGGAAAATGCATTCTCCCGAACACTTCTGATGCACTGAAACACACCTGCCAATCATCATCTGTGGGCTGGTAAGTCTTATCATTCCTGCGATTTCTGCTACGGCTCCCCAAGCCTCAGAGTGCTCTGAGACACAGGCTCACTTTTCACATTAAGTCAGCAGAATTTTTGTTGGCTTTGAGGATTGTATGTTCCCTTTGGAAGATGACTAGAGCCTGTAGGGGTGGGAATCTGACATCTAGTGTCTGTTTCCCTTCTGGGTTCATGTAGACCCCCCCAGGTAACAACAAAAGTCTTTACCAAACTGGGGAGAAATCAGCTGGCACTTTGGCTTAGGTTCATGCAAGTTTCACCTTGTCTTTTCTAGACTGCAGCTGAAAGAATGCCACGGTGTACTGAGAATAGACAGAATGAGAAGGCGACTAATTTGTAATTGTGAGACAATCCCTGCTGTAGACAAAGGCAAAAAGCAGACCTTGGGAACATCATTCAACCTCAGCGAACAACTAGATTTCTGGAAGCACTGTAGGGAGGCTGCAGGAAGGGCTCACATAGAGTCACATGTAGGACTTTGCCCAGAGGAGGCCTATGTTTAAGGTGGTGGCATTTGTGCAACAAACATTTATGTAGTACCTACTGAGAGGCAGGCACTAGCCTGGGTGTTGGGGACATAAAAATCAGACTCAGTCCTTGAGCTTGAGGGGCTTAGTGTCAGCTTGGGGCAAGCAGATGTGTAAATATTTGCATGGGGTTCAGTAAAGGCCAAAGCACAGAGAGGCCAGAAAAGGCTCCTTAGAGAAAGAAAGCCTCCCATAGCATCTTGAAGGTGTCTGCCAGGCAATATTGGCTTGGGGGAGGGAGATCAGGTAGTTCACACAGACACGCATGTACAAACACAAAGGACCCAACATGTAAAGTGAACTCGGTGTATGGTTTTCTATGCTAAGTTTCTACCAGGTGATATTTTCATCAAGACAGTGATTATTCTGGGCACTTATTCTAAATGGGATTCAAAAAATAAACCACCAATACCAAGGAAACAGATATATAGACCTTTGGCCTTCAAGGGTAGAGGATTAAGCAAAACTAGGTGACTATCGGATGCTCAAATTAGCAGCCATTGAATCCACAAGAACAGCAGACATGACAGCTGACAACATGAAATGCTGGCCCTGGTCACTCGTCCAGATGTCACCTTCAGAAACTGTACACAGGCAGCTGAGAACACTGGTTGTCTGTAGGAATGATCCTATCTCCAGGGAGGGAGCAGGAATTTGAAAAGTATGTTCAAGGCCCAATGTTTTTGATAATGCATTCTGTAGCTAAAGTTTGACAAAATTTGAGTTGTTGTGGAGCTATTAAAGATACAGTGATTCTGAAAAGCCACATCTAATTTTACCCTCCAGCTCTGCACCTCCTCACCCCCAAGTCAGGGTGTGAGATCTTTCAGGATGGGGCATGACATCTAAAAAGAAAAAAGTTTGGGCCAGGCACAGTGGCTTATGCCTGTAATCCCAGCACTTTGGGAGGCCAACGTGGGTGGATCACCTGAGGTCAGGAGTTCAAAACCAGCCTAGCCAACATGGTGAAACCCCGTCTCTACTAAAAATACAAAAATTAGCTGGACATAGTGGCACGTGCCTGTAATCCCAGCTACTTGGGAAGCTGAGGCAGGAGAATTGCTTGAACCCAGTAGACGGAGGTTGCATGAGCCAAGATCGTGCCACTGCACTCCAGCCTGGGTGACAGAGCAAGACTGTCTCAAAACAGAAAAAAGTTTGAAAAACATTGAGTTAAAATATGTGAGGATGGAAATCAGTCATTGTCTTCCTGGAGAGTTCAGATTTTGAACTAATTAAGGTACCAGATTTCCATATTAACAGGAACTATCCAAAAGTGTGTTGTACATCCACAAAAGTTGCATATGATACATTCACATGGGGGGAAACAAGGCTGTGTGGCTGGGGTGTTACCGGGGGGCCCACCCATGCCCTGAGCCAGGAAAGGGAAATCTCACAGCTCTCTCTTTGGGGTGTAAAAAGGCTTTTTTATACCCTGCAAAATAGGTCCCAAACCCATCTCTCCATCCCCTTGCCCCCTAAAAAGAAAACAGGCCATGGTAGAAAGTCTTAAGATAAAATCCCACAGTGAAAAGGCACCCTATGCAAACCACAGGCCACAAGAAAAGAACAATCACTCTAACCTCTTCAGCTTGGCACATACCACATAACCCCCGTCCCTCGCATAGTGAGCAATGGAAAAATGCCCTTTTCTACTAAGGTTGGCAAAAGTGTGTCCTACTCAAAAACGTGCCTGTGGGGCCAGACATGACACAAACTCCCCAAAACCAGATGATGTGCTCTCAATGACTAAAACACTTGTGCTTATCTTCACCTGGGCATGCAGTGTTCCCACACCATGATGGTCTGCCTCATCTAGCATATTAATGTCGAAATACAGGATGTCTTTTAGATCATCTCCCCCACCTCCCACTTGAGGACACCACACTGAGAAGGTGTGAACTCTAAAACCTCATTTTAAGTGCAACAGAGCATTGAGAAAAACATTCATGATAGGCAGTTTCATGGAACTACAGAACATTAGATCTGGGGGGATTTCAAAGATTACTTGGTTTAATGATTTTTCAGATGCAAAATGAAGACTCAGAGAATTGGAGTGATTTGTCCAAGAAAATACAAGTAGAAAGTAGTCACTAAGGTTTTTTTCATTTAAATGTATTTGTGTGTTCAATAAATCCTTTTTCTGTCTTTTATGATAAAATTGAAGCCTGGCTCCCTTATTTCACATTTATTATAACTGTTGGCTTGTCTTTCTTCTTGTGCTCCAGCCTTCACCCAACAAGTTCAATAAAGGTAGCTCTGTTATTATTATTTCAGAACCAATACTTTTGCTTCAAAATCCCCAGTCCCTATAACTGTGCCTTCAACTCTCGAGATAGGTACCTACCAAGTGTTTCTTGGTATACTGAAGAAAGAATAAATAACAATCAACAATTAAATTGTTGGACTGGGTGCAGTGCCTGTAATCTCAGCACTTTGGGAGGCTGAGGCAAATGGATCCCTTGAGGCCAGGAGTTCAAGACCAGCCTGGCCAACATGGTGAAACCCCATATCTACTACAAATACAAAAATTAGCCAGGCATGGTGGCGCATGCCTGTAATCCCAGCTATTTGGGAGCGTGAGACAGGAGAACCACTTGAACCCAGGAGGTGGAGGTTGCAGTGAGCTGAGATCATGCCACTGCACTCCACCCTGGGCAACAGAGCAAGACTCTGTCTCAATAAAAACAAAAAACTGCTTTCACTGTAGTCCTCCCTTGTCTGTGGTTTCACCTTCCATGGTTTTAGTCATCCACAGTCAACTGTGGTCTCACATTGGGTGAGTATGGTACAATAAGATATTTTGAGAGAGAGAGAGACCACATTCACATAACTTTTATTAGAGCATATTGTAACAATAGTTATATTTTATTGTTAGTTACTGTTGTTAATTTCTTTTTTCTTTTTTTCTTTTTTTTTTTGAGACAGAGTCTTGCTCTGTCACCAAGGCTGGAGTGCAGTGGTGCTATCTCGGCTCACTGCAAGCTCCGCCTCCCGGGTTCACGCCATTCTCCTGCCTCAGCCTCCTGAGTAGCTGGGACTACAGGCACCTGCCACCACGCCTGGCTAATTTTGTTTTTGTATTTTTAGTAGAGATGGGGTTTCACCATGTTAACCACAATGGTCTCGATCTCCTGACCTCATTATCCGCCCGCCTCAGCCTCCCAAAGTGCTGGGATTACAGGTGTGAGCCACTGCGCCCAGCCAACTGTTGTTAATTTCTTACTGTGTCTAATTTATAAATTAAACTTTATCACAGGTATGTATGCATAGGAAAAAAACCCCATAGTTTATATAGAGTTAAGCACAGTCTGCAGTTTCAGGCATCCACCGAGGGTCTTGGAATATATCTCCTATGGAAAAGGGAGGAATAGTGTATGTATATTTTATGCATTAAGCATCTGGAGAACACAAAGAGAAATAAGATGCATCCTTGCATCTGCTTTAGAGATAAGTCAAATACTATCAATAGTAGACAATGATACAGAAAGGGTCCAAAAAGGACTTCCAGGAAGATGTGGGCCTTCCGGGTCTCATTTAAGGGACAGCATGGCTCCAGCAAAGAGTCCACTGTATTGGGAACAATGTTACTGCCACACCCTAAGGCATCCTGAACTTGAGCTGAAGCGAGTTTCATTTCTCCATGGCCAAATTTCCCATTGTATTTGATTCTTAGAAAAGTGAAAGCAGTATAGTGGGGAGCACAGTTTGAAAAGCAAAAGAACTGTGTTTCTCTTTTAGAATTTCAATATGTATAGGTCAGGACAGTACCACAGGTGTGTTCACAAGAGGGACAGGGTGTGGCACAAACTGTGTGGATGAGCACGTTTCTCCCTGTAGGAAGGCAGCTGCTGGAGCTCTTGAGGTAACCTGGGCATGAGACACTCAGAAGCCAAGCAGCCAAGCACCCAGGCAACCCAGCCAGCCTGCGGACAAGGAGAAGCCAAGGCGGTTGGGAACAGGGTGTGGCAGGGGTGCCCTAGCAGCAGTCGGAGCACTCTGGGGGGAAAGACAGGCTGAGAAGTCGCCGAAACACAGGCCAATGACCTCCAGAGTAGGAGCCAAGCTATGGTCAGTTGCCTATAGGACACTCAAATTACCTTCTATCAGTGCACCAGGAGCTGGTCATAGTGACTGATACTGCTACACAGACCAAATAATGGGGTATCTGACTTTTTTCACTCTTTAACTTGTTCAAACGCTTCCACTTCCACAAGAAGGTAGACAGATAAGCTAAAATCATAATTCAAATGGGATTGAAGGCAAAGCAGAATTCCCTAGGATCTGCATACTGAGAGAGCACATTCAACAGTAAAACATGTTTACACTTTAAAGACCTATTATTAAGGCTGGGCACAGTGGCTCATGCCTGTAATCCCAGCATTCTGGGAGGCCGAGGTGGGTGGATCACCTGAGGTCAGGAGATCGAGACCAGCCTGGCCAACATGGTGAAACCCCGTCTCTACTAAAAAAATACAAAAAATTAGTTGAGTGTGGTGGTATGTGCCTGTAATCCCAGCTACTTGGGAGGCTGAGGCAGAAGAATCAGGAAGCGGAGAATCCAGGAGCTTGAACCCAGGAGCGGAGGTTGCAGTGAGCCGAGATTGCGCCACTGCACTCCAGCCTGGGCAACAAGAGTGAAACTCTATCTCAAAACAAACAAACAAACAAACAAAACTACATCAACAACAACACCCTATTTGTTTTCATCATATGAACTCTAGGTAGTAAAGTTCATGAACATCTCAGCTGGTGTGCAGACACTGTGTTTCCAGCGGTCCTCATACTCTTATCTGGACTGTAGCCACAGTCCACTTCCTTATCTTCCAGATCAGAACCTGGGGCAGCAGGGAGGTGTGCACAATTTTTGTATTTATTAGAAGGAGTCATGGGTTAAACATTTTTCAGAAGAAATGTCTTTGGTGCCTCTACTATCACCCCCAGGCTGGCAGGACCTGTGGAAACGTGGCTTTCCAAGGAGATCCTTATCTCCAGAATACAATACCCAGTCTGCTCAGTCTATAATCCAGCTGTAATGATTCCTCTGGGCACCTGGATACCCTGAATCATAAAACTGAAAGACCTTTGAAAGATCACCTCTTTGTCTCCTTTTCACCTCATGCAGGAACCCCTTCTGTAATATCTGGGATACAGAGTTTTCCAGATTCTGAGTGAATATTCCCAGGAACAGGGAGTGACAGGGCTCATGTCCTTGCAAAACTGCCTCTAGTTTTAACAGGTCTACTTTTGGGCACATTTTTCCTTATGCTGATTAATGGTCACCTTGGTGTCTAGGCAATAAAAAACCTGTCTAACTTCCACCTATGGTTCAAGTTTGGTCCCCTGGAACCTACTGCTTTTCTAAGTACTTTCCATGCCAAGCCAATATTTGTACTTTCTACAAACATTTCTATTATGTTTTGGGTTTTGAATCCTGCACCTTGTTACCTGTTCCTAAAAAAAAACCTCTGCCTTATTCTGAACCCCTTAAAACCTAGCACCGAGAATAAGACAGAGCTTGATATTGTCTAGCTAGCAGAAACTCTGTTGCTTCCCATATTCTTATTCTATGAATCCAGTTGAAGGTTAGGCTTTGTAGAGCTCTAAGGAAAGGTAGGAAAATCCTTGGGTCTACAGAGCCTAAAGTGCAACAGGCGGCAGCACCAAGAGAATAGGCTTGGCTCTCAAGCTTCCTGAAACTGGCCGCACCCTTTAGTAGCAGTATGACCTTGGACAAGGGACTTCTGTCATCCTCAGTTTCCACATCTGTAAGATGGGGACAATCACATGTTATAGGCCTTCCAGGATTTCTACGAGAATTCAATGAGATAATGCCTGAAAAGCACCTGCCACATGAAAAGTACTTAATGAACACGACCTGTATTATTAATAGCAGCAGCAGCAGCAGCACTGCTCCTACTATCACCCCCTTTCTCTCTCTTTTCATTCCGCTCATATTACCCAAGCATACACAACAGGTCTGGTAGAAGAAGTTGGAAACGTGAGAGAGTAAAAAGACACAATCCCTCTGTTCAAGGATATTCTGGCCTGGGGGACAAACTAGCCCAAAGAACATAAGAGAAGCCATCTGGGAGCTGTTACCAGGCGTTTGGAAACTCAGAGGAGGGAGACCATCAATGTCCATCAATGTGCATCAGCGGAGGCTTCCTAGCTGCAGTAGACTCTTGAAGGATTGTGGCAGGTGGGTGGTAATTGATGGGGAGGAGTTTATGGACAGAGCAGACTCATGCAAAGGCTCAGTTACAAGAGCATGGTGTCTGTATCAAGGAAAACGTCTGTGGTTCAGAGTGGCAGGAACAGGATGGCAGCTGGGGTGGGGAGAGGACGGGTGGTCAGTGAGGGGATGAAGGAGATGGCAGGAAATGAAGAAATGAGGCTAGGCAAGTTGATCATTTGTTAGCTTCTCAAATGCAAAAGGAGGGCCCATGATGCACCATGCTCTGTGCTAGGCACTGGGGATACATAATGTACAAGAAAGACAAGGCTTGTGTCTCCATGGAGCAGACACTCCAATGTGAGACTATGGAGGGAGGGCCGTGTATATCACACTGGGTGGTATGGGGATATATTGTTGTGAACTGTATTCGCCACAGATGACCACAGCAACATCTCTGGATCCCACATGCAAGGTGACCTTGCCATCCTCCCACTGAGAGGTGGGATCTATGCACCTTCCTCTCGAATCTGGAGGGCTCGTGACTGCTTTGACCAATACAGTATGGCAGAAGGGACAGTCTCTGCCTTCCAAGGCTAGATGATAAAAGGTGAGGCAGCTTCTGCATTGTTCACTGTACCCTTTGCCCTTGAGCCCTGAGCTCCATGTAAGAAGTTTGCCAATCCCCAGGAAGCCACGCCATGTGGAGAGGCTGCAGCCATCTTAACCTTCAAGTCATCCCAGCCCAGGAGTGAGACGTGGGAGTGAACAAACTCTGGAATAACTCTAGCCTTCAGCTATCAAGTCAATGCCAGCCCTGCTGTTTTCCAAGCAGAGGCTCCACACATGGCAGACCAGACATATGCCATCTCTGCTATATCTTGTCCCAATTCCTGGTGCAGAGACCCCATGAACATAATGAAATGGTAGTTTCAAGAAGCTACATTATGGAGTAATTTGTTGTACAGAAACAGTAACTAAAACACAGAGTTTTCTCAGCAGGCAGTGAAGAGCCACTGAGGAATGTAAGCAGAGAATATAATCAGATTTGTGCTCTAGAAAGATCTCTCTCACCAATGTGTGGAATGGATTTGTTGGATGGGCATTGGGATCAGAAGAAAGGCAATTAGTGAAAGGATGAATTGTCATCATCTGGGTGAGAAATATTAGCAGCAAGATGAGAGAAAAACCATAGTAAGAGATACTTAAGAAATGGAATCCATCAAATTCAGTGACTGGCGTTCCATGAACAAGAGAATGGAAGAGTCTAAGATTCTGGGTTCTGGGTGTGGGAAAAAAAAATGGATGGTGGAAACACAGAAGAAAAACAGGTTTGGGGGAAAGAAGAGCGATTACATTTTAGACATGTGTACACAGCTTCAGTGAAAGTCCTGAAATGAGTGGTTGAATTCAGGCTCTGAAGTCAGGCTGTCCAAGTTTGAGTCCCAGCTCCCTAGCTCACCACCTCTGCAACCTTAAGGCAAGTTACCAGTGGCCCCGCCCCCCCAAATCCCTGTGTCCTCAACAGGAGAATGGGAAGAGGAGTTCCTAGAACATAGAGATTAAAATAGGAGGCTGGGTCCAGTGGCTCACACCTGTAATCCCAGCACTTTGGGAGGCTGAGTGGGGTGGATCACCTGAGGTCAGGAGTTCCAGACCAGCCTGACCAACATGGAGAAGCCTCATCTCTACTAAAAATGCAAAATTAGCCAGGCGTGGTGGCACGCACCTGTAATCCCAGCTACTCAGGAGGCTGAGGCAGGAGAATTGCTTGAACCCGGGAGGCAGAGGTTGTGGTGAGCCGAGATCGTGCCATTGCACTCCAGCCTGGGAAACAAGAGTGAAACTCCATCTCAAAAAAAAAAAAAAAAAAAAAAAAAAAGTAGAATGAGGCCAGCTGTGGTGGCTTATGCCTGTAATCCCAACGTTTTGGGAGGCTGAGACAGGAGGATCACTTGAGGCTAGGAGTTTGAGACCAGCCTGGACAACATAGCAAGACACCATTTCTACAAAAAATGTTTTAAAAAAATTAGCTGGGTGTGGTGGTACATGCCTATAGTCCTAGCTACTCAAGAGGCTGAGGCAGGAGGACTGCTTGAGCCTAGGAATTCGAGGTTTCAGTGAGCTATGATCATGCTATTGCACTCCAGCCTGCACAACAGAGCTCCTAAGCTCCTGTCTCATAAAAAAAAAAAAAAAGAGGATGAAAAGAGATAATGTATATAAAGCACAGTGCCTGGCATTTAAAAGTGTTCAATAAACGGTAGCTAGTCGTGTTAATATTATTACAATGGTCATTATTATTAACCGTTATATATACTTGGTCAGAGGCTAGGCAGGTTCTTTGTACCCTGAGGGCCTGGCTACAGGGCATTAAATGAAAGCTGTTCCCAAGGAGCCTCACATACAAATCTGGTGCATGGTTTAGTCAACTGTAACGTCCGTGTCAGCTTCTAAAATAGCTACACCAGCTTGCAAAGGAGGGAGAAAATCCAGTCTGTTAGCTGTCCTCAATCTCTGTCTCTCTCCCTCTCTCTCAACTCAATGGTTGAGTGGTTTTAATTAACAACTCCCAAAGAGTAAGGCAAAAGTCACTCGATTAATAAAGCTCTAACTTGCCGTGCACAATTCTGAGGTCTCAGGGTGGCGCTGAGCTTGTAATTGTGGGTTTTGTTTGGGTTTGCAGTGGGTGAGGGGCTGAGGGAGTGGAATTTCCTCAGAGAAATTCGGGTATCATGTCTAGAAACCATAGGTGACTGAAATGCCCACTTTCATGAGATTTAACAACAGGAAGCCACATCGCGGTAAGGCGCTTCGGTAAATCACTGTGCAGAATTGGCTCTTGATCTGAACTTTCCTGCCTCTGAGCACCTCATCGGTTTTCATTTCCAGCACGCAGAGAACCAGTTTTGCCCCCATTCACTTTCTGCATAAGCACTGGGGAATGTTGACACAAGTGTTTCTCATGCTACAGTAAAGACCTGTGACATTTAATTGAAATTAAACACATAATATTGCTTTCGAGGCAAAGAGAAGTATCTGCCTCTGCCCCTGCCACAGCCTCCATGGTCCTTGCACAAGCATTCTCCAGCTATTTTTTTCAGTTCCTACATAACTCACTCCTCTGTACCTTACCCTTCCAAATGGCACTTTCAGGTCCCTTCATAGCTCCTTCAAATGGCACTGGGAGTATCCAGGGCTTCCGATGTTCAGAAGGTGCACACTCTTCCTTTTTGGTCTTGCCTTCCATATATTCGGATATTCAGAGTGTGGGGACTAGCTATAGTAAACTGCCATCCTATAGGGTGCTTGGGATCCCGGGCTTTGAATCAGCCTGGCTGAATGCTTGCTTCCACCAGTTACTGTCTGTGTGGCCCGGCCAAGTAACTTCACCTCTCAGAGCTTTGGCCCCCTTGATTGTAAAACTGGGACGAGAAACAGTCTCTATTGCAAATAACTAGTGGAAAGAGTAAGTGAGAAAAAGCATGTAAAGAGCTCAACACAGTGCCTAGCACATAATAAACTCTCCAAAGCAGTTAGCGACTATGAATTACAGTGCCACCACAGCAGGACTGGCAGAAAGTCATGGGTTAGCAGGCGCTGTTGAGTCCTCTGTGGCCTTCCCCCTTCTCTATAGAGCCAACACCACATTTATTTCGTCCCATGTTTCTGACAACTTGAGTTGACTTCACCCTTTAAACTTCACTGCTCAAGTATGTGAGCTTTCTAATTTCGAAACAGATGACTGGATGATTACAAGCACAAAGCTCTGGGAAAGGGATACAAGACTCCAGTGATGCAGTGGAGATAACCACAGACCCTGTCTCCCACTGTTCCCAAGATCAAGAAGTGAATGTGGGCTTGATTTATAGGTAGAAGGCTCTGGAGACAAACTTGGGGCCTCTCCTTAGGCTCAGAATCTTATTTCATTTTTGGGTCTCAAAAATCATCAGCTCTCTGGAGGTGTCCATGCCAGTGTGTCTGTCTCACTCTGCAGTTATTTCAGGATTAAGAGGAAAGGTCAAAACCTCCATTTCTCAGGGAGATTTCTTACCAGGACCCAGGGGACGAAGGAAGGGATGCAATGATTCTTCCAAGGCAGGCATAGAGTCTTGATCTGTGGTCACATCCCAGGCAGGGTGCGTTAGCTTTGAGCCCTTGCAGATGTTTATTAAAGCTGATGTGTTGACCCTGGGCCACAGGTGAGTTGCCTCCTCCCTTACATGATTCACTCCCACTGATCATATGGCAAGGCCTGCTTACAGGCTGGGATGGCTGATTTTATGTGTCAACTTGGCTGGGCCACAATACCCAGATATTTGGTCAAACACTAGAGTCCAGATATTGTTGCAAAGGAATATTTTAGATGAGACTGACGGTTAAATCAGTAGACTCTGAGTAAAGCAGATCATCCTCCATAATGTAGGTGGGTCTCATCCAATCAGTTGAAGGCTTTGAAAGACTGATGTCCTCTGAGCAAGAGGGGATTCTACCTCAAGACTGCCTTTAGATTTGAGCTGCCACACTGACTCTACTCTGGATCTCTCAGCCAGTAGGCAGGCCAATAGGCTGAGAGACCCAGGGAGGAGTTGATGTTGCAGCTCGAGTCTAAAGGCAGTCTAAAGGTAGAATCCCCTCTTGGCCTGCAACGAGGGCATCTGAAGATTTTGGACTTGCTCAATGACATGACCAATTCCTCTACACATGCATACACCCATACCCACACAAACCTACACACACCCTATTGGTTTCGTTTCTCTGGAGAACCTTGACTAATGCACAGACCAACTCTGATCCAGCCAGGAGCTATTTGGTCACTGTGCTCAAGAATAAGATGTTGTGCCTGACATCATCTTCGTAAATGTCCTAAATAAAATAAAAGACTAAAAAGGCAAGCAGATGTAGTAACTCCAATAGGGCTAAAGGAGCCACCATGCTACCTGTGCCAAACACTTTACAAACACCATCTCCTCTACTCCTCCTCACACACCTGAGAGGTGCGCCACAGTTTAACACATGGGAGGCTCAGGAAAGGAAGAAATTTCCCTATGGTCACAGCTGCCAATCAAGAAATGTGAAGTCAGGTCTTCTGCCTCTATCTCTAAAGTTTCTTCCATTTCCATTGTACATTTCTTCCAGAACAGCTTGATGAGAGGTTCATGAGGTCCCAACAAAACTTAAGCTTCTTATCTTGATCTGAGCACAGGCACACATAGCCTTCTGTTTTGAGTCTTTCAACATGGGCCGACTGTCTCAGGGCCAAAATACTCCCAACCTTGTCCAAATGTTTCTTTTCATATTCACCTCAACTCGAACTTGGTATTCTCCAACCTTCCCATCATAAATCTGTTGAGCCACTCTGTAGCTGCTGGCCCTTGAAAAATACTGGGAAGGGTATTTTCAACTTGAGTGATCTACATGCTTAAGATAAAAATAAACGTGGGCCGGGTGCAGTGACTCACACCTATAATCCCAGCATTTTGGGAGGTCAAGGTGGGAGGACTGCTTGAGCCCAGGAGTTCAAGACCAGCCTGGGCAACCTAGTGATACCCCATCACTATATAAAAAGAGAAAAAAATTTTAAATTAAAAAAAGAAAAGAAATATGGATTTGGTTTTCTAGATGAGAACTATGCAAAGGCTTAGCAGGAAAAACAGGGGGGCTCAGGGACTGTCTGTGAGCCCTCGGGTCTCTGTCTTCCAGGTCCATTTGCATAACACTGAGTAGAGAAAGAAGATGCCTGCAGACCACTACTCTCCAGGCAAAGAGGGTGGCCCTGGGCTGGACATAGTGGTTCACACCTGTAATCCCAGCACTTTGGGAGGCCCAAGGCAGGTGCATCACTTGAGGTCAGGAGTTTGAGACCAGCCTGACCAACATGGTGAAACCCCATCTACTAAGGATACAAAAATTAACTGGGCATGGTGGCATGTGCCTCTAATCCCAGCTGCTCGGGAGGCTGAGGCAGGATAATCACTTGAATGCGGGAGGCAGAGGTTGCAGTGAGCTGAGATTGTGCCACTGCCCTCCAGCCTGGGCAACGGAGCAAGATTCTGTCTCAAAAAATAAATAAATAAATAAATAAATAAATAAATAAATAAAATTTTAAAAAAGGGTGGCCCTAAAGGATGCAGGACAGCATCAACTATAGCAAAGCAACAAGAGCACCAAAGTCACACTGGAATCCCAGGATACAAAGGGAAAGTGACAATAAAATGGTAGGCCATCTTTTTCAACTCTTCCATGGGCTTAAGACAATTAAGTAACAATTACCCTCTAGGGTCTTCATTTTCTTTATTAATAAAAACAGTATAAAGCCAGAGTGTGGGAGTTAGATAAGATGCCTAGCACACAGAAGGGATGCCACACATATCAGCCCCCATAAGCCACCCGGAGCTCCAGAGTAGGATGGAATATGTTTTTCCTGTACATGTAAGCACACTTCACTAAGTGTGAGCTCATGGGCCCCTGGTAAGAACCTTGAATGATCAAAAGTTGGCACAAAAAGTACAGTATCAAACGGTCCAGCTTTGAGAACAAATAACCGACTCCTCCTCTTGTCCATCAAGCCCCAGGGCACAGTCAGGGGCCTGGAACTGACTAGAACTTACTAAATACTTGCCAACTTGATTCAACTAACATGCAGAGTCTCGGTCATGTTGATTAATGGACTTAAGGTGGAATTTCCCTTAAACATCTGGGCCAGTCTCAGTAACACCCAAATGCTGGCTGTGTTTTGTTGATGCTGCTTGCCAGTGAAGAGCCCCGGAAGGGCAGGAGGTCCGTTCCAACAAGACAGCAGACAGTCCAGATGGTGGGGGGGGAAGAAGGAGCACCTTGCTAAGCATGATTAGTCACAGCGGGCTTCTCTCGCCCAGCACGGTAGCTGTCGGCTGGAGGGTATCGTGTTCATGCTTCCCACATGAACATCAGTTATGGTCTTATGTCTAAGGAGAGGGCTCACTAGCTTCTTACCCTTTGGGGCTTGGGGAGGAGTCATGCGGGGAAGAGCATGAAATATGTTAAGTACTTTTATCCTGCACGATGCGCTGAATTTGGTTATATCAGATTGAATCTAGGAAACACCCTCATTATGAGGACAGTTTGGTGAGGTCTGCAATGCCCCAGGAACTGGGCTAGCACTTTGCCTGTGTCACCTCATTCAATTGTCACCATAACTCCAGGCATTATTATTCTCATTTGCAGATGAGCACAGTGGGCTTCCCAGAATGTGAAAGTGAGAACTTACAAGGTCCCCACAGGACCTGCTCTAGTTTCAGATCCACTTTGGAGCCCCCACATTTTGCCTCTTCATGTTAACATTCACCACCATCTGCCTTGGGTTGCAATGAACTATGGACACGCAGGGTGTTCTTCCCCTCTGCGCCCTGAGTTCCTCCGGGGACAAGAGTTGGCAGGCTGTGGGACTGGGTTTTCCTAAGGCTCCTGGAATCATATTCTACACTCTCCTTAAACATTCAACCCACCTTGGTCTGGGGGTGGCCTGAGAGGCCTGAGACAATCTGGGAGCACAGGGTGGGTGCTAACATGCAAGAGGGAAAGCTAGGAAATGACAAAGGATGCTGAGGACAGACATCAGCTATTTCCCAGCAGTTACAACACAGGCTGGAGCTGGGGAGCCATCCTTATCTTCTCTGTCTCCTTTGTGTCCCCTGTGTAACTGGCCCCCACATCAGGCTGAGTTTAATGTAAAAAGTGTCTTTAAACTCATTGTGCATCTGTTCCCCTGGCCCTGGCCTTACCCAGCCCTGTGGCTCTGCTGCGTGGACTCTGGAATAGCTTCTAACCTGAGCCCACTGCCTCCCAACCTCCATCTTGAATCTGCAACCCACCCAAGCACCAACCTCATAATAACATGACAATGCCTGTATGTCCTTAGGCTATTGGTCTGCCTGGGCCCTTGTTTATCCTGTGAGGCCCAGCTCACATGTCCTCAAGGTGCCACCGCTGCTGCTGGTAGTGACAGTGGTGGACAATATGGTAGCGAACCCTGCTGAGTGCTTAAAGCATGCATGCCAGGCACTGGGCTGAGAGTACACACCATGATCTCACTGAAACCTCACATCAAACCTATGAGATGGGCACAGTGAAATTAAATAGGTTACTAAAGGACACACAGCTAAGAGTAGTGGAACCAGCCTGGACTGCAGGTCAAACTCCACAGCCCACACTTTTCCCACCGACCCTCACCTTATGGTAAGGGTGTTTGTGTCCCAACACAAGCCATCACTTCCTCACTGGCCTCCTTCACTCACCACTCTTATGCTGACCTACACAGTGCCCTGTTGCATGATCTTTCCTTCACAGCGTTAGGATCTTGGCAACCTGGTCTTACTCATTTCCCTTGGTCTCAGTGCTTTTAGCATAGTCTTTAACATATAACAAACTCAATAAACACTTTTTACACGGGATTTTACTGCCTTTTGCCTGGAGCCTACCCAGAAGGTAGGCCAAAGGAAAGGATTCCAGTGTCCAAGGCCAGAAGACCCTGTGCTTTGGAAAGCTATGGGAGGAGGAGGACATCTGTAAGGGTGGGTGGCAGGCAGGGAACAGCCCATTTGGAGGCCTCTCAACAAGGGCCTGAGACTTCCTTCTCCCAAAGCACCCACTTTTGTTCCCGTCTTCTTTTTCCTTCCCACAGGATGCAGGGGTGGGAGGGAGGCAGGAAGGGATTCAAGCCTCAAAGCTAGTTAGGAAATTCCCAAGAAATCGAGGCCCAACCCTAGTTTCCTGAGAAGACAAGACACCCATTTATTTTTTTTTCTCTCTCTCTTCCCCATAAATTACTAAGCCAGCATTTGCCATTAGACATCTGTGGCAGTCTGGGCTGCCCACGTCAAAGCTGGACCACACTTCATTTCTCCATGGGGCTGTCCCCCAGTAAATCTCTTTTTAATCCAGGTCTCAGCCTGCTAAGTCTGTCGTCACCAGCAGTGGACAGAGTGCGCATGGGAGTGCTGGAGAATTTCTCCTCCTCCAGTGGGCTAGCAGCTCAGCTATTCTTTCTCCTCTGATGAGACTGCCTACCCAGACGCCGATAAGGGCTAGTAGGTTTCCTGCACTCAGTACATCAAGTGGGTCCACCGTGGAGGGAGAAGAGGTGTTCAGTTTATGCTGCCCCAGCCATCAGGGATGACTGATATTAGTAGCCAGAGCCATCCATCTGCCAAACCACCCATGTCAGACAACATCACAACCATGCAGGGAAAGCTGTCATTTGTTCTGCAGCACTTGGGGAAATTAATCTTGCCCTCTGCATGACTCTGCGCTTGCTCACTCTACCTAGAGAGCTGCTTAGGAAAAGAGACCATTGTACTTGCCTGGGATATTTAACACCAAGGAAAATATCAGACAGGGAAAAGTATTTATGATTTCTGTGAATTCATACACTATTAAGAGCTGTCAGCAAGTAGACACTGAGGGAAGCAGAGAGGCACAAAAAGAACCCTAGACAGGATCTGGCCCAGCCCCATCACCAACCTATTGGGCTACTCTGGGCCTGTTCCTTCATCTTGGAGCCTCATTGCATCTTTTAAGTCTGTCTGTTTTAAGAGGATGGCAGTGCATTAGGGGCAAGTGACTTGCTGTGACATAATGAGAAATGCATATTTGGTCTCTGCTCCCAGTGCCTGGCACAGAGCTCCTAAGTCTTTGGAATTTCTTGATAGGGGTAAGAGGAGCATCTTTTGTTATTCATAGCAAACCCCTTTCAAACATACCTGGGCTTATGCTACTGAGGTGACTCTTGGAGGATAGGAGCTGGTTGCGAGACAAACCAACCATGGGATTAGAGCATTGGAACTTTCATTCCTGCCCTCTGACCTCCAAGACAGTAAGGAGACAGTAAGGCGGGGATGGAGATGGACTTAATTGCTGATGGCCAATGATTTAACTAGTCATGCCTACATAATAGAGTCTCCAAAAAAACATTCAACTATGGGACTCAGAGAGCTTCCAGGGTGGTGGACACACAGTGTTGCTGGGATGGTGGCACTCATGGAGAGGGCATGGAAGCTCTGCACCGCCCCCACACCGTGCACTATGCACCTCTTCATCTGGCTGTTCAACTGTATCCTTTACCATATGCTTTATAACACACCAGCCACAGTAAATAAGTGTTCCCCTGAGTTCTCTGAGCCATTCTAGCAAATTTCTGAATGTAAGGGAGGTCATGGGAACTCCTGATTTGCAGCCAAGTTGGACAGAAGTGTGGGTAACCTTGGGACCTATGACTTGTGATTGGCATCTGGAGAGATAGAGAGAGAGAGAGAGAGCGTGTGTGTGTGTGTGTGTGTGTGTGTGTGTATGTGTGTCGGGGGTGTGGTAATCTTGTGGAACTGAGCCCTTAACCTGTGGCGTCTAGGCTAACTCTAGGTAGATTGTGTCCGAATTGAATTGAATTATAGGATGTTCAGCTGGTGTAGGAGAATTGGTTGTGTGGGGAAAGCAACCCACATATTTAGTGTCTGAGTGTTGGGAAGAGAGACTTTCCATTCATTGGCTCCAAGCCCTACAGATGGGTCTGTCCACATAGCTGAGTCTTTACCTTTCCTTGACAGCTCAGTCTTCCTAATCCCACTGAGACCAGCCCACTGGCTGGCTGGCAACCTGAACTTCCCAAGCGTTCCAAGAGCGCCAAAAGCCAAGATCGTTTCAGTGGGATCGGCCTAGAGAAACGAGAATCTATCCTTTCCAAATCTCGAGATGCCTGCCACACCCTGCTGGAACCTGCCATAAATCAGTGCCTTTCAGGACAGCCTCTCCTAAATTCATTTATCTTGGCTCCAGGGTGCGTTAGGCTGTAAGGAGCACTCTGGCTTTCTCTCCTATCAGTCTGCCAGAAACAACAGCCTATCAAGGTCACTCCAGGTCTGGTCTGGACATATTCACCAGATAAGAAAGAGCCTTTCATGCTATTAATCTACCCCCTTTGATTCAGGGTACTGTCTGCTATGTTCTATGCTGACTTGGTGAGAAATACCTCACACATTTGTCCCATAATGTTCAGTGAAAGAAGGAAGAGATGAACAGGGGCATGTCTATCTTCCATCAGTCCACATGGCAAATGCCCCTAGTTCTCTCTTTTTCTTGTATTGACAATGTCAAGCTCACAGGGTTAGAGGCAGTCTAAACTGACAGGGCCCAGAAGAAGAAAGACATGTGGCTACGTCCTCAAACTCAATGGTGCTACAATCATAGGCACAAATTCATTTAGCGGAATATGGTTGGCCTTGCCATTTTTAAAGTTAGTTGTAGCATTCATTTGACATTTTTTTTTTCTCAGACAAGGTCTTGCTCTGTCACCCAGGTTGGAGTGCAATGGTGTAATCACAGCTCGCTGCAGCCTCAACCTCCTGGACTCAAGTGATACTTCCACCTCAGCTGGGACCACAGGAACATGCCACCATGAACAGCTTTTAAATTATTTGTTGCAACAGGTCTCACTATATTGCATAGGCTGGTCTTGAACTCCTAGGCTCAAATGATCCCCCCATCTCAGCCTCCCAAAGTGCTGGGATTGCAGATGTGAGTCACCATGCCCAGCCAACAAATATTTATTGACTGCTTACTATGCAACAGGCAGGCACAGTGCCAGCCAATGAAGATACAGGAGCATTCAAGACAGATTTGACCCTAACCTTTAGAACTTACAACAGGTTTGGGTTTTGTCTTTCCTATCCCATATATATATATATGTGTGTATATGTATATATATATGTATATATGTATATATATATGTATATACACACACACACATATATACACATATATATACACATACATACACACACACACATGCATATACACACACACATATACTCACATACATACATACAAACACTAATAAACCAATTCTGATGTAGTGCTACCAGTGCTAATACAGATACAGCAAGTAACAAGGAAGCATACAGAAAGGTCACTACCTCTGCTTGGATGGAATCAGAGAGGAGATGACCTGACAGGCAATAAAGGAAAAGATACAAGGTATTATACATGCAAATGATGCATGAGAGCACGAAGCACCCTCTTATGAACAAATAATACAAACAAAAATAAAGTATAACAACTATCCATATAGCATTTACATTGTATTAGATATTATAGGTAATCTAGAGATGATTTAAAGTATATAGGAGGATCTACATAGGTTATATGCAAATACTATGCAATTTTACATGAAAAACTTGAGCATCCACAGATTTTGGTATTTTCTGGGGGTCCTGAAACCAATCCCTCATGGATACTGAGGGATGACTTTAATTAATTCAGCATGAATGAGTTCCTCAATTTCTGAAGAACGGAGTCTCCCCGCAGGCATCTGTGCCCATATTTGTTGATGGAGTAATTCCTGCCACCAAGGAGGGAAGACAGCAGCCCCTAAAAAGCCACTGTGGAAGACCAAATGCTTACATCCTGTTTTCTCTCTACACTAGGCTATTGATCAGCCTCATTCTCAAAAGCCAACATCCTTAGCCCTAAATATCACCAGCCAGGAGCTTTAAACCAACACAATGACTCACAGTGAAAAGGAATTGAGACCACAGCCTCTATCAACCACTAGATGGACACCACAGGCTAAGCTGGCTTTCTCCAAGTGTTCTGTAAATAGAACCATTGAGCTTCATAGCGTGTGGTAGCGAGTTATATAAGCATAAGGTCCTGCCAGAGTAGGCATCAAGAATAGACCATTCTCAAAATATTAAATACCTGCTAAGTCCCAGTCTCTGGGTTTAGAAAAATAATGAGTGCTGTCTGCCTGCTAGGAACTCCAAGTTTAGTGGAGAAAGACACACACACACACACACACACACGCGCGCGCGTGCACATTTCTTGTGCATCTCAGATTCTTGCCTGTTCTTTTCAAGCTCTATCTCTAATATTCAAAGGTTAAGAACTTGTTCCAGTTCACTTGGCAGAGCCAGGATTAAATCTCAAGTCTGTCTGCCTTTTAAGAACATACTCTTTCCTCAGTACCATCCAGTGGCTTTCAGACACTTCCCATGCAAAGTGAAACGCTTATATATAAGGGTAGGTGTGAACCAAGACTACCAGAAACACGTGAGACTGAGCTAACTGTGACTGGGGGAATCCCAGAGGACATCACAGGGGAGACATTTTCTTCAGGATTAGTCAGATGGGCATGAGGGGAAAGGAATTCCAGGAAGAAAGCAGCATGTCCCAGGAGGGAGGGCTTTGCAAATGCAGGAACCAGAGGCAGGGCTTTGCAAATGCAGGAACCAGCTTTTGGTGGTGGCAGGTAGCCTAGAGCAGTGGGAAGTCTGGAGTGTGTGAAGGGAAATGTGGCCGGGGGCAAGTCAGCGAAGGCAGATGAGGCAAAGGCCATGAAGAGCCTCCACAGTCAGTTAAGGCATTCAGATCTGTTCCCACAGGCAATGGGAAGCCATCAAAGGTTCTGAGAGGGAGAAACTTCTGATGTTATATTTAAAGGGTCATTTTTTTGTCCATAAAGGGATATCTACTTATACTTTGGAACATTACACAACTCAGTGCCTCCTTTGAAAAGAAAAAAAAAATCATTTCAAACATATGGACGTGGAGTCTGCCCCTTTAATTTTATTCTGTACCATATGGCACTTTGAATTTTTAGAATATGAGTAGAAGATTGACTTCACAGATCAAAACCTAGTAAGAGAAATTTCATCTGTTATTTTAATTTCCTCCCCACTACAGCCAATGCCCAATTTATCAATCCAATAAAAGGGATGAGTGAGATCAGATAACAACCTGTAAAGTACTTAGACATGCCTGGTATATACCAGGCACAATATAAGAACACACACACACACAAAGTGTAAGAGGCATTTGCCCTTAATTCTTAGCTAAACTACATGGTAATATGGTAATAAAGTAATTTCAGCCCTACCATAGGGAGAATTGAAGGATACACACAGGTGCACATGCACACACCAGTACAGAAAATGAACTAGAGGCATCAAAAAATAGCTGTTATGCCAAGCCGAAGTACAGCATCACTTTAAAAACAGAGGTCTTAGGTTTTTAGAAACCAGAATTTACTTCCATATCAGATTTTCTAAATAAACTTACTATAAACTTTTACAAGAACTTTCCTCAAAGAGCCTCTGTACAGATTGATATATTACTCATACATCAAGGCTACATTTCTACTAAGCCAAATAAACATCTGGACAAAAGCTTTAATCATTTCATTGTTTCCAAGCGCCTGGATGTTTGAGGGAGATAAGGCATCTAGACCCCGACTGGGATTTTGGTCTTTATCAGATACAACTGCAAACAGAAATCCAGCTGAAGGTTTAAAAACCATATTAATTGTAGCACTTCAAAGCTCAGGGAAGTCAAATGACATGCCTAACGTCACAGAGCTGGCAAGAGGTTGGGGAGGGTTTAAGCCCTGGTCTGCCCAATATGATATCCCAGTCTATTTCCCTTTCACTACATCAATTGCCTCAACAATGCCTTATTCAGCACATTCTGAAGCACAGAATAACCAGCCTTTCAATATTTACAACCTTGCCAGTTTATAGGAAGAATATGATGAGTAGAAAAGACATTAAGTGTCTTGCTCTGAACTCTGCGTGTAAACACAAACTGGTAACTTGGCCTCAAAGCAGAAATTCACATGCATTTCCACAGAGTGGATACATGCTTAACAAGTGTTCTAGAATGCTACAACTAGAAGGAGCATTAGGTTCCATCTGGGCTACCTCTCCTCATGCTGAGGGTACATTTCTACATTAAAAGGAACAGGAAGAGAAACCAGACCAAAGTTCTCCAGTTTCAGTAATTGGGTGCTTTGCTTACGTTTCTGAACTTTTTATCTACACTTGCTCTAAGTGCTATCACACATGCTAAAACGTAAACTTGGCAAAGCTGGAACTGAAATGTAAACATCGGTGCTTTTAAGCAAAGGTAAAGGCTCTGGTTTGGATGGTTAAAGAAACCAGGAGTTTCTCAGTCGGCTATCACTAAGATTCAGGTTAGAGTGTTTCAATGTCTCCACCTTGTGGACATAATCAACACTACATCAAAATGAATTCACTGGCCATCTTTTTAGAATTGAAAGACTGGTTCGACAATAAAATCAACTATTACAGGATACAAAA
The DNA here is from genome assembly GCF_000001405.40 of Homo sapiens. Lineage (NCBI taxonomy): Eukaryota > Metazoa > Chordata > Mammalia > Primates > Hominidae > Homo > Homo sapiens. The sequence goes on along the minus strand of NC_000011.10, from coordinate 19,951,566 downwards.
ACCTCAAAACAAGCCACAATTTGTTCGGTAGTATATGAAAATGGGAATTGATAATAATAAATCTGAGTCCATGCTAGATACCAAAAGTCTTCTAAACAATAATACAAAGATTACATTATGTGAAATTCAGTTGTAATAGGTGTATGCTATTGTTTTTCATGTTTATGGAAAACTAGAAAAAAAAGGATGCTCTAAGTTGACCAGGTCATTTAATTTCTCACTCCATTAATTGCGCCAGCCATTCCAGGCAGCAGAAATTTGTTGTACTGTAAGGTGTTGGGCAGCTCAGAAAACACTACAAAATAAAGGCCTCAGAAGTGAAAGTTTCTCTCTGACCTTTTTCTGCCCTCTGGTCTCTCAATCCTATTTCCCCTGAGGCCAGCCATAGAAACTAGAATCCCTCTGCCCCTAGGTAGGCCATAGAAATCAGAACCCTTTTTCCCCAAAGCCAGTCATAAAACCTCCAAACATTATTCTAATTTTCCCTCTTCCTTTCTGTGTGAAGCCTGGGCATAAGGAAATTATCTGACCCACCTTGTTTGATTGTAGAAACCTCCATTACAGAGAGGGCTCTGCCCCATACGCAGAAGGCAGGAATGCTTCTCAGAAGGGCCAAGAAGAACCTTGCTTGGTTTCCCCACTCCATCTGCTAGCATTAGATCATACCTTTTTTGCCCAATCATATTTCTACACAGCTGCCCGTACTTTGTAGAACCTAAGCATAAAATTGGACAATCTCCCCTATATCTTTGGGTATTCATTCTGAAGGCTTCTGTGTATATACATTAAGTAAATTTGTATGTCCTTTCTCCAATGAATCTGCCTTTTGTGAGCTGATTTTCCAGTGAACCTTCAGAGGGTAAAGGGGAAATTTTCCTTTTGCCCCTGCAAAAGGTTTGGTGGATTCTGTTTTCAAAGATTTCACTACCCAAGATAGTTCTAAAAGTAACAGGCTGAAAACCAAAGCACCTCTATGCCTCAGCTTTTAATGAAATAAAAGAACACTTCTAGTCACAGAGGTAGAACAGAGAAAAATCAAATTCATTTTGAAATAAACTCTAGTAGTTGTAGTATTTCAATACAGCAATAAAACGTTGGCAAGATGGTACACTATTACGCTCTGTCCCTAATAGCTGCAAGCCCTTGGGCAAGTTATTTAACCTTCCTGGACTTCACCTTCCTCATCTCTAAAATGGGGACTATGATATCATCTACCTCAAAGGATTGCTATGGAGATAGAACAAGAGAGTATAAAAGTAAAGCACCTAGCACTGTGTTTGGCATATAGGAGAGTTAGCTATTATTTAAATTATAAAAATACTGGCTCACCCATTGGGTTCTTGATCATTATTTTCATGGAAATGAGTGGCACAATTAGTATTTCTGCTTTTTCTTATCTGTAACTTTAACAGCTAGAACATTCAAGGTGGAAAAGATCTTGGAGAACTTCTGGGCAAGTCATGTTAACAGATGAAGGAAGAAGTCCCAGGCAAGTGAAATAACTCACTGCACCTTAAGTCTGCAGGGTGATCTGAGAGGGGAGCATGAACAAGTTACCAGCCAGGCCTCGTGCTATACAGTCATGGCAGGCTCCACCTGAAAGGTTCCTTAGACATCATCTCATCACTCCCCTTCACTTCATATATGAGCACACAGAGAAACAGGGAGGCTGGATTTGTTCATTCATTCACTGATTCACGTGTTCATTGATTTAGCAATATTTATGAGCTCCTATTATACACAACACACTGGGGATTCTGCAGTGAACGCGCAAGACAAGTCCTTGCTTTATGGTACTTACTGCTGCAAGTAGGAGGGGGCCGGGAGGCAACAGAGGATATACACATAATCAGGCTAATTTCGAATAGTGATAATCTTCCAAAGGAGCCTGCCACAGAGTGGTGGAGATGCGTAGGGCAGGAGGCAGGACACACACCTACTTCAAATTGCATGGTCAAGGAGGGCCCCTCCAAGGAGGTGTCAGCTGAGCAGCAAGAAGGACCTACCATGCAAAGATCTGGGAAGCAGAATCCAGGCTGAGAAACAGAGTGCAAGGCTGTGAGGCCGGAAAGAGCTTGACAAGATTGAAGATTGGAAGGGACAGCTGCAGCAGGGAAATAGGTAGGAGAGAGGAAGATGAGATCTAAGAGGCAGGTACAGGCCAGATCTCATAGGCCCGGGGAGGCCGTCTAACCTGCAAGTAGTCCATCCTCAGTGCAAGGTTTGGTTTAAGGGACTGATGCGACATGGTTTGTTTTCAGGTATTACTCTGTTGTGATTTACTGGCCAAGCCTGGACTACCCAGGCCTTCAGACTCACAGCCGAGCAGCGTTTCCCTCCATGTCACACAGCCTTTGATATGGACAGCAGAAACTCAGGTGGGCAGTTTGACCTCCTCCAGAAGAATCAAATAGAGCCCTACAAAAGAGAAGCCAGGTGCCAAGCCCTCTTTCTCTCTGGGAGAAAGGGCGGCCCCGGGTACTTACCCGCTTGTAATGTCATCGGTCCGGATGTTCTTGCTCAGAACATCCCCGTCGCTCATGTAGCCGGGGGCATCCATGCTGATGCCTTCCAGGTCCATCTCATCTCCTGCCTTGTCTGAGACGTCCACATGGCAGACACTACTGCCCCGGGAGGCCAGCTGCCTTCTCAGAGGGGCGGAGTACACATAGCGACCTGACTCAGTGTTGATGAACCTGCTGGCGTTGGCTCGAGGGGGATACCCATTGCCCATTGAGGGGGCGTCTCCTGCTTGGAGCCGAGGGCTGGACTGGCCCAGTCTCCAGGACAGAGGTGTGGGCCTCCCTGTCAAGCTGAGTATGCTACGGCCACTCATCTCCGTGGTGACATTGGTGTCAAACGTGGTTTCCAATGTGCTAGAAACAAAACCAACCTGATTAGACTCAAAGGTACCTAGTATCCTTCACAGTTTATATGTTCTTTAATTATTTAGAATTATGAAATAATCCTCATATATAAAATAGGATAAAACAGCCAGCCCCCATGTACCACCTGATGTGCTTCCTCTGCTCAAAATGAGAAAGGAAAGCTACACATCTACATAACATTCTGAAAAGCCTACCGGAGACTTTCCCTGCTAAAACATGGTACAAGAAACGAATTACTTTAATTAAATGACCTCAACTACTAGAATTTTCTTTCCAGGCCAGATGCAGTGGCTCACTTTCCAGGCCAGATGCAGTGCCTGTAATCCTAGCACTTTGGGAGGCTGAGGAGGGCGGATCATGAAGTCAAGAAATCAAGACCATCCTGGCCAACATGGTGAAACCCCATCTCTACTAAAAATACAAAAATTAGCTGGGCATAGTGGCATGTGCCTATAGTCCCAGCTACTCGGGAAGCTGAGGCAGGAGAATCGCTTGAACCCAGGAGGCTGAGGTTGCAGTGAGCTGAGATTGCATCACTGCACTCCAGCCTGCCGACAGAGAGTGAGACTCCATCCCCCCCGGCAAAAAAAAAAATAAGAATTTTCTTTCCAATCTGGGAAAGAAAATACTAGAAAATGCTGAACTGATTAGGATGGGGCATGAAGGTTCCTGCTTGCCCATTCATTCTAGGATGTTGCATCACAGCCTTCTTTTCCTAAGGGTGGGATTCTCCACCCACCGGGAGTTCCTAATACCACATTTTACATCCTCAGCTCCCTCCCAACTGAGCAGTGGACACAGTTCTAATTTTCTAACCCTCTAAAGTTCACTTCCCCCAGACTTTTGCTTTTCTCATATTTCATCCAAAAAGCCTGGAAAGATTGGTAAATGCCTGGGCTTGAGTTCCCTCTTCAATCAAGTTACATGGACTAGAATCTGCCCAAGGATGAGCTCAATCTCTTGGCAGAGTCTGTCTTCCACTGTTTTCACAGCGCTGCAGTTTCTTGCAGCCCAGTCAAGACTATCGTGTGCACCTTCACAGGAAAACTGGAATTTCCTCACTGAGCAGAGAATGAGATTCTTCCCTGCAGAAGAAACCACTGAAGTCTTCCCTCCTGTCATAATTACCATCCCACCGTCAAACTGCTATGCCAACATTAAGTCAGTGTCAGTGACGATGGTGGAAAAAGGGATGTTTCACACCTAATGGTAGAGTCACAAGATCCAATATCTGACTCCCCTTCATTCAGATACCTAAAGGTTTAAGAGGGTACCACCCCCAAACCCCCGAGTTTACTCTCCTCTGGAAGAGCCAATTTGGTCCCTTAAGCTGTTTTTGTTTTCCTCTGATCTTGGAAGTGGCCTTATTTTTCTCAGATTGGACCCCTTGTTTTGGGCCTCGGTCCTATTGGAGATGGAACCCACAGTGGTTAACCCCAATCTTCCAAAACTGCTGACAGTGGGGAAGCCCTGTGGTTTCCTTGCCATAGCCACTTATCAAAGAAACTGAAATTGGAGAAGCAAAGGAGACTCCCTGGGAGCTCAGTGGGGACAACAAGAACTTTCCTTGATTTCTACAACTATAAAACCTCCTCCTGCCCAAATCACAAAAGACATCCCAGGGTTGCATCCTCTTCAACTTCTTGTTCAACAATGAAAGCACCTGATGTTTCCAATGTAATACTAGATTTCATCCAACTAAATCAGAGTTAAAACATGATCATAAGTTTTTATAAATATTTCCTTACATGTTTTATGTACGTGCATGACTAACAATATTACAGAGTGCTGCATATCAGAAGATTGGGTAGGAATTCAAGCTATTCAGTTTATCACACAGGTCAAATATAGTTCACCTGCTCATTTCCACAGCACCAGACAGTTATAGAAAATGCAAGTAAAGTGAAATTTAAATAGAGCTGGTCTACAGTATCCTTTGTTGAATGGATTTAGCAACCTTCTGCTTTTGGGAAAAATCTGTCTATACTAATTTTTTATTTCCTATAACTCTCTTCTGCATGTCATATGGCATTCTTTGTGAATTCCGGCACATTTGGAAAGCGAGGCTATGATCCATTATAACCAAATCGCTTTGCTACTGCTATGAACAAACACAGGAGAAAATTAGGATACCAGGTAGTTCAGTAAAGTAATTCACACTGCAGATACCTGTGTGTAACCTGAGTTCCCCTTAAACTGGACATGGTTTCCTCCAAATTCTGCCGCAGATCAGCGATGTTCTTCACTGTCCGCAGCCGCCGAGCCTCAGGATCTTCCCCTAGAAAGATGAGGGTTAAGACTAGTTTAATTCTCTGACCAACCATGAGCTTCATAAGGGCAGCATCCATGTCTATGACCATAACCATATTCCATGCTCAGCACGTGCCTTGCTGTGGGTGCTTAATAAGGATTTGACAATGAATGAATGATTGAATGGAAGTGTGAATGGAAGCCCAAAGGAAGTGTGAAGTCCAGGGAGATTCTTCCTTCAGGTGCCTCCTTAAATAGGTGAAGTCTAGCATGTGGGAGAAGCCAAGTGCCTAGTCTGAGATGTAAACACATTTCCACAGTGTCTCCAACAGAGACATGCTCAGGTTAGGTCCAACCAGGTAGTCATTTTCTACCCATGCAAAAATGAGTGAAGCATTTTGTTTTCTCACCTATTGGTGATATATGCAGCTATCTTAGGCCCTACTGTGCAAGCATAGCTTGCAGTAGCTAGAAGATCTGCACCTGTTAATCACAAATATTTATACAGAGAAAGGTTGCCTTCTTCCTTGTTAGATGTATTATGTCACCTCAAATTCAAGCTCCTCTACTTACTGGCTGTGTGACTGTGGGGAAGGTGCTGGTCCTCTCTATCCTTCAGACTTCACTTTTCTAAAAGGAACGCAGTGGTAGTACTGACCTCAAAGGACATTTGTGGAGACAAACTGGGATCAGGCCTGGAGATCCCTTAGCACAGTGCCCACCATAAGCACTCAACACAAGCCAGCTGGTGCTCTAGAGCAGGGAGCCTGTAAGAAACAGCTGGGGGTCAGGTGCAGTGGCTCACGCCTATAATCCCAGCATTTAGGAAGCCAAAGTGGGCAGATCGCTTGAGCCCAGGAGTTCAAGACCAGCCTGGGAAACATGGCAAAACCCTGGCTGATGGCATACACCTGTAGTGCCAGCTACTCTGGAGGCTAAGGTTGGACGATGTCTTTAGTTTAGAAGGTAGAGGTTGCAGTCAGCCGAGATTGTGCCATTGCAATCCAGCCTGGGTAACAGAGAGTGAAGGGAGGAAAAGAGGAAGGGAGAAAGGCAGGGAAAGGAAGGGAAGGGAAGGAAAGGGAAGGAAAGAAAGGAAAGAAGGAAAGGAGGAAAGAAAGATGAGAAAGACAGAAAGATAAGAAGGCAAGAAAGCAAGCAAGAAAGAAAAGACAGACAGAAAGCCAGCCAGCCAAGAAAGAAAAGAAGGAAGGAAAGGAAAGAAAGGGAAGGGAAGGGAAGGGAAGGGAAGGGAAGGGAAGGGAAGGGAAGGGAGACAGAAAGAAAGGAAGAAAGAAAGAAAGAAAGAAAGAGAAAAAAAGAAAGAAGAGAAGAGAAGAAAAGAGAAAAGAAAAGGAAAGGAAAGGAAAGAGAAAAGGAAAGGAAAAAGAAAAAGAAAGAAGAAAGAAAAGGAAAGGAAAGGAAAATGGAAATGGAAAGGGAAAGGGAAAGAAAAGGAACGGAACGGAAAGGAAAGAGGAAAGGGGAAAGGGGAAGAAAAGAAAAGAAAGAAAGAGAAGGAAAGGAAAGGAAAGAAAGGAAAGAAGGAAAGGAGGAAAGAAAGACAAGCAAGACAGAAAGACAAGAAGGCAAGAAAGCAAGCAAGCAAGGAAGAAAGAAAAGACAGACAGAAAGCCAGCCAGCCAAGAAAGAAAAGAAGGAAGGAAAGGAAAGAAAGGGAAGGGAGGGGAGACAGAAAGGAAGGAAGGAAGGAAGGAAGGAAAGAAGGAAGAAAGAAAGAAAAGAGAAGAGAAGAAAAGAGAAAAGAAAAGGAAAGGAAAGAAAAGAGAAAAGGAAAGAAAAAAGAAAAAGAAAGAAGAAAGAAAGGAAAGGAAAGGAAAATGGAAATGGAAATGGAAAGGGAAAGGGAAAGAAAAGAAATGGAACGGAATGGAAAGGAAGGGAAAGGAAAGGGGAAAGGGGAAAGAGGAAAGGGGAAAGGGGAAAGGAGAAGAAGAGAAAAGAAAGAAAGAGAAGAAAAGGAAAGGAAAGCAAAAGAAAAGAGAAGAAAAGAAAAGGAAAGAAAACAGACAGCTGGGTTCCTCTTTGTCAGGACCACAGTATTCCATTCCCTGGGCAAAACTTTCCACAAGACACTTGGCTGAGCAGCATTTGAGCTGAGCTGGCACTAGTGTACCATGAGAAATATGCCACACACAAGCTAGGACACAGTGCAGTCTTGTTTTGCCTTCTCTGGCAATTCTGTTTCTTTCTTTCTTTCTTTTTTTGAGACAGAGTCTTGCTCTGTCGCCCAGGCTGGAGTGCAGTGGCACGATCTCAGCTCACTGCAACCTCCACCTCCTCAGTTGAAGCGATTCTTCTGCCTCAGCCTCCTGAGTAGCTGGGATAACAGGCGCCCGCCACCACACCCGGCTAAATTTTTTTTTGTTTTTAGTAGATACAGGGTTTCACCATGTTGGCCAGGCTGGTCTTGAACTCCTGGCTTCAGGTGATCCACCCACCTCGGCTTCCCAAAGTGCTGGGATTACAGGCGTGAGCCACCACACACGGCCTAGTTCCGTTTCTTTTAGCCTTACAAAGGGAAGAGGAGAGGTGCAATAACTACAATAATAATTAATAGAATTATATATTTTCTCCCTCAGAGTAATTTTAGGGAGAGCTGAGAAGACTGAGGAAGCACAATCATGGGTCTTTAAAAGCCTAGGACTATTTTCAAGCGTTGAGCAATATTTTCAAAGAAATCTCCATCTAGAACATAGCACAAGCAGAATTTACATTAGACATCAAGCAGCAGCAAGTAGAATTGACATCAGACACCAAGTTGAACTTCCAACAATTGCCATTAACAGGGGACAAGGCAGCTAAGAAATATAACAGAATTAACTTTTCTTCTGAGATAGATGACAACTTTCTTAGGTCGTTCTTGGCATGGTGGTGCCTGGAGGCTGGGATGGAGTAAATGATATACCCATGATTTCATGGAGGAAATTTACTTGAAAATGCAAGTGCTTTCCAATTTCTCCTTCCACCTTTTAACCCAAAGAAATTTGGAAGGCATTTTTCTCTTATCTGAAAAGTGGTCAAACTTGCATTTCCCTCCCAGTGCTTTAAAATACATATATATGTATGTGTTTTTTTAAAAAAAGCAAAGATGAATGTCTATTATACCTTCCCCTAATGACTTTGGAGGAATGTAACTGCATCTACCTTCTGGGCCATCAGTGAAATCTTTTACTGCCAATTTGGCCACATTTTATGTATATAAGCCTGTTAAAAAAATACTGATTCTTAGGTTAGCTCTAGGCCCTTTAGAAAATATTGATTATGAAGCTAAGTCTAGGCATAGGTTTTCAAATTACCTCAACTAATTACCTTAACCACACGCACAAAATATAATAGCCATATTTACTTATCCATCACTCTATTAATGACATATTGTTGCTGGTCTTAACCCTCCGTTAGAAATTCAACTATTTTATTTTTTAGAGACAGGGTCTTGCTCTGTTGCTCAGGCTGGAGTGCAGTGCTGTGATCACAGCTCAATGCAGCCTCAAACTCCTGGGCTCAGGAGATCCTCCCACCTCAGCCTCCCATGCAGCTAGGGCTACAGAGATGCACCACCATGCCTGGCTAATTTGTTTTCTTTGCAGAGATGAGGTCTTCTATGTGTTGCCCAGGCTAGTCTCAAACTCCTGGCCTCAAGCGATCCTCTCACCTTGGCCTCCCAAAGTGCTGGGATTACAGGTATAGCTACTGCACCCAGACAGAAAGTCAAAGATCTTTGAGTTGGGGATGGTGTCTCATCTTTCCTTTTGGTAACCCCCACACAATTTATAGAGGTCTAAGAAATGTTTATTATACAACACATGTTTGGTCAGTATGGGGTTGTAGGAAAAGCATGGACTTCAGTTATCCACAGATAAATATTTAAATTGTGGCAATGCTGCTTATTAGCCACTTGACCCTGGACAAGTCACTTATCCTCTCTGGATCTCATTTGTAAAGTGGACATAAAAACCTCTCGCTAGAAGGGTTAGGGTGAGAGTCAGATGATATGGCACATAGCACAAAATGAGGGCTCAGTAAATATGAGTGTCCTGTTTCCCTCTTGTGGGTCGTGCTGGGAAATATTTGCCTTCCTCCAGGGCTCTACATCAGATCCCAAGGGCAATGTAGGAACACAAAACAGTAACCCACCTGACATGCTTAGGTGATCACGTTCTAAACTGCCAATTATGCCTCCTCTGACAATGACCTGAATGTAGGATATACCCACTAACTCACAGCCTGAACACAATAAAAACACAATCGAGCTCCAGTGGAAACAGCAGGGAGCTTTCAGCTCACAGATATGGAGAGGTCTTAAAACTTTAGTGTCTACCTGTAGCGATCTGGACCTTGCCAAGGAGGGCTCTACCTCAAGCCACTAGTCATGATTGGGAGAGCATCGCATTGTGACCAAATATGACTGAGCTTGGAGGATATCAAAGTGTTACAAAAGGACCATGGAAAAAATCCAGGATTTTTACTTGGAAATAAAGAAACCTTAAGGGATATGTTACAACATGAAAAAGAATGAAAACTGGGGCTTCAGAAGGCTGAATTATATCCGGTGATTGGAAATGTAAGAATAAAGAACTCCATTAACTGCTGAAGCCGTCAACAACAGCAAAAAAGTAAAGGGCTGCCTTATGAAGGAACAACATTTTGTCCAAGAAATATTCAAGCAGAGGCTGAAAGATGAGTCCTCAGTAAGCTATAGAAGGAATTCATGAGCAGTATGATAAGCAGGTGTGTGTGGTTCCTTCAATTCTATCATGCAAGATGCATTTCTCAACTGTAAGGCTCTGTACATGACCACACACCATAGGAAAACCCACCCATTTGCATAAGTAAGAGGAAGAACTAAGCAATTGATCAAATAGTTATGTAAATGTCCATTTCTAAATAGTCCTACCATGCACTGTCATTTCAAAGGATTGGCTGTGGGTAAGTTAAATTCAACCTCATGCTATTTATTATTCAGTGTCTCCATAAAAAAAAATTCAACATAGTCACATGTGTGACTTCTACTGCTTGAATATAAAGACATGTCACCCTGATAAGGAATTTTTGTTAGCGACCAACCCCATTTGATTTGACACCAAAGAGTGCACAGTCAAGCACTACTGGCTGCACAGTCTCTTCCCCGCAGCCGATTGACAGCATTTCAGGGTTTCTGAGCTCTTAAGGCCTGGTACAGGGGAGACATGGAGATAAAAAGAAAAATTAGGGGAAGATCACACACTGCAATCTGTCACTCTGAAATCTAAGTAATATTTGGAATATTCTCCGGCTCCTGCTTTTGCTTTTCAAATGTGGATTTTGCTGAGACTCAGCATCTGACAGGAATCCACACTGCTCCACGGGCCACACATCTGAACCATGCTGGGATCTGAAGCGTTGGCCTCGCTCTTTTGATGTCTGCACATCAGAACACAATCTGGAATGTGCATGGAGACTCGAGCAGCCATCTGAACTCCACACCCTTCTCATTGCTGGTCCTTTTCCCGTGCTATCCATGTACTCATATGAAAGAAAGATACAAACCTTGAAGAGAAGGAAACAAAATCAATCCCAAATGTGGGGCCCAAATCATTCTAAGATGGACTGCTTACAAATGGCTTGAAGAATCTCTGCACCATCACCGTGCCCAGGCAGTGGAACCAGAATCCTCTGAAATTAATCACTGGGGCTAATTGCTAGATGGGTAAGGTTCAATCACTGGGCTGCAGACCAATTCCACAGCTGTAATGTGGCTATTAAAATGCTGTAGTCAGGGATATTCAGTTCAATAAATGGATTTTAAGCCTGGATTCAGTTTTTAACCCGACTGTGGAAGTGGTAAGATATGAGAAGAATGACACAGCCACTAATAAATCCATGGCTTACCACTCATTTCCCTGACTAGAAGCTGCTGGAGCTTGGGACACAGAGTTTTGGAATGGGGAAAAGAGACAGAGAAGATAGCAGCCTGGAATCCACCGTAGTAAGAATTCTAATTAAGGTGTGACTTTTCTTCTTTAATTAAGAATGCGATAGTATAGTGTCCAAAAATAAATGCTTGCAGAATTAACTATACAACGACTGTGGATTTTATGCCGTCATACAGTATAATGTACCTGTAATCATCATTGTCTACATTACATTTAAATAAAATTTATATTTTTTTTTTGTTTCTGGTAAAAAGAAGCATGTTACAATTTTCCCCCCCAATTCACATAGGACTCTAAGAACATATTTTAAATCAGTGCTTCCATACAGGAACGAAATCCACTATTTTAGAATTCTAAATCTTGTTGAAAAGCAACTTTATCTGAAGAGTAAACAAGAAGATTCAAAGTTAAGTATCAGTGCAGTCCAGAGCCCCTAAATGAATAAAACTGAACGTATCTTAAAAATAGGATTTGCACACCAGTAAGAGACTTGTTTACGATTCTGGGGAGGAGGGAAGAAACTGTAAGAGGGAGAGAAAAGGGAAGAAAAACAAGAAGAAAAATAATAGGAAAAAAAAAAAGAAAGAAAGTTTGTTTAGCTCAAAGTCAATGCAAACATAATGCAACTCGTAATCAAGCTGGGTTCATGCTGTTCCAGCAGGTATTGCGTGGAAGGCCTCATCACCAACAGACACAGATTTCTGAGGCTCCATACTCACCAGTGAGTTCTTCCAGAGCAGGCTGTCCAGTCTTGGTGAAGTGGCTGGGCTCCACGCTCACACCTGTTGAGCTTGACTCGGCAGTAACATTCCCTTCAGTGTCCGTCTGAGACCTTCACACACAAACCGAAGCAGACACACTTGTCATGAGAGGCAACTACCACATCTGGACCACTGTGGTCTAACCACAGCCCTCACCATCACCTCCTGTAGCAAGAAGCTTCAGAACAGAGTGGACCAGCAGACTGACGCTAAATAATTCATTAGCCGTATGTGGAGCAATGTCCTAAGAACAGAGAGAGCCGCTGAACTGTAAAAGATAAACTTTTCATTGCCCAGATGGAGGGTCTGCAATCCCTCACTGGGGAATGCTTCTCTGAACCTCCGTCAGGATGCTAGGTCTAGCCAGACACATGCTGGAGGGTACGGGGTGATTTGAATAATTTAACCTATGCCAAAGAACAGCTTCTAAGTAACCAGCCATGCCAACAAGTCAAACATAAAGATGACTCTATTAACAGCTCCCCCACCCCAAAATTCTCCTGACATGGTTTTCTCTATAAAGGTGACCATAAAACCAGTCGGAAGTGGGTGCCAAGCAGGTGTGTTTGCCCTCCAGGTCTCTGATTCAGAGCTTAGTTCTTCTGACATGAAAGGTCTCATTGATCATTATTTCAACACTTGACTGAAATCTGTACTTCCCCAAACCCTCTCCATGCCCTTATTTGTCAAGCAAATTGAAGCAACAGCTTCATGCAATGTTTTCTTGTCACAGCTACCTCTGCTCATTCAGGCATGGCATGCAAATGCATAATTACACTCAGATGCATGACCCTGCATGTAACATTATTAACGCACTGGCATGCTGAACTAATTCAACCGATTTCACTACCTGTGAAGAAAACGTTTGCCCAGAATGAGAATGGACCACGGGGGATGTACTGATAAACCTCAAGTCATCCAACTGTTCTTCCCTCCTTTGTTCTTCCTACTGAGGCCATCGTTCTCAATTCTGTTATCTTTACCTTTAAAGGATTTCATACTCCCTGTGCTCCTTTCACCTCCAGCCAGGGTCCAAGCCCTCATCATCTCTGCTGAGGCCTTATGAGTACTTTGAAACAGGTACCTCACACCTAGAGGTTACAAATGGCAGCCCGGTGTGGAAACCAGCCCAACTTATTCCTACTGGTCTGCATAATATTTTAAAGTTTTAAAATTAGTTCAACATTTAAAAATCGGGATATTTCACAATAAATATCTGCATTTCTGCCTTCGTCCAGTAAAAACAATAAAGCTTGGAAAGGACTGTCTTTGTTATTGCAGATCGCCACCTGCTGGTGCCAAGTGGTGGCTGCACCCTCTAAAGAGGCGTGGCTCCCTCTGCCACAGGCCCACTCACCCTGAGCCACCCATCTAGATGACCATTTAGAGGCCAATTAGGCATCTGAATCTGTGATCTCCATTCTACACTCTTCCTAAGTTTGGTCTACTCCCCACACGATCTTTCATTGACTTTTGTAATACTGACGTGATGACATCACTGTCTTCGGTGGTTTCCATTACCCACAGAATAAGGTCTAAACCCCTTATTGTGGTAGATGATGGCCACATTCTTCCTTTATTTCCAGCCCCATCTCCTGCCTTTCCAACTCTTTACATACAACTCTACTATGCTGCACCCACATGTGGCTTCTCTCCACATGGCTTTAACAGGTTTATCTTTGCAGTAACTACAACCTCTCTGCCTAAAGGCCCTTCTCCTCCTTCCTTAGTTCGCTGCTAATCTGTCTTTAAGATGCAGCTTCCATGTCATCTTTTCCTGAGAGCTTTCCTTGACTCCTTGCCAGGAGTTCCTACAGCACTCTCCTTATTCTCTTGTTGGCTAAAATGTGATCCTATAGCACTCTCCTTATTCTCCTGTTGGCGAAAATGTAAATCTTTCCTCAACTAGATTGAGAGCTCTTCAGAGGCAAAGGTTAGTTCAAGTTCATATGCTACACAGGCAACGCAAGAAGGGTGTGTTGACTGGATAAATAAGAAATGTTTAAGTCTCAGAAGATGCTAGGTACTAGAAGGAACATTAGACTTGGAAGTCTAAATATTCGACTAGCTCCAGGTCTAAGATCTATAACTTGTTAGCCATGCAAAACTTGAGTTGTCACTCCACCTCTTTGAATCTCAGCATCCTCATCTGTACAATGGGGATAATAATAGCAATCTCCTCTGGTTCTATAAAAATGAAAGGTGATGTGACACACAACTCTTAGTAAACTATAAAGTGATAAAGTGATAGATGAATCCACTGTTACTTCTGAATTGATAAATATAATTCATTCTGAGTGATTTTTAAAAAAATGACCCATCTTCCCTTTACTCCTTGGTAACAACTTTAACATGGAGAGGTTTTGGTGGGCGGGGGGGGAGCAATTATAAGTTATATATAGTGAACCATAAGCTTGAGGGAGAGAATTTTAGAGCAGAAAAGGAGAATAAACCATTTTATAGAATCTAATCTAATCCAATCTTCTCATTTTCCAGATGAAGACAATAAAGATAAAGTGATTTAGAGTCAAGACTGGTGGTTAAGAGCCTGGTCTCACTAGTTAGACAGACTTGGCTTTTTGGTTTGTTTGTTTTTGAGACAGTCTCGTTCTGTTGCCCAGGCTGGTGTGCAGTGGCGTGATCATGGCTCACTGCAACCTCCGCTTCCCAGGTTCAAGGGATTCTCATGCCTCAGCCTCCGGAGTAGTTGGGACTACAGGCGTGCACCACCTCGCCAGGCTAATTTTTGTATTTTTAGTAGAGATAGGGTTTCACCATGTTGGCCAGGCTGGTCTTGAACCCCTGACCTCAAGTGATCTGCCCACCTTGACCTTCCAAAGTGCTGGGATTTCAGGTGTAAGCCACCATGCCCAGCCTACACCTGGTTTTAAACATGAGCCCCTCTAGTCTAGTTCTGTGACTTGGGGCAAATTGCTTAATTACCTCTAAGCTGCTAGCTCATGGAGGTGTGGGAAGAATGAAGTGAGCTAAGATGTGGAAAGCCCTTAGCGGACTCTGTACCCACACTCGATCAATACCTGTTCCTGCAGCCAGTGCCGAAGACCTCAGAGGGCACCAAGGGCTGATAAAGGACAGGGCCCAGGTGTCCTGATTCGTATCCTGGTGCTCTTATTTCCAGCGTCACTTCCCAGACTACCCTAAAGATGAAGGCAACTCAGAGGGGACAGAAGGACGTTAGTTACCCAGAGTGGGCATTAACGTAAAAACGGGGCTAGTCAGATCCACATCATAGACGTTTTCCTCTTCCTCCTCTTTGTCAGACATTTGCTTTTTATCATTAAGACTTTTTCTTCTGATAGAAAAGCTTGAAATAAAAAAAGGTTATATCTTTTATAATCTTTCAAATGATTATAGCGAACAACAAAAAAAGAAGGAATGGGATTGATGGTGATCAAAGACTGTCATATTTTAATTTTGAAAATGCAAATTGAGAAGCTGTGAATCCTGAATATGTATTACCTTAAGACTAATAATGCTATTGGAATTATAAAAATTTCATATGGAGCTATTTAGTTGCCTCCACACTTCAGAGAACAGTTCATGGCTGGGCGCGGTGGCTCATGCCTGTAATCCTAGCACTTTAGGAGGCTGAGGAGGGTGGACTGCCTGAGCTCAGGAGTTCAAGACCAGCCTGGACAACATGGTGAAATCCTGTCTGTATTAAAATTAAAAAAAAAAAAAAAATTAGCCAGGCATGGCGGCATGCACCTGTAGTCCCAGCTGCTCAGGAGAGGCTGAGGCAGGAGAATTGCTTGTACCTGGGAGGCAGAGGTTGCAGTGAGCTGAGATGGTGCCACTGCACTCCAGCCATGGCGATAGAGCGACACTCCATCTCAAAAAAAAAAAAAAAAAAAAAAAACAGAAACAAAACAAAACAAAAGCCGTGTATGTAGACCAGCTGAGTCATTATCTAAGCCCTGGTGCTCTCTCAGGATTGTGAGCTGAGCTGATGACTTGATTCAATAAAATGAGACCTTCTCCCAATTAAAAAGATTGGTATGACCCTCACTGAAGGAGAATGCAAGCAGAACAAAAGGAAGGAGTGCAATGCCTGACATTCCTTTGCTGGCCTGGTGCTGGCTGGCTTTCCTTTGAAAGCACTTAAGCCAGTCCCTCCACCAGCTATTGGCAGGAACTGTAACAGAGACCACTAGAACACAGCTCAGGAGGAAAGAGGGAATATCGAATTCTTTGGGGAATCATACAAACATAGCAAGCTGAAAGTCTGGGCATGCACCTATGCACCTGAACAGGTATGTAAATACGGGTATGCACATGTGCCTTTGCATTTTATGTATGAATGTATACTTGTGTCCATGCTTATATGTGACTTTTAATGTGTGTCCACATGTATGGCTGTATGAGTGTGAGTGTACAGCTGTGCATCTGTATGCACTTGAGTTACAACTGTAAAATACGTGTCTAGAATGTGACACTTGATCATTAATCCTCTTTTGTGTGTACAAGTATTAGTTATCCAATTGTGCAATGTGGCCAAATGCACTGCTCATCTCCAGCACAGGATCGAATCAGGCACTGTCAGTGAAAGCTCTGGGAATGATAAGAACTTTAAGGGCAGGGGTTGGGGAGCTTCCATCTGCCTGGAGTGGACTCATCCATGTGTATGACGTGGCCCCTGAATCCCATGTGCCTCATTCAGCAAGGGGTGTGGTGTAGCCTGAGCAATGAGCAATGTCGCTGACCAGAATCACACAGAGCAGCAGCACCACTGTGTGGACTGGCTCCACACAGTCTCCCATGGTCCTGAGGATGTGCCATCAAAGAGACAGGGGCTAGGGGACAGATAAAGACAGAAGGATCCATCCATCTCCACAAACACCCAGGCTTATCTCCTCAGAACATGAGCTCTTGTTCTTCTAGACCAGCCCCTCCCCTACCATTACTCTTCTCCCCAATGTCCCTCTCCCTTCAGAAAGCCCCAGCACTCAGCAGGGACTGTGAGGATCTGGATGTTCAAGGCAATCCCTGCTATAAGAAATCTTAGTTATTGAGCCAGGTGTTTATTATTTTATTTATTTTTTAAGTATGTTGGGATGTGTTAGGACTAATGCTGGGGACTGTCGGGTGACACCAAACCGCCCCCACCCTCATATTTAGGCCTTCATGCTTTCTGCTCAGGGAAGCTGCTGCTACAAGGCCTGGGGTCCCCACTTTCCTATGCATCCTGGGATCAGCTCACATTTTACTTCCCTTCTTCAGCTTTCTCTGTTCCTTCCCCAACCTGTGCTGTATGAACTGCTCCCTGGAGCACATTGTGTCTGCTTCTCTTAGGAGTTCATCACGTGGTTTCTTAGCTACTGACTTAAGTATTCCTGGAGCACAGTCTAGCTTCTGCCCTTACAGACCCGGAATCCACTATAAAGGAACTTTTACCCAATGTCCCAGGCAGCACAGGTGGGTGGCAGCTCCTACCTGTACAGGAAAGGTGCAACCGTGGCAGTGTTGGGATGGTTGTATTGCTGCTGGGGCTGAGGTAGCTGAACACTGACGGTATTGCTTCCTGTGGTCTGGGTGGTCCCGACAGACCCACTGACAGTCTGGCTGCTGATGCTGTGGTTCAGGGTGGTCCCTCCTGGGCCTTTTCCTTCTGAGGACGCCAGGCTGGAAGAGGAACTGGAGTGTCTGCCGTCCAGCTGGGGCTTCTGCTGGGGGAGTCCTGAGCTCAGCTTCCCACTCCGGCTCCGCTCCCCTTCCTTGGAAGGCGCTGGGGCACTTGGGGATTTCCCGGGCATGCTTTTCATTCCTGGTTTTGGTATTCCACTGTGGGAAGGGGCCATGGGCTCCTTCTTGGCACTGTTGAGCTTCCCCCCTTTGGGGATGAAGCTGGCAATCTTGGAGGACTTTTTTGGCATCTCGGGCACAGCTGCTCCACTGGGGTCTTCTTTTGGCTCCTCCTTGAGGTCCAGCCTCTCCGTCACAGAGGCTCTCTTGGCAAGGTCCTTGCTTTTCTCCTTATCCTTCTCCCGCTGTTGTTTCTCCTTCTCTTTCTCATTGCCTTTCAGAGAACTCTTCTTGTTGGTCAGTGCCCGGCTAAAAGTCCTCTGGGCAATGCCCTTGAGTGCAATCTTGGGGCTGCTGGAAGCAGGGCCCACGGTGGTGAGCATGCGACTGGCGGCCTCCAGCTCCTCGCTCTCTTCGAAGCTGGGCAGAGTCTCCAGCCGCTCACAGCTTGTGTCCCGGGACCCCGGCCCCTCACCTGCCTTTGAGCCCCCTTTACTGTTGAAAAGTTTCAGCTTTTCCAGCATGGACTTCTGATTGTTGGGGGCCGGCTTCATGGCTTCAGGTGTGGGCCTGGGGGCCTCAGGCCCAGGAGGCTTGACCGAGAGCATGGATACCGTGGCACTGTGCTTCACGCTGAGGGATTTGCTGCGCCAAGGCTTGGTGGCTGCACCGGGCTGCGGGATGGCCGAGGAGGTACTGCAATTAGTAGGGGTGGAGCTGCTGCCGCTCTCCAAGGAAGCAGGTGCATTGTCACTCATTCCGGGGTGGGAGGAGGCTGAACTTGCCAAAGGCTCTGCAGAGACAGAAGAGAGGAGGCCTGAATCATACTTGTTGACCTGCACTGAAGACCAGGGAGGGTCAGCCATGGCCACACAACCAATCACTCCCAACCCAAATGCCGTATAGCTCCATTGCCCACTTTGTGGATTATCTGTGGTTAGGTTTTAATTTCTGGCTTGACTTCCTCCTGCTTTCCATACTGCACAGTTCACATCCCCCCAACCCCATCACATTTTGGTGGCATGTGCCACGTGAAAGCATGCAGGTCTTAACAAATCTTAACAGACACCTGCACCGTTAATACAGCCAGTGCAGGAGAGAGTAGGAAATACCTACCGTTTTCAATTATTCATCCCATAGCCTGTTTCCCAATTATGGGAAAGAATCAAGAATTATCCAACTTTAAGCAAACAATGTATCAGAGACATTAAAATACAACAATTACAAAAATAGAAAAGAAGGAGAAACCATGTAGAATCTTTAAAAAAGAATAATTACACACAAAAGTTGTTAAAGCCTATTAAAGCATGTAAGTTTTTCCTATGCTGGCACTTTTTAAAAGTTGCAAATGGCTGGGTGCAGTGGCTCACACCTGTAATCCCAGTACTTTGGGAGGCCGAGGCGGGCAGATCACCTGAGGTCAGGAATTCAAGACCAGCCTGGCCAACATGGTGAAACCCAGTCTCTACTAAAAATACAAAAATTAGCTGGGTGTGGTGGCACATGCCTGTAATCCCAGCTACTTGGGAGGCTGAGGCAGGAGAAGTAGAGGTTGCAGTGAGCTGAGATCATGCCATTGTACTCCAGCCTGGGAAAAAGAGTGAGACTCTGTCTCAGAAAAAAACCAAACAAACCAAAAAACCAAAACACGTTGCAAACATGGTTCAGGTTGGACTTAAAAACAGCTTTTTTTTTTTCCTTTTCTTTCTTTTTTTTTTTTTTTTTTTTTTTTGCTTAAGAGTGTAATCTATGCAATGGGTTCACTGTGGGCCAGAAAACACACAGGTTATCTGAAAGTCAAGGCTTCCCCTTGGCGCTCAGTGAGTATTTCCCTGGCCAGACTCTTTTCTCAGAAAAGCCTCAAAATACTTCCAAACTAGAGCCAGAATTGTTCTAGTGAGGGCAGGCTCCAAACTAACAGCTAGTCACCAAGGTGGCCAATGTGACAGAAATGGAAACTGCAGCACCCTGCTTCAGTCAGTGCCCCGGATGATGCAGCCTATCTCTCAAGGAAGGACAGCTGTTGGAGAGAAAGTGCCAGGCAAAGCACGTCTCCACTGGGCCCCGTGCCCGCACCCACCCACACCCCATGCCCAGTGTGCACGGCAGACAGGATACACCCCTTCAGCCCCCCAAAAAGCACCTCTGCATCTGCAAACTCACAATGACATGACTTACCTAGCAGCAGCCACTTTCTCCTGCAATGATTCCCTAGGAAAAATCCTCCAACCGGAGAGGCTGCCCTTCCAATTGTCACAAGTGTTTTCGGTTAAACTGCTCATGTTTCTAATTAACTTTTGTCATCCACAACTACTCCAGTGCCCAGAAGCCTGGCGGGATTAACGGCTGCTTCTTCTGCTTTTTTTTTTTTTTAAATACCTATGTTCCACTGCCTTCTAGCAACAGAGTAAACTGTATATAGAGCGGCTTTTTATGATTTAAAAGTCA
Source organism: Homo sapiens (assembly GCF_000001405.40). Classification (NCBI taxonomy): domain Eukaryota; kingdom Metazoa; phylum Chordata; class Mammalia; order Primates; family Hominidae; genus Homo; species Homo sapiens. The sequence goes on along the minus strand of NC_000011.10, from coordinate 19,931,520 downwards.
ACGGCTGCTGAAGCCGAGTGAAGGCAGCCCCTGTGTGGGGCGTGAGCACCGTGCCGTGAGAGCTCACAGTAAAGGAACTGCCTCCTTTCACTCTCAGCTGCTCGGGGAAGCCACAGCTCCAGGGTGATCCAAAGCAGACCTCCCAATGTTTTAAAACACATATATCTTCCTGACTTACTGGGGATTTGGGTTTGGAGGGAGGGTGCCTCACAATCCTCCCTAACAAAACTCAAGGGGTGTTGTTGGATGTTTTCCTGGGGAGACTGGCTTGGAATCAGGCTCCGAGAACCCACCCACACTGCTGGCCTGTTAGAGGGTTGCTACAGGCTTGACGCTGCCCATCAGCGGCCTGCTTGGTGTCAGGAGGCTCAGTGCTCAGCACATTGTGAAAAGGAGTTCCTGCCCCTATTTTAAGAGTGAGGAAACTGAGACTTAGGTAGGGCTAAAGAATAATCCTAAATTACACAGCCAGAAATGCAGATATCTGGGATTTGAACTCAGGTCTCCTGACATGGTGTCATAGCTACCTCCTTCGATGAAGAATGCATGTAAACAGCCACTTAAACAACAAGAGCACTTTTAGGAACTGCGCATTCTACTAGCTTATGTATGTTCATGACATCCATGGTGGAGTACAAACCAACCCTGCCATTTGAAATACAGCAGCCTACATCACAGAGGATGGCTCTCTGGCTGAAATAATAGTGAACCCACCAATCCTGAGTACCACTCCTCCTAGGAAAACTGCCTTTCCCTTTACCTGAACTTAGATCTGGGGCAGATGTAAAGTTTTCATTCATTCATTCAGTATATTCATTCATATGTATCTATTCATTCTTTGAGCTCCTAATATGTGTCAGATACTGTTTTAGGTACTTGGGATCCATCGATGAAAAAACAGATAGAAATCTCTGCCTTCATGGAGTTCACATTTTAGCAAGAAGGAACAGATAATAAATTTAATTAAATAAACTATATTATTTGTTAAAAAATAGTGCTAAAGAAAAGGACGGGGGTCTTAGGGGCAGGTTGCAACACTGTCCTTATAGGAACTACAAGATCACATTCAAAGGTATGTTCCTCTTTCCTAAAGAAGTTTTAGGCATAGTCCCCACGTGTACATGGATCAATGTGATCTTACCGCTTGGAACTACTCTGAGGCTTGCTCAGAAATGGATGTCTCCACTATAATTTCTATTTTTTTTAACACTAACAATCGCAGCTAGAAATTAACCAACTAAGTAGCTAATAACTGACCCAGAAGAAAACAGATACTTGGCTTGTCTTGGTGAAATGGCCATCTGAGACTCTCAGGCCTGGTTTATATCACATGACATTTTCCCCTACTGTTGTGCTTCACTAGGATTCCGTCCATACCTCTTCCATAGAATGATTTTGGAGGGGCAGCTACTTTATACAATGCTCTGGGAACACAGAGTTGAATAAAGCTCCCGCCCCCTAGAACTCACTGTCTCAGGGTGCAATGGACCTCAAAACAAACCATGAAAACAGTGTAAAAAGTGGTAGAGGGCTCTATGAGGTGCTATGAGAACTGGAGAATTAGTAGACTCTACTAATTCCCTCTGAAGAGTTTGGGAAAACTTCCTGGAGGAAGTGATCCTTGTGTTACCACGTGGTGCTTCTGCTATAGGTCAGTTATTCCCCTGGTCTGGGATTTCCTCCAGGACAGAGACTCCCCGCCCTGACTCATCTTTGTGTTCTAAAGCCTGCTGGAGCATAAAGATACTTATGAATTGCTGGTGGGTAATTTTGACATTTGCAAGTCATATTTAAGGTAACAGAGATGTAGGATTTGTGATGAGTCTTTAGGGTTTTATTAAAACTCTTAAGCCTAAACTCAGGAAAAAATTCAGATTAAAACTCAAAGAATCAGAATTTCTATGTAGTATTTAGTCTGGGCTCCCCTGGTTATTAAGTCATGGGGGCATTTCAAGGCTACTCATTACGACTATAAAAGGTAGCACCTGGGTATGATTCTGAATTTGGTTTCTAGAGCAGGAGTCTTGAGTGGTGCTAGATAGGGGGCACTAGGGCATCTGAGGACCAGGTCATCAACATTCTACACTCATGTCACAGCCAGAAGTCCCCTATGACATGAAGGGTATGTCAAGTCATGAGTGGTCTTGTACAAAGTAACTTGATACATTTCTATCATTCCTAGGATATCATACCAGTGATCTCAGAGCTTGGCTGAGTGGCTGTTTGGGGCCTGTTCCTCCCTTTGTCTGTTTCTTTTTTTCTTTTTTTGAGATGGAATCTCACTCTGTCACCCAGGCTGCAGTGCAGCGGCTCGATCTTGGCTCACTGCAACCTCCACTTCCCAGGCTGAAGTGATTCTCCAGCTTCAGCCTTACAGACGAGTACCACCAACACCTGGCTAATTTTTGTGTATGTGTGTGTGTTTTTTTGTAGAGATGGAGTTTCGCCATGTTGCCCAAGCTGGTCTCAAACTCCTGAGCTCAAGGGATCCAGCCACTTCAGCCTCCCAAAGTGCTGGGATTACAGGTGTGAGCCACCGCGCCTGGCCTTCTTTGTCCATTTCTAATCCTGGGGTCCTATGACTCCTAGCATGAAGCTTTCCTCAACAGGCTTCTCAGATAGTAAGTTAAACAAAGGGGAGGTGTGGGTGGGTAGGCTGGACCTTGAACTTTGTCCCCAACTCATGGCGTGATCCTAGATATGCCATTTTGCCTCTCTTGGCTTCAGTTGCCCCATTTGTTAGAAAGAGGATGAGCTATTTCTCTAGTGTCCTTTTAGCCTTGCTTCTATTCAAATCTGGGCAAGTCTCTGAGACGACCCCTGCAGCTGGGTGATTTCCAATCTTGATGGAGAAAACCGGCTGGGTCAAGGTATGGTCAACATTAGATGAGCTGCTTGTGAATTCAGAAATGCTAGTATCCTATGAAAACCAGTTTGGGGGAAGGTGGGTGGCGTGAGTTCTTCAAAATGAAAAGCACTTATTTCCCTGATAACTAACAACTCTTGTTATTTTCCTCAAATATCTGAACCTTTGTTAAAGCAAAGGAACCTAAGGGGGAAAAAGAAAAGCATAAAAGAATGTTTTGAACATCTGTATCCCCCAAATGATGATATGTGGGCCACTGAAGTGGATGAGATTGTGTTGGATGGCACATGAATATTTTTATATTTTAAAAGTCATATTTATTGCTTATTAGATATATTAGAAACATATTGGAAAATGATAACTAGCCATATATAAATTAACAGTTTCATGGATATTAAATGTAGATTTAAAATTTGAGCTAGTTTAAGGAAAATACAAATAAAAAACACAAGTGGCTCACAGATTTGGCAAAAATCACGCAGAAATTTTATGTAAGACTGAAGTGGGAGAAACACTGTTACATTAAATCAAGATATACTCATATTAAATGTGTTCTTTTGAAAAACGTAATCAACCAAATAGAAATCAAACCAGAAGGCTCAAATAAGGACTAGGTTCAAAACGAACCTGAAATGGTTAGTTTTTAGAGCTTTATTTATTTCTATATATTTGTGTAGTATGTGATATTTTGCCAGTTCTGGAAACATGATCAGGCCTTGTTGAGCCAAAGGTAATTTTAAAATAGTAGCTGTGACAATTTTTGACCACATAGTAAAAACACAGTAAGAATGATATATTGCCATCCAATAAACAGCCACTTCTCCACATGTTAAACTGAAAAATATCAAGATATACTCTTATTATGTATAATAAACTCTGATATATGCTACTCTAGTCTGTTCTAAAATGCTGATTGCAGAGCCCTTAAACAGGTTTTTTTTGTTTTGTTTTGTTTTGTTTTGTTTTAAAAGATGTAGTTTTGCTCTGTTGCCCAGGCTGGAGTGCACTGGTGCAATCTCGGCTCACTGCTGGAACCACAGGCACATACCACCACACCTGGCTATTTTATTTATTTTATTATTTTATTTTGAGACAGAGTTTCACTCTTGTTGCCCAGGCTGGAGTGCTCACTGCAACCTCCACCTCCCAGATGCAGGCAAGTCTGCTGCCTCAGCCTCCTGAGTAGCTGGGATTACAGGTTCCTGCCACCATGCCCGGCTAATTTTTGTATTCTTAGTAGAGATGGGGTTTCACCATGTTGGCCAGGCTGGTCTGGAACTCCTGACTTCAGGTGATCTTCCCACCTTGGCCTCCCAAAGTGCTGGGATTACAGGCGTGAGCCACTACGCCTGGCCCTTAAACAGGTCTTATGCCCCACTAGTGGGCTGTGCCTTGCAGTTGGAACACCTCAGTTCTAAAAGACCAGCTTACAAGGTTGGCCCACCACCAACTGACAAACCACTGTAAGAAGGAAAAGTTTCATTTGAAACACTGCAGACAGGATGGCTTTGAAGAAAAGGAATTTTTTTTCTCGGAGTTTAGAGAGAGTATTAATCCTCCGGTTGGGAGGGAAAAAGTTTGGTTTGGTTTTTCTGGCAACCAGCCTTAACCTTCCCTGACAGGAACCAAAATGCTTTCTAAATGAAAATACTGTTTAAAGCAGATAAATAAAGCATTTCTTCCTCTCTCCTTCAGTGAGGGCGGACACTGGCCCCAGGTCTCTCCTGTCCCCAGCTTTTCAGTTAGGGAGATGTTGGTGGTCTGGTCCTGATGCCAACAGGCACTCAGGGAGAGTGTCCTGTTGATCCCAGCTCCTGTCACTGCTACTGTGATTTTTAAATCTGCCCTGGGGAGGTTTCTGGCCTAAATCCTCTCCCAAGTCTTTGGAGAACAGGCCTGATAATTGGGTGTGGGAAAATGTCTGCAATTTCCTAAAATTTGTCAAGGTGTCAATCTTGAGTATTCAAATTGGTTAGTATAATTGAAACTAGTTTTTTTTGTTTTTTTTTTTTTCTTTAAGTGTATTGACTCCAGCCACATGAGCTAGAGACTGTTTTCAGAGTCATCCTGGTCAGTTCTTGACAACCTGGTAGCCACCAGACCACAGAAGGGCAGGTGAACCTGTCTCGATCCACTTAGAGGTTCTGCAAGGTTCTTGGAGCCTGGCTGGAGGAGCCTCCTCAGCAGCACTGCTGTGTCAATGTCTAATATTAAGGATATAGCTTAAACACAGTCTTCTCTCCAACTCCATCTTGGAGAGGATCCCTGGAGGTACAGAGAGAAGTAAAGAAGGTAAGCGGGGCACGAGGACAAACAAAGAATGGAGACAGGAGAGTGAGAGGGCATGGAGGGAGAGCGAGCTGGGCTTTGGATCCACATGCTTCAAGGAGCTTATTGTGTCTATAATTCCATATGCTTCTAGAAAGTCTAAGCTAGAATAAGGATGAGGATCTATACAATAAAATGGTTTTTTTATAATCAAATGTTTTTTAAAAGTTGTTTGGTTAATGCAATCCTTATCAAAATTCCAGTGACTTTCTTTTTTTTCCAGACATACAGAAATCTATCCTAAAATTCATTGGAATCTCAAGGGACCCCCAAAAATCAAAACAATCTTGAAAAAGAACAAAGTTGGAGGCCTCACACTTTCTGATTTCAAAACCCACTGCAAAGTTAAAGTAATTTTTTAAAAGTGTGGTACTATCATAAAGACAGACATATAGACCAGTGGACTAGACTAGATAGCTCAGAAATAAACCTTTGCACATATGGTCAAACAATTTTTGGTAAGAGTTCCACAACTATTCAATAGGGGAAAGAATGGTCTTTTCAATAAATGGTGGTGGAAAAACTGGATATTCTCATGGAAAAGAAAACTAAAGTTGGATTCTTTTTTTTTTTTTTTTTGAGACAGAATCTTACTCTGTTGCCCAGGCTGGAGTGTAGTGGCGCAATGTCAGCTCACTGCAACCTCCGCCTCCCGGGTTCAAGCAATTCTCTTGCCTCAGCCTCCTGAATAGTGGGATTATAGGCATGCACCACCACGCTCGGCTAATTTTTGTATTTTTAGTAGAGACAGGGTTTCACCACATTGGCCGGGTTGGTCTCGAACCCCTGACCTCGTGATCTACCCGCCTCAGTCTCCCAAAGTGCTGGGATTACAGGCGTAAGCCACCACACCCGGCCTGGATTCTTACCTTATATCATATGCAAAGATTAACTCAAAATGGATCTAAGATCTATACATAAAAGCTAAAACTATAAAACTCCTAAAGGAAAACATAGGGCAAAACCTCATGACTTTGGATTTGTCAATAATTTCTTGGATATGACACCAAAAGCACAGGGAACCAAAGAAAAAATAGTTGGATTCACGGAAATTAAAAACTTCTGTGCATCAAAGAACACTATCAGTAGAGTAAAAAGGCAACCTACAGAACCGGATGGAATATTTATAAATCGCATATCTGATAAGTGACCGATATCCAGAATATATAAAGAACTCTTCCAACTCAACAAAAACAACCGGATTTTAAAATGGGCAAAAAACTTGAATATTCTCAAAAGAAGATATGCAAATGGCCAATAAAAATATGGAAAGACATTAAACATCACTAATCATTAGAGAAAGCAAATCAAAACCACAACAAATACCATTTCATGCCCATTGGAATGCCTACTATTTAAAAAATAAGCATCCCTGACCCTTGTTATCCTGCATTGTGGTTAGTAGATGCACCTGACTTAGCTTACTTCCAAGAATGCCTGAAGTCTTATTAGGTCTCCTGAAATGGTGGTTAGAAAAATCAATAAACAAACAAAAACTATTATCCACACCAGATCTCTCCACAGCGCTCAAAATTAAAATCAGGTGCTCCTGACTTGTCCCCCTCTTGACTAACCATGTCAGTTCTCTCTAAAACTAACTGAACTCAATGACTAGAAATCTTGGTGATGCTTTCAATGTTTTCTTCTTCTATGCATGGTGGAGATTTTGCTCTCTACTGGGTCACTTAAAATGTCATGTATGAATACTCCAGTATCTTGTGACAGTTTGATCAAAAATAAATATGCAGAATGTAAAAGCACATTATCCTAACAGACAGAACCCTCCTCTGTCCTGCATGAACCACACATTTCCCAGTTTTTCTCAGTGACTTTTTCACCCCAGAGGAAGCAGAAGAGGCCCTCGACAGCTGGAGCAATTACAGTTGTGTTTCTTTGTAATATGTGACAAGGTAATCCTTTTTCTTCAGTGGCTTATTTTGGATAAAACCAAGTGAAACCATGGGTGATGAGGTAATTCATTTGTCTGCTGGTAGCTAAAAACCAGTTTTTTTTTGTTTTTTTTTTTTTTTTAAAGAATTACCCCTTTCCAAAGTAGTTTTCACTACATTTTCTCCAAACAGTTTTACAAGGTATGTTCTTAAATCCCACGTAATGTTATAAAGAATTGGTAAAGCTAAACAAAGGTTAACTTGCTGGAAATATTCATATGCAGCTGGGCTTATGTTTGACCCTATGATAACACCTTAAAAAGAGAATAAATTCTTAAAATCTCTCCCTCTCTCTCACACACACGCCCTTTACATCAAATGTATTCTACACAAATTTTAAAAATCCTCCCACTCAGCTGGGTAAGGAGACGGATCATTTGCTGGTGTCTGAAGGAAGATACCTTTAAAAATATAAGACATGCCTATTCTTTATCTTTCAGTTCTTGAAGCCACATCACCCTCAAAATACATCCTTTCTCTCTCTTGAACTTATTTGTTCAAAATCCCCAGGAGAAAACTTTTGCTTTAATTGGTCAGCAATTTCTCTATCTTGTACCATATATGGCTATAAGAAAGTACAAAATTGGCTGTAGAAAACCATCTCCCTTTTTCCAAGAGTGTATGAAATTTCACAGACAGATTATACACACTTTACAGGGGGCAAATCCCATTCTTTCAAGAGGTCATTGTTCACAACCAGCAGCTTTTTGGCAGAATGCAATGGCTGTACACTATTGTAAATACATCCTTCTAAGATAGAGTTAGTTAAGGAATTCTGTAGGCCCCTTCCTCTAGGAGCCCAGCCCAATCTTTCTGCTTTCTATTGGGGCAAGGATGGGCAGCCCCAAATAGGAGCCTCCAAATCAGTGTTAAACCAGAATGGCTTCCACTGAACAATATAAATAGACAGTAAAAGAAAGAAGAGATTCTATGGTCAGGTAAGTTTGGAAAATGGAGGTCTAAATAGTAGTCAAATAATTTTTTTTTTGTCTACAGGACTTCTCAGAACCTTTAATGTGCCTATTTGCACTGAGAATATCCTAAAGGATAATGGGATGATAGTGTGATTCTTAAATGTATTTTTGCCAGGGAACTGATTTTATGGGATAGTTTAAAGAAAAAGCCTATCATGGGATGCATTTTGACAAACACTGTCCTAATGAAGGGGGCATAAAATGGGTTTACAAGCTAAATCAGAAAAGACAGATGTCCACTGGCCACTTACGAGGACAATTAAAAAGGGAGAAGAAGATGAGCCCTTATTTCCCCCTGTGATGTTATAATCTAGTAAAATGTGGGATTCTTTCATGCATTCGAGCATTAAACACCCATAAGGTATACCTGCTTTCTTTTATTTACTCTGCATGGAGGTCAAAAGCTACATGAAAATAGGAAGTAGGTTACTACCAGGCAGAAGTATGCCTAAAAAGATTTCTATCAACAGTTAGGTTCACTGTGACTCACTACAGAGACGTGGCTGCCATGAAAATCCATGGGATCTTGGGTTATATTAACACAGGAATGACATTCAGAACAAGATGGGTGAGGATCTTGCTTTGCTGCACACAGCCCAGACCACAGCTAGAATGGTGAAATCTTAGAATTTTGGACCTGGAAAGGCTTCTTGGAGGTCAGCTACTTTAAGGCATTCTTTTCTCAAAGCGGGCAACAGAACCGTGGGCAGGTAATGACTTCTCCAAGGTCTCACATTCAGTAAATGCCACAGCTGCTACTAAACTTGGGACTCTGGAATTTGTTAAGTAACATAGCTTCCCTGGCTCTACCCCAAACTTACAAAATCACAGTATCTCTGGGGAGGGACTCAAAAAGCAGGGGTTTTAACTAGCTCCCCAGGTGACTGTAATAGATACCGAAGTTCAAAAAGCAGGTGTTAATAGAGTTCAAATCTTACAACACACACTGAGAAACTATAGTTTGCCCTAAAGGACGAGGATGACCCTAAACCATGCTCAAGGAAGAGTGGCCAAAATGACAGAGACCCTCAGCTTTAGAGAACAGACAATGAAGGAAAAGGCAACGGTAGAAGAACTCTTCTGAACAAGGTGGCTTTCCTTTCCCTTCAATTTTTCTGCCCAAAGACACTGGGAGGCAAAGAAAAAAAAAAAAGTTACAGCAACACCTGCCAGAGCAGTCCATGACTCAGGACCATTCTGAACAAGAGTGTCTGGACAGTGAGAGACCCAGGACCCATTACAGCAGTGGGTGTTAGGGGGAGCCCTGGGGTTCCCTGGAGCAATCTTGGGGACAGTTGAAGAGGGTGAGGTCAGAGAGTATTTACAGCAATTGTGGAAAAGGGGAATTGAGTCAGCCTGTTTTTATATATTCTCTGCTCCACTTCTACCAGAGCAGCTCTCTTTACATCTAAGATTTTATTGGACAAAAATTTTCCATGGCAAAATATATTTATATACCCACACACACACACATATATAGCAATATTACTAACAACACATGTTAAGAAGGATAACATTCAACATTTACAGAGCATGCCCTTTGTGCCAGGCACAGTGCTAAGCATTTTTATTGTTTTAACTTCTTTTATTCGTGCTATAAATCCAATGAGGTAGGTAATAATGATCCCATTTTACCAGTGAGGACAACTGAGGCATAGGGGTTAAGTAAGTTACCCAAGATCGAACAGATTAGAGCTAGGCAACTTTATTTCAAAGTCCACACATGTAAGTTGCACTTCTAGTCTACCCCACCTTGAGAAGGGACAATAAACAGGACTCTCAAAATATGTGCTTTTCTCTGGGTACAAGATATAGTATTTTCATCAAGCCTTCTGTCAACAGCTTTTAGAAACTTTACAACAAAGTTTGTTGACCTTTAACTCCTTCCCTGAAGACAAAGACAATGTTTCCCTCCAGGAGGTTCTTTTTAAAAATAGGAACGTCAGACAATTTAGCAGTCATTTAAATATGGTTTTTGTTCTTCAAAATTTAGGATGCTGGCAAAATGTAATCTTTCTGCTGTTATTTTTTCTGTCAATCAAAATCAGGAGCCAACCAAAGAACGAGCTTATTATATTTCTCTGGAGGAATCAATGCAGAAACTGAGAGCTGAATTGGACTATTATTCACTCTCTATGATTGTATTATGCCAAATGTGCAGGAACAGAAGAAAAAAAAGGAGTCATTTATCCTGATTCTGCCAAGAATGCAGACACTTAGTATCAGATAGATCAAACAATTTCAGGGCTTCACGGATGTGACTGATCCACACACAGCCCTACTAGATTTCTGGGCCTTTTCACCTGACAGTTGTCTTCTTAATGGGAAAACAGAATTCTTCTGAAAAGATGAAACATAGTGAGATAGAAAATGCCTCAAAAGACTTCTCACTAGCTTTACTCACCTAAATCAGGAAACAATTTCCTCCACGTGTCTGTTTTATTTTATGTAATAGGTCTGGCTGTGACAAGTTGGTGGTAGATTGAGGTTTTGCAAATGAAGCACCCATTTAGAGGAATCCTAACAATTTTTTGTAAGGCTAAGACACCTTTAAAAATCAGATAATTATAATGAAGTGGAAAGAATGCCAAGATAATCATCTTATTCTGTTCTGTGATATTCAGACTACCCTTAGAATTATGCAATCATCGAACTTTGTGAATGGGTTCAAGTCCAACTTAAAGGCTTGGTAATCTTGAGTCTAGCTAAGCTCCAGTTTATTCATAAGTAAAAATAAAACTAATACTAATAACTAGTACTTTTTGAATGCCACCTCTGTACCAGGCACTGTACTAAGTGCTTTAAATAATTTCATTTAGCCGGGCTCGGTGACTCATGCCTGTAATCCCAGCCCTTTGGGAGGCCAAGGTGGGTAGGTCACGAGGTCAGGAGATCAAGACCATCCTGGCTAACATGGTGAAACCCCGTCCTGACTAAAAATACAAAAAATTAGCTGGGCGTGGTGGCACACGCCTGTAATCCCAGCTACTCGGGAGGCTGAGGCAGGGGAATCGCTTGAACCTGGGAGGCAGAGGTTGCAGTGAGCTGAGATTGAGCCACTGCAGTCCAGTCTGGGTGAAGAGGGAGACTCTGTCTCAAATAAATAAATAATAATTTAACAGGTTTATTTAATTATTTCATTAATTCATGCAAGTATCTTATACAGTGGATTTACTGCAGCTCAGAGACATTAGCAACTTGCCCAAGTCATGGCTAATAAGTGGTAGAGTAAGAATTTGAACAATAAAGTCCATGCTCTTCTTATTTTTTGAGACAGGGTCTTGCTCTGTTGCCCAGGATGGAGTGCAGTGGTGCAAACATGGCTCACTACAGCCTCACCTCCAGGGCTCAAGCAATCCTCTTGCCTCAGCCTCCCATGTAACTAGGACCACAGGTACATGCTACCATGCCCGGCTAATTTTTTTATTTTTTGTAGAGATGGGGGTCTCATTATGTTGTCCAGGCTGGTCTCGAACCCCTGGGCTCGAGTAATCCTCCTGTCTTGGCCTCCCAAAGTCCTGGGATTACAGGCGTGAGCCACCGTGTCTGGCCCCATGCTCTTCTTAATCAATGGACTTTATTAAATGGAGATGGTGACTAAAGCTTTCTTCCTCCCTCATGAGCAGCAAAAGGGCAATGATGTGAAAGCACACTGCAAACTGCAAAATCCTGAGATTAATTCTTATTCTTCTCTACTAATATTGGGCTTTCTTAAAGCAAGGTGTAGCTACACCAAATTTTGGTGGCGTTATTCTCTTTCATAAGCAAGATGGGACCAGGTCTCTAACCCAACTCTATGGAGAAAGGGAGAACTGTCCTTCCAGTGCCATAGTTTCATACGTGGCTCCCACGGCCCTGCCCAAGCTGACCTCTGCCATATTCCCACTCTGAGCCAGGGCCCTGTGCCCTACAGGCATTGGCCTGTGTGCCCCGTCAACTTCACCAGGCTGACTGGAAGCAGCCCAGTAAACACACAGTTCTCACTGTCTGGAGTGGTGACTCAGTCACTCTTGGCAACATCTACTCTGTTTCCTTAAGGCTCAAAGAGCTCTTCATATGAACCTTGTTGAACAAGGACTCAAGGAGCTTCTCACCCACGTGCATGGCTACGAGATAGAACACGGAAACCAGGCTCACTCACAGACCAGCTTGGAGGTTTTAATTCCAACTTAAACATTCTCAAGCTTATTAAATTTTGTTTCAGAGAATCTTTGTCATCTTGAATAATGAATTCTGGATGTACAGGAACCAGGGATATGACTGGGCTCAAAGTTATTTGGCCACATTTCTCTTCGGAATCCTAAAATAACCACAACGTTGCATGTTTTTTTCTCCAATCACCCTATCTCATCCCATCCTTCCAACTTTTATTTTTCTTTTGACATTTCTTCTGTTTCAGGTACTTTCCCAGGTGTTAGGGATACAGCAATGGATATATGGTGTATGCCTTCAAGGGGTTCCAGGTCTTGGGGATGAAACAGAGCATAAAGCAGAAGGAAGGACAAAGCAAGAAGCTATCGTGATGATTGGTTTACGGACCTGTGGATCACAAAAGGGGTTGCCTAACTCAGTCCGAGGGCAAGTGGGAGTCAAGAATTCATTCAAGTCACTGAATGACTGCATGAAACTTCTAGAACTAAACCTTTTACAAAGTAGGAAAAAGAAATAAAATGTCCTGGGGTCCATGCCTAGTGATTAAAATCAAACTCAAGATAACAAAATATATAGATTCTGCACTTGATCAGGGCAAAATCTGGTCAGCCAAATACATTCATGATACTAATCATAACCAGGAATTCCAGGGGCATATCTATTCCACCCAAGCATAATGAAAAATGGGACATATAACTCAACCAGAATGTTGTTCTTCTCTGCTCACACAGCAGGCATATACTTTTTTCATTCAGTTGCACGTCGTGAATTTATTTCCACAATGAAGAATGCTTACAAGTCACCTCCCAGTCCATGATGGAAAAAAACAGGCATGCAGACTCAACTCTCATTTTTTCCCCAAATTTGGCTGACAAGCCAGAAGCAAAGTTGATGGTTTCAGATAATATCAAACTGACTATTGACCCAACCACTCCCAGCTGTCAATCCAGATACCAGTAGTTTGAGACAAATGGCAAACTTTCTCCAGCAAGAGTCACATTTTGTACTAAAGATGTAAATGAATGGCAGACCCGAATGCAATGTTATCCTCTCAGTTTGGGACTTAAAGGAGAAGATGAAGGCAGGAAAAGACAACCAGCATTAGCTCCACACTGAGGTGCACTGGGCTTGATGGACCCAGGTTCTCTCCCTGAAGAGGGGATTATCAAGCCTATTTTACACAACAGTAAATTCAGGCTCAGAGAGGTTGAGTCATTGGCCTGATATCAAAAAGCTGGAGAAGGTAGAGGTGGGATTCAAATCCAGGTCTGTCCAATGGGGAAGCTATAGCCTGTTGCCTCAGTCTCATTCTCCTTTGTGAAAAGTAACAAACCTGGCCAGGTGCAGTGGATCACGCTTGTAATCCCAGCACTTTTGGAGGCCAAGGTAGGCGGATCACCTGAGGTCAGGAGTTCGAGACCAGCTTGTCTTGGCCAACATGGCGAAACCCTGTGTCTACTAAAAATACAAAATTAGCCAGGGGTAGTGGCGAGTACCTGTAATCCCAGCTACATGGGAGGCTGAGGCAGGAGAATCACTTGAACCCAGGAGGCGGAGGTTGCAGTGAGCTGAGATCGTGCCACTGCACTCCAGCCTGGGTGACAGAGTGAGACTGTCTCAAACAAAAACAAAAACAGACCTGTGAGAACAAAGCTATGAAATGAGGTAGATGTGAGATGAGAGGGGGATAGCAGAATATTTCTTGGAAGCCACTGTCTGTGAGGGTAAGAGGGGCAACGACATTTCAGTTACAGGGGAGAGTTGTCTCTAGTAGAATAATTCCTTGAGAAGCCACCTGGCCCAGAAACTCAGGCCCTAGGAGAACAGCAACTGCCTTACAGAAGGCAGAAAATTGCTAGGGAACATGGGGTGTGCAATATTTCCCTCCCTGTGACACCCCCTCCCTCAACAATATACTGTCACAAAAGTTACTAAAAATATGAAATGCTTGCTGTGAATGCGTATCTCTTGGAAACCAGCAAGGAGGTGGGCTTCTTGTTCAGAATGTGGGAGTGGAGTAGAAACCACCTTCACAGAAAGGCTGGAGGCAGCACCTCATGGGAACTCACAGAAATCCTGAGGCAGGTTCCATACTGTCCAATCAGATCTCCAGAAGGCAGGTAGGTTCTTGAAGCATCTAGGCTGGGCAGGGCTGATCCAGGACACCTGATCTCTTAGTTACACCAGCATTGCCTGCTTCTGCATCAAGGGATAGCCATGCATTTCTTCCTCCTGGCCTTAGTTGTTCTCCTTTACTTCTCAAAGTACCCCCAGTTCCATAACCCATTTCCTAACCCATTGTCTTCTCATCTCCCCATTCTCTATCCTTCACAGATTTTGGCCCTCTGTACTTATCAGTAGCCTGCTACAGACTTAACTCACTCCTCTAGGATGAAGGCCAGTAAGCCTGGGCCTGAAGGCCAAATCCAGCTCCCCACCTATTTTTGTAAATAAAATCTGATTGGAACACAGCCGTACTCATTCATTTACATATTGAATAGCTGCACCAGAGACCCCATGGCCCTCGAAGTCCAAAATATTTATTGTCCAGCCATTTAAAAGAAAGTCTGCTATCCCTTGCTCCAGAATATCAAGTCCTTAAAGCCTGGGGCTCTGTTTCATTCATCTCTTTATCTCCAGTATGTGATACAGAATAAATGTTGTTTGATAAAGTGAGTGAATGCATGCATAAGGGTTAGACAGACACGATTAGATCAATTTAACACAGTTGTTACTGCAAAGACACTAATTGGAAATCCTTTAAACTGAAAAGAGATGTTCTAGTTAGCCATATTTTCTATTTAAGCCAGTTAACAGCAACAGCAACTTTTATGTATTAATGCATACTGATTTTATTTTTTTTCCTCAAAAGCATGTTATTCTATTTCTCTTTCTTAGTAAAATTGGGTCTAACTGAAAACCCTGTGATGCTTTGGGCTGCATTGCTGAACATTAGTATCTGGTACTGAAAATGACAGGTATAGCCTTGGAAGATATTTGGGAATAGGATAATTTATCTTCCAGTTAAATGGTGGATGTTACTGGCTTTTGGTACATATACCAAAAACATTAGTTTATTTCCTTTTCATTTGCTCTTCATGATTTTAATCATTAACAGTTTAATAACTTATTAAGTATATACTGTGTAAAAGGCACTATGCTAAGTATTGTACTTGCATCACCTAATTTACTCCTCACAATAACCCTATGAAGTAGATACTGCTATACCCCCATTTTACAGATGAGGAAACTGAGGCTTGAAGAGACTAAGTAGCTTGTCCAATGTCAGATGACAGGTATACATCTGTGTGGCTCCAGAGTCTGAGCTGTAAATAATTACTCTATAGCTCACTCATTTATTCACTATACCAACAAATATTAAAGTACTTAACAAATACTTTAACGTCTCTGTATGCCAAGTCCTGTAATGGCAATGGAGAGAGAAGAAAATGAGGCTCAGTCCCTGACCTCAAGGAGCTAACCTGCTCATGAAGGACCAACAAGATAACCACGGAACCTGGGGAGGACAACTAGAGAGGAGAATAGGGTGCAGGAGAACTCAGAGAAAGGGCTTCAAACTCAATCTCCAGAGGTCAGGGAAAGATTTCTAGAGGAAACAAAATCTAACCTAAAACATAAAAGATGAGTTAGAGACTTGGTGGGAAGAAGGATGAGGAAAGTGGAATGCATTTCAAATGGAGAGCTGCAGTGGCAGAGGCCGATTATAAGAGAGTATGGCCTTTGCATGAAAACACATACTATTGGATATGGCAGAAGCTTCCAGTGAGAAGGGAGGGCACAGCAAAAAAATGAGGCCAGCTCACGGAGTCTTATAGGCCATGGTGAAGAGTCTTCAAATAATTAAAGAGAGAGGAGAAATGGTGATTCGGTGTTCCAAATTTTATGTGAAGGAAGTTTACCTGGCTACAATTTCCCTCTTCTCAACACAAGTCATCTTTCCCTTTACGAAAATGAGATAACTTCTGACAGGGGATTTCTCCCCAGTGCCCCACTGAAAACCTAGATCCTGGTGGACTCCATGATCAACTGAGTTCCTTGAAAGCACAGTGGCTAGAAAAAGTCAGGACTCCACAAATATGTACCACATGAATGCACTGGATTAGTGCAGCAAAGCTGTGCACCAACTTTGACTAACCTTGGACAGGCTACTCCAACTGTGGAAGACAAAGCTCTTAAGGGTATGTTCTGAAAGGAGATAAGAAAACAGAGATAAACTTCTCTGTATAAAAAGAGGAGAGAAGGGGAGAAAAGTAGAAAGGAGAGGAGAAGGGAGGCATGGCTGAACAATATAGCAGAAGGCTGGAATATTAAGAACAAAACAAAAGGTGGCCATGGAGAAATTCTAAGTGGCAAGGGAGCTGAAGAACTTTTAAGAACAGGAACAACAGGCCGGGCGCGGTGGCTCACGCCTGTAATCCCAGCACTTTGGGAGGCCGAGGCGGGTGGATCATGAGGTCAGGAGATCGAGACCATCCTGGCTAACAAGGTGAAACCCCGTCTCTACTAAAAATACAAAAAATTAGCCGGGCGCGGTGGCGGGCGCCTGTAGTCCCAGCTACTCGGGAGGCTGAGGCAGGAGAATGGCGTGAACCCGGGAAGCGGAGCTTGCAGTGAGCCGAGATTGCGCCACTGCAGTCCGCAGTCCGGCCTGGGCGACAGAGCGAGACTCCGTCTCAAAAAAAAAAAAAAAGAACAGGAACAACAATATTAAATTTTAAGCGGTTTGTATTGCAATCGTATAACCCCTCCAAGGCCCTAAACATTCAGGAATAGTCCACAATGCCCAAAGCCTGTATCACTTTTCTGAGAATGATTTGGGGTGGTTCCCATGGGTAAGAGAGGGATATTACACAGAGAATGAAGATACATGACCTGTAAGTGCAAGTATTTCGGCAGAACAGACTAGGCAAAAATAGTGACCGACAGTAATGTGACACCACCTTTCTCCCAACAAAACAAAATAAGCAAAAGGAAACACTTCCAAAAAGATTAAAAAGGACACTGGGTCTTCCACATGTGAGTTCTCCAATTCACATTTAATGGCTGGCAAATGACTAACAATTGATTCTGGAGGGAAAAAAGAAAAGTTCTCATTCATAGTGTTTGCCAATTCCTGTGGTGTAGATACTCCTGCTATGGCAGATGTCTAGCTACCAGCATGACATCAACAGGCTTGCAAAACTCCTGAAAATTAAAAAATTCGCTCTGATGTGCTAGTAGGAGCTGACTCCAGCAATAACACTGGCTCGGGGAGTCCACAGCTGATGTCTAGGTTAAAGGCAGTTTCCACGGATCAAGCCTTTGCTTAGGTTTTGCCAAGACAAGGTTTTATCCAGAGTTGTAGTAGTTTTTGGAGACTATGCGGTCCCTATAGGAGACTAAGGTAGGCACAGGGTTAAAAAAAGGCGTAGAGCTAGTCACCATCCATCAGGTAACTATCGTTTGATCAAAGTACATAGAACTAAAAGGAAGCACTGCGATGGAGGAATCTAAGGCCCAGAGTGCGTGATTGCTACTCAAGGTCACTCTGAATTAGTAGCAGATCTGGAACCAGAGTTTTGACAGCCTCCCTCCTTTCTCTCTGTGCCTCGAAGTCTCATCCTCTTAGGCAAAGGCACGGCATGAATTTGGCTTATAACCGGGCAGGGGCACACATAGACAGTTCTGGCTAAATTTGTACATTTTGCTAGTTTACAATTTGCAGGATTTCTGCCTCTCTCTGTATGAAGAGGAGCTCTGCCAGGGATTGGTGTGAGCTTAAGAAAGCTAGCCAGAAACCCAGCTGACAGGAAGATAAGACCAACTGGGGTGGCCAACAGTGAAGGAATGAGCAGACAGGTTTCTACAAGACAACATACAAGGATGTGGGGCTGATGGGATATTACAGACTGGGAAAGGCTCCCCCACACTCTCATGCTAATTAGCAGGAAATAGAAGGGCAGAAGAGGGAGGTCCTTTGATTTTCTTAATAAAGCTGCAAACACAAAAAATACAAAATGTACCAGGCAATGCATCTCTTTTGCTGAAAATGAGATCAAATTAGGTACCCTAATTATTTTTCAAATGATTTCTGACCTGGTTATATTACACAAAACAGGACAGAGTGATTCAAACCTGCTGTCAATACAGAGTTAAGGAAAGAAAAATGCCAGCGATTCTGCAGCTGTCCAGCTGTAATCCTGGAGGAGTAGCTTTCATGGCGACTCTGATGCACAGAAACAAGCCAAACTGCCAGAGCAGGAGTTAAACCAAATAAACCTGAAGGATATCAGTTTATTAGGAGGAGGGTCTTAAAATAGCAGCCAGGAATGCATGGGTTTCCCTGGACAACTCGGATTACATGCCTTAATCCTGCCTTTAGTAACACAATGCACTAAAAGGTTCTGTTCAATCTAGTTTCTCTCTGAACTGCAGTACAGCTTAGGGAAGTCAGTCTGTAAGCAAACACACTGGTTGAGCAAGATGTATACATACAGTAATGTTCCTCAGAGGGGTTAGCTGGGTGTAAAGAGAAATAAGGCACAGTCTGGGTCTCTTGGAAATTTACACCAGGGTTAGAAGAAGAAACATGCCTATAAGGACATGGTCCCAAGGGTAAGGGTTTCCAGTTACACTAAAGGACGGTCTTCATGACAATGAGTATTCGACATGAACTCTAAAGAATGCATTCCTTCATTTAATGCATCTCTGTTTTGTGCCAGTTATGGGGACACAAAGATCAACAGTGACCAGTCTCATGGGGCTGGGTAAGGGGCGTCAGGCATTCTAAAATATTACCTTGAAACAAATTTTATTTTCTGTTTCATTTATTTAACATTTTCGTAATCAGCAGCACAGACATTAAAGTCCAAATGTGTTTAAGTGGAATGTAAACATTTGCTCAAAGCTGTGGGTGTTTGAAAGCAAAGAGGACTTTTGCAAGAGATATAGAAACATACAAGAATCACTTTTTTGCTCTTATTCTGCAAATGAAGCAGCAAAGTGTCCTAGAGTCCAGATGTAAATTCCATTTCCATTTTTTCTATTTCAAAAACATTGGCCCTAGCTCATCTTGTCTTTGGCAGTTCACTAAACTTTATTTAATGAGATAAAGTTGAAGAACTACTACCAAACACAGACATTCTGCTTAAAAATTAGAATGTAAGCACCAAAAGATTAAGTCAGGATGTAACCTAGTAGAAATTCAATGATGAAATGCCTGCAATCCATCATTTTTGCCAGTTAGAATCGCTAGAGTGGCTGCAGATGTTACCACTTGTGCTCTCAAAGGTTGAGGGCTGCCTTTTGCTAACAGATGCTGAAACCTACTAGAATTTAGGTGGCCCAGAACTTCATCACCACAGAGCTCTCTCAGGTTTCCCCATGTCCACAAATAAACCGATCACTGGATCAAGATGCGCTCTCCCTTTCGCTGTAAGTCAACCAAGTTATTAGCAAAGCTCCTTGGACAGAAGTTTGGAGTCTTTCCGCCTTTGCTGCAGCTCTGTCCCCCACCAAGAAATTGATTTCTGCCCTGACTGGCTTGGGTAGGCATTCTAGGTCATCCACTGTCTGAGGTCAATTTGGAACTGATGAAGAATTCTTAGAGTGAGGTGACAGGATAAAACACCAAAGAGATTCAGAAAGCCTGGGTTCTGATCCCATTTTGGCCACCGTCCTCTCAATTCTTTCAACAAGGATTTATTGAACATGACAGGCATGCTCCCTGCCCTCACAAAACTTGGAGTCTAGCACCAATTTGCTGGGTAGAATTGAGAGAGTCATTTTGCCTACTTCATTCAGACACCTACACACATATACACACTCAACTTCCCTCTATCATGCCATGTCCCCTTTTACCATCTAGACTTTGGACACGCTGTTCTGTCTAGAATACGCTTTCCTTATTGTATATAGCTAATGCACCTTTCAGCTTAGACCTCACTTCTTCCAGGATATCTTCCTGACTCCTCCAAGATTGGATTGGATGCTCCTTCCAGACATAAATGTCCTATAGACACTTATCACAGGATATTACAAGTGTCTGTTTCTGTGCTACGTGTCCTGTCCCTATTCCAAGCACAGCATCTGGCACATGCTGGGATTTCAGGCACCATATAGCCAACAGAGTTGGCTACAGTTCACTTCCAGCTCACAAATATTTGCTAAGCCCTGTCCTTGCCCTAAATGAAATCAAGACCAAAAAAAAAAAAAAAAAAATGTGCTTGCAAAATGATGATACTGTAAAAGCCAGTGAGACAGGGATTAAGCATTACCTTACACTTAAGGGCATTTTGGGGGAGAAGTGATCATTGTCCTCATAAAAATGAGTTCAAATTATCATGATATTTTTACATGTGGTGTTTGGTTATTTTTTAATTTTATTTTGTTTCGGAGACAGAGTCTCGCTCTGTCACCCAGGCTGGAGTGCAGTGGCACTATCTCGGCTCACTGCAACCTCCGCCTCTCAGGTTCAAGCAATTCTTCTGCCTCAGCCTCCCGAGTAGCTGGGATTACAGGCACATACCACCACGCCTGGCTAATTTTTTGTATTTAGTAGACATGGAGTTTCACCACGTAGCCCAGGCTGGTCTTGGACTCCTGAGCTCAGGCAATCAGCCTGCCTCGGCCTCCCAAAGTGCTAGGATTACAGGCATAAGCCACCGCGCCTGGCTAGTTATGTTTTTTTCTTAACATGCTGATATGTCAGAAAACAAACTCCAGGGCGCCTCTGATTTACAGTGTCCCTATACAGTTTTTCAAGAACTTCATACTCTTCCTTTAAGCTCCAATTCTATATGAACTCTCCTTGCCTACCTTCTCCCAGTCCCTAAGCTTCCACTTTCTTCTCTGAATTTCCATGACTCTGACTGCCTGGACCACTCATCTGGCATTGGCTGGTTTTGTTCATAGTTGCACCTCCAGCAATTTGTACAGCATTTAACATAAAAGAGGGGCTCAATGATTAGTGAATTTAGTAAAAACTAGCTTGTATGATAGCATGAGGGTTAAAAGCAAAATATTAGCTTTGCAATGATGCAGATTCTGGTTCAAATGTCAACACTGGCCCTTAGCTGCATAATGTAGGCCCGTTATTTAATCACTCTGAACTTTAGTTTCTTTATAAAATGGAGATGTTACTACTGACACTTCCTAGTAGTGATGTGAGGGATTAAATGAGACTACGTATGCAAAATACCTAACACACCTCCAGGCACATAATAACTCAATCACCCCACGATGGGCAGTGACTGTTACCATTTTCTTTGTTGTTACTGTTTCAGTGCCCCCTGTCTATTCACAGTCCATTTCCTCACCTATATTATAAGCAGTTATATAAGTTATTATATATGCCTTATAAATAACTTTATAAAGTTATTTATAAGGCAGGCGTTTGTAACATCTGTTGACACACATGGAAGGCTTTAGGATAGTGATGAAGAGGAGGAGGAGGAACATGATGGCAACTATTACTTCGTCTGATGTCACTAATTTGCAACCCTATGGCAGGCTTTTGATTTCAAAAAGAGCAGCCGAGAAGTGGGAGAAGAAAAAGACCAAGCTTGCTCCTGAAGAAATGTGCTTCCCAGAGAGATTCCACAGGACCCCTGGACCACAAACCACAGAAAACCATGAGATGTTTTACAGCCAGGAATCTCCTCCTACTCCCAACTCCCCACCTCTTCCCCAGCCAGGGTCTTTGCTCACTGAGGGTATGGAAAGTGGTTTCTGTGCATTAGGATCAATTGACAACTCAAAGTTACAATCTGTTTTTATCTGGATCAGAGGCAGAAAGATAAACGTCTCAGGCATTACTTAAAATTCCTAGGCCAGCACCAAAGGCCTTCTATCTATGCTGTGGTTCCAGAGGGAATGGCCAGAGTGGGGTGGCCAGTTACCTGCGTCAATGCTCTGTTTACTGCCTGGGTACTCCTGGAATGGGGCACTGTCTAGAATTGGGGTCTCAAAAGGAGGGGGTACATACAGTCCCATCCCATATGAACTAGATTAAAGTTAAATATATACAGGGAAAGGAGGACCAGAAATTCTTTCCTTCAGTATCCTTGATGCAAAATCAATATACTTTTTTTTATCGAGGGGAAACTGAGGTCCAAGAAAGGGGAGACATTTAACCACTAATATTTTGGGGTAGAAGAGCTAGAGTTATAACATCTACTTGAATATGGCATGAACAGAAAGCCATTTTTAAAACCACTATATTGACATATAATTCACATACCATAAATTCATGCATTTAGAGTGATTCAATGGTTTTTAGTATCCTCATACTCATGAAGTTCTCCAACCATCACCACAATCTAATTTTAAAATATTTTCATCATATCAAGAAGAAACTCTAGCAACTCTTCATCCCTCCTCTACTCCCACCCCACAGCCCTAGCAACCACAAATCTATTTTTTGTCTCTATCGATTTGCCTACTCTGGAGATTTCATATAAACGGAATCATACAATATTTGGCCTTTTGTGTCTAGAATGACATTTTTTTAATGACAGACTTCAGCAGCAGACTCACTGGCTGCTCAATGAATAATTTTCTAGAGCTGTGCTGTCAAATACCATATCCACTAGCAAATGTGGCCATTTAAATGAATTAAAATTTACTACATTAAAAATTCGTTCATCCACACTAACCACATGTCAATTGCTTAATAGTCACATGTAGCGCTAGTGGCTACCATATTAGACAGCACAGAGCGTAGGCTATTTCCATCATTGCAGAAAGTACCGTTGGACAGTGCTGCAGAGGATAGAGGCATTTATTTATTAAATACAGACCAGCACTCTGCAAAATGTCTCCTCCTCCTGGTGCTGGAGAGTTACCAGTGAGGATGAGGAAGAGGTTAACGGAGGAAGGAGGGAGTGAACGGGTGGGCCAAGAAAAGCTCAGTATACCCTCCTCCCACCCCACCACAGTGTTACTTCCAGTGCCCTGAGAGCTCCCACACCCACCCTGGACCTCAAAAGCTCTCTGTTTAGTTAAGCTCATCCAAAAGGCAGATATGCCAAAGCCTCTGGAAAGACTTCAAGGAAGCCAGCCTCTACCTTAGCCGTTTGATGATTTCTGAAGCGTTACATCTGAGAAGGTGATCTGAGGGGCTCCTTAATGAGACTGAACAGTTCTGATCAGTTTCCGGCCAGCAGTGGCCATTCCGGTTGCCAAGATCATAAGTGCTAATGCTGACTAACACCTCAAGGCCAGAGCCAGGGCATCTTGGCATGCTCAGACTGAAGGGAACACAGAAAGCTCCCTGCTCCTTTCCTGGGGGCTGCCTGGGAGTTCAGCTACAATGTCTTTCCTCTAATCTGTCCAAAGACACTGTAGTCACCAGCCCCCAGCAATGGGGCAGCAAGTTGCAAATTGTGGGTCTGGATGCATTAAGACAATCAGAGCACCCAGACTGAGGGATGATAAAAAACAAAAGGAAAAATAAAATCATATTCAGAGAAAAGACCTTTGATCCTTCACCTATCAGAGTACTTTGTTCCAAAACACTGTGGAAAAATAATCAATTCTGACTTTCAAACATTGTTTTATAGGAATATAATTGGCTAATTTCCTTTTGTTTAAAACTCCGCCAAAAGATGTATCTTCTTTCGTCTACTTTAGCCAATTTATAAAAAAGGAAAGGACCACCTAACAAATGCTTCTTTCAGTGTTCACTAGTTTCAATCAATACTTCTGTCTCAAATTCCCCCTCCCCCTATGAGTGGCAGTGGGGGAATTTCAAGAATCAATAAGTGACATTTCTAAGACACCAGGAGCAAAAGATAACAGGGTGGATATTTACCAAACTATGTCAAGTGTGCATTTGCTAAAAGTCGTCCTTTCAGTGAAGGTCATTCAGTGTTTCTTGGTCCCTTGGTTTTCAAAAACACTTTTCATCACGGTTTATCAGAGAGAGAGGAGGATGAGCAAGAAGAGGCGGCTACAGGGGTGCTTCAGACTTTTGATCTGAAGCAACAGACCAGGAGTGGAGAACTGGCTCTCTGAGGTTCTCAGTTCAGCTGCTGTGGTTACTTTCCCCTTTGTAGTCATTTCTGACTTTTGGACACTTATGAAATCATTGATTCAACAAACCTTATATACACAATTTAGGGTATTTTTCTGTATGGTTTCATCTCACGGAAACCGTACAATAACTTTATGTGGTTGGTGCTATCCTCATTTCCATTTTAGAGCTGAGGAATGTGAAGTTCAGAGGTGTTAAATGACCCATCAAAGCCACACAGCCATCAAATAGAGTTGCTGGGACCAGACCCCAGGTGTCCTGAGCCCAAGTCTGACATTTGGATCATCTTCATCACACAACAACTTTTGCCAGTTGGTGTGGGAAAGAGAAAGCAGAGAAGTGTAGGCCTGTGAATACCAAGAATCCCAAAGGCTGGAGAACAGACTCAAGTGGAGTAAGACCTGTTTTGCGGAGTTCTACTTTAACAGCTGGTTCCTACCTTCTTTCCTTGGCCACAGGGGCCTCATAAAGCAAGTGGTGCTTGTGCCCCTTCACCGACCTGCCAGCATCTGCTTCTTAGAGACACCTTCTATGGGACTGGGGTAACCAAGGATGCTTTGGCTGCTCTCCCCCGTGAGTTCTTAGAACTACATGCCCCTATAACTTATAGGAAACTGCAAGTATGTCTTAGTACATCTTAAATGAGCTCAGTGCATTCTCATTTTCATGCAACTACAGTGGAAAGAGACTATTACCTTGACAACTGAAATCAATCCATCAACACAAATTCACTGGGTGCAACCTGTTTATTGTGGTAGATTGATTACAAAAACAGCCCCTAGTGTCCACCCCTCTCTGTGCCATGTACGCTTTGCAATGTGACTTTGCAGCTCCTCCTTCAGTAGGTGGAATCTGTTTCCCAATCACAAGAATTTGGGCAGGTCACGTGACTAGGTTTGGCCAACAGAATGAAGACAAAAACTGGTGTCCTCTTTCAGAGCTTAGGCCTCAAAGGGCCTTGTACATTTCAACTCTCTGCCTTCGAACTCACCTACCACCAGAAGAATAGCTTAGACCAGACTGCTGGGAGATGAAAGACCATGTAGAGAATTCTGAGTTGTCTCACCTGAGGCCATTACAGACCAGCCAGCATGCAGTCAATGTGCCAGATGCCCTCAGACATAGGAGCAGGCCCAGCCGAGACCCCCTGAAGCTGGTGCACCTTAGCAAGACCGTCCCATCAGCCTTGGGCTTGTAAGAAATCATACGTGGCTATGATTTGAAAACATTCATTTTGAGGGGCTGGGAAGATAGGGGTGAGTAAGGCACCTGCTTCACCAAACTTATCAAGGTGAGAGGGTCCAAAAAAAGGTTCGCTCCCACAAGTTTTATTATTATCTATTTCCTAGGCAGTAACAGGTTTGAAGATGTTCTGGGGGAGGTAAACACTACTTGTGTTGGAAGGTATGAGCCTGAAATGGTTCAAATTGTGGCTAAAAGAGCAAAAGCTTGGAGTCAGGTGACCTAGGTAAGAATCCTTGCCCTAGCACATATGTCCTATATGGAAAAGTCCCTCTCCCTCACAGGTATTCACTGGTTTTCACTCCAAGCCAGATGAATTTAACATAAGCCAAATTAATCCTGGCCCCCTAAGAAGGTTCATTACTGAAGGTCAGAGCCTCATTCATGCACGAACAATAGGACAGACTGAATGAGTCTCTAGTATACAGAAATAGTTAAAAATAGGGCCCAGTTTCTTCCCTACAAGGTCGAAATTACTGGCTCTTCCTGGACTCTGTCCCTGGTTTTCCTTAATGAATACTGCCCCCTACAGCATGTCAGTGAAATAGATTTTTTAAAAAATAATTTGCATGAACATTCCTATCTGGCTCTTAGATGAGGGCAAGGAATTATCCAAGTGTTAAATGGTGGAAACCACACATGTGACTTCTCATGAAGTAGCCATGATTTCTTCTGTGTGGCACCCATCCTTGCCTGTGAACTCTCTGATGGCCTCTGAGCATGAACTTGGCAAGTTCAAGACAATTTAAGTGAAGTTAAGGGAGAAATCTTCTCAAGAATGTGAATGGAGTAAAAGAGGTCATCACAAATGCACACAGGCATATCCACGTAAGATGCAGCCTTTTTCCAGCATACAAATGAATCCTAGAGTACAAGTAGCACCCTCAAAAATAAAGCTCATTTTTGGAATGAATGAATACTTTTAAGGGAACCAATCCAAAGGTGGGGTTTTGGGAACTCTAATAAACTGTGGGGATATGTGTGAAATTACTGAGGTGGAGGAGACTCTTCCAGAACAAATCACACCAACTTTACCCTTGCCTGGGGTAATTAAATGCTAGATTTGCAAGCAATCTGAGAGAAAATCTATTCCAACCTACCGGCTATTGTAAGAAACCTCACCTGTAGCATCCCTAGCAAGTGATATTCCAGCCTCTATTTGAATACCTCTGGGGTCAGGGAACTCACTACTCTCAAGAGAGCCTATTCAACTGTGAGAAGACAAATGTGAAAAGTTCTTTTCACAATATACATATGGAGCCAAAGTTTGCCTCCCTGTATTTTTTTTTTACTTTTACTCCCTATGTCCAGAGAGAGAAGAAAAAAGCTAGTTCAGGATATAGATCTTCATTTGTGCAAGGGAACTGGTTTCTGTCCATAAAACTGTTTTCAAAAACATCCTTTATTTCCAACCATTGTGTGGGAGAATGGGGATCATGGGCACAATGGACCCTGCAAACTTTGGCTATGGGTCTCACCCTGAAGAGGTTGTACCTAGTCCAGAGAATTAAGTTTCTACCTAATCCAGAGAATTAAGTTCATTCATAGTACCCCTCTTTTTTTTTTATAAGACCAGTTACCACAAAATGTAATGATACTGTTTGCATTTGTTTACTGTCTCTTCCATCAGACTTTAAGTTCCATGCAGGCAGAAATAATCTGCTTTTTCACTTTTGAATACTCAGTGACTGGCATAATGCTTGGTACATAGAAGACATTCAATAAATAACCTCAGACACATGAATATATGAAGGACTGAATTCCAAGTACATGAATGTATAATAAATAAGGGAGAGAATCATTTATTCCACACTATACAGTCTGGTTTAGAATTATTTGCCTCTTAAAAATGGAACCAAATCTAGCATAACCTTTTTGCAGCAAAAATCAACTAGTGCCTTCAAAAATCCTTCTCCTTAGGGCTAAACCTGATCCTTGAATCCACCAGCTGGCTGCCTGCCCAAGTGAGTGGGTGGACGGCTTTGTGAAGACCAATTTTAGCTCAGGCCTGCTGTCAGTTCCTCACCACTCAAGAGAAAGTCTTTCCACTAGGCCACATGAACCTGATCACACCCACACTGTGGGTTTTCTCCATTTCACATACATTCTCCTAAATTGAGGAAACAAATGTGGGGAGGCCCTGTCTGGAAGAAAGCATTTAGACAGTCTGCAAGTTATTATCCTCCCAAGCACAGTGCCTGAGAATGCCAGGCTAGAAACCAAGGATCCTCTAGGAAACACACACAAAACTTGGGCAGTAGGGGGCAGCAGTGACTTACAGTCCTAGGCTGTCCTGGAGCCAAAGGACTTTTTTTTTTTTTTCTTAAACTTTTCTTTTTCCAAGCTATGTAATTATAGCTTCCCCACTCCACATTTAGATTTCCCACTCCACATTTCAGAAAAATGCTGTGATTCTCCAACTCTGAAAAAGGCAAAGGGAGCATTAGATGTTAAGAGGCTGCCTTTACCTTTGCTCTTATGAAGGAAGCAGGCCAGGCCATTGATTTCCATCAGCAGTTGTTATCTGTGCATTGTCCACAAAGTTTGGGGAGCCTTGCCATCATAAAAACAAGCATAACCACTGCTAAGGAATCATGGCAGGAGCTCCTAGGACACTAAGAATGTGAACTGTGTCCATGAGGCCTTGGCACAAACCACCGTGTAGCATGACCATTCGTCCACAGGGTGTGACACCTGCAAATGGCCCATGTGTCACTCTCACCACCAAGTAGATATACCATGACCATTGTCTCAAATATTCTCATTGCAACCCCGACACCTTCATCAGGAGAAGACGGCTCCCTGGCACGTGGGCTACACACTGGTACCCTAATGAAATGCACACGTTGATGGAATCACAAAGGCAAGCTGCAGCTAAGAAACAAGCACTTTATTTGCGAGAGTCACTGAAGCCTGAGGATGTCATGTCCTCGGCCCAGAGAGGCAGCCAAGTGCACATTCACAAGAAACTCCTCAGTAAGTAGTTGCAGCTACATGAGCTGCCAGGCTTTACTGTTCAGGGTCTCTCTCCTCAGCACTCCATGCTTGCACTTCACATTGTGAACATGGGCTACATATGCTCACAGAAATGTTAGTTTCATTTATCCCAAAATATATGTATCTTCTCATGCTGTTGAACACTGTCAAATACCTAAACTTGGAGGACATAAACTTTTAAAGCGGACCTTAAACTAAGGGATGACCGAACTAAGTCCTGACTACAGATGAGAGCTTGATAAAAATGACTATTATGAGAGCACCCAGAAAGGTAAATACTTCTCCCTCCCAATGATCCTTGAAATGAAACTGAATTCATGTATGTGTGATAGTTTCCACGTAACAGATGGAAGCAAGAGAAATGCTGAGATTTATCATCTGAAGATCGGATGAACATCAACTAGTCATTTTCAATTCCTGAGACAAGACTAATCAAATAGATCTTTCATCTTTCCAAATGATATATTTTCTCTTTTTCTCTACTCCTTGTTACAAAAAGCCAGGTTTATTGTATTTTAGAGAAAGGATATATAGCAGAACCATAAGTTCACACATTGGTTTTGAAATGTATCCATATTTAGAGACAAACAAACATGGTGGCATTCTTCTTCTCTGTGAAAAAAGGATGGCTTCAGCATTAAAGGTTATTAGTTTCACACATTAGAGGGATTTTTGTGTCTCCTCTTCTGAAGGCTCTTTTAAATTACACAGTAGATCAAGAAAATGACTCCCAAAGGGGGCAAAAGACTGCACTGGATACAATTTCTTTCACCTTGATGTTTGACTGTAATGCTTGAGGTTAAGGACAAAAGCTAGGGTGGAGTAAGGGCAGTTGGGCACGTCACTCAGGTGCCTCTCTAGGCAGCTTTAATAGTGCTCGCCCTTCCTCTGAACAGGACAGTGCTCTCCTCCACATAAAGTACCACCAAGCTCTGCAAGTGCCAAGGAGACAAAGAGCTAAAAGATGATTCTCCAGCTAGGGCAAGGTGAGCCAACTTCTCCCTCAGAGCACCTCTTTGTCTTGTATTCCCTCTGCTTCCCTATTTAGACCTCAAAGGGACACTTTCTTTTTAATATTGCCAGTCTAAGGAAGAATCTGTTAGCTTAGCAGAAACAAGACAGCAATGAAAATGTAAAAATGAAAAATGCAAGAAAGAACTTTGCTAAAGGTTAGTGAGGCAATAGCACAAAGCCAAAAGAAAATAAGACCTATGCAAGTAGTTAAGTCTACCCAGTGTAAGTTGCTGGTTCTGAGAATAAATTTCAATATGTATATGACAAAATGTATACATACATTTAAATGATTCCCCATTTATTAATCTCCTGCTATGTGCTAGGCATTTGTCTGGGTGTCTTACTATATTACCTCCATTCCCCATAACAATGTACTACAAAGTAGTTGTTGAGAATTAAAGGGCAATTAAAAGGGAGTGTTCTCTTTTCTCGCTCTGTTGCCTAGGAGGAAGTGCAGTGGTGTGATCTCGGCTCACTGCAACCTCTGCTTCCCAGGTTCAAGCGATTCTCCTGCCTCAGCCTCCCACTTAACTGGGACTACAGGCGTACGCCACCACACCCAGCTAATTTTTGTATTTTTATTAGAGACAGGGTTTTGCTCTGTTGACCAGGCTGGTCTCAAACTCCAGACCTCAAGTAATCCTCCTGCCTCAGCCTCCCAAAGTGCTGGGATTACAGGCGTGAGTCATCATGCCCGGCAGGCAGTGTTCTCTTTTAAAGGTAACCAAGAAGTCCTGCTAAAACTAGGGTTCTCAAGCTCCAGTGCCTTAAGATCTCATGGGTGTGAAATGTAAACTTCTAGGCTTTTATTCAAAAATATGAATTAGAAGGACTCAGTTTGTAATGCCTGGGGATTTGTCTTTTTAGCAATTACCTCAAGGGATGATGAGATGGCTCATGAATCACACCTTGAGAGACAACAGTCTAGAGTTTTAATTGGATTATGCAAAAAATGAGAAAGAATGCTTCACATCTAACTTTCTCCCAACATTAGGGCTATAGAAGCCTGTTGCCACTTCAAAGATAAATCAACTGAATCTCTGAGAGGTAAGATAACTTGCTGTTGGAAAAGGATTAACAAAACCCTTTCCTCTTTTGGACGAGAATTTGACCTTGGGTTAACTTGCTAACTGTTCCCCTGGAAATGTGATAAAGATAGAATGCCCACTATATTACTAAGCACATTGCTTATGGTAAAAATGACACATCTGGATGGGAAAAACCATAAATGAGGTATAAATACTTCCTGAGGACACCATCATTTTGAGCTTCTCTGAGTTCTATGACAATTGATTGGGCCTAATCCTTGTGGGAACCCTAGAATTTATACTTATGGGGCTGTTACATACTCCCTTGGGGTATGTGACTTTTAAGCTGGATGGACTTGTGCACCTGCCCTATTCAAGTCTTATTCCCTCACACCTGAGCTGTTACCTGGGAATGCAGGGGTACAGCACTAGAATGGTGCTAAGCATGGCCTGTGATGGTCTTTTGAGGGTCATCCTGAGCAGATGCATTGGTGACCATGACATTTGGCCAGAGCCATACTTCTGGGAAGCGGCAGAGCCAATACTCAAACACAGTGGTCTGCCTTCACGGTACTTGCATTCTCTTTGATTGCAAGGCCCCAAAACTCCTCTCCTGAGATAACTGAACACTGGCCCCGAGACTTTGATACAACTTCTTGTTTATTCCTCCAGTGATCTGTGAAGTCCCTAAATTTGGCAGCATCTAATCCATCCTGCCTACTTAGCCTCAACAGGTGGTCTAACTGGTCACTGAGTTCCATTCCAGGCAATATCCCAGAGAATTCTTTAAATTCAATGATGCCACCTTGGTTCACACCTCTAGGTTGGCTTTCTAAGCCCTTTGACAACTATGGGTACTAGCTAGAAGGTCATAATAACATCACAGCTGATTCCCAAAAAAAGATGGCTATCACCCACTCTAACCAACCGACACCTAAGCTCTCCCTGGCCTGGGATAATAGCTCCAGCAATGACAAAGATCTCTTGATGACCAAGGGAGGCCCTACCCCACCACAGAAATGATCTTGCAGAAGTTTACACTCTACAAGCCCTCCATAGAATATGAGTTGAATAACACAGTGAACCCAGCAGATTTGCTGTCAGATTAACACCCAGATCAGGAAGGGCAGGACAAGTCATTCTTTCCCAGCCTTCCTTTTCTCTAAGCAAAAATTTTGAAATGGAAATCAATACAAATGATATCACTTCTCGGAAGTCCTCCCTGAGTCTTCCCAGCTATGTTCATCTTTTTCCTCACAACTTTGAGCCTCTCTCTATTATAGAACACGTGAGCATCATTCCTCTCTGAGACTGTGAGTCCCTGGGAAGCAGAGTCTGTGTCTCAATTCTGCCTGTCACGACAACCAGTCCAGTGCTGGACAGATAGTAAGTGCTCTATAAATGATGATGAAATGAACAAATGAAGAAAGTAACCTGAAACAGGCCACCCCAACTGTACTTTTGTCTGCATGACTTGGATGACTGAATTAATTTCATCTAGTCTAACCTGTAATTTTATGTCAGAATCCTGGTTAATAGCAGGACGTGGGCAACTTTTCCATGGTTACATCTAATCACCAGCTCAGATAAATAACTTGGTTTGCCAACCATAAAGTGACATGTTTATAGAGATTCTAAATCAATGGCCCCAAAGTTACTCAGACATGACATAGTGCTGAAGGTTATAAAATTCTGTCTCGAGCCATGTCTGGCTCTTCTCTTCTGCTCATGACAAGGAGTGAACAAAGAGGAAGGGAATGACACAGAACAAAAACTAGAGGAGGAAACCCACCAGAAAGCATGGATCACGGATGGCGCTCCCATCAGATGAGGTGCAATAGCCAGCGCCAACTGAAGAATTCATTCACACCTCACGGTGGTTTAGTGATGGAGGACCTCAGACTCACAGAGGGGAAACTGAGTCTGGAGAAGTATCTTGAGAGTAGAAAGTTTGACCTCAAACTCAAGTGCTTTTTTGTACTATGTTAAGGCAACTGGTTGTCAAAGCAGTGTCAGTAAACAAGTCCAGTTTTTATCAAATGGTCTTGTTATTTCAGCTTCTTAAAATAATTTGCCTCATTTCAAAAGAATGAAAGTATTTTTTGCCGAAGACAGTGATAAAAGTGCTATCAAGTATGTAGAGAAAGTAGCCCTCTCATATCTTGTTGATGGGTATATAAATAGGTATAATCTTTTGGGAGCAAAATTTGGAAGTATTAAGGAAACTATGCATACCCTTTGATACAGCAATTACACTGAAATGGTTATATACATGTAAAAAACATACAAGGATATTAATTTCAGCACTATTTAAAACATCAAAAAATTGGAAACAACATAAATGAAAGTGATTAAACGATATTGTGGTAAATCCATACAATGGAATATTATGTGACTATTAGGAAGAAAGAATGACCTATGTGCACAAACGAGAAAGGCTGTCCATGACTTCATGATTTCATTTAAAAGATTTTGAAAGTAATATCAATGTGTGTACGGGTACAGAGCTTCTGAAGAATAATTACTTATAAAGCACTTTCTAAGAAAATTTTATCTGTCAAAATGTGATCATATGTGCATAAAATATGGAATAATATAAACAAAGTGATAAACAGTGGCTAATCTAGGAGGTGGGGCTATGTAGGGTTCTTTGTCTTTGAATACATTTCTATGTTGTTTGAATATCTTCCATTATTTTTGTAACGAAAATCAAGATGTGCTTTCTGTAAAATGAAGAAAACCGTATTATTCAGAAGAAAGTATCTTCTATATGCATGTAAGTCAGTCTAGGAATACCAAATGTTTCAAATTCATAATATGGACCAAATACTTTAGAAATGTACTAGATCCCAGGCAGTGTTAATTTATTCAAAGGATGTGAGAGGACAGGAAGAGAAAACACGTAATATCACAAATATTTAAAAAGACAGCTATTTCTTTGCCCCTGAAAATCTGTGATTCTGGTCTGGAGCCCTAGGGCCACTTGGAGTCAACAGAAGTGAGTAGTCTTCCTGCGGGCAAATCTGCTCACATATATATATATATATATAAATCACAGGTCAGGCACAGCTGTGGCTCATTGCTGCTTGCAGGAGAGAGAAAACGAAATCAAAGGCAAATCTAACCATGATGGCAATGATGATACAACAAACAACTTGCAGGTTTTCCTAAAGGTTCTGCAGACTTTCCTCCAAACCTCACAGGCAAAATCTGAGATCAGTCTTTGGGAAAACTAGTAGGTTATGTTGCTGTCCAGGAATATTTTTGTTTTTTATACATGAACTGTGTACTTGGTCACCACCTTATGGAACAAGTGAATGAATTTCATGGGAGTCTCTAGGCCTTTTCTAGCTAAGAAGTATTATATACTATCACTTTTTCTTTAGCTTCATGTCTCAGTGGGTTGTTCTGTGTAACCAGAACTAAATTCAGTGATGATGGTAGGAGGGGGCATGATTTTAAGATAAATTCTTTAGGATTTCCCTACAAAGCATAAAGTGCTCTATGGGTTTTGAAAAGTTGCCTGTTACAATTTTTAATTCCCTTTTTTTTTAATTACACTTTAAGTTTTAGGGTACATGTGCACAACGTGCAGGTTAGTTACATATGTATACCCGTGCCATGTTGGTGTGCTGAACCCAGTAACTCGTCATTTAACATTAGGTATATCTCCAAATGCTATCCCTCCTCCTCCCCCCACCCCACAACAGGCCCCGGTGTGTGATGTTCCCTTTCCTGTGTTCATGTGTTCTCATTGTTCAATTCCCACCTATGAGTGAGAACATGCGGTGTTTGGTTTTTTGTCCTTGTGATAGTTTGCTGAGAATGATGGTTTCCAGCTTCATCCATGTCCCTACAAAGGACATGAACTCATCATTTTTTATGGCTGCATAGTATTCCATGGTGTATATGTGCCACATTTTCTTAATCCAGTCTATCATTGTTGGACATTTGGGTTGGTTCCAAGTCTTTGCTATTGTGAATAGTGCCGCAATAAACATATGTGTGCATGTGTCTTTATAGCAGCATGATTTATAATCCTTTGGGTATATACCCAGTAATGGGGATAGCTGGGTCAAATGGTATTTCTAGTTCTAGATCCCTGAGGAATCACCACACTGACTTCCACAATGGTTGAACTAGTTTACAGTCCCTCTTAATATTTTTTAAAAATTGGGACTAAATGTTGAAATATTTTTGTCACTTACTGACAGAATAATGAAATTCTAATTTAACTTACTGATGTCATTAGAACAATTCCTCCGAGTGAAATTCTTAGGTCAACGGGGTCACACATTAAAGCCTATGAATTGCAGGCTATGACATGGATGACCCTTGGGGACATTATGCTAAGTGAAATATGCCCATTATTTATATTATTCCATATTTTTATGCATATCCTATCACATTTTGATAGATAAAATTTTCTCAGTGTTTATTTTCCAAGCAGTAAAGTGCTTTATAAGTAATTATTTAATTCTTCAGTAGCTCTGTCCCATACACAAAAAGACAAATGCTGTGTGATTTCATTCACATGAGGTATCGAGAGTTCTCACTCATAAAAACAGAGAGTAGAATAGTGGTTGCTAGGGGCTGCTGGTGGGAGGTGGTGAAGGAGAGTTATTGTTTAATGGGCACCGAGTTTCAATTTTGCAAGATGAAAAGGTTCCAGGCATTGGCTGTACCACAATGTGAATATACTTAACATTATTGATTAAAATGGTGAAGAGGGTTAATTTTATGTTATAGGTATTTTGCCACTACTTTTTGAAAAAGTAGTCTATGAATTGGCTCACCTGAGAGTGCAATGCCAGATCCTGACACAGTCAGAGTCTGACTCACTTACAGGAAGGCTTCGGTGAAGGAGCAGGGGTGATGGGATTACATCACGGACTTTACCTCACCTGAAAACAGTCCACACCTCAGCTACAGCACCCACCACAACAAACTGTGGCTTATCTGTTCACAAGAGCGTCCCTCCCCGAGACAGAACTCAAGGTGAAGGACAAGAGGTGACCTCATCCAGGTACCTGTTGTGTCTTACCCGGGTGGTTATTTCACTCTGCATGTGGGCTGGCTACCTCAGGAGCTGCAATCAACAGGTCAGACTCAAGGGAAACCAAGGAAAAAGGTGAAGGAAATGCAGAAGTTTCTGAAAGTAAACTTCCACTGGCTTTTTACCTCAGGATGGTTGAAAAAGTTAGTATAAAAAAAAACCTGGGACAGCCCAGGGTAGGAGAGAGAATAAATGCACCCTTCTACAGACTGGGACCACCATCAGTTATTTTTATCATTGTGAATCCTCACAGGAGTTTTCCATCGTCACAGCTCACATAACACTCTCACAGGTACCTTATCCTCATAACAGACCTCCCCAAGGACAGGAAGAAGCCAGAGTTTGAATCCCCGAGTGGAACCTGGATACAATTCCAGTGCTTAGTTACCAGCGAGGGCAAGTTACTTAATTTCTATTAATCTCATTCTCTCTGCCTGTAAAATTGAGTTAACAGTATTTACCTCACAGAATATTTGTAAAGATCAGGTACCATACTGAAAATCAGGCCAGGCGCAGTGGCTCACACCTGCAATCCTAGCACTTTGGCAGGCCGAGGCGGGCAGATCACTTTTGTAGTGATCTGTAGTGGAGTTAGAGACCAGCCTGGCCAACATGGTGAAACCCTATCTCTACTAAAAATACAAATATTAGCTGGGCATGGTGTTGCACACTTGTAATCCCAGCCACTTGGCAGGCTGAGCTAAGACTGTGCCACTGCACTCCAGCCTGATTGACAGAGTGACACTCTGTCTCAAAAAAAAAAAAAAAAAAAAAAAGAAAGAAAAAGAAAAAGAAAAGAAAGAAAATCAAAGTTCCTGGCATATAATATGCACTTAATAAATAAGTATGATAGCCGGGCACAGTGGCTCACGCCTGTAATCCCAGCACATTGGGAGGCAGAGGCGGGCGGATCAACTGAGGTTGGGAGTTCGAGACCAGCCTGACCAACATGGTGAAACCCCGTCTCTACTAAAAATATAAAATTAGCCGGGCGTGGTGGCACATGCCTGTAATCCCAGCTACTAGGGAGGCTGAGGCAGGAGAATCGCTTGAACCCGGGAGGCGGAGGTTGTAGTGAGCCAAGATCACACCACTGCACTCTAGCCTGGGCAACAAGAGCAAAACTCCATCTCTAAATAAAAAAATAAGTATGACTTCCCTTTCTTTCTTCTGACACTAAAGTCTTTCCCTGGGGCATTGCCTCTACTGGAATTTGCACCATGGTCCTTTAAGGGGCCTCGTTGTTCTCAGGCTGCTCAGAGCAGATATGGGAGCCTTTGCCCAGGGCAGGGTCAGGTCAGTCACTGTCCTAGCATTGGCGGGCACACCCATAGGCAGCTGTAGAACACAGTATACTTCTATACCTGTTAAATCCACCAGGAACTTTTATCTTT
The DNA here is from genome assembly GCF_000001405.40 of Homo sapiens. NCBI lineage: Eukaryota > Metazoa > Chordata > Mammalia > Primates > Hominidae > Homo > Homo sapiens. The sequence goes on along the minus strand of NC_000011.10, from coordinate 19,894,486 downwards.
ATTTTCTCAATTTTTTGGACTTGAGTCTCACATCCATCTTTCAGACTCTTTTATGATAGCTTCTCCCCAAATGAGTATAGGGCAAGGGCAGACTGGCCCGCGAGGAGAGGCCCAGCGCAGGCTTTTCCTAACACCTTCCCAACTTTCTCCTCCTGTGCCAGTCAACCAGCCCTCAACAGGCGAAGCTTCAAGCATTTGTTTCCCACTTCCAGGGAAAGCACGGTATTAATCATGGTTCTGAAACCGAAGTGCCTGGGTTCAAATTCAACTCCATCTCTCACTATCCCTGATATGACTTCAGCAAGTACTTAAACTTTCTTTGCTTTAGTTTCATCTTTCGTAAAATAGGGGTAAAATAAGACACATGGTAGGTACTCATAAAGTTTAGCTTTTACACATCAATGTAAAAACACAAAACTTTCTGTTACATATATATATACACACACAAATACATATATACATACACATATATGCATTGTGAAAGTTATGGATGGATATATATAGAATGGTGTATATTTGTACTCTAAGGAGAATATGCAGGAGAACTTTTATCTGATACTTGTACCATTTTACAAGCATATATTATTTTTGTAACCTAAGCACACTTAAAAAACACACTGGTACGGTGAAGAAAAGGAAAGTGGGAGAGAAGAGGGCAAGGAAGCAGGAAAGGAGAGAGAGAAGAAGAGTAACAATGGTTGCTTGAGGCAGAAACTAAGGGCTGGATGACAAAGTCTTGATAGGTTAAGACATCCTGGTGATGGCGTTAGTGCCATTTGCAGAGTTCCCAGTGCCTTGGCTGGGAAACCTTTCTCCATACACATCTGTCAGCCCTGTATACATTTCCTTCATATGTAGGGAGGAAAAGATAGAGTGATTAGCAAACTCTTGGGGGAACTCAGTTCCACTGCATCAAGTGACTCTGAGTTAGAGGAGAAAATGGCGGCGGTTCCCAGCTCATTCACAGTAGGAGGGCTGCCCATGTCCCTGGGGCACTTTAGGGAGTGAGGGGGCAGCTTTCCTGGACGTCAGGGAAATAGAGAAACACCACGTAGACAGCCCTAGGAATCTTCTACACCACCAGGTAGGAAATGCTTCCAGGAGACCTGGACATATTTCCTAAAGATGTCTAGACTACTTTGCCTAGAAGGAATGAAGGAAGGCTCTGCCTCTTTTTGAATAATCTTTGAAACTACCTTAGTTTCTCCAATGTCTCAAGAGATAGAGGCTGAAACAAGCAAAGGTTTGTTTTACTACATTCTGGGCAGCACCCCCATGGGACTATTCACTATTTTTCTCCATCCTAAAAACTCAGTACTGTGTATAGTAAAAAAAAAAAAAAAATCCATATCCTTTTATGGCAAAAGTTACATCATCACAACTCCTAGAGCAATGCTGTCCACTCCTTATATGTAGCCAAGATCTTCAATGAGCCAATCCACATTCCTGACTTTTTCAAAGGGTGAAAAACCTCTTGTTCCTAACTCCCCTCACATTATTTCTGACGGATAAAAAAGCTTATCACAGTTCACAAAATGCATGCTCCAAGAAGCTTGCATTTCTGAAAAACTACTTAATATATGGAACATATTCCATGAAAATTTATTTTCAAATTCCAAATGCTATATTGCTTCTATGCATAGCCGGGTGTCTATGGGGCCCCACCCAAACAAAGATAGCAAATTATTTTTGCTAGTGACTATAACAATATTTTCCCCCACTTTATTAATACCTCTGGCTACTAAAGTTCCTGCCTACCAAATATGTCCTTGTAACTCATTCTCAACACAGATGCAACCCCTCCCCATGACCCAACCCAATTCACCCGAAGGAACTAGGTAGATGTGCTCTGAAGGAAAATACCAAAAAGGCTCCTCAAGAAGGTGACTCACCTTTCTCGTGGCTGCTTGGCGGTGGGGGTGGGGAGGTGACTGGTTTGGATTTATCATAGTTGTTAAAGCTCTGGCTGCGTCGGTTGTTAGCAGTAGTTGACCCTCCGCGTGTTTTGGCCTCGCTGCCTGCAGCGGATACCCTCGCGGTAGGACCTGGAAGTCTAAAATGCAAAAGCAACAGGATAATGCATTCAGTCTCAGAAGAATAACAGTGTGTAGGAAGAAGGAACTGCAACCATGCAGGAGGCAAAAGAAACTATCCAAGACATTGTGTGGAGGTTTGCCAGTCACAGAATTTGGTGGAACCATTACAAACATGTAGGCAAGTAATGACCCCAGCAAAGTCCAACAGCAAAATGTGAAGTTTCCCTTTGAGCAGAGAGAAAAATTTTGATGAAGAAATATGTTTGTGGATTAAAAATACAAAGTTCAACATGGCAAAACCCCATCTCTGCTAAAAATGCAAAAATTAGCCAGGCATGGTGGTGGGCACCTATAATCCCAGCTAATTGGGAAGCTGAGACAGGAGAATCAGTTGAACCTGGGAGGCAGAGGTTGCAGTGAGCTAAGATCACGCCATTGCACTCCAGCCTGGGTGACAGAGTGGGACCCTGACTCAAAACAAAACAAAACAAAAACAAAGTTCATTTTTTTTTTCCCTCTGGGATAAGTATTTTTACTTTTGAATAGGGTCAAGCCAGTCATTTCTAATTTTATCAAGCATGGAACATAAAGCCCTCAGAGGATTCTAAACTGATAACCTTGTGTGTGCATCTCTTCTGATAGGTATAAAAACTGTTTGCCATAATCTGGGGTTGTAAGTATCAAGAAAAGGACAATTTATAGTGGTGAGAAGGTGAATTACTACCACTCAGAATCCAACATATTTGCAATGAAAACTTCAGGTTGGTTGGAAACACTTGCCCACACATACATTTCCCTTCAACACCTGATGACCTGTCTCCAAAGGCATTATTTTGAGGCTGAAGTACAACTTATCTGCACAGTAGATGGATAACATCATATATTCTTCCTGTAAAACTGGCAGGAATTTGTTGGCCTAAAGACAAACACACACTCTCCCTTTAAATAAAACACCTCATTTTGGGTGGCTTGGGAAATAAAGTCACCATCCATAATGTGTCTAAAGATATTATGGCCCATTCACCAAAGAGTTAATGGTAAGACTCCTCAAATCAGGATTTTGGTCCAGGGAATTACTAAGCAGGCTGTTTCCAATAATTAAAGTTGAAAGATGAATAAATGATGAAATGTTTAGTTATATCTTTCAGCTTGAAATCCACTTAGCTGTGTTTAAAAGCCACTGGAACCTCAGCTGACTAGCATTAGATCTAGTGACAAGTCTGAATTTTCAAGTCATAAAACTTTCAGCCTTCTCTTTCCATGCAAATCTGTAAGCACCAAAGAAGTCTACAGTCTGGAAGCATTTTAGATATAAGCAGGCAATCACTTTAAACTTTTCTTGTTGGCTGGGCAAGAAAGATGGTTGTAGAGTAAACAGAGAACATGAGCTGGTGTGAGGGGACTGTAAAAATTATATAGTTAAAAAGAAGCTGGCCCAATTCCCTGACTGGGAGCTGGGAGAGAAGGAAGGGGGTTAGCTCTTCCCCCAACAAGTTGCAGTGAGAATTACTTCCCACTGTGCTGCGAGGATTTGTACCTTGGTTAATTTACCTCATCTCCTTTGGAGAGGACATTCACTCCACAAAGACAGGCACAGAACGGAGTACAAAATACTAGCAGTGCCAGTGCCTGTGTTTGGGGACCAGATGTGGCTAGCACATCTGGCCAAGGAGGTCCAGCAGTGGGATCTTAGTACCTCTTGGTTCTGCTTCCAATGCAAACAATGTTCTGCAAGTCCTTCAAGTCAGTGTTATCTGATTACTCACATCCAATGGAAGAGCTTCTGCAGGTGAAGATCTGGGCCTCCCTTGGGCTGGACTTTTTAAACCAGACAGAGTCTTTGGGAATCATTATGCCCACAGATAGGCCTAGAAAAGGATTATGGACTTGTTCCAAGATGATGTCAGAGCAATGGTATTAAGTGGTGTAGGGGAACGCAGGTCACAGTATTCTACCACAGTGTGGAATTTGCAAAGAGAAGGGAAGCAAAAAGCAATGAAGAGGGAAAAGATGCATTCTTTCAGAGTTGCTGGAGAGCCCCTGCTGTGCTGACCCTAGGCTGAACCACAGCAGATTTTTAGGACAGGATAAGGACTTTATAGAGGCAAGCAATCAAAGCATAGGATGGGAAAGACACAACCTTAAATCAGGTAGGCAGTCTGGTCCTCTGTGAGGCAGCATGGTGTAATGGATAGAATACAGGTTTTTCCATACACAAGACATTGGAGCAGTCTCATAACTTCTCTGAGATTCAAATTCCTTACCTGTAACTTTGGAATAATGATGAATAATGATTTACAGTTATACCCAATAGTTAACAGTTATACCATTGGGTATAGCTGTAAATCTGAAATGGCTTAATGTCCAGCCACCGTATGTTAGTTTCCTTTCTCGTCTTCTCCAGTGAACACGGGTTCATGAAGGGATTGGACACTGGCATAAAAGAAACATGCTATGGCACAAGAAATACTTGGATAAATCAAGAAAATAGATGAGTCTAGGTTAAAGTATCAGAGAGAACTGGACAAAAATCAATACACAAAAGTCTGAGATGAACATTTTCAAAGAGGCAAGATAGGCTTCGGCGAGCAGGGCTCATCATCTCCCTAGGAACATTCCAGAAGAGAAACTACTCAATCCAAGTATCTGTGGCTGACTGAGATCTTATACTTGGGGTATCTGTGGGCTCCACTCTCTGGAATGAAACATCCGTGGTTTGGGATTAACTAAGATAGTTCTGGGTTTTCCTTGGGTTGTCATGGTCAGATTCTTTTCACTGAGTCAGTGGCTAGCTACTCTTTTGATGGGAGCAGCACATCGTTCAAATGGCTGCAGCATTGTGCCAAGCCTTTTGGGACATGGAGAAGGAGTTCTTGAGGACTGTGAGGATAGTGGACATGGCAAAGGGCGAATGGTTTGCATATAGCCGTCAAAAGCCACCAAAAAGCTCAAGCCAGCTCCTGTCCACCCTTGACCACTATCGCCTCTACACTCTAGTCAGGACAGCTCCCTGAACTTGATCAAATCAGAAAACTGGATGGAGATCATGTACTTTTTCCCACCATTCAGAGAGAATCTATGTTGACTCTGTAGTTTAACACTTAGGTTCTGTTGTAAATGGGCTCAGATCGTTGCTTGCTCCAAAGTAAGCCTCCTCCGTCTGACATTTTCAGCAAAATTTGGTTCACAAACAAAGGCCATAATGACTGTGTGGTAAGTGGGAAGAAAGAAAAAAAGCTAAGCCCGGACTCACCCAGGAGGGAACCAAAACATCTCTTGGGATGATGAGTCCATCCACAAACTGAACTAATTCAGACTGAACTTTTAAGTACTGGGGTTCAAGTGCAGGATTTCAAAGCCAAAGGTGACCACAAGAACCTGAGACACCCAAGCAAACCTGGGAGGCCACTGGACTTTCTACAAACTGAAAGAGGCAGAGCTAGAATGCTCAATCTTACCCGGATCTCAAGGGGCTTGTCGACCCCAGCTGACATCTAGATTACAGATGTATTGGTAAAATACGTGAAGTTCAGAAGGTATTCAGAGAAGGAAATGAAGATCTCGGAGGTTGGTGAGATGATCAGGAAAGGTAGTGTGTAAAAGACCCCAGAGCAAGTCTGGCACGCTGAATGGGAATGTGAGTAGGGGATGGGAAAGCAGGGGGCAGAGCATGCCACTCTGAAGCAAAGCCTGTAGAAAGTACAGGGGAAAGAAAGAGCTGGTGTGTGCTGGGACTCGGGGGACAGAGTGGGAGGAAACGAGGCTAGAGAAGAAAGCAGGGCAGGGAAGGGAAGACTTTGTATGCTACACTATGGAGCTTGGACTTGGTCCTGCCCTCCAGGGATGTGGTGTTAATTAAGGAGGCTGAGAGCACAGGTAGAGGTGAAAAGCAGAATATCTTCCAGTTTACCAGTGGTACAGAGCCGAGGCCTCTGGCTAACATTTTGAGATTCATTATTGGTAACATCCTTGTGTATCATGGGAATGTCTATCAACCTCCAGTCTGGAAGCATCTGCCATCTGGAGCATTAGAATCCCTGTTTGCTGAAGAGCTAGGTCTTGGCTCCTGTGGAACAGCTGCAGGTATCACAACGGATGCTGCCTACTGGGCCTGCCTCACTGAGGCAGCGTGGTGAGAGGGGAGCGTGGCAGGTCAACCCTGCATCCCTTACAGCACCAGAAAGTCCCAATAGCTCCTTCCCAAGAGGAACTTGACCTCTCATAATCACTGTATGTCCAAACACAATTACAAATAACAGAGAACACAGACGGGTCCTTTGAAACATATACATGTTGAGTTTTTAAAATATTAAGCTTAAGGGAAGTGGTGTAAGCGGTGGGGGAACAATCCTGCTGCTGTTAGAGCCATGGTCAATTTCTCCAACGTGTGCAGAGCCAATTAAGCAGAGCAGTAAAACTGTCATTCCCAGCACATAACCTACGAGTGCATCCCGGCTCCTCTGTTCCACGCGATGTACGTGCTGATGGCAAAAAAAAAAAACAGTTCTTTCCCCCAAAACCACTTCAGAGGCTGGGAGCAGAGGATGCCCCCTCCCAGGAAGCATGGCAGCTTGTGTGCACATGCTGGGGTTTGGCGGGGGGCGGTCATAATCAGAGATGCTTTTTGCCAGGCGAGATGATTACATACTAAATCTCTCATTTCCATGGCATCTGCTTTTCAGCCCAGCAGCTGGGCAGAGAGGACCAAACTACTAACCCCACTGCCTCTTTTCCACAAGATAGTTGCATACAGATCAATTCTGTGGGACTTTCTAGAGGCAGCCTGGTTGCCTTACCTGACCCAGATGAACCCAAAATACCAACACTGCCATATCTGAACTGATTATATGTCAGGACTAAGGAAAGACTTTATTAATTTATATTTATAATTATTCATTAAATGACTTTTTTAAGCCTCACAATGCTGTGAGCAAGGCAAGACTACCCCATTTGACCAATAAGGAAACCCAGGCTCATAGAGATCAAATCATTTGCCCAGGTAACACCATCAGTAAGTGGTAAGGATGGGCCTTCGCTTAGGTTTAACTGCACCTCATATCCACTATGCTTCTCTGCTTCCTGCAGGTAAAATAAGCCTCCCTGGGCTCACCAGGGAGGCCGGGAGGCAATAAGAGTGGTCAAAGGCAGAAGTCCATGGAGAGCTTTCACCCTTATATCAATTCCCTCCATACGCCCCTCCCCACATCCAGATTCAAGGGTGAGGCTTCCCATTCTTCTCAATACCCCTGGTGCCCATCAAAGTGTTGGGTTCTGGCAGGTGTTCCACCAATGCTTGGTCTCCAACAGGAGACCTATTTCCAGAGCTCCAGGGGAGGTGGCCTACTCTGCCAGAAGGGGTAGGACTGCTTCTTTTGGCAACCAAACTTTACTGCTGTGCTTAGTGGTGCTTGATCAGCTAAAATTCTTCACAGGATCCTGCTCAAGGCTGGGGGTGGGGAAAGGGGGGTGTAGAGAAGGCAAGGAAGAGCCTTCAAAGGCTTCATTTGAAACAAAGAAGCATCCCTTCATTGGCCTCAGCAGAGACAAAAGCGTATCTCAAAGAAACTCTAAGTAGGGGATATGACACTAAGGGAAAGCCAGATCTTGGCTTAGGGTAAACCCAGAAGCACTGTGCCCAGCCCAGCCTCAGGACAGGGTTGACACGCCCTCATCTTCCAGTGCTTCCTCTCTTCCCCCTGCCTTCTTCCATCATCTGGGACTGATAACAAATCATTCACGGGATGGGCATGTGCTTCCAATTAGATATTTCCCCAGCTAGGTCCTGTTTTCTTTATCTTGCAGGACTGAGCACATCGTGGGAACAGGCACTAAATTTCAGGTTTCCTCCCAGCTCATCCCTCCCCTTTCCTTTCCTATGTATGTGCATTTGTGTGACATTCAACCTAACTGAGAAGGGACCAGTTTGCCAGAGCAGTGGGTTTCCACTCTGACTTGGGCCTGGTGTTGTTAGGGAAAGCAGCCACTTTCTGCATGGCTACCAGAAGCGGTGACAAACTTGGGTTCCCTATTGTCCTCCTCCACCGAGTCTGGGTAACGTGTGGACTTGCTCTATGGAGAAGCACACTGCCATACGGTTTCTCCCCTCGCCAGCCAGGCAGAGCCTGACCTGGGTCTCCCCAAGTGTAAGCACTTCAGAAAACCAAACTCTAGGTTCGGCAGCTCAGTGGCTCACACCTGTAATCCCAGCGCCCTGGGAGGCCAAGGCGGGAGGATTGCTTGAGCCCAGGAGTTGGAGACCAGCCTAGGTAACATTGAGAGACCCCACCTTTAAAAAAAAAAAAAAAATTAGCTGGGTATGGAGGCATGTGCCTGTAGTCCTAGCTATGTGGGAGGATTGCTTGAGCCCAGGAAATCAAGGCCTCAGGGAGCCATGATAGCGCCATGATAGCGCCATGAGTCTAGGTTAAAGTATCAGAACTGGACAAAAATCAATACACAAGAGTCTGAGATGAACATTTTCAAAGTGCATCTGCACTCCAGCCTGGGTAACAGAGTGAGCAAGACCCTGTCTAAAAAAAGAAAAGTAAACTCTGGCTAGGAAAGGCACCTAGAGGCTAACACACTGGGGTAGCAAGTGAGCAGTTATTTTGTATGTATTTGTGATAAATGAAGACAGACATGAGTATGGATTTCCCTTTCCATACTCAATAAGAATATGTATTGAAATTGTAGAAGTACACTTCACTTGGATATCTCTGCAATCATTTAGGTAAGAATTATACAAAGCCAAAAAGCAAATAAAATATCCTCCTAACCCTATAGATATGTATACTAAAATGATGCACTTGCAAATTTGTTTAATACTTCATTAATTTAAACAAGAGTAAATTCATACTGTGAACCAAGAATAGGGTGACTCAATACTCAATAAGAATATGGAATTCAATGAAATATAAGAATAAGAATTCAATAAGAATTCAATGAAAAATAAATACCAGTCATAATAAGGAGATTCTACCCCAGCAGCAATTTCTGTTAGGATGCCACAAGGGCAGTGTGAGAGAAAAAGCCAAGAGTAGTGGTTGAAACGTAAGATTTTAAAAAGCAGCCTCAACAACCACAGAGATACCAGAATTGAAGGAGAGGGAAGAGAGTGTAGCACTGTGGTTATAGTGAAGGTTCTGAGTTAGACCACCTGTGTTCAAATCCTGGTTCGTCCATTTTTTATGTGTGTGGCCTTGGGCACAATGATGTAACTTCCTAAATTTTAGTTTCCTCATCTGTGAAATGGAGACAATAATATGACCTACCTCATGAAGCCTGGCATGAGGATGATATAAGATGACACATTTGAACTGGTGCGTTCAATAAATGTTAGCTGTTGATACCTTGAAAATAACAGTAGAAGCAATGATGCAACGTGATATAACTGGCTTTTCCCATACCATAGGATGGGTCCTCATAGGAGGCAGCAGACAGGTTGAAGTCTGAATTAAGAGAACTAGCTTGTGAGCAAGCCTGTTTTTTATTTTCAGGGAACTGAGGCGGTCTCCATGGCACCTAAGAGCATCCAGAAACAAAGACGAGACATAGCTGCCTTGCTGTTTTGTCTCCTCTGCCCAATATGGATTCATGCTCAAGTCTTTATAACTCAAGGGAAAACCAAACCCACATTAGTAATTTTAACAACAACAACAACAACAACAACACAAAGCACAAGACACATAAATGAGATGCAGGTGAGGTGGGATTAGGGCCAGGACGAAGCAGGAAGCAAACTCATCATAAAACCACTATAAAAACTATGTAGAAACTCACCTTTACCTAAATCAGAATGGAGTCTGATGACAAAGCAGTCAAAGCCAAAAGTCAAGAAAATGCGAAACGTCATGTACACCTCAATCTCACTTGCACTCTGTCACTTCCCCCACACACACTTGCAACAATCCCATGGCCACTTTCAAAGCTCTGCACCATGGGACCATTAGCCAAAGCACATTTAGTTTTCTCGAACTGCAAACATGAAACGAGGAGAGGACCAAAGGCAAACTCAGCCAGAACAGAGGGAACAATGGAACAGTGGGTTGGGATTAAACCATGCTTTGCAGGACACAGAGAAAGTCTAACCTAGAGATCTTTTTCTGACCCAGAGTGAAGCGGATGATTTTGCTTTGAGATGAGTCCTTGGATGATGCACTGCATGATAGGAAAGAAAAAAGTGGAAGAGCTGAATGAGGAGAGAGAAGATACATTAGACACACAAATCCTAAGAGTCTTCTGACAATGGGGATGTTGCTGTTTCTTTCCCCCCCTGCCCACTGTTTTCTATGACACACAGCTTTCTTTCTAGGTCTCAGTTTACTGATTTGATAGATTTCCAATGTGAAGAAACTGCTTTTAAGATTATCTAAGAATGCTTGTGTGTATGTATTCATGTGTGTGTTTCTTTAAACATCAAATGTCTTTCTTGCCTTAAGGCCTTATTCTCAAAATATGGGGTCCCTCACAAGTAAACAAACTTTATGCCTTTCTAAAGTATTGAGATGTTTCTATTTCACATGCTTGTTCTACTGGGGTGCTTTTCAGATGAATGTCCTCAGTATCCCATAAAGGTGACCCAAAACAAGATGTTTGCAAACCTATACCCAGATGTTGCTGGCCTTGGGGATTTTTGCTTTTAATGCTATAGAAATGACCATTTAATGCTTGTTAAACTCACTAAATTCTGTTTTTCTTGTACTATAAATTGGTACATATAAAGAATTTTAGTTAGGCTTAATAAAAGAAAAAGTTAAACTTATTTACTGCTTTCTGAAAGATAGAAATATTTATCTTTCTTGCATCCATACATCCTGTACCATGTTCATGAAAGGATCTGAGGTAAGAAATAATTTATTGGTTTTACTAGTCTTAGGCAGTGAAGAGACAGAGGAGAATAGAGAAAAATATAAAGTCATTTTCTGGATTATTCTTTAACAACTGAATACTGATTATCTGTGTAGACACAGATGGAGGAAAAAAAGCAAGTCCTGGAGACTATGCTCCTCTCCTGGACTCTAGACCAGTGGGGAATTTCACAGGGTGAAATGTGGATTAAGTTCTTGGCCACCATGTCAGTTATGAGATGAGCTAAGGGGAAGAAGCAAAGTGAGCCTCTATGAAGCTGTCATGGAAGATTTGCTCTGATTCCTTCATGCCAGTGGAGCAAAAAAAAATCTCAGATTTTCTTTGCCAACTTCCATAGCTCCTTTACCAGCAAACTTCATGGAATGTTGTCCAAGCTTTAGTATTTGCTACCCCCCAGGGGTGCTGAACCTAGATAGCTTCAAAATAGTTTTTAGGCAGAGTTCTAACAGAAAAACAAAACAAACCTGGCATGTGGGGGGTTTGCATCAACATTTGACATTAATAATCAAGCGTCCAAACCACTGCCCTTGGAATTTTGGTTATCAAAGATAGAATTTGGAGACCGAGCCACTGATGTAATTTTATCATTCTTAAATTTATAGCCAGAGTGTTAGCATGGGATAGCATATCCCTAGACCTTGAGAACAAGATTATCCTTTGGAAATACAATTAGAAAGTATCAGGATATAGTGAATAAAACCAGTCTTCTGCAGAAGTAACCCAACCTGGGCAAGATGAAGGGATGAGGACATACAGCAACTCCAAAGCCCGGTCTATGTCACCACTGTAGGGTCAGGGGGCCATGATGGCAGGACACTTTGTAGCTGGAATAAATGAATGTAAAAACCTGACTCAAGTAAGTTTGGCTCTTCTTTAGGTAAAGCACTCGTTAGTAGTAGGATGTTTTGGCTTACTGGGAGATGGGTGCTCTGACTGGAATATCTGGTTATTTTAAGAAAACAAACGCCTACCATGGAAATGGATGCCTCAGGTTAGCAAAGCTCAGTGACACAAGCCACTATTTCTCAATGCATGTTCCTTGGAACCCTATGCAGTGAGATGCTCTATAAAATAAGAAGAGTGACGTGGCCAAGTTTGTAGAATGCTCCTTTCTGTGTCACCACCTGTCTGAACATTCATAATGCATACCTGCTCTCCTGGGCTTCCTCATCTCAAAGAATAATACCACCACTTACTTAACTGTTCAAACCAGGAATCTAGGCTTTATCTGTGATTCCTCTCTTTCCATTATTCCCGAGAGTTAATCTGTTTGCAGGCCTCTTGGCTCAACCCCCTAAGGATTCAGAATTAGTCCATCTCCATTTTTGCTTCTATTACCTTGGCCCAACTCATCTGTAGGATTGCAAAGTCCTCTCAACTGAGGTCCTTCCTTCCATTCTTGCTCCTCCACAATCTCATTCTCCAAAGAGAAGCAAAGGTGGATTTTTTGACCTGCCAATCAGATCCAGTCTTTCTACTACTTTAAGACTTTCCCATGGCTTCCTGTCACCCTTAGAATGGAGTCCAAACCCTATCCAGTTTAACTGGTACTCTATGACGGGGCCTGAGTGCCACAGCAATGTGCAACTCCAGGGACCACAGGTCACACTGTCATCCACATAAATGGTAGCAGCCCTCTCTCCTTCCAAACTACCTTATCACTGATCCCTCTCCTCCCCTACTAAGCTATAATAACCTTGTTTATGCTCTTCCAACACACCAAGCTTACCCTTCATGTCCTGAGAGAGACCTTTCTATCAACCAAACCTAAATTAGCAACCCAGCCCCTCTGAATCCCATCATCTTATTATAATACTCACCACTATCTGATAGCTCCCTTTCCTGTTCATGTGCTTGTTTGCCTGCCTCCTCTAGGAGCATAGGAGAGCAGGCACCTCGGCAATCTCATTCATTCTTGACTCCCAAGTGCCTAGAACAGTGTCTGGCATGTGGGAGGCTTAATACCAATTAAATAAACAAATGCATATTGGCAGGTTCAAGGATCTCAGTAGACCTACAATGAGAGCCATATAGCAATTTAACCCAAATTATCTCCCAATATTTTCCCCCCACAGAACTGCAATATGACCCAAGTTAACATCCCAGGGAATGAGCACTCAGCAGAATGCAGTCTGGGAAATGACACCCTGATCATTTAAATAACCCATGTCCATCAGGGAAGCTCTGACTGGGAGTGACTCCCACTCAGGCAGTTCTCCAGGGAAAGGGTTTGGCAAATGGCTGATAAGGCTGTCTGTTCCTCATTGCTAGTCCAGGCATCTCTCCCACCCCACAAATTCCCACAATGCAAACTGGATATAAATAGATAATTAATTATGGGACCTGATTTGCATTACACCCATCAGTGCTGGTTTTAACATCATCACAACTGGGAAATAGCACTTCTCATGGGGAAAAAAGAAGGCTGTAACTGTCTAAAAGGCAGCAGCTGTGTTTGAGCGGCTTTGTGCTCTGTCCAACTAAATGGGTAATAAAAGGTATATCAAGGTGTGTGAGAAGCCTTATGATTATTAATGCTGGTGCTTTGGGGGAATGAAAAGAAAAGGCCATTACTCTTCAGCACATATTGGATGAAATCAAGCAATCAATCTGATCAGTGACATTTAGGGTTTATAGCTGAAGTCTTGTGGCTTAAAAGAAAACAGTATGAACTTTTCTGTAGAACTTGACCTCAAGTCAAAAACTCTAGTTCCTAAAGTCTTCCTTTTTTTTCTACCATTAAGACAAAAGTTTTACAGGGTGATGTTATTTCCACTGTAGCACAGTAGAGGGTAACTACAGTGGCAATTGGCTTGTACCTGGTGAGTATGACTGGCAAACGTCAGTCCCCCTGGGAACAAAATCCAGACCCCAACCCTGCAGATTACTCCTGCATTGTGGGACTCTCCCCATCTCAGTTCAACACAACACAGTCACATTTAATGGTAACTGCTCCCGTTAGGCGATACTGCCCCGCTCAGGGATGGCTGCCTCCTTCCCTTGCCACCTTTCTTTGGTGCCCTCTATATTTCTGTTCTGGCAAAGCAGAGGCATCCACAGGAATAGAACTTTTACCTCCACTAAGTAAAACTACTCTCATTTATAACAGTGAACATTCAGCTTGTAGGGAGACACACAAAAGGTGTTTGAAGTCTATTTTAGGGGCTGTTTATTGTCTACGAGCATGTGTGTAATAGGCCGGAGTAATAGCAGGAGCAGGTAATTAGCTTTGGCTGCTGGCAATTCTGACCTATAAAAGTATACATCTCTGCCAGACACAAGAAGGGCTCCTCACTGCATGCATTTCAAGGCCATGCTAATTTCCCACTAACCACCAGTAGCTCTCAGCATTGAAGAAGCACAAATGAAAAAGCCATACAGGATAGCCTAGAGATTGGTTGGGGTGGAGGAAGGTGCCTGAAAAACAGAACCATCAGTTGGCAAGGAGCCCCCACCTGGACTGCATTTCAGCTTGTGCTTTTGACTGCTGATGTGGCGCTGGCTGGTGAGGCTGGCACGGGGCTTGGGGAGTGACTGGCACCTGCTGCTGAGGGGTGCCAGCCTGGCACTGGGAGGGGGCCCCGGCCACCTGGGATACGGCGGGCGGCAGAGGTGAGGAGAGGTGCTGCTTCTGGGGCTGCTGCTGCTGCTGCTTGTATCGGGAGAGGCTGAAGAAGAGGCCTAGAATGGCCTTGAGGTTTCCATTCCTGATCTCTGCAAGACAATAAAGAGACTCTTGTCAGATGGGGAGCTCTTCTTCCTGTTCAATGGGCTGTTTCAGTCGGCACGTGAGTTTGATTTCTTTAGGATATGACAGGCTTCCTGAACACTTCATTGGTATCACAGGCAATTAAAATCAGGCCTATACCACAAAGAAATTAGCTTATTCTCGCCATTAGGATTGGAGTGGATACAGGAGGCAAGTGCAACTGGATGTCTGGTAGGTGCCAAGAGGAAATTCTCAGTAAGGACACCAATGAAAAAGCAAGCGTCTCGAGCAAGACCGTGCTTGTTCTACAGGCAGGGGATGGAGGAACTCTGGCACTGGGGGAAGCTCATGGGTCTTCACAGTGCACTTGGCTTCTGCCAAGTCCATGTTCTAAGCTTCAAGCCACAGTGAGTGTGCCAAGTGGCTGCTGTCCCACTCCATGATCTGCGCTCTGCTTTCCCCAGTCGTCCTACTCTCAAATACGTGGCTCTGTGTCCCCCATCTGCTGAACAGATAACTCTAATTTGGGGTGGGTATAGGGTAGGCTAGAAGGACTTGCTTCCATAATGGACTCATACAAAATATTCCCTACATTAAAAGAAATTAGAACAGAGTGGGAACAAATTTTTGTTTTTATTCCAGACAGTATTTTTCAATGTTAAAATGCATTTGCCTCAAAGTATGCATAAAGAGTTGCAGAGGAGAATAAAATATTTATTCACAGGCAAAGGCTATGGCTCACGAGGGGCTTCTCCTTGGGAGATCCCTCCTTTCTATGCAGTTAACGCTAGATGCAGATGGCCAGAGTCTGAGCAGATCCTGAGAGTGAAGTTCTGGGGCTACTGAGCGTGAGGGACAGAGGAAAGGGAACCTTGGGGGCAAACTTACTCAACACTCTCTGCTTTCCTGTCATCCTAGGATGGGTTTTTCTTAACTGGCAAGGGGGAAAAGGCAGACGTGAAGCAAGAAAGCTTCAAAGGCCTTGTTAGAGGGGTAGGTAATGCACACTTACAGGTTAGCCCCGGGCTGGGAAAGAGGCTGCTAGTGAAGGAACAAGAGTTTCCTCCAAGGCTTAGTTGGGGGGCAGAAAGTATGAATGGAGTCCTTTCAGAAGCAAGCTCCTTTCCACGCAGAGGAGGAAGTGCGCCCTGCCAGTGCCTTCCCCCCAGTGTGATTTGCTGATTAGGTCAGGCTGAATTATTTCCCTTGGAGCATCCCTTTCTCCAGGCTCTGAAGAAACTGACAATACGAACTTCTAGAATCCAGCCTTCACACCCTACTTTGGGAGCTAGCAGATTCTGATCACAGGACAAAGTAGACAGGAGCATAGCATTTGGAAAACCTAAGCCGTGAGTTCCAATCTGTATTCTTACCACTTCTTAGTTGTGCAACCCCAGGCAAGTCACTTAATCTCTCCGGGCCTCAGTAAAAGGGCAATACGGACACCGCTTTGCCCCACTGCACAAGGTTGTTTTGCAGAACTAATGGGAGCACTTAGGCAAAAGCACACTTTAAACAGTGAAGTCCTTCATTCATCTTGGTTATTATATGACTATAGCCCCAGAATCCTGAATGAGATTCTCATACAGCTCCAGCTTCATACCTTAAAAATGACAGTTTTTACTATGGTGACCTTTTAACCTATTGTGCTAACTATGACGCTTCTGAGAATGAAAGCCAGGGAGTGGGGAGCTCTTAATTATACCAGGACCACAGTTGATAGCCAGGACTGATGTGGACAAGTCAGGATGCAAAGTCACTGCTTATAAACCACTCTGTGTGATGTGTGAAGCAGAGAAATGTCCAAGGGGTGGGCCAGCCCCTCAGTCTCTTTTGGTAATTCAGCTTTAATCCTTCAGCCATGCTTCCTTCCCCACACTAAGGAAACCAAATGAGAGCCACACACCTGTAGCATGTTCCACTTCTGCTTCCAAATGTTCTCAGTGGTACATGAGAATCACAGAGTGTGAGGCTTGGATGAAATAATTCAGCTGGCTACTCACTTTACTTATGGGAAAACAAAGGCCCACAAGGTGAAGTGACATATCTATAGTCACCCAACTGGGCAGTGACAAGAGCTAGGGACAGAATCAAGATAAGCCGGCCAGGCACGGTGGCTCACGCCTGTAATCCCAGCACTTTGGGAGGCCGAGGTGGGTGGATCACGAGGTCAGGAGATTGAGACCATCCTGGCTAACACGGTGAAACCCCATCTCTACTAAAAACACAAAAAATTAGCCGGGCGTGGTGGCGGGCGCGTGTGGTCCCAGCTACTCAGGAGGCTGAGGCAGGAGAATGGCATGAACCCGGGAGGCGGAGCTTGCAGTGAGCCAAGATCACGCCACTGCACTCCAGCCTGGGCAACAGAGCAAGACTCTGTCTCAAAAAAAAAAAAAAAAAAAAGAATGAAGATAAGCCAAGCAAGGTCTGACATGCTAGTTAGTGTCTATTAAAGTTAAGAAAACAATTTCCCCTCAAAACTGAATTCACTGGAGGGAGAAAGTACTGCTAATTATGGGGATAGATGAAATCTATGTAAGATTTACTTTTAGTGCCTTTTACAGTTATCAAGTCATATAGTTTATAACAATAAGAGCTATTATTAACCAGTGTGTATCAGGCTAAGCTCTTTATATGCATGATCTCATTTAATCCTTACAATATGGGAAGTGAGTAGGATTATCCCTCTTTCACATAAGGGGAAACAGAAGCTCAGAAAGGTTTTATGACTTGTCCAAGGTCATAAACACTGGAGCTGGGATTTGAATCTAGGTTTTCCGACTCAGGGTCCAGTTTCCTAACACTGTGTAACTTGACTTACTTGTATAGCCATCATGTTTTATTTTAATAAATAAAATAAATGCTAGCTGGTAGGCATTTGAGTATTCTTTATTTAAATAAATAAATATTTTTTATTGATAAATAAATATATAAATATATATAAATATATTTAATGTTTATTTTATAAAATAAATAAATAAATAAGTAAAATCCTAGCTGGTAGGCATTTGAGTATTCTTTATTTTTCTGGGATGTCAAATATTCTGTGATGCATTTTTTTTTTTAACCATGCAAGAAAAAACAGGAGAGGAACTAACAATTCAGCATACCTGGAGGATCAGGGGTCATCCACTGTAAAAAGTAGGCACGTTCACATCAGCTCCCTCCATAACCTACCAGCCCAATCCCAGTGCAAACAGCATCAGTCCTGTTGTATTCTCTACCTACCATTGTCATTTAGTCATTTATTGATCAGAATGGCCATTGTTCCCTAAACCATTTTTTTCATTTGTCAGAGACTACAGTGCTCCTCCAATAAATATATTTCCTCTTAGGAGGCAGCATTTTTATAACAAACAGCTCTCATTTTTTGGAGCCAGAAAATCTTGTGGTTAAATCTCTACAGTCCATCGTTTATACACTTTGAGATTTTACAGGATTCAATCTCTCTGAGCCTCAGTTTTCTTCTTTAAAATGGGCATATGTCCTACTGTACCTTTCCTGTAGGATTGTTATGAAAGTTAATTGAAGATTAAATGAGAAAATGAGGCCGGGCATGGTGGTAAACTCCTGTAATCCCAGCACTTTGGGAGGCCGAGGCAGGCAGATCACAAGGTCAAGAGATTGAAACCAGCCTGGCTCACATGGTGAAACACCGTCTCTACTAAAAATACAAAAAAATTAGCCAGATGTGGTGGCACGTGCCTGTAGTCCCACCTACTTGGGAGGCTGAGGCAGGAGAATCGCTTGAACCCGGGAGATGGAGGTTGCAGTGAGCCGAGATCACGACACTGCACTCCAGCCTGGTCAACAGAGCAAGACTCCATCTCTAAATAAATAATAAATAAATAAATACATAAGAAACTGAGTGCACCTAGGATACTTCCCGACTCTGTACTTCCCTTTTTTGGCTGAGAAAATGTGGCCATTCTACCTGCAGCCTCCTCAGAACCCACCACAGAGCTCTTCACCCAAAGGAAGCCTAAGAAGTGGTCCATTCTCTCTGCTCATCCCCTGTGTGCCACAGTCGCTGGTGTCCAGAAAGGAAAACCACGAATGATCTAACATTAGAGAAAACTCAATGGTAATCTTTCTGGTTTTAAAAACAGTTTTACTGAGTTATAATTTCATAAAATTAAGTATACAATCTAATGATATTTAGTAAATTTAGCAAATTCTAGATTTAAAATATTTCTATCATCCTAAAAAGATTCCTTGTGCTCATTTACAATCAATCCCCAAACCCACTCCCAGGCAACCACTAATCTGCTTTCTGTTTCTACAGATTTGCCTTTTCTGGATATTTCGCATAAATAGAATCATGCAATACAGATGGTCCCCAACTTGTGATGGTTTTACTTACAATTTTTCACCTTCACTATGGTGTGCAAGCAATAGGCATTCAGTAGAAACTGTACTTCAAGTACCCATACAGCCATTCTGTTTTTCACTTTTGGTATGGTATTCAATAAATTACATATAATATTCAACACCTTATTATAACACAGGCTGTGTGTTGGATGATTTTGCCCAACTATAGGCTAATGTAAGTGTTCTGAGCACATTTAAGGTAGGTTAGGCTGAGCTATGATGTTCAGTAGGTTAGATGTATTAAATGCATTTATTTTCAACTTATGGTGGGTTTATCAGGACATAACCCTACAGTAAGTTGAGGAGCATCTGTATATAGATTTTTGCATCTAGTTTTGTTCGTTTTGAGACAGAGTCTCACTTTGTCATCCAGGCTGGAGTGCAGTGGCACAATCCCAGCTCACTGCAACCTCTGCCTCCTGGATTCAAGTGATTCTCCTGAGTCAGCCTCCTGAGTAGCTGGGATTATAGGTGCATGCCACCACGCCCGGCTAATTTTGTTGTTTTCAGTAGAGATGGGATTTCACCACATTGGCCAGGCTGGTCTTGAACTCTCGACCTCAGGTGATCCACCCACCTCGGCCTCCCAAAGTGCTGGGATTAAAGGCGTGAGCCATTGTGCCCAGTCTGCAACTGGCTTCTTTTACTTAACATACTGTTTTAAGGTTCATCGATGTTAGAGCATTTGTCAGTTTTTACATTCCCATCATATAGATACACCATATTTTGTTTATCCATTCACCAATTGATGGACATTATAACTGTTTAATTTTCTTTTCAGATTACAAAAACTCAAGAGTGCTGAATGTGCTGACAGCCACACAGTTTCTACCATGGGTGGTCTATAGCAGACAGTATCTAAAATAGCTAGAATTATATTCTTTCCATATTTCCAAATGGTATTTGTCTGTGTTCCATGAGGCTTGGTAAGCCAGCTCCACAGGAAGCCTAAAAAAAACCCCAAAGCCCCACAAGAATGTTTCCCTCATGACATTCCCCAAGGCTTTGGAAAAGGAGTTACTATTTTGTATCTGATTAACCTCACTTTCTGGAGTTCTAGAGAAGGAAAAACATGTAGATGTAGAGAGAACTGACTTGCCTGAGGAGACACTAGCCAGTTGTGGCTAAACCCAACCTGGAGCCCTGTTCTTTCTCTTCCTGTGGCCACTCTTGTGGCAACAGAAAAGCAAATTGCATGGGCCATATTCTCATATTCCAATTTCTATTTGAATTAGTATTGCCTTGACTCCACTTTCTTTGGGTTCTGACTAATCGCTTTCTTCCCACTGGCTGGTCCTAATCTGCATAGATGCTGTGGGTAATGTCAGGCATGAAGAGTAAGATAAATAGGAGTTATTTTCTTTCAACATTTTTAAAGAGAAACTTCAGGCTTGGTTTACATGGCACAAGTGCTGAAATAATCTAATACAAAGAAACCTGCTTTGTAGGGTATAAGGGATTCAAAGCCAAAGGGAGGGCTGTGCAAACCACAGAGCTGCAGAACTCCTATTCAATTCCTTTGAGCCATGGTTGTGTGAGGTTTACCCAGCTGATTAAGGACTGTGGATTCTGCAGCATTGTCCCTGCAGTTGGGCCGGCTGCATAATCAGCATTCACCACTTAACTTGCCCCTCCACTCAACAGCCCTCTGTGTTCTTGCTGCTCTCCAAGTCTGCCAATCACTCTACCCACAGGAGAAGTGGGATGAGAGGATGGGAGCAGAGCCTATGGGGACCCTTCTGCTAAGAAACAGAAACTGAAGGTCTCAGTCAATGCCATACTCAGGTAATATAGGTAGGAGGAAATGGAAATGTTCCACCTGCTGCTTTCACCGTACGGGTCCAGAAAGACCTCCTGCTTTCTAGCTTGGGATGAAAGGAGGAGAAAACTCAGTACCTAGATCTCTCTGGCCATCAGGGCAGCAAACCCAGGACTAAGCTAATCAAATCAGCAAGTGGTTTCACTTCAAAGCATACACTCCTTCCACCTGGAAGGATGTTCCTACTTTTGTTTATCCAATGTCTGCAAGGTTTCCCCCCATCATATTAATATTACCTATGCCTGATCTTCTGTCTAGATTTCCTTTCACCTTCCTTTTCTGTCTGGCAAATGTCTATTCATCCCATGAAATCTGGGGGGAAATGTCCCACTTCTGTGTAGCCCCACTGAGAGCCCCAGCAAAAGTTGATTTGCCTGTCTTTGGTCACCACCGGATCCTGTGCTTACCACTAACACAGCTCTGTCTTATTAACTGGAATCAAGGTTAGTTTAATATGACTGGCTTGATCACTGGTGTACCCTAGTGCCTAGCACTGGGCCTGGCATACAGGATGTGCCCAGGAAACATTTGCTGAACTAGATAGAATATGCCTTACTCCCCAACCTCCATTTCTCCATTGCAGGAGGATGGGCTCAGGGCCAGATAGCACAAACCCCAGGTGTTCTCAAAATGGCCAGAAATAAAGGCCATCCTTCCTCACAGGGGCAGTTTTACAGATGGCTGTGACAGGTGGTGTGTTCTGGGGAAGGGTTGGTGGGGGATCTTGAACACCACCCCAGGGCAAAGGGAGGCCCAAGCTCACAGGACTCTGGCACATCTCCAAGAGCAAATAGATGGGTTCAATCTTCAGGAAAACTGACAGGGCAGGGAGGCCTAGTCCAGGGAAGTTCCCCAAACCAGCAGCACCTCCATGGGGCTCACTCAGGCCTGCAGCCTCTGCCCCCAAGCATCCGCCGTCTGTGCCCTAGAACAAAGGCTCCCTGTGGCTCTCCAGCAGGCGGGTCGGGGCAGGCCTGAGCTGCTGAAATGCTTTGAGGACAGGTGCATACACCCTCCTGAGTGCAAACCCAGCTTTAGACTGGGAAAGGGTGGAGATGTATCTATGGGGCCTTCCAACTGCTGATGTTTTCTTCATCAGAGAAGGAGCCTCAGGGCACTCAGTCATCTTCAAAAGGAGAACAAAAAGCATTAAATCTGCATTACTTTTTAATACACCACACTGCTTTGCTAGTAGTTATGCAGGTGGATAGAAACATAGGCAGTAATGTGCAGTAGCACACACCAGGCCTTTGAATCAGCAGATGTGGGTAGTTTAGCCACTGCTGATCTTGTGGGCCTCCTTTTTATAATGTGTAGCTTAATCTCTTTGGGCCTTGGTTTGCTCATCTGCATGAGGGGGATAATACTAATACTGACCCCATAAGGTTGCTGGGGGTACTAAATAAGATATAAATATGCACAGCACTTAGCTCAGTGACTGACATGTGGTAAGTTCTCAATAAATCTATCCCTGTAATGTAACATGATGTCAAGTGAGATATTGCCTGTACCCTGAAATTATGAATAAGGCCAAATTTGAGGATTAAAGGCTGTAAGTACCCTTGCTTTTTGTAAGTTTGAGAATGTGGCAGACGTTGGGGCCACTTTCCCAAAGGAATGCAGCAGTTCACATTTTTAACACTCATATCTTCATCACTCCCCAACCTCCAAAAAATATAAGAAGATCTAGATGACAGAATGTCATTTTGGGGAGACAATGTTTGATGATCATGGAGAAAGGATATTTTCCTCCCCTCACCAAGGAGGCAAGGCAGCAGAGTCCTTGGGCCCCTTGAAGTCAAGGGAGTGGTAGCTCTAAGAATCGCTCAAAGTGGGGGTGCTGGCAAGAAGGAGGGCCTGGCATTCCAGTCCCAAATTGGACATCCGCTTAGCAGAGACCCGGCTGATCTGCCTCTTGGCCACCTGAATGAGGAAAAGAACCGGAGAGAGACTGTCTGGTGGGGGACCGCTGCCAGGTGACAGGAGGCCTTGCAGTTCCACCCACTGCAAGTGGAAAATGGAGCCCACACGTTCCTGCTAGTCCTATGGTAGGTACCGGAGGGATCATAAGACTGAGGTGAAAGATCTGGCCAAGTCTCACAGAAGACCACTAGTGCCCCGGGAGCTACATGGGAGTAAGTCCTGGTCAGCAGGGCCTGCTGAGACTACCAGCTGAGACAGTGGCAGTGATGTATACTGAGGACAGCACCTTCCCCAGCAGCAGAACTCTGCTTCCTCTGTGCTGCCTCAATCCTGGGGGCTCTGGCACAAGAACATGGGAAGGGGAAAGGAGAGAAAGTCACGCCGGCATGCCCCCATCTCTCTTCAAACTCCTAAAGCCATTTACACTGGAAGGAATGAGGGTAAAGAGCTTTGAGTAGAGTCTGAGATTGAAGTTTAAAAATGACCGTCACTGAGTCATAAATATGGGCATCAAGTAATTGTAACAACTTGAAGATGACTACAGAGTTATATATCCTGGCCAAAATATCATTAAGTGAGTCTTGACCCAGCAGGAAGGATGGGGGTTCAACATAGCACAGTTAAGGCAGTTATTGAAATACCACAAAACTCCTTCATGGTTGTACCACAATGGCTTGATACCACAGCACACTGGCTATGGTATGCTCTTCCATGCTCAGAGCCTCCAAGGGTCATCTCAATGTCAAAAAGGGGCAGACAGCTGAGTGTCTTTCTGCATGATGTGCCTCCATGGGCTATAACATCTTCTGAAGCAATGCTCCAGGTGACAAAGAGTTTAAACCTCATTTCTTTTACCTTTATATGGCATACCTAGATTTTATCCACCTCTATCCCAGAAGACGCCATAATCATGAGCTCTGAAATCACACAGAACTGGGTGTAAATCCTGGCTCTGCCACTCTCTAGCTACATGCTTCAGGGATGCCGCTCATAACCTCTTTAAACCAAAGTTTCTTCATCTATAAACTGAGGCTGTTATAAACTCCAACTTTAGTTGTGAGAACTGAAGCCAATACAGATAAAATCCTGCAAAGTACAATTGGTACTTGTTCTTTCAACAAATACTTATTGCATAGATTCTCTATGCCTTGGGGTACAGAGAGGATGGGACAGATGGGGAGAACAAATGAGGCAGAAGTCAGGCCAATGGGTAGATGGCTGAGTAGCCAGGGGTCACTACCAGCCAGGCAGGATGAAGCAGGCCTGCAGAGTCTGCATACCCAAGAGGCCCTGCTGCCACTTGCTGCCAAACACACCTCTGTAAAAGTCCCTGCTGGTGCTCTGCTGGGGGACACAGGCCTGTCCCAGGAGTTCAAGCACTCCCAGAAACTAGGACGAGTATGCCCTGCCACCTACCAGCCAGCACAAGAACTCTCTACCAGGAGGAAATCATGTGCTCCTCTGAATGGGAATTTGCATCTTCCTACTCCCAGCAAACCCCCGCCCCCCAGCAAAGCATATTCCACATGTCAGCCAGCCCTGATCTTATCCCCATGGATGAGGGTCCGTACCCCAGGGCTGGGGAATCTTCTGGGATTAGGACTGACCACACGACAACTGCTTCTGCGAACTCTGGAAGCAGTGTGGCCGTGCCTGACTGGGAACAGGTCCAGCACATCAGAGTTATTAACTGAGGAATTCCTACAGTCCCACTCAGAGACGCAATACATCCACGAGGCATTAATAGTGGTCATTTATACCACCCACCCCCAATACCAGGAGAGACTACCACTCAGAAACGCAGCCAGGAAAACCAAGCTTTCACCGTGTAGCAGAGCAAAGGCAAGGAACAGGTCCCAGATGGAATCCATCATGCTTGCAAACTTACCTGCTCAATTTGGCTGTTTCCTTCCTCATTGTTCTTCTCTGCCCCACTCTGACCACCAGAGTCCATGCTAACAGGCCTCCTTTCAAAAAGCAGTCTCACTAGGGAAAGGTGCTATCATCTGAAGCCCAAACTGCTTTACCTGTTCTGGGAAAACTGGAGGCAGGTGCAGCCTAATGAGCTTGGGAGGATGCCTGGGCCTATGGCAGCTCTGAGCTGGCAGCTGCTTGTATTTACAAACAGGAGAGAGCGTGAAAGTTTCAGGCTGACTTGTTGTCTGAGGTGGCTGAGAATTCGAACCAGCCATCTCCAGACCAATAACTAATTTAATAGCAAAACACTGGTGAACACTCATGTGCTAATTAGCCACCAAATTTAATTAAAAACTAATCACAATGTAAAAATACAGCATTGCATTAATAAATCACATGCTTTTTTAAGAGCAAGAAAAAGTGCTGCTTCCTCGAATAAAAGAGATAAGGATTAAGCATTTTTCCCCGGGAACTGTACAGCTGAAATATGCTCTGTGGTGAAGCATGCTCTCTCCCATAGATGAGGCCTGACTTGATAATTAACTGAATTACTAGACAGGTGAATCAAATCAGCATTGTTTAAGCAAGTCTTTCTCAAATAGGACAGCTTCCCCTTCACTACCCTCTCAGGGTCTTGCAGAGGTGGCTGGTATGGTTGAATCCACATTCTTGGAGTGAGTCCTTGGCATCCTCAAGTCTAGGCAACCACTGAGCAACATAAAGGAAAACAAAACCAGAGGAGCCCACAAGCATCCCTTGTCATAATGGTGTTAATATCATTCATAAGTAACAGGTGGGCATTTCTAATGATGAAGAGGCAGCTTCGTGACAAGCGCTCTGACTCACCTTCTGCAGACAGCCCCTGGATGTTTATTCCCTTAGCTGCCAGGAAATTCAAGCAGGCATCTATGTTTTCAATCTAGGAGGGAAAAACAACAATATATACTTAATAAATGTTCAGCCTCTCCAGAGCCATCTCTTATGAGGAACAATGGGAAAACAGAATGCTGTAAAAACGGCCGATGAACGAACGCCAAGATAGGACACTCTCTTTTGTCTGTACTTGCACAGGAAAAAGGTTACCTAATATCCCAACCACATAGTGCCAAAAGTTGAGGTCTTGCATTGCTCACAGCCGCCAAAAATAACCAGGGTGGAATGGGAGCTCTCATCTTGATCACTGTCACCACCAGTGCAATCCTGAAAACTTGAGCAGTTGCCAGAAAAATGGAGGTGGGGAAAGGGTTAGTGGACACACCCATCTACCAGCAGCTGGGAGAAATTTCCAGCCACCAAAGAGGCAGGCAGTCAAATGTACCAACAGTGAATGGGAGTTTTCGCAGGAATCTGGGTAGCATTTACTCACAAAATTCTCCGGATGGCAGGCATTGCAAATGACTGGGGAGGGCTGTGACCTCCTGAACCCCTCTGTCCTTTGTGCTTTCTGTGGCAAGAAAGGACCCACGAGAGTCTGTGAGATCTGCCAGGTTTGCCAGGGCTGACACCACAGCCAAGGGCAAGCCAGTGTCCAGCCTTCCCAAAAGAACAATTAGGTCATTCCCAAGAAGCTAATTTTACTTCAGTTGTCAGGGCTAATTGTTTTTTGGTTTAAAGGAAAATGTTCTGGCTTGATTAATGTCAACGGGTACCATAAGTAAAAGAAATTGCTTTAGACTTGGCACAGAGGTCTTTGAATTTCACACAATTTGCATTTCACAATGGGGACCCCACTCATTCCCCTCCACAATCACCCCACCCCTCATTACTTCCCAGGTTCCGTCAACATTCCTATGAACTCAAATCAGTATTTAACCCATGGAATTTATTTTGAACTAATAAATGATTGCCTTCCACAGTATACATGTGACCCTTCTCGTTTCTTCAACTCCAAGCAATTTCCCAATGCTCCTTCACAGCCACAGAAAATGTAAAGTGTCTACACTTAGGAGCTCTAATTTGAGTAGCGTCTAGCTCCAAGGCAGTCTTCCCAAAGTTCACATCCACCCACCTATTGACATTTGGCATTTTATGACTTATCTACTCCCAGTCTTCACATCTTCCAAGTGCTTTAAATTAAGCTATGGGATACCTGAATAAAACTGCACCCATAATATACACTCTACTCAACCCTGAGCTTGAAGTTACTCCATCCTTGCATTTTTAGCATAGGTTCCCATCTCCTTTCCAACCTCCATCTCACACTTCAAGGTCCTCATCTGGAAGACATTTTCTCATCTCTAGAAAAAGGTGCAGAATGCAATTTGCTGCAAACTAAATGTTGATGCTATGCGTTATGCCTTTCATCATTGCAGAAAGTCCTTTCTTATACACATGGAGGAAAGGTGAGTTTTCTTTTCATCTTTCCTGTCCTCTGTCCAGCCCCGTGGATGACCACTTTTGATGGTGTTGGTTTTAGCAAATATTATGTGATAGAGAAAGTGAAGTAAGGAGGTCAGATTTCTGACCAAGATTACACAGGTCAATGTCAATGGCAGAGCTGGGTGAGAAACCAGGAGGTCCTCTTCCCTGTTATACACAGGAGCCTGCATTTACATAAATGCAGACAACCAGGTGCTATTGGCTTAGAGGGAATGAGGGAGGGGAAAGTAAACACAATACTGGCTGGGAGTACCCTGTGTGTGATGTCTTGGAGCAATCTGCTCCCATTTGTAAGTGCAATAACAGTTGTGTCTCTAAATGCCACCTCACCATACCATGAAACCCTGCTTTTGAGAACAAATGTTAACTATCAGTCCTTATTTCTACTTTTGTACACAGTGGTAATATACCAAATCCACTCAAAAGGACTTGTTGCCCCCCAAAAGAGACACTAGTATTTAAATAATAATAAAATTATAAAATCTCTCTTCTACTGCTTGCCTTTTCCTATCATTCTCTCCTACTTCTTTTATATAATATCTTGCACATGGCTGGTGAGTGAGGCTTTGGCAATTATGTCCCCATGGAAAGTGAGAAAAAGAAAAAGCTCACCATCCCGGAATCTCTTATTGCAAAATCAAAAATAGTACACTCGATATTTATTCTGGGAAGTGTCACGGAGGTGGGCTGACGAGGTAGGTTAAGATTTTTCAGCAATAGTCCAGCAATATGGCACTGAAGAAAAAAATAAAGACAACCACCAACATATTCAAGAAAAGCACTGCTCTACTACAACACTATTTCTATAGAACTCACATTCCAAGAAGCATAAAGTACATTACTTATATTTATGGAACATTCAACACATACAGCATCATTTAAAGTACATGATAGTGTCTGTTTGCAAGGCTAGCCTTGATACATTTCAATTCAGCCATCTGCTGGACTTTCTTTTAATGTCCGATTCTATTAAAAGAATGAATAATTATAAATAAGTTACCCGAATACTTCTTCTTTGTTAACTTTTTAAAGTCCTGTCATTTTTTTCCCAGAATTTTATAATTTTGATCAGTAGTTCTCCACTGGCTAGGGATGGAGGGTGGAGGTGAGGGACCAATTTGTCAATGTCTGGCAGCGTTTGGGGCTGTCACAATGGGAGCAGGGTACTACTCGCATCTTATGGATAGAGGCCAAGATGTAGCTAAACATCCTACAATGCACAGTACAGCTTCTCACAACAAAGAACTGTCCAGTCCAAAACATCAACAGTGCTGAGATTGAGAAGCCCTGAGTTATAGGATTATTTCAAGCATTCATTCAGTCAACATCATTGTGTAGATGTCTGCTCTGTGCCAGCATGGCACTCAATTCTTTGGATGGTGTTGGTTTTAGCAAGTATTACGTGATACAGAAAGTGAGGTAAGGAAGTCAGATTTTTGACCAAGATTACACAGGTCAATGTCAATGGCAGAGCTGGGTGAGAAACCAGGAGGTCCTCCTCCCTGTCATACATAGGAGCCTGAATTTAGATAATCCTTCTCTAGGGTCCACAGTGCGATTCAACACACACCTTGATTCCTGTCTTTCTCTAGAAGAATCAGAGCACATAGACAAGAGAGGCATTAGGATCTTCCTTTATTAGGTGAACAGGGAAGGCCTGAGGGCACCATTGTTTTCTTCTAAAGAGATGAAATACAGGGAGCCAAAACCAGATGGCTGGTCTGCACTCCAGAAGATGTTAAAACTAGAACTTTGTCATTATTTAAAAGATCATTCGTAAGTCCATCAAGTGCCTTGAATTTTTCCCTTCTACTATGATTTCTCTGTTCACAGAAGGAGTTCAAAAAACATTCCTCAAGTCTGAAATCCACTCTTTAATAATATTCCATTAAGGTTAAAAATCACTCCTGACAAGGCGGCCGAGACCCACGCTCTTTCATCTGCACCCCAGGAAGAGAGTGAGGCTGGGAAGCAGAATGGGGTCAGATGTGGCTTCCAACCTCCTGGCTTCATTTGGAAGGAGATCAGAAAGGGAGATTGTTTCTTTGATCCAGGCCCTCTTGTGATTAAAATTCACCTTAAGGTTTTCTTCTAAATACTGTACAGGTAAACACAATCCATCTTCATGTACTGTTGAAACTGCAAACTCCTACCACATCTCAAGAGGGGAACAGCCCCAGCAGCAGCACCCCAGTAGTCATTACAGCACAATGATGTCCTCGTGCCCATCTTTAACAAGACTTATGTGTGATCCAGACACACAGCATGAGATGAGGATCTGATTAAAGTTGGGAGGCAGAGTGAAAGAAAAGACTCTTAAACAGCAAAGTATGTAAATAAGACCAAACTTGTTCATTAGCATGTAGTGGCCAATATAAACTACTTTCCAAAATTAGCTGAAAAAAATCTGTATGAAGTCTGACATTCCAGTGTTTTTGAAGGGGGCTGGGGACTGGGTGAGAAGCTATTGTAGTTGTTGCCATAGAAATGGGTCCAAGAGCTCTGGGACTGAGTTCCTGGAATTTGCAGCATTAGCTGGGGTAGAGGGGGAAACCCAGGAGAGGGACTACCACGTGGCTTGGAGACTCCGGGAGCAGAGAGGTGTTGAGTGAAGGATGGAGGTAAAGAAAAGGGGCAGACCAGGATGCACCTCCCCAGAATTCCCTTTGTTTGGAGCCAAATGTGGCCTCCACCTTGTGCAGTGCCTGAACATCCATGAGAGAGGCTGCAATTAAGCCTTTCTGCCAATCTCAGCTGAGACTGCCATCCCAAAGTTTAGTTTCTCAACAGTCCCTGACCTTTAGACTTGCAGGGCAACTTCCATGGGCTGTGTTGCAGCCTTTGTCTCCCATATCCTGAAGTATTTCCCCACCAAGGAGAGCCAGGGAGTTAGAAAAATCAAAACAAATGCCAAACAACTGGAAAGAGAATCAGGAGATAGGAAGCAAATGGAAAACTTTGCATTTCAATCATGATTAAGGCTGGACTTGGGTCTCCTGATAACGTAAAATATGCAAACCTCGGAAGCACTGCTATATATCTCCCTGGTAGCTTAGAGACTGATCAAATACCATCTGTTGTGGCAGTTGTCATGGCAGCATTTTTCTCCGAATACCAGTGTAGCTGAGTGCAAAGCGCATGAAAATAATTAATGCAAAGGAAGACCATCTCTATGGGTGCTACCACAGCCTAGGGGAAGATGACATTCTGGGCATACCAAATAAATGGAACTGTAGTTCTTATGGTTTAATAGTTTTTTGCCAAGCCCCTTGGGAAATCTCCAGTCTGGAAGGAGAGGCAAACAGCTGCTGCATTAAAGTCAGGCATGGTCACAACCATTTTTGTAAATCATGAAATGCCTAAAGCTTAGGCAGTAGGAGCTTTAGACCCCAGGCAAGGCTAAGTGAGAACCTGCAAGTTCTGGTGACTTTGGAAGCACAGTGTAGCTTCTTCATAAAACTCATATGTCAACTCAACTTCCTCCCAGAAGTGTGTGGGACCCTCATACCTGATATTGCTATTTGCCATCAAAAGTAATTGTCACCCATTCATTTATCTATTCCTTCACCCCTATTTACTCAGCACCTACTGGGTGTCAAGCAATGTGCTGGTGTTGAGTATATAGTGGTGAATAAAACAGACATAATCCCCAACCTTGTAGAACCTACAGTCGAACGCAGGGAAACCAGCATTTAATAAAGAAAGCACAAATAAGTATATGATGACAAGCTGTTATGGTTACTGTGAAAGAGAAGAGTGTTGGGAACGTGTACACAGGAAGGAAGACCTAATCTAGCCTATGGGTGCAGCACGGCCAAGGGGAGGGTAACAGACAAGAATTTCTTAAGGAAGAGGCAGCACATAGGTCCATGGATAGGGTTTTTTGTCTGCTTTGCTCACTGATGTAGCCCCAAGCACCTAGGATAGGGTGCAGCACATAATAGATCTACTCAAGAATATTTGTTTACTGAAGGAATAAAGAGAAATTTGTGCTGAGACCTAAGGAGTTAGCCAGGCACCAAGAGTGGGGAGAATAAGAACCTACCAAGCCTAGGGAATCTAAAGCTAAAAGACTCCATACAGGATGCAATATACCACATTCTGGAACCCAAAAAAAGTCATAATGGCTGGAGCATGGCAGGCAAGGGAGAAGGGCAATGAGAGGTCCCTTGACAAGAGTAGATGGGGCCACATTGGGGCATGTTGACCACATAAAGGAGTTGACATGGAGAAGGAGCGAAAGCAAGGGTCTCTTCATTCCTTGGGAAGTCTTGTCAGTACCTCGACCTGCCCCATTACCATGGAAGTAGCAGCCCAGCCAAGTCCTTCCTATCTGAAAGCTGGAGGATGGGCTGTTTCATGTTGGGGATGGGTCAAACAGTGGCCTCAAGGTGGCTTCTAGGCTGGTCACAAAGAAGGGGTGGGATGGGAGGCAGATATCAACATTTGTGGTCACATGTACCAGAAATGTCTGTTCCATATCTAAGAGGTCTCCACGTCCTTCTAATACCCCTTCCTCTGTCTCTTTCCAAAACTAAAAAAGAAGAAAAAAACTATGAAACCAAACCAAAAAGCAAAATGAACTTTAGGGAAATGCCCTCCTAAATGTCTGTCTTGTAGTGTTATCTGTCTCTTTCCTCTATACTCCTAGAGGTCACAGCCTTATGCACGATTTACCCACCTTCTTTTTTTTGTCCACCTGTATCAGTGTTGGGGGCCTAGCAACCTCACAAGATCACATGTCTTATGCAGCACAGTGTGGTCCTGGAGATGCACAGCTCCATAGGGCAGAGCTTGCGGGGTCCTGACACTACAGTTTTAATTTTAGAAGCGGACCTCAGAAATGAGGGAAACACATGGTGGTGCTTCCAATTCTCCTAGGTATGGAAATATTCGGGAGCATCAGGGCCTGCCCTTCTGTAATGTAAGCTACTCAGGCTGATGTATAAAGAAAGCCAACTTCGTCCTGTCATAAGAGGGGCTCCGTGACTCTGTCCCAGCTTTGGCTATTCAAGCATCAACGTTTACAGCAAGCCGGCTCAAGCTCTCATGGTGGCTTTGAAACAGGAAAGCTTAAGAATGTGGGAATCACGGGCTGGACACAGCTTATGAGTCCCTATGCCAGACTGCTTCTCCTCCTGCTTTTCCACCTTGCCCAGCTCCTGCCTTTAATTTGGCAGTGTTATCCACCATACTGTTTATAATATTTATAACTTCAGCTTTCCAAGATGTTGTCAAAAATTCCCTTTTTAAAAAACTTTTTAAGAGTTTCTCTGCTTTACAGCAAATGGGTAAGTCCATATGGATACAAAAAAAAATTATCTCTAGAGAAAAAATTGAAAGCAAGATTCTCAAATTCCTCCAGTGACTATCTTTTTCCACTTTGCTTCCAAGTGCCTAGAATATTTTTTCCTATTATTTTCCAACTTCTCAATTTTTCCCTTGAAACAAAGAAAGCAACCTGGGAGGGGAGTTGTAGCTAAAGTTCTAGAAGTCTATCCTTACTCTGGAGGCTCCCAAAAGATACTCATATGGCTGAACTCTGTTCTCTTTTAGAGATGGTAGACCCTATGAGAGGAAAAATTCCACTGGTGACTAGTGTCAGAAAGGCCCAAGGATACCTTTGTGTGCATTCAATCAGTATCCCATTCTGTGTATGCTTTCTCTTGCTACAATTTCAGAGTGACTCTCCTTAAAACTTCCTAGCACTTCCAAAAGGAATCATCAAGCTAGAAGCTGGACACAAACACAAAAGGGGAATGATTAGGGCTAAGGAGTGATATTTAGAGGATGTAACACAGGCTTTAGGTTCAGACAAGTCTGGATTCAAATCTTGTTTCTGGCATTTACTAAATGATGATGCTCAGCAATTACCCCAGTGGCCTGATCTATAAAATGGTCATTATAACACCTACCCCCTAGGGTGGTGGTTGTCATTAGACAAGAGGATATATTCGTGATGTTTAATATGTGCCCAACAACCGGTAGTTTTTATTACTGTGTTGTAATTTTAGGCATGAGTGGCCCTGGGCAACAGTTCTAAGGACAGGACATTCCAAAGCTGTGTCTTGGGTTGGCCCCTGGTGAAACAGAGAATCGAACAGGCTTATCTGCTTTCCGTTTCCTCCTCCAGGCTTTCCTCTCAAGCACAGCTCTCCAGGAATCTGGGCCTTCTCCGTAACCTGATGTCATGCTTACTTCTCCACAACCTCTTTCTTGAAAAGATGCTGATAAACAAATTCACACCAAGACAGAAGGGACTGACATTGGCTTCCCACATTACCTCTTGCCCACAATTATTAGGTGACAATATCTGTTTAAGAGAATATGACTCTGGCCCTCTCCCTCTCCCTCTCCCTCTCCAATATCTGTTTAAGAGAATATGACTTTGGCCCTCTCCCTTTCCCCCTCCCCCTCCCCCTCCCTCTCCCTCTGCCCTCTTTCCACCGTCTCCCTCTGATGCCGAGCCGAAGCTGGACTGTACTGCTGCCATCTCGGCTCACTGCAACCTCCCTGCCTGATTCTCCTGCCTCAGCCTGCCGAGTGCCTGCGATTGCAGGCGCGCGCCGCCACGCCTGACTGGTTTTCGTATTTTTTGGGTGGAGACGGGGTTTCGCTGTGTTGGCCGGGCTGGTCTCCAGCTCCTAACCGCGAGTGATCCGCCAGCCTCGGCCTCCCGAGGTGCCGGGATTGCAGACGGAGTCTCCTTCACTCAGTGCTCAATGGTGCCCAGGCTGGAGTGCAGTGGCATGATCTCGGCTCGCTACAACATCCACCTCCCAGCAGCCTGCCTTGGCCTCCCAAAGTGCCGAGATTGCAGCCTCTGCCCGGCCGCCACCCCGTCTGGGAAGTGAGGAGCGTCTCTGCCTGGCCGCCCATCGTCTGGGATGTGAGGAGCCCCTCTGCCTGGCTGCCCAGTCTGGAAAGTGAGGAGCGTCTCTGCCCAGCCGCCATCCCATCTAGGAAGTGAGGAGCGCCTCTTCCAGGCTGCCATCCCATCTAGGAAGTGAGGAGCGTCTCTGCCCGGCCACCCATCGTCTGAGATGTGGGGAGCGCCTCTGCCCTGTCGCCCCGTCCGGGATGTGAGGAGCGTCTCTGCCCGGCCGCCCCGTCTGAGAAGTGAGGAGACCCTCTGCCTGGCAACCGCCCTGTCTGAGAAGTGAGGAGCCCCTCCGCCCGGCAGCCGCCCCGTCTGAGAAGTGAGGAGCCCCTCTGCCCGGCAGCCACCCCGTCTGGGAAGTGAGGAGCGTCTCCGCCCGGCAGCCACCCCGTCTGGGAGGGAGGTGGGGGGTCAGCCCCCCGCCTGGCCAGCCGCCCCGTCCGGGAGGTGAGGGGCGCCTCTGCCCGGCCGCCCCTACTGGGAAGTGAGGAGCCCCTCTGCCCGGCCAGCCGCCCCGTCCAGGAGGGAGTTGGGGGGGGTCAGCCCCCCGCCTGGCCAGCCGCCCCATCCGGGAGGGAGGGGGGGTCAGCCCCCCGCCTGGCCAGCCGCCCCATCCGGGAGGTGAGGGGCACCTCTGCCCGGCCGCCCCTACTGGGAAGTGAGGAGCCCCTCTGCCCGGCCAGCCGCCCCGTCCGGGAGGGAGGTGGGGGGGTCAGCCCCCCGCCCGGCCAGCCGCCCCGTCCGGGAGGGAGTTGGGGGTGGTCAGCCCCCCGCCCGGCCAGCCGCCCCGTCCGGGAGGGAGGTGGGGGGGTCAGCCCCCCACCCGGCCAGCCGCCCGGTCCGGGAGGTGAGGGGCGCCTCTGCCCGGCCACCCCTACTGGGAAGTGAGGAGCCCCTCTGCCCGGCCACCACCCCGTCTGGGAGGTGTACTCAACAGCTCATTGAGAACGGGCCATGATGACGATGGCGGTTTTGTGGAATAGAAAGGGGGGAAAGGTGGGGAAAAGATTGAGAAATCGGATGGTTGCCGTGTCTGTGTAGAAAGAGGTAGACATGGGAGACTTTTCATTTTGTTCTGTACTAAGAAAAATTCTTCTGCCTTGGGATCCTGTTGATCTGTGACCTTACCCCCAACCCTGTGCTCTGTGAAACATGTGCTGTGTCCACTCAGGGTTAAATGGATTAAGGGCGGTGCAAGATGTGCTTTGTTAAACAGAAGCTTGAAGGCAGCATACTCGTTAAGAGTCATCACCACTCCCTAATCTCAAGTACCCAGGGACACAAACACTGCGGAAGGCCGCAGGGTCCTCTGCCTAGGAAAACCAGAGACCTTTGTTCACTTGTTTATCTGCTGACCTTCCCTCCACTATTGTCCTGTGACCCTGCCAAATCCCCCTCTGCGAGAAACACCCAAGAATGATCAATAAAAAAAAAAAAAAAAAAAAAAGAGAATATGATTTTGGACTCCTCCATATCTGGTTCTGGCTCCCTGACAGATGCCCACAAGACTCTAAGAAAATTATTAACTGCTTCAAGCCTTAGATTTGTCATCTGTAACATGAAATGCTGATATCTATCTCCCACCATTACTGAGAGGATTGGGTGGGTGGATATATGTCAATGATCTGGAACTTCACATACCCAGAGCTCTAAAAGGGCTCATTCTTCACGTAATTTCATAATGGCAGAATTTTCATACCAGCGGCATTTCCTGAAAGTGAAAGATCATTTTGAAGTGTGAGACACTCTGAGACTTGTTAAATTATGTGACACTAGTACAGCCTTTCTCCGAATATGTAATTTGTCACTAGCATTCATTTTTAGCCTGCCAGAACCAGAACTATCTATCCAAAAAACTTTGTGGTCAAAGTCTCTTCTATTGAGTTGCATGAGAAACCCTAAGACCTTTTAGGCAAATAGTTTTGGCTAAGGAGAGTCAAGAGTCCATTATGAAAAACAGTATGGAAGTTCCTCAAAATATTAAAAATAGAACTACCATAAGAACTCCCATTGACAAAAGGAAAGGAAATTGGTATTTCAAAGAGATATCTGTACCCTCATGTTCACTGCAGCACTATTCACAATTACCAGGATATGAAAATAACCTAAGTGTGCAACGCATCAAAGGATAAATGGATACAGAAAATGTGGCATATGCACACAATAAAATATTATTCAGCCATAATAAAGGAGGGAAATCCTGCCATCTGCAACAACATGGATGGGCCTGAAGGACATTATGCTAGGTGAAATAATCTAGGTACAGAAAGACAAGTCCTGCATGATCTTGTTTATACGTGAGATAATAAAAAGTTGAATTCATAGAAGCACAGAGCAGAACAGTGGTTTACCAGGGGCTGGTGGATGGGGGAAATGGAGAGATGGTAGCCAAAAGGCATCAACTTTCAGTCATAAAATGAACAAGTTCTGGCCGGGCGTGGTGGCTCACGCCTTTAATCCCAGCACTTTGGGAGGCCAAGGCAGGTGGATCACAAGGTCAGGAGATCGAGACCATCCTGGCTAACACGGTGAAAACCCATCTCTACTAAAAATACAAAAAATTAGCCGGGCATGGTGGCGGGTGCCTGTAGTCCCAGCGACTTGGGAGGCTGAGGCAGGAGAATGGCATGAACCCGGGAGGTGGAGCTTGCAGTGAGCCAAGATCATGCCACTGCACTCTAGCCTGGGCGACAGAGTGAAACTGTCTCAAAAAATAATAATAATTAAAAAATGAGCAAGTTCTAGAGATCTAAGGTATAGCATGCATGGCAACTGAAGTATCAATTACTTTGATTATGGAAATCATTATACAATGTATACATATATCAATTCTACTTTTTAAAAATCAAGTCGTTTTTGCAGAAAACATTGGTTTTACCCACAGAAGAGGACATAAACTTGGACTCAAACTTTAAGAAAAAAATCCTGACTTCCAGTCCCCTAAGACAGACAACAGAGGTAGACAGAGTGGGACTACAGACACTTGTTGGAGATTTCACCCAGTGCAATTACCTGGAACCTGACAGTCTCATTCATTCCTTGAAAATACAGATTGAGCATCTACTCTCTTCTCAGTCCTATTCAATGGGCAGAAAACGCAGGCAGACAAGACAGTGTGGTCCTTCCCTCAAGGAGCAGCTAGTCTCCTGGGCAAGAGTTGACTTTAAGTAAACAATCACTCCACTAAACATACAGTCACAAATATATTAAGGGACAACTTATTCTTATCAAGGCACCTACTCAAAAGCCTGACACTTACTCACCATGCTCTTTTAAAGAGGTCTGGATTGTTTCTTTGGCATCTTTGCCATATTACATGCTTAAACCCATAAGCCACCATAGAATCTTCAAGAGGTAGCAGAATATAAATGCAAAATTAAATAAGACATCAGATCCTTGAAATTCAGGAGTAGATATGTCTCTAGAGTGCAGTGAATCTTCAGTTTTGGAAGAAGCACTAGACCACATTGTTATACCCACAAAACAAGTAGATATAAAGGAATATGGTAATGGAATAATCTGTAGAGGAAGGCCAAGAGTGAAACTCATTCCTCAGCTTGGTACCAGTTCCCTCACACCAGCCTGTGTAAGTCAGCTTTGTGCTTTGTGCCTCAGCCAATTTGCCACTATCGGCAGCTTATGGTTCTTCTGGTTGTTCACGAACAGTCAATCCATGCATTTCCTGAAATTCCAACGATAGTGTGTACTTAAATGTAAGACCTGTCCTGGTGGCATCCATAAGCAGGAAACAAAGCCAAGCAAATACCTTTGAATGCATTAATGCTCAATTCAGAATCCTGCAGGACTTTGCTCACCTACTCTGATGATGGCTAGAATGAAGGCCATGGGTCCGCTATTCTCTGCCTTTATAGAACACCCTATTGTGTTAATGTCTATGAGAAATCTAACCCCAAATCACCATTGTTTCCACTCTAATTTCAAATTCTGCCAGCAATCAGTGGGTGATTATTATATGCCAGGCACAATACTAGAAACGTCCACATACATTACCTCAATCTATTTTTTATTTCAAAAGCTAGTTGTAGGCATGGCTAAGGAGTTGCACCTGAATCCTAGATCACTGATGATCGTGAATATATAACTTGGGGAATTTTGCAAGGAATACACAAAATATTTTAAACTAAGAAACGATTTGGCCAACAGTTTCAAATTCTAAAGTCTGTGATAAAGGCAAAGAGCTACATGCCAACCAATTAGGAATTATGAAATTAAAAATAATTAAGCATATAATAACTAATTCTCCACTCTGCATACTGCCTGCTGCCATAGCCACAATGTCAGAGGCATGGTCAAAATCCACTGAAAGAGGAGAACAAACTAGACAAGGAAGGATTCCATTACAGGACATCCCTGAGCTTTCCAAGGCCACAAGATACCAAATGCACCTGTGAAGAAAGAATGATAATTTTTAAGTTGTCATAGAATGCTAACCTCTGTTACTGTTTACATCTTTGCCAAATCTTTGGTTGAACTAGATAAAATTGCCATTTTTGTAGGTAAAAAATGGTTAAATATTGGTCATTTCATATGGTTCTATCTACATATCCACATATCAGGAAGTCTCCCTCCACCCACCCCAAGGACTAAAATTAAACTGCTGGGTGATCATAAAGAGAGAGCACTTGATAATCATTCATAAAAGGAGGCAACCAATGAATTCTGAAACTCAAATCAAATCCCGGCAAATCCTTCTTAAAGGAGTCTCACAAGACTGGTTATGCAATGTATGTAGAGGAAAAGACCAAGTAGGAAGAAACACCCTATCCAAAGGCTAACCATGAAAGGCCCTTTGCTCTGGTTAGGGTTTCTTCTGTACAATCTCCTTGGAGAGACAGAAGGGGGCCTGAGGAATACTTTAATTCCAAGTTGACTCATTTCAGAAAGCCTCCCACTAGAAGCATGCACAAGTAGTCCCTCAGTGGAAACCCGGAATGCATGCCTCTTTCTTCTTGCCTTCATATTCCTTCAGGGGAAAGTATACGAGACGACACTGTGGACAGGTTCTGCCCTCACATCCAACTCTGTGTAACTGGTACCATGTTCCCACCAATGTGGGAGCCCTCTCACCCAAGAAAGCTACTGAAATAGGAAAAGTCAACTCATCTCAAAGTTTCATCATTACTGGAGCTATTACTAAGAGGAGATTTCAAGGGTAGACAGGGGAATCAAGGATTTCGAATGACCAGGTGGAAAGTCTAGGGAATTGTGGATTTCTCAGGGCTCCTTGGCCACCTCTGGGCAAGGTACTCAATTTCCCTAAGCTTCAGTTTTTCCTTCAGTAAAATGGGGATAATTATTCCTTTCTTGAAAGCCATACAGAGACCTTGCCAGAAACTAGTATTTGCATTCTTATGAAACCTGAAGCACTGCGCTAAATTCTGTCCCATACATTATTATTTCAGTTAATTTTTATTTTTTTAATCCACCACTAGATAAGGTAGATATTATTATCATTTTTCAGATGGGGAAATGGAGGCACAGAGTGTTTAAGAGCCTTCCTAAGCCGCAGCTATTAAACATCAGAGTTAGAATTTGAACACAATAGGAAGTGTTCTGTAAGCTATGAAGCCCTATACAAACATGGGGCATTAACAACCAAACAGCAAGTGCTTTGCCAGAGCTGGGGAGAAACATGACCACCTTGCCTGGTCATTTTTCCTGCCCTCTGATTTCAGCAGTACAACAAGGCAATAAGTAATCAGTCCATGCAAACCAAATCTAACCTTTACATTTTAAAAAGGACACTTCACAGAGGAAGAAGTAAGTTTCTTAGGGAAGATATTTAGGTTCTAAATCTTCAGGAGCAAGAATAATTTAAGTCAATATAAACATTTATAGGCCTCTCAAGCTACCACATGCCAGTGCTTAGGATTCCTGAGGAAGCTCAGGAAACTTATGAGAATATCATCATTTAGGGATCAAAAACGTCAAATGTGTGCAGGGGGATAGGCAGGTAACAAATGAGTAAAACGGGTTAGGTATAAGACAATAGGGAATGGTGGAGATTGTGACAAACAGCCCACACCCACCCAAAGGGGGCAGCTCCTACCCAGTTACAGCCAATTTTTTGCCTGTTGCGTGCCAATCCACAGAAGATCAATTTTAATGAAATATATTGATTTTTATCTAACTGTTGGCATCTGTTCAGTTTTTGTTTTAAAAGCACCTCAACTTAGCTTTTTGGCCACCATTCTCTACTCTCTGAAGTGAGCACACTGGCACTTGTCCACTGACCTGACCAGTTTCCAACATGCAGATGCCATAGGCTAACCATGCCTTACAACGTCCAAACAGGATTTCCCTGCTAAGTTCCACTTCACGGCAAATTTTTAAAAAAACAACACATATACAAAAAAACACCTCTTTGATGCTAGGCTGAAACATAAGAACTCCATGAAGACATATGCAGGGAGGTGGATCCAAGCATGAGGCCCAGATGGCTTTTATATAAACCACAATCCACACGGTTATAAATCACCATCCAATTTCTCTTTCAGCTCAGATCTACAGCTATGTTTCCCTTCCCCCAGCCCCAACCTCGGTCAGCCTCACATTTGCTACATTCTTTAACCTTCCTGAGTACAACATGTTGCCACTCACAACACATCAGTCCCAATGCAGGTGTGTTGGGAATTTCTTCATTAAACATTCACTGAGTGAGCATCTACCAGGTTGCTAAGCAGTGTGAGCAAATGGACAGATGCCACTACTGTCCTCAAAGAAGTTAATGTCTAGTGGGGACACAGGCATTTAAGCCCAGTGTCCTAAAGAATTATCACCCCAGACGTTCAGTGGAAAAAAAAAAAAAAGTTACAGAGGTTAAGTGAGCTGGAAGAGGGTAGAGAAGGCATCTCAAACTCCAACCAGATCATGACCACATGCACAGTTCAAATCATATCAATTTGGAACATATAATAGTTCTAAGAAAAAAGAATGTACAAGGCAGGAATGCCCAAACTTTTGACTTCCCTGGGCCACATTGCAAAAAGAAGAATTGTCTAGGGCCACACAAAAAATACACTAACAATAGCTGATGAGCTTTAAAAAAGTCACACAAAAAAAAGATCTCATGATGTTTTAAGAGAGTTTACAACTTTGTGTTGAGGCTCATTCAAAGCCATCCTGGGCTGCAGGTGGCCTGTGGGCCACGGGTTGGACTAGCTTGAAGGCATCCTAACCTTTCCAAAAAGCAAAAGGATTCCCTCCTATTAACTTTTAAAACTGGAAACAACTTTACAGACTAATATATATTTAAATGCATGTTTGCTCAGTCATATCCCAGCAAAGAGGCTTTGTTACTTAACTCAGAGACAATGTGTCATGCTTGGCAAAGTGTGGTCACCAGAGCAGTAACATGATCAGCACCCAGGAGACTGTCAAAAATGCAAATTCCCCAGCTCCTCCCTAGGCATACCAAATCAGAAACTCTGGGGATGGGGTCCAGCAATCTGTTTTAATAATCTCTCCAGGTGCCTCTCACATATAAAGTTTGAACACGGCTATTGGAGGCTTTACCAACCCAAACACCATTTCCCTTATTAATAAAAATAATCTGTTATTTTGGTGTCTTTTCATATACCTTTAGAACTGAGTTAAAATATAAAATTGTGAGAGAAGAGACTGAATCCCACATTTCTTGAGAGCACTTAAACTTACACAGTGCGCTCAAAATATTAAAATTTGATATGTCACATCACTCCATTCTCTGTGAAACTCCTGGATTGTTGGACCACTTATTGTTTAGCTTTCTCATCTGAGAAAAATTAGCTGAGCACTTCTAACATACCTAGGCCTGTGCCAGGTGCTGAGAATATGGATATTTTTATTGAACTGAAAGAGATTTTTAAAAAAACTATTCACATTACAAAGCTTTGATGTTATTCAATAGCATATAAAATATGGTAAATTCCTAACATTTGCTTAAATGTTATGTTAATTAACAAGACAAACATATGTTAGTTGTGGGGACAAAGTACCTATTTGTGAGTTTACATTGGCAAAGAGGTCCAGAAGATGCAATATTCACTTCTAATTACTGAGATGAAATGCACTTGCCTCTCCCATGACAGCTTAGTATGTATATCGGCCCACAATGTGGACACAGTACTAGAAATAAAAAACTGTGGGTCTCTGTCCTCCACATGCTTCCCTACAGTGACGTGCTCTGAATGTACTGATGCAGCAAGCTCCATTCTGAAGGGTTCTAACAATAGAGGCACCTTCCAGTAAACTCAGAAATCCAAGGAACCCACATTTACAGCAAAATGAGCCTGTGCTATAAAACCCAAATAGCTTACTCTCTGATACAGCAAGAGTTATTTTGCATGAATCCCAGAGTGTATTAGTTTCCTATTGCTGCTGCAACAAATTAACCACAAACTTAGTGGCTTAAAACAATACAGATGTATTATCTACAGTTCTGGAGGTCAGAAGTCCAAAATCAGTCTCAGTGGGCTAAAACCTAGGATTTGGCAGGGCTGCATCCATTCTGGAAGCTCTAGAGGAGAATCTGTTTCCTTTACCTTTTCCAGCTTGTGGAGGCCACCTGCATTCCTTGGCTCATGGCCCCTTCTTCCACCTTCAAAGCCTGCAACTTAGCATCTTCCAATCTCTCTCTCCAACTTTACTTCCATTGTCACATCTCTCTCACCTTCCTGCCTCTGTCTTATAAGAATGCTTGTAATCACATTGGGCCTGCCCAGATAATCCAGGATCATTATCCCATCTCAAAATCCTTAATCGCATTTGGAAAGTCTCTCATCAGGTAAGATAACATATTCACAGGTTCTGGGGATTAGGATGTGAACATTGTTGGGGATGGGTTGACACTGTTCAGCTACCCCACTGAGGGCGTACTTTTTGAATAGGAAAAAATCTTTTGATGTACCATAGTTAGGAAATATGTGACTTGTAAACAGGGCAGGGAATGACCTTCTCACTTGCATTAACTGTGAGCCAGGATGAGACCAGGTGCCTTTTATACCCCCATCACAACAACCCTAGAAGGTAGCTTCCATCATTATCCTTTTCCAGATGAGAAGACAGACTCAGAGAAATTCAATTAACTGGCCCAGCACACATACCCCGTGTGTGGAACCTAGGTCAGCCTGATCCCAGAGCCCATGCTTATTCTTCTTATCCCACATCTCCTTCCCAAAACAGAATGTCTCATCCTGAGCCTCTGCCTATGCCTAGATGAGGGGCTAGGGTTACAAATGGAATGTCTGCCTTTCCATGTCATAGTGAGTCTTTTTTTTCTTCTTTAATCAATTCCTTTACATGTAGAATAGCAAAACAGTTAAGGGAGTAGACTCTCGAGCCAGGCTTCCAGCAAACAAACCCCAGCTTGCCACTTACTAGCTGTGTGACCTTGGGCAAGTTACTCAACTGCTCTCTGTCTCTGTTTCCTCATCTATAAAATGGCAATCACAATTGTATATGCTCTCATAGAGTTTTAGGAAGATAAAATCAGTCAATACAGATAAAATATCTAAACCAGTACCTACTCTAAGTGTTTGCTATACCTTGTTAAATAAAAGCATGGTGGAAAGTCAGGGACAAAGGTGCTACTGTGTGAGGGGAAAGAATGAGAGGTTCTTTATCACAACCCACAGCTGGCCCCTGGCAGAGCACATTAAATGGCATCAAGGTCTAAGTTCTCCATTCTTTTTAATGGAATGGATAAAATATATTCCTCATTCTATAGGATGGTTATGAGAATAAAATGAGTTAAAACATGGAAGGCACTTAGAACAGTACCTTATCATCATTTTTGTTATCAACATTAATAAACTGGTGGTTGTGAGGGTGCTTAATTAAATATGCTCACCTCAAGCAACACAAAAAACTCAATAAACTAAAAATTAACCACAAGTCCTGAGAGTAATTACAATGTTCTATTTGGGTCCTCTGGATAAACTGAGGAAGAAAAGAATTAGGGAAAGACACTTCTAGAACAGCACTACATATCTATTTCTTAAATCCTATTAGGAACTTCCAAATTAATACTGAGTGCTCAAAGCACTGCTCAGCTGTAGATAATGAAATCAGAATAATGGTATGTTAGAATCCTCCAGCTACACACACACACATTCAGGCCAGCTCCCTCCCTGGTCTTTCCGTCTGTCCATCTACCCATCCTGTATTTACTAAATGCTGACTACAGGCCCAGTCACCAAAATGACA
Source organism: Homo sapiens (assembly GCF_000001405.40). NCBI lineage: Eukaryota > Metazoa > Chordata > Mammalia > Primates > Hominidae > Homo > Homo sapiens. The sequence continues at coordinate 19,850,378 of NC_000011.10, read as the reverse complement.
GACGCTTAGGATACTCAAGTGAAAGACATGGTATTTCCTTCAAGAAGATGAGTAAACAGACAACCACAAGAGAGTGTATTATGTTAAAAGCAGGCACAGGACACTTGGGGACACAAAAGATGATAGGCACCTCATTATGTCAACACTTTGAGGAAACAAGTGACCTGAATATTAAAGGTCACACTGCCCAGGAAGGGGCAAGCGGGAGATCAGTCCTGTGGCAGACTGGACAGTACTTTATCTGTAAATAAGTACTTTGTATATTACCAAAGTACAAAGGCATGAAAATACACGGCCTCTTTGGCATACTACAAGGTATCTGGTCTCGCTGGGGTGTAGAGTTTGAGTGGCCAAGTGGCAGGAGAGGATGGTAATCAGATCTTGAAGGATCTTCTATTCCGTGCTAAAGAGTATGGAGAGGGAAATGGGAAGGCAATGACAGTTTTAAACAGGCATGACTGAAGAGACAGACAGACGTGGAGGTTGTTGCCACCTTTGAAAGACAATGAACGATGGCCAACACATAAGATAGTGTGTATATGCTGCCCTGGGTGGGAAGCAGTGGATGCTTCCTGCTGATCTTGGCCCTGAGCTCTTTCTACTTTGCTTTAAATTCTAAGTGGCCTATGGACTTTTCTTCATTCCTTCTTGGTTCTGCAACATGTGTGTGCCCTTAGAGCTGTGTAAAAATAGGCCCAGGGCCCAGGGAAGAGGCAACTCAGCTGCCCAAGGATCTCAGACACTCCCCAGGCATGTGGCCGGCTTTCTGGCAGCTGTTGGGAGGGCTCAAGGTCACTGGGCCTGGAAATCTGATCCCACTGCAGATGGCCTTTTCCTGGCCCAGGAGGCTCTGGAGAGAATGTAGCCAGAGAGGTACCTGGCGCCAGGGCTCTTCGAGGCCAATTCAAGGAGCTGCCTTTCACAAGGGGCCACCTGCCCCTGTTTCAGCTTTCATGTTGCCATCAGCAGGTCAACTCAGGCCCTTTCCAGAAATGTTCCATCTCCTCCCTTTTTGCTAACTCTCAGCTAAACCTAACTGGTTCTGCTGTAGCTGCAGATGAAAACTAAGGAGAACACGGCTTGGTGAGGTGGAGACTATTTTTATGATACCCCTTCTCTGTCACAGAGGTAAACACCATATCTCTGAAAATAGACTTGGGTTCGAGCTCCAACTCTGCCTCTCCCTAGGTAAAGAATCTGGGACCACGAGCACCCTTTTAAATCCTCAGTCCCCATGTACAAAATATAGACAATAACTGCATCTTTATCATAGGGCTGTTTTGAGTGATTGAGTAGGCTCTCAGCACATAGTCTGGTGCATAGTGAGTGATCAATAAATGTTAGCTCATTAAAATCTCATGGTAACCCTGCGAGGTGTTGTTCTCTTCCACATTTCTCACAGAAGGAAGTGAAGTGCTAAGGCCAAGTGGATTATCCAGGGCCACTTATGATGGGACTGAGCGAGACTGACCACAGTGTTCTGTGACATGAGATCTCTCAGGGGTTTCCTTTGAGTCCAGTGCTATCATTCAGAGAGATGTAGGCATACAAATGAATTCAAACCCCACTAAACAAGCCCCCACCCAAAAGCAGAGTTGGCTGTTCCCGAGGCATGTCTGTTTTTTAACAAATACTTAAGTCCCTTGAAAAATCATCAAAAGAGCTAACATCTACTGAGGCCAGCAACTCTGTGGCCAGCAACGTGCCAGCACTTCATGTAGATTGTCTCATGGAAGCCTTAAAACAACCCCATGAGGCAAATACTGTTACTACCTCTGTTATAGGAACTGGCTCCCTTAGAGACTAAGGGACACACCTGGGTTACAAGCAGTTGGCCTTCCCAGCCCTTGCTCTCAGCTGTGATGCCTTGCAGAGGTCAGAGGTAAGACCTAATCCGACTTCACAGAAAAGAGACTGAGGAGGACCAGAGAAAGGAGGGCTGGAGCCAAGAGCAGAGCTGAAACCTGACACTGCCATGTTCCTTCCTAGGCTACATCCCGCTGCATCTCCCCAGGTGCTGGCCTCCTGCAAGGGGCAGCTATGGTGGCCCTGTCCTGGGCTACCTACCCCTACTTATAGCAGCTTTTATCACTCATATATGGGGTTCCACAGCTTTTATTTGGGAAAATGAGGGGTTCTGCTTATGGAATAGAAGTTAGAAAATCACTGCCTGGCCCTTCTCTGTGCCTAAGTGCAGATTCCTACTGTCTTAGGAACTCCAGTGCTGGCATTTTCCATAGAGCTCCCTGAAAGGACAGGGTGAGAAGAAGGGCTGTGCTCTATGCAGCAGGGGCACCAAACCTGGAGTCTATGGAGCCCCAGGGCATACATGAGCTGGCCTCTGGGGTTCATGATCTGCTCAGGTTGTATGCAAAATTCTGGGATAAGTGCAATTTGGGGAGGAGAGAGCTAGAAGATTTCTGAAGGGTTCTCAGATTTCCAAAAGGTTCTATGTCCCCCAAAACATGAATGATCACTGAAAGAAATCTTCATTATCGTAGTAACTGCCATATACTGAGTGCTGATTATATGCCAGGAGAATAGGGATAATAAGATCACCCGCATCAAAGGGCTGTTGGGAGGATGAACTAAGGGGACATGCTGTATTTGTAAAGCACTTAGAATGGTGCTTGGCACAAGACAAACACTGTAAGCTTTGGTTATATTTTATCACTTTAATTAATATTATCCATTATTATCATTTTCATTGCCTCATTAGTCTTCATGAAATCTTTATGAGGTATGTATTATTATCAACCCCACTTCATAGAACAGGAAATATGAGGCTTCAAAGAGTCAAGTAATTAGCTCAAGGCTGCAGAATAGCAGAAAAGGAATTAGAAACCTGGCCTGGCTGGTCCCCAAGCTCAGGCTGGCCCTCCGTCTAGATGCACTGAGGGAAGAAGGCAGGAGGACTCCTTGAAGAGCCCAGGAGGAAGCAGGGGCTCAGCGCTGGGAGGCTCAGCTGACCCCAGGTCCAAGATCAGCTAAAGGGGAAAGCAGGCCTGGGGCTTTTTTGCTGAAAAGGCAAGCAAGCCTCCCTAACTTTGCACTTCTCCTAATCAACAACAGACAGCCAAGCTGCTTAAAATAATAATGATGAAAAAAGAAAACCACCCCCTGCCACTGGCTATTCCCAGGCTCCAAAGTGAGCCAATGCCCCCAATGTCCTGAGTACAGTGAGTTCAAATTGGGAAGCAGGGCCGCCCCAGCACCCACTGGCTAACCTCCAAGCAATGTTTTTCCTTCCACACTAACAGATAACTCTGCTGAACACACCACTTGAAAGCCAAAGAGATGCCCCTTGGTTGCCATGGCAATGTTAAATAGACAAAACATTTTAACCAGCTCTGACGCACACACGCAAACTTATTTAAGGGCCAAGGGGATGAATTTGGTGGGGGAGAGGGAATGGGGTGGGAGTGTTGTTTCTAAAGCTCCATCTCCAAGGATTTGGCCCCAAAAGCATCTGGGTCAGACTGAAACAGGGCAAAGCGCTCCTTAAAAACAAGCCAAGGCTGGGCTTGCTCCAGGAAAGGGAAGCCACTGCTGTGCCTCTCTGCCTTTGGGTTACAGACCTGGTGCCATTTTACCAGGGCCAAGAGGAGGGCGGCACTGAGGGTTACAAATGCTGATGGAAAAGCATCAGGCTTGAGTCCTGGGGAGAGCATCTCCGTTTCTCACCCAAAAGGTGTGAGTGTTATGCCAGCCCACAGCAGAGTCAGGAGGACTGAATGTGTGATGGGCTCATAAGCCTTAAAGCACTGTGTAGATGCGTATTAGTGCTAATATAAAAATATTAACAGCCGTTTCCAACCGGGTTGTGTTTCCATTTCCCAAATTTCATGGCTGAACTTCTGTCCACAGGAATTGATGACCTCGAATTTTTTCCTTTAGAAAACTTTGTTCTGAGGTTTCTCCCCCATATGCAGGAATCTGTGTGATGAAGCATGCACAAGGCTTGTCCCAGGTCTGAAAAGACCTCTGTGCCTATGAGTCTGTTGTACTGTGGGCTCTTCCATGCCCCTCCTTTCACCCCAGGTACAACAGGACAAGGAGTTGATGCTGCCCAGAGGCTAGAAGAGCCTCACCAGACACAGTTCATGGCAATTTGGTACAATCAATGGATGATTGTTTGTAAAACCTTCCTCTGTGGGATCCATGATTTCCTCAAGTAAACCCATTCTCCAGAAATGGGTTCCATGCCTGGCTGTCTCCACTTGGAATCCTCTTCCACCCATCATCTCTTGTGGTGAACTCTCTGACCTTTCAAGACTCACCCTTTAGAAGTTATTTAGGAACCTTCCTTGCCCTGGGGGTAGAATGGGTCTCCACAGTGCCATGCACAGGTGTCTGTGGGAGCAGCTGCAATAGTCTATTCTTCTAATTGTTCTCTGGTCTCTTGCCCACTTATCTGAGTTCTTTGAGGGCAGGGATCACATCTTGGTCACCTGTGTATTCAGCTTGGCCTAGTCCAGCATCTCACATTAGTAGGCACTCTGTGACTGCTTGCTGATTGACAGTCTAAAAGTACACAATGCCAAGCCCATTATGATTATGCACTGCTGCCCCTGGAATCCTCTAGGTCATATTCCACAAATGTCTGCTTTTACTTCCCTATCCTCTGGGAAGACAGCAGGAGTTACAGCAGAGAACAGAGCAGCTGGGCAGCCTAGTGGGTTAGGAAGAGTGAAGGGAGGGAGGAAAAGGTGCCTTCTTCCAGGGCTTGCTCCTCCTACAAAGCTCATGCTCCTAACCTACTCTTGAGCTGAGGATACAAACTGACCCACTGAAAACTGGAATAGCACCCACTCCATTCCTGCTCTGAAATAAAACTCCTTTTGTCTCTATTATTAAAGGGCCCTAAAGGTGCTCTATCTGTTTTCTTAGGGAGTGACCGCATTAACTCTATGCTGATTATTTTTTTTTCCTAGCAGAGCCCATTACCCTCCTAACAGGATACACTTCCCAAGTTCTCATCTCATTGTGTGTCATCTTCCTTCTGCCATGCTTTCTACATATCTTCTCCTTTGGTATCCTCCAAACAGGCAATATTTAGCGAACAACAAATGTTTATTATTGGCCACCCAGATAAAGTCTAATTGGGAGGTTAACCACCTAGCAATCTAGAAATGGTGGCTCACACCCTATGCCATCTTCTCAAATTATACTTCCCATGAGCAAAAGTGCTTTAACTCTATATATGCTTGTGTGCACACAGGTGTCCTATTAGCCAGAAAATCATCCATGCCTGTCTATCGAAAGAACTTCCTGTGTGATCTAGTGAGTTCTGCCTTATGAACTTGTCATTGTTTTGTGATGTAGGGGCAAGAACAATGATCCTATTGTCCTTCTCATCATCCTATTCATTTCCTACAGAATAGAATGACTGTGGCAGAAGTTTTCACATTTTCCTGGACTCACATCCTGTACGCTGAACTACTCTCTGCTAGGCTTACCACAAGACTGTGTCTGCCTCCCTACCCCTAAGCTGGAACTAATTATCACAGACAATTATAGGATTTTATATTCTTGTGTTCTAAAAAAAAAAAAAAACACACAGTTCACACACACAAAAACAAAAACAAAAAAATATAGCACTGGCATGGCTGAAAGAGTTATAGAGAAACTGCAACACTGCATTGGTGCTATGGTAGTATTTATAAGTAACTTATTTGCATATGGAAATAAATTTGCAAAGAAGAATCTGAAATGACAATATTACAGGTTGAACATCTCAAATCTAAAAATCTAAAATCTAAAATATGCCAAAATCCAAAACTTTTTGAGCATGACATGAGGCTCAAGGGAAGTGCTCAGTGAAACACTTTGGATTTTCAGATTTGGGATGCTGTAAGTATAATGTAAATATTCCAAAATCCAAAACATTTCTGGTCCCAGATATTTCAGATTAGGGCTACTCAATCTGTATAAGCTTGGAAGTAGACTCTAACAACACGCAAAACCTCCAATAGAAGGTGCTTAGAATAGAGGTGCACCAAATAGAATAAAAGGTTGACAATTTCCACATACCAGTTCTACACACACATTATAATGGCCTGGGGCAATTGCATCAGTATCTATCCTGGAGGGAAATAATGCATCTGTTTCATATGAAGATAGGACTACATGTGCAGCATGCCTGCACTAAAATTAAGTCTTCTATCATCCAAATTTTCTCAATTATTAATACCCTAGACAGCTGCAGTAGCTGCAGCAAAAATAGCAGCCCAGCTTTTCCAAAAGTCAAAGCAGCCATGAGATGTCAGCCTGGGGACTTTCCTATGTAAGAAGTGGTTGGTCTTTGGATCAAAAAGAAAGAAAACCTTCAGTGGAACAACAACAACAAAAACTTGTTTCAGAATATAAACTGGAAAATGACTCCCCTTCCATACATACACTGACATCTTTATATTCAAAATGTGCATTAAAAAAAGCCAACTAAAATGGCTGCCTATTTGCCCAAGTCACTGGGATAACAATTCAGAAAACTAAACAGTAAGCCCAAGGAATGCCAATCACTTTGGTTTATTCTGAAATGAGACCTATCAAACTGTGCCTACTCAAAGGAGGTAGGATGGGGTTACAGAAGCAAATTAAGCTTTTTTTTTTTTTTTTTTAGATTTCTGGAAGCAAATGAACATCCAGCAAAAAATAGTTGTCCTTAAGTTGCCACCTTCATGTTTTAAATAGGTTATTAGTGTTATCTTAACAGACTCTGAAAATATACTTTTTTTTGTAAATATTCATGCTTGAAATTTGTTTTGAAGTGAAAAACTAAGCCAATGTTTTCTGAACTCAACAATGACGATAAATTTTAATTCAAAGATTATGTGCAGGACATGCAATAAGAAAAAGAACAGATTTTTAAAAGATTAGTTTTGGGGGTTATGTATAAAGCTATAATATCAGAACTTAAATGCATCATGCCAGAGAGAATATCACTTGCAAAGGTTATGTTGAAAAGCTTCAGATGTGACTGCACATTTCACATTTCCTGTCACAGTTCTGATTTCACATCATTCCAACCTTTAAAGGCAATCTGACCACATGCTCCAGTTTCTGATTAGTAAGATACCATCACTTCATCCGTGCCTCAGCTCCATACACAAACACATATTGATGTGGGTCTTTGAGGAAGCAGAACGAGCCACAGCAGTTCAAGTACTAAACATGTATATGTTTGTACCAGTTCTGCATAATTTGTGTCTAAGAACAAGGACAATATTTCACTTTAACTGTCTCACAATCTACATAAAAATCATAGCCATTTTTCAATAAATGCCAACAAATGTCAGAAAAGCAGAACACAGCTACTTGGAAATAGCTGTGAGTTTATTAATATAATCCCCTGGAGTAAAGCATCTGGTATGAATGTTTTCAAGATGGTCAATATCACTTAGAGGCAGGGCTTGCTGACAGAACTCAAACATTTACTACCTATGCACCACTTACCATTTGGGATCTGTTCTTCGGACAGCCATTGATGTCTTCAATCTTTTCATTTGCTGAAAAAGGAAACACAAGTCAGAAAAATAAATCACCAGAGAGACACTTTCAGTAGTGATGTTCAGGACACTTGAGGCAACCAAGTCCTAAGGCCCATACCAGGGTTTGTCCAATCAGTGCAGGCATGTGAAATACTGAGACACATCTAGCAAGCTTCAGGACTTACTCATCGAGCTGCCGTCCTCCAGGGACAGCTGGGGCAAGGTCGTCATCTAAAACAGAGACAACTGCATCGATGACAGTCTTGGAGTGAAGGGGCATCGTGGAAATGCTTGGAGACTGGGAAAGAGAGTGAGCTAGCTGTGATTGTGCTTTAGGCTCTTGGAAAGGCAAATACAACCGTCACAAAAGACGGAATAGTTCAGAGTGGATCAGTCCAGCTACAACTCAGCTCCCAGAGAAAAAAGCCACAAATGAAAGCATCTCACTCCATCTTTGGCCAGATTAATATTGCTTTTGTTTGTCCTAATAACTATTCCCAAAGCAGTGGCAAATGGGGAAAATGAGAAAGTGAGACTTCATCACTTTCTCACTATGTGACTTGACCAACGCCACACAGTAAGTCCAAATTAGATCAAGGGACACACATATGTGTGTCCAGCTACTTAGAGAAGTGATGGAAAGAGGTTGCATTGCATTCACAGGAAATCAAGTACTAATACAAAGGAGGACTGGCCCAGCTTCCCTGGGTGAATGCAGTTCATCGTAAGTATGGAGGAGTCCCTGGCATAACACAGTCCAAGATATCTATGGAGAGACTGTGTTTGAGAATACAGCAGCACAAGAAAGGCCGTAGCATAGTGGTTAGAACACTGACTTTGGAGGCAAAGATACGTTAGCGTGAATTCCAGCTGCAGAGCTTCTTAGCGTGTGACATCAGGCATGTCACTCGACCTCTTTGGGTCACAGTTTCCTCATCTATAAAACACAGTTAATACTACCTGCTTCACAAGAGAAGCAATTAGAATTAGATGATGCCAGTAAAATGCTTAGCACGGTGCCCAACACGTAGTAAGTATTCTCTAAATGGTAGTATCATGAACCCAATAATACGTATTGTATATAAAAATTGTCCTTTTGATATCTCCGTCTCAGTTTGGAAACTCAGCTAGGGCTCCACAGTAAAGGACTAAGGGTTAGCTTCCTCTTGAAACCTTTATATGCTCCCTCTGCAATCCCATGTCCTCACTCACAGAAGGGAAAGATACACTCAGGCCTCTGTCCTCACAGCACCCTGTACCTGCCTCTGTTTTGTTCTTAATCATCCAATACATAATTCCTCCTTTTCTTGTTTCCCCAAAATATGCTGTGAGAGCCTAGCAGACGTGTATAGTTTACCTTTCACATCTGTATCCTTTGAGCTCAATAACTGCTCACAAAATTGAATTCCCCAAATAAAATCATATCATATTTTAATAAATATGATACCTAAAACTTCCAAAAAGAGAAAAGCCATTGGAAACTGTCTGAAAAAGATAATAGAATCAAAGTGTCCCAAGCCTCCAAGATTTTAGAAACCTGAATCATTATCTCAAATTGAATTCATTTTTTCTCTGTTTCTATCTTGAGAGACAAGTGAAAATTAAGAAGCAAGCTAGTGGCAGAAAATTGTTTAAAAATCTAATTACCATAAGACAGACTGGTTAGTATATATTCAGTCTAATCTACACCTTTTTTTTAGAACCTGCCAGAAGTAATAGATGTTAAGGTTTATGACCCACCTGGGAAAATCCCAATCTTCAGAGATCTAATTGCATTTTCTCAACTCCTCTTAATATAAGAACACTAGGATAGGCATTGTAGAAAGCCTTGCTCCCAAAAGAGGTGCCATGAAAAGCACAAACAAGATGCCCACTGAATGGAATAACTCATAGATGTTTGTTCTTCTGTTTATTAGAAAATATAATGAGCCAGAATATATTGCTAGCTTGTAAACTTCATAAGAATAGAGATTCTTATCTGCTTTGTTTTCTACAGTCACCCCAGAGCTTAGCACAGTGTCTGGCACACAGGAGCCACACAATAAATACTTGTTGAGTGGAACTAAGAAATAAGTCTTCTGAATATCTCAATGAATCAAGAAATCTTGATTCTTGAACATTGAGATGAATCAAGAATAGCTGCCTATTTTCAGGCAGCTATCCTTCCATTTATAATACAGATGTATATACTAAAGTCCAAAAAAACCAAACACTTGACAGATGGCACTCTTCCATACCTGGGAAATTATGGCAGGCATGAGCTCTGACCTTGGATTTTGACACTCAACATTGGAGAGAATAAATATGCAGCTTTTGAGAATCAAGGCCAGTCAAGGTGTCTTCCAAATGGATACTCATGATGGCCAAAGTCATAAGTCATTGGATTCTGATCAATACCCAGTTCAGCATTAGGTCATTAGTGCTCATTACAGTGAAAGACGGATAACTGTGATCCTAATAAGTCATTTGGGACACTTTAAAGATTCTTTATATGCCACCTGAATAATGAAACCAAAGGGCTTGGTCTAATTTCTCATCTAATTCCTTTTCATGGTCTGTCACCTAAACCCAGTCAGGTGCTCTTTGAATTTAAATATCATGGCTCTTACAAGCCTAATACTTCCATTTTACAAAAGTCAAAATAAACTGATGGGGTAAAGCCTAAATATAACCACTCTAAAGAGTACACGGGAAGAGATGAATCAAATGACTAATCCAATCTCAAAATAAATAATTAATAAAATTACAAAATGAGTTTTGGGCCTCCTAGTTTCCAGTTTCATATACTTGAAATACTTCTCCTTTACTTAAATTCCCAGGAATTCCTATGGTTGTCATAAATAATTAGAGTGCTAATAGCAGCTCTGATTCTGCTGGTAAGAAGGAAGAGCTTGGTCTTCAAAGCTGAATTTAGTAACTCAGGGCAGGGGGTCTTTGGCTGCATCCCAAAAGCAGATAATCAAAGAAACAAAGGCACTTATCCCCAAAGTCCTCATCTGTGATTAAAACTGGCATCCTTAAGTGCCAATGGTAATTTATTTATCCCAGCGTATTCAAGACTTTCTTAGCCCCACTAATGCAGTAACCTGCCTGCATGCAAGGTGACTAGTTAGTGACTGGAAAGCATCAGTGCACTTTTAAAATAAGAACAGTGATATCAAGCTTATTACTTTTCAAAAGACTTCATTAAAGGATTCAGAACATTTCAACATAGCTTGTGCATCTATGCACTTATCATCCCTGGCAGTTAACAACCCTGCCAATGGGAAGAGACAAAAACTGGCTCCCCAGAAAGGTAAATGACTTACCCAGGGTCACATAATGGTAGTAGATCATCAACAGAAAGAAGGGATAGTCCTACATGTTGTCTGAATTTCCTGGTTGTGTTCAGAGGCAGCCCAAATGGTGGTGGAAAAGAAGCTGCTATCAGGTCTTCCCACTTCTAAGAAGAAATTCTCTCTCTCTCTTTGCTCCCTTTTTCTCCAGTCCTCCTTTGTTCATCTTTTCCTTCCTCTCTCAACTCTTATCCCCTTTTCTCCCACCCCTTCTCTCTCGCTCCCTGCTTTCCTTGCTCCAACCTCTTCTGGCATCCTCCCTGTGTGACAGCAACGTAAGCAAAGGAGGGAGGCCTGTCTCTCTCTTGATTCATGCTGTTTATCCTGGCCTCTTAAACCTTCTTAATAATTCACAGAGATGCCACTGTGATGGGCTGGCAGGCAACAGCCAACTTGGGGAAGCTCATGACTCAAGAAGATAATCACACTAACAAGACGTTGAACACACAGATCCAACCTTAGCCACCAAAGGAAGGCTCCTAAAGAGCAGCAGCAAAAGGCCCACTTTCTTCTGCCTTATAGAAGATGATGGCAGAAAAGTCGCAAACAATCCCACTATCTAGGAAGCCCAGCTCCAGGGGTGTCTGGGATAGATGAAGACTTAAGAACAGCGCATGTGAAAAGCATTTAAGGCCAGGCATGTGGCTCACACCTATAATCCCAGCACTTTGGGAGGCCGAGGTGGGCAGATCACTTGAGGCCAGGAGTTCCAGACCAGCCTAGCCAATATGGCAAAACCCTGTCTCTACTAAAAATACAAAAATTAGCTGGGCATGGTGGTGTATGCCTACAATCGCAGCTACTCGGGAGGCTGAGGTGGGAGAATTGCTTGAACCCGGGAGGCAGAGGCCTCAGTGAGCCAAGATCGTAACACTGCACTCCAGCCTGGGTGACAGAGTGAGACCCTGTCTCAAAATAAAACAAAACAAAAACCATTTAAGTTTTTCCTTGAAGTTACACATCAGATGTTACTTCTCAGCCTGAAAAATCAACTCTTCAACCACTGGCCCTTGTTCTTAGGCTAAAGCCCAGAATTCATTGCCTTATACCTGGTGGCCCTGCCCGACTTTGCCTTGCTGGCCCTCTGGCTCTCCTCTCCTCTCTACACACTATTTTCTCTGCTGGGAATGCCCTCCCTGACTGCTTTGCCTGTCTCACTTTAATAAAGTCTGAAGTCTTGGCTTATAGGTAAGTTCCTTGAGGAACCTTTCTGTGATTGACACCCTCCCACCATCCCCACTCCATCATAGGTCGGGTCTGAGCACCTGACCCACGATGGAGTGGGTCCTCAACCATGCCATCATCACTACACTCCTCCTGGGCCTAGAAAGCGGCTGTCCCTTAAAAGGCACAATCGTGCTGCCTACAGATTTTGATAGGCCTTCATTTAGATATGTTTTCTTTTTAACTTTTCATTTTGATACAACTTCAAACTTACAGAAAAGTCACAGGAATAGTATAGAGAATTCCCCCATACATCATCCATTCTCCTTTCCTTTCTCCCTCTCCTCCCCTCCTTTATCTGTAAGGCACACATATCATCTTTCTTCTGAGCCATTTCAGAGTAAGCCACATAGATTATGCCCTTTGCTTCTTATGCTTAGTGTTTATTTCCAAAGAACTAGTATATTGTCTTCCATAGTGCAGCTATAAATTCTGGCAATTTAACACTGATTTAATTCCAACATTCCAGTTTTGCCAATTGAGTAAAAAATGTCCTTTAGACCATGTGATTGCTCTGCACAGGATGCAGTTCAGGATCACGTAGTACATTTAGCTGTCACATCTCTTTAGTCTCCTTCATCCTGGAACAGTTTCTCAGCCTTTGTCTTCCACAGCATTCACATTTTTGAACAATGTAGCCCAGTTTTTTTTTTTAATAGAATGTTCCACAATTTGGGTTTGTCTGAGATTCCTTATGATTAGTTTCAGGTTTTCCATCCCTGACTGGCATATAGCATAACTGATGTTGTGTTCTTCTCAGGGTATCACCTCAGGAAGCACATGACGTCCATCTGTCCCTCACCAGTGATGTAATTTTGATCACCTAGTCATGATGTGATCTGGATACTCCAATTAGTGCTTACTTTGTTTCCCCTTGCAGCTAATAAGCAATCAATAGAGAGATATTTTGAGACTATGCGAAAATCCTGCTCCTCCTCAAATTTCCCCCTCTAGATTTCAGCATCCGTTGATGATTCTTGCCTTAACTCCCATTCACCAGAAGGCTGCAACTCCCTCTATCAGTCAGCGTTCTCCTGTAGAGTCCAGCCCTCTCTTCTCCTCCATTGATATATCTATTTTTAAATGTATCTATTTATTATTATAGGCTTGTGGATTCCTATTCTATTTAGTGGCTATAATCCACTGTTGTCCTCAATTGATTTTGATGTTCACACTGTCCCCAGATTGGATTATTCTTTGTAGCCCTACAGGGAATGACACTACCAAGGGGAGGACTTAATAAAAGAAGAGCTGCTGTGGTCTGAATGTTTGTGTCCTCCCAAAATTCATATATTCAGGTTTAATCCCTAATGTAATGGTGTTTGGAGATGGGGCCTTTGGGAGATAATTAGGTCATGAGGGTAAAGATCTCATGAACAGGATTAGTTTCCTTATAAAACAGGCCCAAGAGAGCTGGATCACGCCTTCCACCATGGAAGGACACGGTGAAAAGATGGCTGTCTGCAAATGAGGAAGTGGGCCCTCCCAAGACATAGAATCTGCCAGCACCTTGATCTTTGACTTCCAGCCTCCAGAATCATAAGAAATAAATGTCTTTTGTTTATATGCCACTCAGTCTGGTATTTTGTTATAGCAGTCTGAATCTAAGAAAAGAGCTTTTGAAGGATTCCAACTCTTCACCATTAGAACTAGTGCCTGAAAAGGTAGTAAGCTGCCCATCACAGGAAGTAATTAATAGAGGTTGTTGACTACTTTTTATAGAAGCAATTCATTCATCAGATCGGAGCTTTTTTTTTTTTTTTTTTGAGACAGAGTCTCGCTCTGTCGCCCAGGCCGGACTGCGGACTGCAGTGGCGCAATCTCGGCTCACTGCAAGCTCCGCTTCCCGGGTTCACGCCATTCTCCTGCCTCAGCCTCCCGAGCAGCTGGGACTACAGGCGCCCGCCACCGCGCCCGGCTAATTTTTTGTATTTTTAGTAGAGACGGGGTTTCACCTTGTTAGCCAGGATGGTCTCGATCTCCTGACCTCATGATCCACCCGCCTCGGCCTCCCAAAGTGCTGGGATTACAGGCGTGAGCCACCGCGCCTGGCCCAGATCGGAGCTTTTAAAGGTCCTTTCCAAACCTGACAGTTGAGAGCTGTGGTAGATCCCTAGAAAGTAGAAAGGTGTGACATACAATTTAGAGGAATGTTTAGTGGAGTACTAAATGTTGAGAAGGGGAAACATTCGGGCCACCTATTGGAAACAATCCAACCCAGGCTGGTAGTGAATAAAATTCTTATCCCTAATCCTCTCAACTTTTCCTGAACATCACTGCATGCAAGGCACCATGCTAAATGTTGGGAACCCAGAAAGGAAGACAACTAAGACCCAGGCCCAAGACAGCAGCTGGTGGGATGATAGAGGGAGGTCCCTCTGGTTCTGTGTCGGGGAGCTAGGAAAGGTCTCAAAGAGAAACTCACTTTTCAAGAATAAGTAGGAGCTTGCCAGTCAAAGAACAAGTATAGCCACTAGAATTCTGTCCAGTATAAGATGAAGTCAGTAAGATTCCAATTCTGGGAAAATTTTATGTAGATATATATAAAATTTTATGTAGAAAATTTTATGTAGATATATATAAAATTTTATGTAGAAAATTTTATGTATGTATATATAGATATATGGATATCTATATATACATACATATGTGTATATTAAATATGTGTACACATACAAATATATTTTTACATTTTCTTTTAATGGGCATGTATGGCGGAAAGCATGGACTTGAAAAGCAAAGTGTTCAAATGGCCAATAGTTCAGCATCCTAGTCAGAAGATGCTTCTCCCCCCTCTCACCAAGAGACCTGTGTTCATAAGACAATCTAAGAGTAAATGCTCTGAGCTGGCTGATAGACAACTGAGGAAAGAAGTCACACAGGAGATGCCTACAACTGCTGTCTTCTCACTCCTTTTAGCCTGTTCTCTACATACAGAGCAGAGTTTCCAAGCCCCAGCACAGCCAGTCTGGCGAGAGAGTCACATGCTGATATCCAGCCTTATTGAGGAGTCTCTGGACAAAGCGATCCTGTGTTGGAGGGTGGAGGGTTTAGGGAAGCAATTTAGTGGCCTCAGGTGTGGCCTGGACAACTGGTGCTAACTTGGGTCTCTGGAACTGCAGACCAGTACCCTAGGCCTAAAGATGCCACTGTCTAGGGAAGTTCATCTCATCTGAATAGATTCAGGGAAGCATCATCCTGAGCAATGATAAAACTGCTAACTTACATTTTCATAGCACTATGTTTAGAAAATGCACAACATACATACTCCCATTTGCCTCTTCTGAGCCCAAGGCAGACATGACTAATCTATCACAACATACTGACACAGATATTGAGACCTCATCATCCTTCCATACATACCTTTCTAGGTAGCTGCTGCCAAGTGCTATCTGGAACATGCCATAGATTTCAAACTTATGTCATATTTGATACCTAACTTGAATTTCATAAGACTGCTGTAAGATCAGATAAAACAAGCATGAATATCCTCATTTTAAAGATGGAGAAACAGGCAGCACAGCTGATCCCACAGTCAGGAGGGATGGAGCTGGAATGAATATAAGACCTCTCAGTATGATCCTTTTTATATTCCCTCTCTTGCTGCCTGTGCTAAAACCTGGGAAGTTTTCAGGTAGAAACACTCTGCACAGCTGCAAAACTCAGTCAAAGTAGGCCCACATGCATAATGTGATTCTGCTGATGTGGGCTTCAAAACCCAGCTCAGATGCAAGTGGTATTTCCATGACCATCCTACCAAAGAAAAAAAAAAAAGGTACCCCTTCTTCTGAGGTCTCAGCCTTCCACATTTGTTATTTATTCTTAGCAAGGAGTACAGAACTGGAACACATTGGTGCTCAATAAGTGGTTACTAAAGTGAAGGAGGACAAGGCCCCGCACTAAGTTAAGCATCTCTGGAGTAAAAAGTAATATAATACAGCAGAGCAAAGAACAGAAGCTTTAGAAGCAGACTGCCTGGGTTAGAATTCCCATGGAGACTAGTCAGGTGACATTGGACTACTAAGCTTCACCGGGCCTCAATTTCTGCATCTGTAAAATGGAGAGAATACCACCTACTTCAAAAGGGTTTTGAGAAAATGAGAGATAGTTTAAAAGAGCTTTGGACAATAATGATGAAGAGTAAGAGGAAGAGGAAGAATTGGAAAAAGGAATGTGGCAGACAGACTTTACAGCGACCCCTAATGATGCCTGCACTTTGGTATTCATGCCCTTGTATCATCCTGTCCCCTTTGAGTGTAGGGACCTGTGACTTGCTTCTAACCAATAGACTATTGCAAAGCTGGTAAGATGCCATTCCCATGATTATGTTAAGTTAGGTAAGATTCTACCTTGTTAGCAGACTTGTTCCAGAAGCTTTCTCCCATGCTGGCATTGAGGAAGCAGGCAGATATTGGGAGGCCCATGTGGCAAGGAGCTGAGAGCAGCTTCTAGGAGGTGATGGTGGCCTCCAGCTGACAGCCACCAAGAAGCCAGGGCCCACAGTCTTATAACAGCAAGAAAATTAGTTCAGCCAACAAACTGAGTGAACATAGAAGCAAACCCTTCCCCAGTTAAGCCTCCAGATGAGAATGCAACCCTGGGCAACAGCTTGACTGAAGCCTTGCAGAGGCACCCAGCTAAGCTATGCCTAGACTTCTGATGCACAAAAGCTGTGAGATAATAAAGACATGTTGTTTTAAGTGGCTAAGTTTGTGATAATTTGTTATACAGCAACAGAAAACTAATACAGGGAGAGGAGGAAAAAGGAGAAGAGGAGAATCAATGGCAGGTAGTCTAAGAAATCAATCACAAGACAACAGGGAAAACAAACTCCTTTCTCTTTGAATGGCAGCAGTAGTCCAACAGTTTCAGCTAAGGCCAACCTTCTGTGTTTTCAGGTACGTACTCCACGGATTTGAGCAGAGCTCCAACTATGAAAGACTACTTCTCACACTTGAAGGGTAAGCAACTTTTCCACAACAACATGCCAGAGAGGCTGGGCCCTGTCCTCTCCTTGCACCTTCTCCCTTGGCCAAGGCTACCAGTAACAATAATCAGGCTAATGCTGTCCAATTGACCTGTAAGCCTCCTCTGTCTGCTCTGGGCTCTCAGTCAGGCCCATGGGGTGGTTACCTTAAGGCCCAAGGCAAAGCTGTGGCCAGTATCCACCCACGTGCCTTCACTGGAGGAACTCTCTCCTCCCAGCACATGGTCAAGGCATGACAAATTCCACTGCTCAAGTTCCCTTCCCCTAGTATTAACCCGGACCATCTAATCCTCTCTGGAGTCTTAGCCTTTGATTTGTCAGACCCAAGTAGAGTTGGCAGGATTAAACCAGCCCCACGTTACTTTTTTTTTGGAAATATTTCCAGAGTAATCCACAAAAGTACCATCCAAAGGGGGAAATGAGAGAGCCAGAAAGATAATGGGAGGCAAGAAGTGGTGCAGAACACATCTTCCCCAAACCACCAGCATTTCCCTCTGGCCTTGGCCAGCCTTTCTTCTAAGAGAATCAAGATGATATTTCTGTGTATGTGACCTTAACAGGAAAAGCATAAAATCAAGCTGGTACTCACACAACTTAGTCAAAACACAAATCAAATAAATTGTCAAGACATGAGACAGAAAGCTGCCTTCTGAGAGATTTCAGTGCTCTGTTCCCCTCACCCCGGCCTTTTGAGATGGCTCCACTGTAACTCATTACCCCCAAGGTAAAATCTGCTCTTACCCACAACCTGGATAATCTGGGCCAGGAGGACGCCATCTGTCACATCTTGCTGGAGATCCCTGATGAGACGCTTGTGGCCGGATTTGGCTAGGTAATGATTGGCCCAGTCTGTGTAGATCTGTAAAAAAAGCAAACAGGCAACTTTAGGAAGCCAGTCGGATCCCCTCTCAGAGTCTGAGGCAGCTGCTCGGGCCGGCACAGTGGCCACTGTCCCATTGGTGAGCTTTCAGGGCCAGCCAGCACCATTAAAATTCAGTGCATTGTGCTGATCACGCATTCAGCTAACCATAGCTGGGCCTTAGCCTATTGAGAGGACTGCCGTCAAGATTCAGGGAAAAACTAAAGAAAGCTTCAAAACATGCAGAGGGCTGAATGAGACAGGGGACACAGAACTAAACAGTCTGCTCCAGACGGCTTTGAGAGGCTGCAGCTTTGAGAGGCTGCGACTCTAGATGCAAGCAAAGTCTCCCCCACCCCTTCCCATCTTTTTCTCTTTATTGAGAAAACGTATGGGGAGGTTACCACCCAACAGGCATCTCTTAATGGGCCATTTCAGGGTAAGGAGGGCTATTGAGCTATTCTGAGTTCTCAGGAGCCTGGGTCCCTTGAAAAGAAGCCAAGTATGAAAACAGAGCCCCTTCAATTACTCTTGTGTGAGTGAAGTTATTTATGGCCTCACAATAATCTCAAATTTAATCGGTTTAATTTAAAAGCCAGGCATCATTTTCACTGTTGGGATTCTGTGAACAAAACCAAGCAAATTCCAACATATTTAAACACAACACTGTTGTGTGCAGCATTTTAGAAGGCAAAGACTGGCTGACCCATGGAATCAGGAGAACAGACCCCCTTGGGGAACATATCTGACCTGCTCTTCCTGGTCACAGAATGGTCAGGAAAGAAGAATATTTTCTTTCGAAACAGGCCAACAAGCACAAGAAAACTCTTGCCTGAAAATTTTCTCCCCAGCCATCAAAGCCAAAAACAAAACAAAAAACCTTCTGATTTTGAGTGCCAAGTTCCATGCATGGACTTGTGAGTTTGCAGAAGAGTGTATATGTGAACATGTAGGCCTTAGGGTATCAGCACCTCTTTTTTTCAAATGGATAGGAACAAATGATTGGTCAAAAGGAGAATGTCCTGCCTCAACTGGTTAGTGACAACAGGCTCAAGTACTAATCCCATGATGTCTCCACCAAAATGATGAAGGTGATCATTCTACCTCAACCAGTAGGCCTGCTCCGAGGATCCATGTGACTCCCAGAGCAGCATATGGTCTCATCCTCACCCTCCATCCTGTTCTTCCAAATGCCTTTCCCAGTGTAATCCCACACAATGGTCATCCCCCCCCACTCCCCATCGCGCCCCCCCCCCCCCCGCAACACTCCTGGAATGGGAACAGGAGCCGGGGTCAGGTTTGCCAAGCAGAGACCTTCTAAGGAGGTAGCATCTCTGGCTACTCCACCTGGGGACCATGAGGGCCTCATACCAGGAAGTGATGAGGTGGAGCTGCATCTTCTGGTTCCTGAAGAGATGAGAGCTGTAGCACCTGTCCACCACCCACCCACCTAGAAGCTCTGTCTTCCACTGCAAAGGTGCACCCACAGTGACCTTCTATTTCACAACACAGCCCAAGGATCCAATCCTTAAATCCATGCTAGTCTCCTTCCCCGTGACTCTCCAGTTGTCAGAGACCAACGATCCAGTAAAGCAAGAGTATTTTCAATTTTATAAGCACAAAGAAGGCTCAGGAAGTAGACCCCATCACCTTTGTAATGACAATAGCCAACTTGAAATTTAAAAGATCATTAAAGAAAATTATTAAGAGGGAGAGAGGAAGGAAAATAAACATTAAAAGGAAAAGAAGCAGACATGGGTTCAGGTCCCGGTTCTGTAGGCTCCACAAGAGTAGGGATTTGGGTATGTTTTGTTTAATGACGTATGCCAAGTACCTACAAGAGCACTTTTGAAAGAGTGCCTTATGCAGAGAAGGAGCTTAATAAATCCAACTAACATACAGTGCCTACTACATGCCAGGCACTGACATAAACATTTTACACACGTTAACTCATTCAATCTTCATTCTATGTGGCAGAGGTTATTATTGTGTCCACTTTTCAGAGGAGAAAACTGAAGAGCAGAAAGGTAAAGTAACCTGTCCAAGGTCACAAATAAGTGGCAGAGCCAGGATTTGAGCCCAGACTAACCTATTTTACAATCCCTTTGACATCCTGCAATGCCTCTCTGAATACAAATGTGAATGTTAATCGAGTTATTCATCCCTTCCGTGGCATCCTCCTACTGACTCTAGGTTCATGCCTCTATTATGTTCTCAGTGAAAGAATTTATCTTATTTTATTTTTATTTATTTTTTCCCAAGACAGAGTCTCGTTCTGTCACCCAGCCTGGAGTGCAGTGGCGTGATCTCGGCTCACTGCAACCTCCGCCTCCCGGGTTCAAGAAATTCTCCTGCTTCAGCCTCCCAAGTAGCTGGGATTACAGGTGCATGCCACCACGCTTGGCTAATTTTTGTATTTTTAGTAGAGATGAGGCTTCACCATGTTGGCCAGGCTGGTCTCTAATTCCTGGCCTTGTGATCTGCCCACCTCAGCCTCCCAAAGTGCTAGGATTACAGGCGTGAGCCACCGCACCCGGTCCCAGATTTTAAAAGTAATCAAAACCCAAACCTAGATCTTTCCCTTGCTATCTGAATGCCTTTGGATAAGTGACTCTACTTTTCTGGGCTTCAGTTTACTCACCTGTAAAATGAGTACAATAAGGCCTGCTTCAGAAGGTCGATGTGAAGACTCAGAGTGGGACTATATGGAAGTGCCTGTCCTGATCCATGCTGGGGCTCAGGAAGTGAAGGCAATTGGGGAGAAGGGTAATAAAGAGGCGTGCTCTGGAACTGACAGAGTTGCTTTAATCTTAGCTTCTATGCTATCAATTCCCTCTGTGCCCTCTGGCCTAAGTGTTGTCATTTGCAAGATAATGATACCTACATCATTGGTATTATGAAGATGAAATGAGCTCATACATACAAAGGTCACAGAATCTGGCACATGCTAAGTGTTCAGTAAATAAAAGTTAGTAATAAAAAATTTTATTAACAGCTTCGTGAAATGGACATAACAAAATCGGCCACAGCCTCCACCCTGAATCTCCAGGATACAAATGACTCAAGGATTTCTTCCCCTTCTCACAGCCAAATTTCAAGAGTCTGGAATATCCCCTACCTGGAATAACAAAGTATGGCACAGTGTCAAAGAAAAACAAGTCAGAAACCGGCCAGGCTGGTATATAAAGCAAGGCTTCCTTCCCTAACTAGGGGATGCACCACACTGCTCTCTCAAACCCTGGAGGGATTTCCTCAGCCACGTGGGAGGGACCATGAAGTTTACAGTTTAAAGCCACGTGCACCTAAAACATCAGCTGAGTGAGAAGTGAACATCAACAAGGGCACAGCTGAGTGGGATGAGATGCTGTGCCTCAGCTCATCCCTTCTTAGATGATTAAGGTTCTTTAAAATAGACATACTGTCTCTACAACTAGGTTTCTTTGTGAGTTTGCACAACACAGCAAGAAGCCAAGGTTAAACTTATTTCAACAAGTGCACATACACACACACTGCGATTATAGAGCCACGGTGAGGCCACACAAGTATCAGGTACACTCACAAGAACTTCTACAGGATAGAGTGGTTGGAAACGGCTCTGCCAAAGTGAACTTCTCATTCTGAAACAAGAGCTCTTCTCTCAACTTTGATTTACCTACACACCAATGCCAAACGAACTTTCCTAGGGCGCAGCTCTAATCTAATTACCCGTTCAAAAAATCATCAATGGCTCCCCACTTCCCACTGAATTAAAGGCAAACTTGAGCCCAGGAGTTCAAGACCATCCTGGGCAATGTGGTGAAACCCCCTCCCTACAAAAAACACAAAAAATTAGCCGGGTGTGATGGCACGTGCCCATAGTCACAGCTACTGAGGAGGCTGACGTGGGGGGATCACCTGAGCCCTGTAGGTCAAGGCTGCAGTGAGCCGTCATGCATCATTGCACTCCAGCCTGAAAAAGGAATGAAATTCTGAAACATGTTACAACATGAATGAACCTTGAAAACGTAATTCTAAGTGAAATAAGCCAGATACAAAAGGACAATATTGCATGTTTCCACTTACAGAGGTACCTACAAGAATCAAATTCATAGAGACGAAGTAGAATAGGGGTTAAAAGGGTCTGGGCAGAGGGAGGAAAGGGAAGTTTTATGGGTACAGAGTTTTGGTTTGGGATGTTGAAAAAGTTCTGGAGATAAATAATGGTGATGGTTATATACCATTTGTTACATGAATGTACATAATGCCACTAAATTGTATATGTGAAAAATGGTTAAAATGGTAAATTTTATATCTATTTTATACCATCCCCCCCTTAAAAAATTGTTTTTAAGAGTCAAGGTCTCACTCTGTCTCCCAGGCTGGGGTGCAGTGGGGTAATCAAAGCTCACTGCAGCTTCGAACTCAGCCAGCTTCCCTGACTCAAATGATCATCCTGCTTCAGCCTCCCGAGTAGCTGGGACTACAGATGGTGCCATCACGCCCAGCTCATTGTTGATTCCCTCCCCACCCTCCCCTTCCTCCCCTTGGTAGAGACGGGATTCCGCTCTACTACCTAGGCTTGTGAAACTCATAGAACAAAGGATCCTCCCTCCTAGGCCTGGGCGTGGGCTCGCAGAATGCTGGGATTCCCAGATTACAGGCCGGTGCACCACACCAGGAGCAAACACTTCCCACTTTAAAAATTCAGTTTGTGATTGGCTGTCATTCAGTATTATGCTAATTAAGCATGCCTGTTTTTAAACTTCTTAAAACAATTTTTTAAAATTAAAAAAATAATAAAAATAATAAAGGCTAACTCTTCACACTTCAGTCAAGGCAGCCTTATCATCCATCTGTCCCAGAAAGTCCTCCAGCCTTTGAAGGGGAGGCAGCGTGTGTGGAAGAATGCAGCCTTTGGAATCTGAGCTAGTCAAGCTGGCCCTTGGCCCTGGGCAATGTTAGTTTCTACTAATCTTTCTGTTCTTTGGTTTTATCCTCCATAAAACAGGGATTATATCAAACATATTATAAGGCAGCGGCTGGCAAACTGCAACCCGGGCCAATTCTAGCTGACCACCTATTTATGTAAACAAATAGGCGGTCAACAACCTCGGGACAGGTATCAGGACACAGACTCATCCATTTATGGTCTCTGGTTGCTTTCGTGCTACAAAGCAAAGCCGAGCAGTTGTGACCGAGTGACCTGTGGCCCACAAAACCTCAAGTACTGACTACCAGCTCTTCACAGAAAGTCTGCCAGTCTATGTTATAAGGACCAAATGAAATGATACACCTACACATACCACATGCTCAGTAGTAATAATACGATAACCCTCAGGAAAACTGGACACACCCCACACTTCCCTCTCTCTGAACTCAGTCTATCCCCTCTGCCCAGGTGCCTCTGCTGCCTGAGGCCATCTCACCCAGCTTAATTCCAATGCCTGTCCCCCATCAAGTCCCTCTTAATTTCCTGACCCAAACCTCAGCAGCCTGTGATATAGCAGATGTAGAGAACGTGTATGCTGGCACCACCTTTCCACTCCCACTCACCCATCTCTGCACTCCTGGTAGTGCGTCACAGGGGCTGGCCCACCGCAGGAGGCTGGTAAGTGGTCGCCAGGTAGAGCTGAATATGGAGAAAAAGGGCAAATCTTGGGAAACTGATTACACTTGAGACTTACATGATGTGGGCTCTCAGCAAATCCTCCAATCAGAATCTCTTTATTGATTAAAAAGAGCAGGGAGCAGGGAAAATAAATCACTCCATAGCTCAGGCTCATTAATCAGAAACCATTTCACAAGGATCATTAATTATCTGGAGTTTCCTCTCCCTTCCCTCCCTGTCCCCAGCTCTCAACTTTTTGAAGTGAATCAAGAAAACACCTAGATTTATTTTTTAAGTCAGTGTTCATGGGCCATGCTAATCATGGACATAAATTCAGCCCCATCTCCTTCACTTGCTGTTTCATTAGCTCATGCAAGGAAAATCATTCTTCCAAGGGGTACCCTTGAAAAATAAACTTATAATTTCTTTAGTCATCAAAGATAGATTTCATCAGGTCCAGCAATTCAGCAAAAACGGAGCAATGTGCGTTTTGAGTAAGGGCTCAAGATTTTGAGTAAGGGCTTAAAGCAAGCAGGCTTCCTGTCTGAGCCTCAGCTATCCAGAATTGTTTTCTCCAAAGGCTTTCATTCCCTAAAATGATGGAAAATTGAGGGCTGCTGTTGCTTTTTCCCCAGGAGCCCATTGATTCTTCATCCTGGTTTGCCCCCAGGTGGATAGCTGTGAAGTTTCAGTAGAAACTGATTGGACAAAGAACAGCAGGAAAGACCAAAACCACCATCCCATCCCCAATTCCAATTCTAAATCATCAAGTCATTTCACGAGAAAGTCTCTAGGATCCTTTGACACTAGTACCCAAGAATGAGTCCAGCCATCCTCTTGCTCCAATCACTCCATCTTGCAGAGGTACCCCTCTGCCCATCCCTTCTAACCAAAAACTCAGTGCTCCAGAACTGCTCTGTGAGGGAGAGAAGCTGCTGTCAAAGGCTTGACAAGATAAAAGGGGAAGGAAAGCTAAGACAGCTAAACAGTGAATTCATTTTGATTCACTTTATTACCCCTGACAGAATTTTAAGGAGTGCATCATTTGTTTGCTTATAACTCCACATCATTCCACATCAAACAGGCTGAAATCCAAAAGAGAACATTTTGACAGATCAATTCAAGTAAAGAACCTAATCATTAGTTGTAATAACAAAAACTGATAATAATTGTACCATGTTAAACCAAAGGGGATAATAACACTGCTAAGTTTATACTGCAATTAGCCCTCAAATGAAGCCGGGTAGCACTAAAGAACCCAAGAAAAATTCTGCAAAACAACTGCACTGAAAGTGCTAGAATGGAGCCTTAGCTACCAAACTATAAATGCAGATGGATATGCCAGGCAGCCTGATGGATCCAGAGGCAGATGGCATCAGGTTAGCAGCTCCAGGAGAAACAGAGCAAACTGTATTTCTTAGAAGGAAATGCCAGTGTGGAGACTAATGTTTAAAGTAAACCAGTCGTTTAGCATCTGAGGCATTTCCAGTGGATTGATTGTAAGGGGAATGCTACTGTTTGGCCCCAATTCAGGAAGCCTCACTCTAGACTTTGGTAATGTCATCATATAATGCCTTTTTTTTTTTTTTTTTTTTTTTTTTTTTTGAGACAGAGTCTCACTCTGTCTCCCAGGCTGGAGTGCAGGGGTGTGATCTTGGCTCACTGCAACCTCCATCTCCTGGGTTCAAGTGATTCTCCTGCCACAGCCTCCCAAGTAGCTGGGATTAAAGGTGTGCACCACCATGCCCAGCTAATTTTTGTATTTTTGGTAGAGATGGGGTTTCACCATGTTGGCCTGGCTAGTCTCAAACTCCTGGCCTCAAGTGATCGCCCTCCTCAGCCTCCCAAAGTGCTGGGATTACAGGCATGAGCCACCACACCTAGCCAACACAATGTCATTTCTAAGACTGAGCAGTACGTGGTTAAATGGTTTAGTTCTGAATGCTCTGGAGTATAAAAAATGATTTTGCAACAATAGTAGAGTGTTCATTCTGTCCTTGAACACCACAAAGAATGTCACTGCTTATTCAATTGTTCACAATTTTAAGAAAATCGAAATGCACCATTTGTTATCAAGAGCTAAGCTGGTGACACATTCATTCCTGCATCTGCAGCATCTAGCAAGGAGTATGATACCCATCCCCACAGGTATCAACCACAAGTCCACATAACCTTTTAGCTGCATGGGGTGAGGAAACCGAAATTAGCTGGTGGCTTTTTCCCACTTTCCTCTCTCCTTAACGGTTTAATGTATCCTCCTTTTAATGTAGCCCCCACCTTGGGATTAAAAACCACCTCCTTACAATAGTCAAATAGGTGAAATGGTGTCCCCAGCCCTACACACTGGAGAAACAGGCAGAGCACAGAGAAGCAAGTCTTTTGCTCAAGGCTGCACAGCACAACAGGGGTTTCTGCTCTCCGGTTTCTCAGAAAAGTCCGGTTCTGCCCAATGTCCCTGCAGTGCCCCACATGCCCAACCTCTAGGGCAATGACCATCATTCTATCCCCATCCTTGCCATCTTCTGATGTATTACTTGGGACATTTGTGGGCTTTCTGCAACCACAAAATCATAAAGGCAAGTGTCTACAGTCTCAGGTGTAGGTGTGGACCAGGGTTGAACTCTGGCTTTGCCTTATAAGCTAGGTGACCCTTGGGGAGTCATATCCCTTCTGAACATCAGTGTCCTTCTGAACTTGTGCAGTGGTGATATACAGTTGCTTTACAGATTAAATGAGATCATATAAGTGGTTAACACAGTGTCTGGCACATAGTATGTAGTAAATAAACAACCATTATTAATATTCAAATGAATAACACTGAGTTTTGGAGGAATAAGTCATTCTAGATTGCTGAAGGTTTACACTTCTGAGAGCCACACATTTTAAACAATTCCACTGGGATTTTTTTCCAAACAGATTATAATGATCTGATTTTTAATTAACACAATTGCACTTTTTCTTTTCTTTTCTTGTCTTTTTTTTAATACTTTAAGTTCTCAGATATGTGTGTAGAACGTGCAGGTTTGTTACATAGGTATACATGTGCCATGGTGGTTTGCTGCACCCATCAACCCGTCATCTACATTGGGTATTTCTAATGTTATCCTTCCCCTAGCCCCCGAGTCCCCGACAGGCCCCGGCCCCAGGGACGTCACTATAAATGATAGTGTTTTGATGTTTACAAGGATGTGTCCTTAGGACCTACTGAGTTGCTCGACCTTCCTTAAGAGACCCCAGAGTCTTTAGAAACTGTATAAGCTGGGCACAGTGGCTCACACCTGTAATCCCAGCACTTTGGGAGGCTGAAGCAGTCAGATTGCTTGAGCCCAGGAGTTTAAGACCAACCTAGGCAACATGGTGAAACCCTGTCTCTACAAAAATAAGAAATAGGCTGGGCACGGTGGCTCACGCCTGTAAATCCAACACTTTGGGAGGCCAAGGTAGGCAGATCACCTGAGGTCAGGAGGTTGAGAACAGCCTGGCCAACATGGTGAAACCCCTTCTCTACTAAAAATACAAAAATTAGCCAGGCATGGTGGTAGGCACCCATAATCCCAGCTACTTGGGAGGCTGAGGCAGGAGAATCACTTGAACCTGGGAGGCAGTGGTTACAGTGAGCCAAGAACACGCCATTGCACTCCAGCCTGAGCGACAAAAGTGAAAATGCATCTCAAAATAAAATAAATTAGCCAGGTGTGGTAGCATGTGCCTGTGGTTCCAGCTACTCAAGAGGCTGAGGCAGGAGGATTGTTTGAGCCCAGGAGGTCGAGGCTACAGTGACCCCTGATCACCACTGCACTCAGCTTGAGTAACAGAGCGAGACCCTGTCTCAAACAAAACTCTGTATAAAGTAAGAGCACATACTGTTTAAGCAAGAGCCATGCTGGAACTTTTCCCTCAAGGAAAACCCATAAGTAGAAGGATTTTGTGACACGCCTTTGAGCTGCCCCAGGGTACAGCAGGGAAGGCTCTTTGGTTCTCAGCTGATCTTGAGCCAGGTAAGACTCCTAGAAAGCTGGGTTCCAGGAGCACTGAGATGTGAATGGGTTCTCTATTCCCCATCTGAGCATATGAGGAATTGTATTGCCAGCCTTTGCTCTTGACATATGTTTTGTAATATGGCTAACATGAACATTTATACCAAAGGGTATAAATCCCTGTCTGGACCCAGAAGAAGGCAGCAGGGGGAGGGGAAGAGCCATCTGCTGGTTTCTTCTCTTTTTATCTGCAGTAACCTACTTGCCTGCACAACCACCAAACAAAGATAAACCCTAATACCTGCCCACCTAGAAGCCTTTGTTTCAAAGGGATACTCACACAGAGCAAGTGACCAGCAAGAGTGGCACAGCTTCTCATTAATTAGGATTTTCATCTTTTTCCACATCCTGGGACTATCCCTACTCCTAACTTTGCCTCTGAATATCAAGTTAAGTAGCTTAGAGCTGCATGCGTGCCTTGGTGCATGAAGAAAACACTGCCTGAGCATCTACCTGTGCAGGGGGCAATGCTTGCTCCAGTCTTATGTAGGATAGTAACTACCATCTGCCAAATGTCTACGGTGAAATCATTAAGAGAACACTTCTTAGAGTCAGATAATTTAGTTCCAAACATGCTCCAAGCATTTCCTGATAGTTTTAGTAACTTGCCCAGAATTACCCTATCTGAGACTCAGTTGCCTCATCTGTAAAATGGATCACCCATTCTGGTTACTGTGAGATTGAAATGAGATAATCTACCAATGCCTGACACACGGCAAGGGCTCAACAGGTTAGCTGTGATTATAATTACCATGAAGATGATGCCATGCAACGTGAACACTTTACAAACAAGGGATTCCTTCAGTTTCCAACCCACCTCTGTGGGAGATATTATTTTCCCCATCTTACAGATGAGGAAACTGAGGCTCAAAGAGGCAAAGTGACTTTCCCAATGTTATGTGACAAGTACGCGGGGTTTGAAAGCAATAACTGGCTCCTAATGATGCCACACTGTTACTGAGGGGCCCACACAGAAACCACTACCACAGAAGGTCAAGTGCTACAGCAGTGCGGAAAAAGCAGAGAGAGAGGGAAAGGCATATTGCATAATACCCATCACAGTGTTTCCCCTGACCCTGGGAACAGGGCTGGCCACTTGTCACTCAGGACTAACAGACCCAAGAGGGGAGCTGACACTTTCCCATGTCACCAAAGCACAAAGCAAACATAGTTTCACAACAATCTCACTGTAGCAAAAACAAAAATGCCAATATAACATGAGTTACCATTGCAGGACTGTATCCAAGTAGGGAAACACTCAGGGGCAAAGTCCCCCAGTTCTTCCAGTCTGTGGTGTGCAAGGCTGATCTGGGACCCCATGCAGCAGCAGACACTGGGTCATGCCTGTGAATGGCACCACAGCCACACAATGGTGACATTGTCTGATGGGAACATGAACAAGCCACAGGTGGGTGTACACAGCACCTCCAGAGGTTTTGAAACTATGCCTTTAAAAAAAATAAACCAGGCTGGTGAACGTGCTGGGAGAAACAGGTGATATTTTAAGGATGAGGGTGTAGGTGCCTGCTTCATCCACACCTCAGGATAACCCACATTCAGTGCCTACGAGCTTCCTCTTTTTTTTTTTTTTTTTTTTTGAGACAGAGTCTCGCTCTGTCGCCCAGGCTGGAGTGCAGTGGCGCAATCTCGGCTCACTGCAAGCTCCGCCTCCCGGGTTCACACCATTCTCCTGCCTCAGCCTCCCAAGTAGCTGGGACTACAGGTGCCTGCCACCACGCCTGGGTAATTTTTTATATTTTTAGTAGAGACGGGGTTTCACCGTGTTAGCCAGGATGGTCTCAATCTTCTGACCTCGTGATTTGCCCGCCTCGGCCTCCCAAAGTGCTGGGATTACAGGCGTGAGCCACTGCGCCCGGCCCTCGATCTTCCTCTCAATGCCCCGTTTCATACTTCATATAATAGAAAGTACTTTCCTATTCATTTCCTCATTTGATCACTATCCCCTATGTGCTAGGAAGTCTGTGCTTCTGTCTACTGTGTGCCAGGTGTTTTGTACCTGTGATCTCATCTACAATCTCTCACTCACTGGAGTAACAGCTCCAATACGCCAGGACCAAACATTTAGAGCTGCCCTTGTCACATAGTAGGTGTTCACTAAACAGTTGTTGAATGGATGATCAGCCCCATTTTACATACTGGAAAACAGGCTCCAAGAGGTTAAGGTGCACAGGATCACATAGCTAATAAAAGGTGAAGCTCCCTCTGACTCAAGCTGACCAGCCTCACGGCTACCACCTCTCACCACGGCAAAATATGTCTCCAGCTCTCCCTGTAAACTCCCTGGAAAATCAAATAAGTCCAAGTGAGGCTGAAAACTGGAATTCTTACTGGTCACTTCAGAACAAAATTGAGTCCCTTTCTACAGCACTTCCTCCCACTCTCTCCAACCTTAGAACCCAGATCTGAACAACTTTTAACCACAATCTCTACTAGCTGCCAGAAAGCCAAATGTCAGAGCCCTGCTAGGAATTTTTCAAGTGTTTTTTCTCCCTGTGTTCATTAGTTACTGACTAATCAGATGCATTCTCCTTCCAAGTGCTTCCTCTGGTATGATGGCAATCAGGCCCTTGCAGAAAGGCTTGGGAGCAGCTGCAAGCACACTTATTGACAGCAGACATCAATCAGTGCCACTGCCTGACAGGGCAGCCACACCTAAGTGGGTAGTGAGAACCTGGGCCACTACAAGGCCTCTCTCTGGTCTGGTCACAAACTGACCTTTTAAGTCGTAGCCTCCATCCAGTTGTTCAAACTTCCATAGCTCCCCTCACCTGCAGACTGCAGACAGAGGGACTGTCAGCTGTCCTCATCCAGCCAAACACCTCAGCTCCACCTTCTAGGCACAGGCTCCCTAGGACGTCTGGCCTTATCATGCCCAGCCAAGACCTTGGAGTCTTGATTGACGTCTGACAGGTTGCTTAACATCTCAGGATTGTTGAGGGGATAGAATGAGAGATTAGATCCGCAGAACTCTGCACATGTTTAGACACAGACTACACTGAGGCTTTGTGGCTTTGGGCAATCCACCACTCTCTAAGCCTCAGTTTCCACATTTGTAAAATGGGATAATACTCTATTATCTGTTGTAAAGACTAATGTGTCTATTGTGGGGACTCAGTGTTTGTAAAGTGCTTAGCACATAGGTGGTGCCTTTACTGTTAGTTTCCTTTCATTATTTCCGTCATCTCCATGTCCCTAAAAAATGCCTTCAAGTGCATCAGCTGGTGGCATCCCTCACACCACAGTTCCATGCTACTCTAACCCTCAGTCCCTATGGGCAGGTTCTCTGGTCCCATGTGCCTCCCTGGTCCCCTCCACTTAGCAGAACTCCCCCTTCTCCTAGAAGCCAACCCTGCCTGCCAGGCTTCTGTGTGAACTGGGAGTTCAGAGAAGGCAATTAAAACAACCCTGTGGGACAGGCTCCCCAGCCTCTGTGCCTTTTCACACGCTGCCCTCTCTGCCTAGGGTGCCCTTCCCCCACCACCTAGGAAATGCCCACTTGAAATCTGAAAAGCAAAGTAAATGTCAGTCCCCGTAAAGCCATTCCCAACCTGCTTGCCTACTCCTAACAGAATTACTCATTTTTTCTTCTCACCTCTGAAAGCACTTTGCATCTGCCTTTATCCTGGCTGTTGTAACTACTCACATCTCTCTCAATCAGGAGCTTCTATAGAGTAGAGAACAAGTTTTATACATATTTAAAACACAAGCACAACACCTGACTCACTACAGGAGCGTGATAAACAAGCACTCATTGATTTACTGGTGGGTGGGTAGATGGATGAAGGGAAGAAAGTAAAAATGGATGGAGGAAGGGAGGGAGGAAGATCTGGGTAAACAGACTGGTGAATGTTCAGATGGATGGAAGCGTGGATGAGTGGGTGGAAAAAAAGAGATGAATGATTAAATGGTGGGGGATGCACAAATAGACAGATGGACTAATGGGTGGGACAGATGAATAAGTATGTTCCCCTTCACTGCCTAGATTATAAAGTCCATAAAACCAACATATTTCATGTAGCTGTTAGACCAGTCATAGCAAAAGGCCCACAGCAGGCACTGGTAAGTAACACTGCCATGAGACAATTTCAGTAGCTTGGTAGTAGGACCCACCCGACGGTGGATGCTAAAGTGCTATTTTCAAAGATACAAACACACATACAGTGGTATGCCAGGGCAGGCATGGACTGGCTCAAGAGAGTTGGTTGTAACATTTTCAGTAAATTTTGGAGCTGATTGTTAACTACAGCCACTATTTTAATAATTAAATTATATAAACTTAAAATTATATTTTTAAAGTGATAGTAAATATTTAAAACTCATCACTTTCTAATTATTTTACTGTATTTTACTATTGTTTATGGTCATGAGATTATTTACACCTATTATATCTGTATGAGGGAAATACTATATAATAATGCACTACTGTACATCTCTTCCCAGCTCAGAGTGGGTAAATTAAAATCAGTCTTGGTAGAAGGATTTACACCATGGTAATTGGCAAGTACTACCTATCAGGCTTTTCTCCTTGGAGAGCCAACTGTTAAACGTCACTGAGTATAGACAGGTGAGATGGAGTAAAAAAAAAAAAAAAAAAAAAAAAAAAAAAATCACTAAATACACACAGGTGGGACAGGAAAAAAACATGAGTTATTATTTTCCCTCCTTACCCCTACCCCTCCCCCAAACTGGAAATCTCTTTGTTTTGTAGAATGATGGGTAAGAGTATGCAAATTTAGGGGGCAGTAGACTGTGCTAAAATGCTTTGCATGAAAAAAAGGGAATTCAGGGAGAGAGGTAAGATCTGGAGCTGGGAAGCCTGTGGGGTGCAAAGAGGCTATCTGGGTGGGCAAGAAGGCTTGGAGATGAGATCGAGGGGCCTTTAGGGAGACTGAATACGATCCGAACTCTCCCCTTGGAGATCTCCAGTGCAATCTGTATTCTTACTGGTGCTTTCTAGGGCAAGTGGAATCCTTCTCAGAAAGGACAAGAGGTGCCAAGTTCCGCTTCCTAGTAGGTGAAGGGACAGGAGCAAGTGAGCTGGAGCCAAGGTTCAGTTACTCCCCATTAAGAGAGTGACCCGGCTTTATTTACAGGGCCAAGTGGGTAGAGCATGAGCTCAAGTTTTCCCTTTGCAGGACCTCTCAGCGTGCTTGTTACAGAGCACCTGCTCAAGGACTGCTGGCTCAAAGGCCCTCTTGGCCACCCCCTCCCTCCTTTCACATGAGTGTCTTTGGTTTTGGCACTGGTCTCCCAAACACTGACCATCCTCAATTTGCCCAGGCCCTCCCTCCCCCAACTCGGACCTCATCACCCACTGAGGCGTCCCAAAAGCCCCGCTCCAGGTGTTCCCCCATTCCCAGACACTGGACCTAACTGTCTCTGCCTGACTTGGGGATCAAAACTCACCTGACCCACATTCCATTCCATCAGGGCTTACTAGGTCCCAGGCACACAGCTCTGGCAGAGAAAGGTGAGTCACAGTTCCCAAAAAACATTTACATTTCCAATGGGATCCTCAATGCTTTAACCCCAGGAGACTGATGTGAGGCTATATAATCACTCTGGAAAGCCTGGGAGATTTTTTTTAATGGTAAAGGATTTTTGTTTTGTTGTTTTGTTTTTGTTTTCTTAGGGCCATTCAGACCAGGGCAGGTGAGTGGCTATATAAGGTGTACATTGCTTATTAAAATTCCCAACACCAAAGGCAAACTGTGTGCACTCGTGGTGATTATTTGAGGATGTTTCTTACCCAAGAAACCTGAGCAGTGGGGTGGTGGGTAGTTTAAGGATTTCCCCTGGGAGATGAGGGGTCAGGTTTCCTGAAAGATTACACAGCCGACTGATTTATCTGGGAGAAGTAGATCCAGAGAGGGCTCCAGGTGGAGTCCCTTTTTCTGCATAAGGGGCTGTGACCGAAGGCACAGAGGGGAAAAAAAAAGGTGGTGGGAGCCTCCTCTGGTTTCACCTGAAGAGGGAGGCGGAAGGGCCTGAAAATTAGATTTTGTTTATAAATAATAGATATTATAGGTATATTTACATATTTTTACATAATGATGCCAACCACAAACAATGGACCATAAAGCACTGACCTCAGAATGATCAATTGCAAAATGTTTAAACCCTGGAAGCTTTTGCTTAGGAGGGCGGATATTCTGTGTTGATGTTATTCTATAGCCATAAACTTCCCTGAATTTTCTGCTAATGTATCCAAGTCCAGGCAAGTCACTTAAACTCTTCAAATGCAGCTTCTTCATCTGTGAAGTGGAGATCATAATAGCATCTACTGCACCAACTTAGATGAAGAATTGAATGAGGAAAAAATGTGAAGCACCTATGAGCACACTTGCAGAAGTACTCAGGGAGGGGTAACGGACAGAGGGGTGAAGGAAGGTACAGAGGGACTAGAGAAGATCTGACATTCTCATAAATGGCCATGGCCCTCCAGCCCGTTGGGCAGAGAGGCACAGAACCTGGCAAAGACTGTTGTGTCACTTGTGGGAAAGTTGTGTAGCAAAGGCTTTAAAAAACTCTGGAAGGCAGGCAATTCCCAGCAGTGGCTGGCGCTGCCCGGCCCTAGGAATGCGCTTGCCTGCTCCTTCCCCATTTGGGAGCCTCATTCCTTTCTCGGCAACTCCATGGCCAAGAGACTTGGCCACAGTGGAAATGACCGTTGTGCCCCGGGCCCTTCTCCAGCCCAGATGTCAGAGCTCTCAGGCCTGAGGGCATCTCGGGTTTTTCATGTTTATTATTTTTATTATACTAGGCGTTTACTACGAAGACTACCAAACACCAAGCTGGCACCTAGGAAAGAAGGGGTGTCTCCTCTACCCAGGGGACAACCTGGCCCAGAGCACAAAAGAACAATTTGCACAAAGATACTATTTATTCTCCAAAGTCCTGGAAGAAGGCCCTGATTGATTCATCTCAAGAAGAATAATAAAGTCCTAACAACAGTGCTGTCTCTGCCTCCTGTCTGCAGTGCTTACCATTTATAAAGTTCTTTTGTAAATACAATCCAATCTGAGCCTCACCACAATCCTGGGAAACATGGGCGGTGGCAGCTTGCATTCTCCCCATTGCATGGATGAAGCCAGTGAGATACCAGCTGGACAAGGTTAGCATCTGTCCAGCTAACAGACCAGGTATTCCAACTCAGTCCAGTCATCTTTATGCCACAAGGCAGTTACAAAAATCAGGCCAGGTCATTCAGATGACCACGATGAAGAAGAAGTTCTAGGATGGAACTGGAAGGAGCCTTGTGTTCCTATGAAGATGGGAATTTGAATTCTATGTCTAATCACCCAGGTCCAGCATGGGATGGGAATTCCCATGCAGGCATATAAGATGTGTTCATCCAACTTCAGAACCACATACAATAGCTGCCTCCTATTGAAATGTCTATTTTTAACATTCTATCTCAAAAGAAATCTCTTCCACAGGGCAGTGAGCCTAGACCCCAGGAGTTAAAAATAATAATGAGAACTCAGGGACATCCCCATTAATTGTGCTTGGCCTGGGTAGTGCTACACATCTAGAGCAAACGACACACATGTCCAATATCCCAGCAGCCTTCCACCTTTAATGAGCCACACACCCAGAGGATGAAGGAACAAGAGGATATCAAATACTCAGAGGACTCAGTAAAGTGGCTCACATGGAAAATGACCTCAAAACTGTGTGAAAACGTATCTTCATGCAGGGGTTTTTTTCCCTACACCTTTCATACCCACATCGTTCTTATCTTTGTACATAAAGGGCCACACAGAATATCTGCTCACCAAAGCAAATGCTTTGCGGGTTTAAACGTTTTTATAATAGATCACTCCAAGGTCAGCTGTATAGAGTAAGCATTAAGCAGATAAGAGAAGCACACTCTTTCCTAGAAAATAAGCACCTGCCAAGCCACCTAATAATGCTAATGTTGCCTAGGAAGTTGGGTTAGATAGGTGGGGGAGAAGGATAAGTTTTAGGAGGGGAGGGTAAACTACAGCATTTTTACAAGAAGAATAGGCTAAGAAGGTTCTCTCTCTGTCATAAAGCCATTGCCTCTGACCACATCAAAGTGACCATTCTACCTGGGCATGGTGGCTCAAGTCTGGAGTCCCAGCTGCTCCAGAAGGCTGAGGCAGGAGGATTGCTTAAGCTCAGGAGTTCAAGACCAGCCTGGGCAACATAGTGAGATCCACTCTCTCAAAACAAACAAACAAAAAAGTGGCCATTCTGATTGTAAAACCAGAGCGCCACACAGCTGCAGGCACCAGGACTGCCATTAGCCCCTGAGTTACAGTAACTGTCTGAAGGTTAAGGAGGCATAAAGGAATAAAAATGCATCTTGCCTTTTTGCTCTGTGAATGCATGCTCCCAAATGGATTCTCGGCAGCAAGTGGAAAGCCATGGGTACAGATGCCTTCCAGCTTAAATGATACCATTCAGGTCACCCTGGCCAGGGGAGGGAGAGGGCAGTGGGCCCTTCCCGGGACATCCATGGGTCTCACTGAACAGGAAATTGCTTCCAGTTTCCCCCAAGCAAGTCCCTCCTTCAATGAAGCCCTCAGGAGTACTCCCTGGCATCTCCTCCAACTCTTTTGCACCTGCTGAGGCCCACAATTAAGAAAACAAGCGAAACCTGCCACACCTGTTGACATCCAGGACCTTCCCAATTTCAGCTTCCTCAGCTTGGCCTTTGGTTTATGCAGTTGTATTTTCTCAGGCCACCAACAATGTCCAGACAGATCTTTCTCTACCTGCTCTAAAAATACACCACCCAGCCCTCACCCTGGGCGGACATATGAAACAAAAAAGCAGCACAAAGGTGGCAGTTAGCTCTTCTAGCTTTCCACAGATGAAAGTCCTGCTTGGAGGGCTCGTGGTCTCTGCTCTGCATAGAAAATAAATTGAAACCATCTCTAAACACAAGTCCAATTCAAATAAACTTCATTGTCTCTCCCCAGAGACCCTGCCAACATCCCTGGAGGTTGCTTACCACTTTATAATGGTCACAGGAATCCCGACTTTGACCCCGAGCGGGAACCCATAAGTTGATGCTTACAGGCATGGCTCAACCCACAGCAGCAGCGCAGTCCTCAGCAGTCAACGTCCCATGCCCTCTCTGGGAGTGTCTAGTTCAAAGCACTGTGGAAGCGTGTGAAGCCTCCAAGGTTAATTTTAGCTGAAGTCACGCACCCGCTGTGGTCAGATTTTCTTACACAGGCCACCTCCTGAATAGCGGCAGCTTATGTTACCCCAACCCACTGGGCGGCCCTCTGGCCCCCAGCCCTGACTCCAAACTGCTGCAATTCTTCCATCTCCATCTCCCCCATCAAATTCTCACCCTCCAAAATAATCCAACTCTCGGTGCTTACATTTTCATGACACACTCAGGGGAAATAAATCACTGTTTCTTTGGCTGCCCCAGGCAAACAAACCTGGGGAATCATTCCCCCACTTGGCCCACGCTTGGCAAAAGCTGGGCATGAAGCTCTAGGCCAAGGGACTGTGCAAACTTCACTTGAACCAGGCAGTGGCTGCTGAGGCCACACAAGAGCAAAACCTTACATGCTTTCCAACTCCTCCAGTGGGGTTTTGACAATCATCCTCAGAGCTTTTAGTCGCATGGTGCCTCCATGTGCCTCATCTTTTGCTTGACTCTGTTGAAAAGAAAAAACAACAGTGCCTGCCCTTACATTTCTCTAAAAGGCCAGTGCAGGAGAGGAATCTACATGTTTCATCGAAAGGTCTCACTCCTGCAAAGAAGAGTTTGAGCCTTCATTCAACTTTGTAGAGGTTATGAAAAGGCTACCGAGACATTGGCATGGGTGCCGGATTCCAGATTCCAACAAGGGAATGAGTATAGGCTTCAGGTGGAAGGTTATTAGAAGAAGTAAATTTCAGGCCTTGCCTCCTGCCAAGCTCAGAGATAGGGGCCTGGCAACTTCATGATGCAATTTGTGCAAGAGTTGCTTGCTGGACTGAATTCTGGTCTCCTCTTAAGATTGCCTTTTTTCATTGTGGACAGGACTATAGAAAGGCGATGGAAAAACTAAGCAAATCCAGAGTGGCCTGCTATGATCGCAGACAAATCCCACAGCCTGTAACCTTGAAGACAAAACTCTGGTATGCAGTGTTTAAATCAGGTGTTAAGGCCACATCTAGAAACTGCTCCAAGTAGGATGAAATGCAATATCTTTGCTCCACCTTAGGTCTACCTGTTACACTACCAAGGCATCTTAGGTCTTTCCTTCATATGACTCATTACTCTTGTAATTATTTAATTCATTCAGGTATTTATTGAGCACATACTCTGGTACTCTGATAATCTTAGAGGATTCAACAGTGTCTAAGGAAGTGCTCTCATGAGGCTTTATTCTACTGAGGATGAGAGGTAGGAGAGAGAGACAAAATGGTAATAAAAAATAAGCAAACTAATATTAGAGAATAATAAATGCTATGAAGATGCATTAGAGAGTGAATGGCCAGGAGTGGAGGGATAATGTGGTTGGGAAATCAAGAATGGCCTCTCTAAGCAGGTAATATTTGATTAGAGACCCAACTGATAAGAAGAGAGCAACCATGCAAAGGCTCAGGGGGTGGTTCTCCCAGACCAGCAGCATTAGCATGGCCTGGGAACTCATCATAAATGCAGATTATCAGGCCCCACTCCAGGCCTATTGAATCAGAAATTGTGGGGGGTGGCAGCTTAGCCGTGCAATTTGTGCAAGAGTTGCTTGCTGG
The DNA here is from genome assembly GCF_000001405.40 of Homo sapiens. Classification (NCBI taxonomy): domain Eukaryota; kingdom Metazoa; phylum Chordata; class Mammalia; order Primates; family Hominidae; genus Homo; species Homo sapiens. Next base: position 19,812,107 of record NC_000011.10, on the reverse strand, counting down.
ACTGAATTCTGGTCTGCTCTTGAGATTGCCTTTTTTCAATGTGGACAGGACCATGGAAAGGCGATGGAAAAAATAATCAGCAGACTGGGTTTGAACAAGCATTCTGGTGGTCCTCATGCATACTACAGTCTGGGAACCACTAAGCCATAGGAAGACCATTCCAGGCAAAGGATTCTAAAGACAACGCGTATCTGTTTTGCTCACCACTGCAGTTCTCAGCCACTAGACCAGGGCATAGCACATAGTAGGAATTGAATAAATATTTTTTTTGACTGCTTACCAAGCTTAAGTACCATCCCCCTAGAATCCAGATAAAAATCACAAAAAGATAAAAATCACAAAAGGCTATCTGCATAAAACTTTAGCAAAAGCACGCAAAAAGGAAGAGGAGGCAGTCATTTACAATTCCAGGTGGCCAGTGGAAAGCTTTCTGTCATGCCAGAAACTGCCAGCCACTAAGAGCAACTCTTCCCAATCTAATAAACCTTGGCACCACAAGGTTGGCAATTAGATTTCCTGTAAAAGGCTAAATGTGGTAACCTTCTGCTTCCTGATTTTGAAACTCAGTAAGAAAGGCATTAGTGTGTGGCAGCTGGGATAATCATTTAATTGATCTTTTCCACCCATAGAAGCCTCCCTTCCCTGCTCCAACCCACTGACTTGTAAATCAATGTCACCTTCATTGTGAGCATGAAAAGGCAGGAAAAAACACCCCCCTTCCCAAACCAAATGGGAGTCAATTTCCTAATGAGGCCTGGGTGACACTCTAAATGGGTGCTGCCATTTCTCCCCCTCTGACCTCCTCCTTGGCCACCCACACAGCTCCATCCAGTCCAGTAGGAGAGCCCATGACATGCAAAGCAGAAGACAAGAGGCTTCCTACCAGCAGGAACTCCACAACAGAAAGGGTGTGGATTCTGATGTCAGCCGGACCTGATTCAAATCCCTGAACTGGATAATATTTAGAAAGCAACTAGACAGCCGTTTAGCATGTAGGAAGAGTTCGATAAATCACACACATTTTTCTCTTCCTCCTCAGTGTTGCTGTGTGTCATTCCACCCATTCATTCAACAAATATTTAATAAATACCTACAATGCACCCTTTCTGAGGACAGAATGATGAGCAAAACTGACACAGAGCCTATTGTCTTGAGGGAGTTGACAGATATTAATCAAATAAGGATGTCAAATAAAGATATTATAAAAAGATGCCAAAGGGAAACGGTGACAAAAGGTACAAAGGAGAAATATATGGCATTGTGACAGCCTATATTGGGAGAGTTCAATCTGTGTAGAGCTTATTAAAATACAGATGCCAAAATCCCAGGTGGGCATCTACCTCAACCTCAGGCCATAAGGCCCAGGCCCAGGTGTGTTTATTAACAAGCTTCACAGGATGTTCTCACTGTTGGAGTGAAAGCTTACAGATGAACAAAGATGGAAGGCTAGGATGAGCCATGTGGTAATGGATTAGAATTGAAGACTCTATAGAAACTAAAAACTGCTTTCAGTTTATAAACTATAGTATAGTTTATCAGTATAAATTACATACTGATCTATATAGCATGTCAGCGTAAAGGAATCTAGATAGGATATTCGTAGATACGTGTACATATCCTTGTTCTTTCAGCTGAAAAGTTCTAAAAATAACAACAGCCCAGTAGCAACAAGCAGATCTAGCCCCTGATCTTGGTTTCAATAGCATTCTCCAACCAAAAGAACCAGGGATCCTTGGAGAAATGATTCTTGGACTGGGGCAGGAAGAATTTAAAATAAGCCTGGAGCACAGTATAGTGCCAAAATGTAGGCATATATCCCCACTCCAAAACACAATGATGGAGTATGTCAAAGTGACACAGGAGCCAACTGAAAGAGCTCCCAATGGCCAAAGCTGACCAAGCTCAAAATAATTTGAGCAACAAAATAAGGTAGTATTGGATTATAAGTCAAAGTGTGAAATAATTGATACTGCCACAAAGAAATGATTGACTAAATAAATAGAAGAGAAAAATCTTCCATGTAAATAGAATTTCAAATAAAGTATGTAGATGTTCTGCTCTCAAGGTTAAGTGTGGGCTGCACAAAGAGTAAAACATGGAAAAAAGGGAAAGAGTAACTTTACAGTGAAGATACCGGCCAAACACTATCTCAGCCAGGTGATCGAGGTTAACATAAACATTAGCAAGTCATGTTGATAGCATGACCCTGATAGGATGGGATGAAAAATGTCACTTTACCTCTGTGTTCTTCCTCTCCAAAACCTACAACTTCAGTCTAATTAGGGGAAAAGCATCAGACAAATCCCAATTGGGGGGCAATAGCGATGATGTCCATTCTACAAAATATCTAACTATAACTTTTCAAAACCATTAGAAGCATCAAAAACAAGGCAAGTCTGAGAAGCTGTCAAGCCCAGAGAAGTCTAAGGATGCATGAGAGCTAAATGAAATGTAGTATCCTGGATGGGATCCTGAAACAGATAAAGGTCATTAGGTAAAAACTAAGGAAATCAGAATAGAGTATGGACTTTAGTTGATAATATTTCAGTGTGGGTTCATGGGTTCACTAACTAATATGTGAATATTAGTTGTTAATAATGGGTGGGGTATATGGCAACTTTCTGTACTATCAAATTTTCTGTAAAATTAAATCTAGTCTTAAAGTTTATTTTTTAAAAAAGAACAATTACAAAGCTCCATAGTTGACTATGGTGTGCAACCAGGTTTGAAAACCCAATTCTTAATCCTCCATGGATAACATGTGGATTTAGCCATTTCAAGGGCAGAATGCTAGCCTGATGTTTGATTTGAGATCAGAAAATTTCAGAAACTCTCATGTGTGTGTAAACACACAAACAACATACATGGGTATGTGAATATAAAGTTTATACCCTAGTTATTATGCACAAGAAATTCTTCCTGCATGCATGAATTTCCTAGAATACTCATTAGTAACTGTTCAGGATAAAAGGACTTAACAAAAAAGAAGCCATTCAAAACTCCAGGTTTTGCTTTGATCCATTCAAAAGGGCCATGAAAGAACTATTTGTGCCCAAACAATAAGTATTGGGAATCTCCAGTTAACAACCCTGAGCTCTAACTCAAAAGCTCCCATTTGTTTTTAGATAAAGATTCTGCATTTGGTTCTTCCTCACCATTAAAAGAAGGACTCAAAAATGCCAGAGGTTCCCTCAAGTTTACTTGATGTAAGACATTGTAATTAATAATCAATAAACTAGAAAACATCAGATCCTAAGAACACCAGTAGCAAAAAAATGTCTCCAAAATGAATTAAATACTCAATAACCCATGAAGTGAAGATTTATTTCTAAGGGGAAAAAAATATCCCCCATATGACTGGAAACATAAGCCAGGTTTTACCAGCAATAGGTGGCAGCATTTCTATTCTCTGGGCCACATTCTACATAATTGTACCAACTATTAATAGACAATAAAAAGACAATTGTTTTTTAAGGTCCTACCATAACTCTTGTTTTCCACTAGCAGATAAACTTGCTATAAATCTCTTTTGCCAGAGATAACAAACTCACATCTCTTCTTTTTTTAATAAATAAAAGAAAAAATAAAGTGACAAATTAATTCCTCCAAACTTAATAAAACTAATTTAATCATTTTGTGCAGACCATCTGCTTCATGGATGCAAATCTAACTGCATTTTCTACTGCCTGATAACTTGCTTAATTCAGTTAGCTCTTGTGACCCCGCTTTTGTGCTCAGTTCTCAATGGGACCTTTCCTTGGTGGCTTCTGACAGCTCCTAGTCAGGAGCTGACTGAGCTAGAGGAGTGTTCCCCCATGGAGTGGTGATGCAACCCCTCTCCAGCTGGTGCCCCTCAGTGAATGAAGTTTTAAAGAGGGCAGCTAAGATGGCTGGAGTTTTAGTGGAACTGAGGCTGGATAATGGGTACCACTGAGCACTTCCTATGTGCCACACACTAAGTCCTTTATATGTGTTTGCCACATTTAATCCTCACAATCTTAGACTTAGTTTCTGTGACTAGTCCTGTTTTTAAGAGAGGTTAAAACACTTGCTTAAGGACGCATAGCCAGGTCTCAATACCAAGCTCATCTCACCTGACAGCCACCTGCCACTATGAAGGTAATTCAGCATGACAGAGTGGCCACTCCTAAGTTGGCTTAAGCTGAGGCACCAATACCACAGTTAGTGGTTACCAAAGTAAGCAAGCACAGGACAAATATGCAAAATGCAGAATTTCAAGGAATATCAAAGAGTCAGTTTCACGACTTTTCCTGCTGTATCAGACGGAGGATAGAAAAACAGGTGAACGTGTAGAGAGAGAATTTTTTGAGAGGAGGTTATCATTGGAGAACACTGCTATGAGCACATCCTTTGCTCACCCAATCAAACCTAGTGGGTGGGTGAGAACTTCAGTGGGGTCACTGGGGAGCCTGCAGTGGATATCCCTGCAGTTAGGGATGCTGTGGCCTGGGGCCTGACTCCTGCCCTGAGAATCTAGAGGGAGAGAGAAGAGCATGGCTGATGGTTCAGTGGTAGCACCAAGGGATGGTTCCAGGCTGGGATTGGCCTGCAGCCCCCACCATTGGGGCAAGGAATTCAAATGTCTCATTGGAGAGAGTGTGCACATAGGTGCATTTTGGGTTCTAAAAAGGGACCCTAAATGTGCCCCAAAAAAGAAAGGCCCAGCTTTTAGCAGAACAGGAAACCAGCTCAAGAAGGCAGCATCTAAATAAGCATCTTTGTCTTCTGTGTAGCTCCCTGGGGGTGGAGCAGGAAGGTGAGGGTGGAGGAGGCCGGCTGTTTTCACTCTCCTGCTTCAGGGTTCTGACCAGAATTCCAGTTTGGAGCTTTGGTTTGTATTGTGGAAGGGATATTCTAATTTGTCATGTGAAACTATCTTTGCAAATTATCATGACCATGGGATTTTCTATGAATGAACAGAAAGGCCATGGGTTGCTAACGCATTTACCCCCATGGCAGGAAAACTCCACGGGCTTTGTCCGCAATGCACACATCACATTTGCCCCACATGCTGGTTACATGACTAGTCTCAATTCTAGCTGTGCATCAGAGTTCCTGGGGGAGCTTTTAAGAAACACAGATGCCTGGGCCTCATATTTGAAGTGTGCGAGTCAGTAGGTTTGGATGCCCATTTTTCTTTTCCCTTCAAGGGTCTCAAGAGGATTCTGATGCCCAGGCAGGGTTAGCTATCATATCACACTCTACATAGAGATATATAGATAATTATCTCCGAAAGAGGAAAGAGGGGCATTTCACTGACACCCAAGTTACTTCTTGATATTTAGAAAATCTATTATATGGTGAGTGGGACAGCGAGGCTTAAGTGTTCCCCAAAAAGGAGGGTCTCTAGCATTGCTTTTTCTAATTCACCAAAGCATCAGCATACAAAGCCTCTATGAGAATACCAAAAGAAATTCTCCATCCCCTCTTTAGAAATGAATCTCCACTTTAAAATAAAACAACTGAAATTCAGAGACACGATCTGGCCAAGGTCTAGTAGTTAACAAGAAGCAAAGCTGACATTCGACCAAGGTTTTCTGCTTTCAAAGACCAGGTTATCAATCATCATACCTTCTTCTTTCTAAGAATCAACACTGATATGAGAGATCAAGAGGTTCCATCTCCCTGGCCCCAGGCCTGATCATGTTCCAAATTTTAAGTTGAAGAAATGCAGGTACTTGAGATGAAAGGAATCTGATGACAACAGAAGTGACTGATGCAGGATAATTTCCTACACAGAACTGCAATGTCAAGGCCACTAAGAAATAGTTATCACTTACAATGTAATATCCCTTTGATGGAGAAACAGAAGTCAGGAAAGGAATATTTTCCAATGAAATGTTCACTGGAGAATTCAACCATCTATAAAATACATTAGGTTACAAAGCCAGAAGGAATCTTGCCTGACATTTTAGGGCCTTGTTTATTTTCATATAAGAGTGTGGGAAAGAAACTCTATAAAGATGGAACACTGGCTACCACACTAAAGCAAATTCAGCATGAATGAGCTTTAAAAATTGCATGTTCAATCAACTACTTAACTCCAAGTGACTGAGCTATCAGGGGACAAAATAAATAAATAAAAACCTCTGTAGTGAAATTCCAGGTTCAGAAATCAGACACGCATGGTTTCATGGAAATTATCCAGGCTTTGATTCTAGGCAGAAGTCGGTTTGAATTCTGGCTCTGTCACTTATGAACTGACCTGGTGACTCTGGGATAGCAGTTTAACCTTTTGACCCTCAGTGTTCTCTTCTGTGAAATGGAGATGTGAATGCTCTGGTTTGGAAGGATGTTGCGGGGATGAGAAGTACGTTTGGTAAAGTCCCAGCAGCCACAACACAAGCGTTCCTCAAGATTATCTTTTGAAGAACCTAGATAAACATGGTTAGATATTTCAAATAAATGGAAAGAGACAGCCTGATAAGGAAAGGCAGCTCACAGCTCATGAAATTTTAATGTCAGTGACAGTTCAGGTTTGGCCCTAGTCAATAGGAACCATAAATAGCTGTCACCTAATGGCCATGTCCTCTTGAAAATGGGTTATTCGTCTGAGTCCATCTCCCAGAGGACAGCTGCAAATACCATCAATACTGGCACTAAGCAACAGCCTTATTTATAGCCAAGGGACAGATTCCAAAGATAGAAGAAGCCATGGACGCCAAACCCCCATCTCAAAATTCTCATTCCTAGAGGACTGAGACGTGAGGCTGGAGAGTAGGTCTTAGAGGAATGCCTGTGACAGTGGAGAAACTGTTAATAAAAGTGACAAAAACTAAAAATAAGAAGAGGTCTGAAAAGAAAGAAGCCATGAGAGAAGAAAATGTAAGTGGTGCTACATATGCCTGGCTTTGCTGAATCAGCCATCACCCATCATTAAGACTGCCTCATCTCTCAGCTGACACTTAATCTTTAAAAATTGGAAGACCTGTCAGAATCTGTCAGCATGCATCCAGATTCAAATGAGGGCCAGAAAGTCTTCCTTTGGCCACCCCTGCCACGAAACCATTCCCAAGCACCTACAGAACCAAGTCCTACTTCCTTAACTTGACTTTCAAGAACTGCCACTTAAGCAGGTGCCCTGATTTCCCACTCCTCCCTTTCACTTCAGCCCAATTCAACTACTGGTGATTCCTCATAAAGACCCACCTCTTTCCAGCCTCTGGGCCTTTACTCCTGCAGTGGGAATGCACAGTCTTCATAAACTGGGATCCTACGGGTTTCTCAAAAGCACTGGGTTAGAATGCCACTCTTCACCCCCAAGTTTTCCTTGGCTTTTTCATCCAGTTTCTTACATGTCTTATCCCCTATTTCACATGTTAAATTCTCTAACAGCAGGATCTATGATCATTATCTCCATATCCCCTTGTAAGTTTCATGTCAACTCAAGTGCCAATAAATGTCTATCAGATGGATGGATGGATAAATAGATGGATGGAAGGACAGACAGAAGACTGGACAGATTTGATGGATTACAAAGAAACCACCAAGGGAACACATTATCCACTATGTCATTGTCATTCAACACAGCCAGGAGATGGAATGTCCTGGTTATCACAATATGCTGATTAACAGAATGCTCCTCCCACAAGACCATCCACAGATTCAACCACTGATAACTGACCTTCTCAAGATTAAAATAAGATCCACCCTGCATTTCAAATGGACTAAAAAAGACTGTCTCTTGTTGATGATTCATTCAGCACTTAGATACCTTGCAAGACTTGGGGTTGGGAACTGTAATTGCCACTGCACTGAGGTATGTGAGAGGGATAGCTTACAAAGAGTACTGATTAAAATAATCCTAAATAACTAGACATACGTTTGGTGACGTTGTAATTGAAAATGAATAATTTTGTCCATATTCCCTTCTTCAATGGAGACTTATAAAACGAGTATGAACATTATCTATTTTTAACCAGATGACCCTACAAATCTGCAGAGACCTGAAGGACACACACACATACACACACACCTGCTCTCTTTAGTGCATGAGGTCTGGCTCTTCTCACTGACCTAATGAGTAGACCTGGATTCAGAAAGTAAGTAGTAAAAGTCATTAAGCAAATTGGCCACAGATCACCTTATACCATATCACTTTTGTCTCACCTTTAATCCTAGCCACACCCCTTTCAAGCTCTACCCTACCCTTGCCAATTGTTCCTAGACAAGGGCCATGTTTGTTTGACCACTTTCCAATTCGATAAGCCACAGATGGGGCGAGGCAGAGGAAACACACGTCAAACAAGTCAGATTGCTATTACTTTTAACTTGCCTTTTTCAAGCTCTCAGGTAGAAGAACTGGTTCTGCTGCATGCAGAATTTTTCCATTGCAAAAGCAGGGAGAAGAATGAGGGGCTTCCCTGGACTATACATTATCCTCTACCATTGGGGGAATCCCCCAAGTGCTCATTTAACAGTTTCCTCTCACAAGCATCTTCCCTGCCCCAGGGCATTCTGCTCTATCTCAATTAATTATATGCAGCATCTCAATGAAGCCTCACAATATCCTTTGAGGCAGGGATGACTAATTCCATTTTGCAGATGAAGACACTGACACTCTACAGAGGTAAGTAACTTGCCTAAGCCACAGACAGGATTTGAACACATATCTGAAGCTCTGCTCCCACCATTTCAGTGGGAAAGTGGAAGGATGTAGCATTTCATGCTGCCAAATGCTTTCTTGGCCCCCAAGGTAACCTCTGCAGTGTGAGGCGTTCTCTGCTAAAGGGCATTAAAGGGTGAGCAGATACTCACCAGAGGGAGTATCTCCCTGCCTGCATTTTCAAGACAAAGCTGATGCGCTCTGTGTGATCAGAGACTCCACCTGAGTTCAACAGATAAACTGGTGATTCTGTTGTTTAGTTTTGATATACAGCACCAGCACAACCTGCCCACCTGGGAATATTTTGGTGCCAAGAATGAACAGAAGGGAATACATCGCAGAAATATTAACCTTGGCAGCCTCCTCCCACAGCAAACCACTGGTTGAACTTTAATGAAATTTTGCACAAGAGCAGAAACATCTGTATTGCTGGTAAAAATAAACCCCAGCCTGGAACACACAACCGTCTCTGTGCAAGAACATGACAAACCTGGAAAGGAATGGAAAGGAGGCCTCTGTGATCAAAATGGCTGTTTATAACAGAGAGGAAGCAGCTGCTCCCCTCTGTCTGTTTTTCCTAGTTAGGGTTAATGGCTTCTTAGGAAAGAAAATACATTCTAAATTTGTGCATCTGAGGCTTTCCTAGAAGGCTGATTTGTGTGGGAGAGCAGAGGTCCTGCAAATTGCCTGTCCCCATCGACTCTCTCATCCCCACAAAACCATTCTCCAGGATGAAAAAACATTGGTGTAATTTTTTTTTTTTTTTTTTTGAGAGACAGGGTCTCACTCTGTCACCCAGGCTGGAGTATGGTGGCATGAGCATAGCTCACTGCAGCCTCAAACTCCTGGCCTTAAGTGATTCTCCTGCCTTGGTGATGTACTATTCTTAACCAATACTGGCACTATAAGGCCTAATTGCTTTAAGTATCTAGAAATAATAACTCATCCAAAACCAAAATTAAGAGCATGGACATTAACTTATTTAAAAGATGCAAGAACAAGAGGCCAGTTCACAGATCACAGGTGGCTGGGGAGGCCTCAGCAATCACATAAAGTTGCTATACAGTGTGGCGTATTCCTCTAGGTAGTCTTTCTTTAGAAAAAAGAGCACAGGCGCTCCTGGAACCCAGAATCAGAGAATTCTGGGAATGGAAGAGGCCAGCCAAGCCCTCTAGCCCAATCCCACCCCTCCTTGATGCATGAATCCCTTGCACAAGCTCCATGCCAAGTTTCCCTAAACTGCCAGGGGTAAAGACCTTCTGACCTCCTATAAGAGCCATTTGACACTAATCTCAGAAAACTCTTCCTCCCACTGAATTGAATTTTGGTCCCAGTTTGGTGAAGACCCCCAGTGATTAATCCTTCTAGCCCTTCGGAGATAAAAGGTGGCATAGTGTCTCTTTCACGAGTCATAATATCATAAAAGAGTTTCAAATTCCTATAAATACTCTTCATAGAACAAAGCTTTGGTTCTCTCACCACCCTGGCTATTCTCCTCCGGACAAGGGTGATGATGGATAAGGTCAGCAATGATAATTATTAAAATAAAAGCAATGATTTTAGCTCTTATTAAGCACACACTATGTGGCATACACCGTACTACATGCTTTATATGCACTTATCACTGAATCCTCACAACAACCCTGGGAGTTCAAGACTATTGTCCTCTTAATTTCACATTTTGAAAAAATAGGAGCTCACAGGTGACGTAACTTGCCCAAGGTTACAGAGCTAGTAAGTGATAGTGCCGGGATTTGAACTCAGATTCAGCCAGAGACTGCCCTTCTTTGTCACTGTGCCTCCAGAAGATGGGGGCAGATTCCAGCTCAGCCACATCCTCCGAAAGTAGTCCCCAATGGTGTTAGCCTGGCTCATGATCCTCAGGGCTAGGAGGTCCATGTGCCTGACCCTATACTTCCACTTTCAGGTGGAGGCCGAAACTGCCTTGCTCTACTGAAAAGAAAAAGATCCAGGCAGACGTAAGCCTCAGAGAGGGAAGAGGAAAAGGAAAGTGGGAGGCAGTGAGGACACACTTTGTATCGTTTAGCAATCTGAAGCAATGCTGGGCTTGGAGAGGACACAGCAAAGGGAGAGGTGCCCAAGGAGGACAGCAAAGGGCTGGCAAAGGACTCTGCCTTTGGGGAGACCCAGTCAGTCAGTGCAAAGAGGAGAGGGGCAATCTGCTGCCCACAGGCAGGGGGCAGGCCGCACCACCACAGACTGACTACCATTTTCCATTCCCTAAATTGGGATGGGGTCCTGCTGTTGCCAAACTGGTTGGACTAAGTCACAGACAGTAAAAATGACCTGTCTGGCTGCCACATCCCTGATCAAAGCTGACTCATTTCAAAGGTGAACTGTCAGCAAGTTGGGAGATTGTAATCAGACAAGGAAAAATAAACTATAAGGTTACTTCGGGGGTTAAAATACAAAACCTCCCTAAAAAAATAAAGTTATCTGTTGTGCTTGCTTCTGAAATGTTCAGTCCTAACAACCTCATGAGGAAACTTATCAGGAACTAATTAAAGAATACATCTGGGTCCTGAGGTAAGACCTACTGTTCATTTGGCCTCATGCCTTGTCTAGGATGGGGAAATTTTCTGAAGCTTAAATAAATGACCCAAGGCTACAGACCAGACTGGGATCCCAGGTTTTTGGAGAACCCAATGTTGCTTCCACACACCTTCACATTTTAATCATGGTGTAATGAAAGCACAAAAGTTCCCAAAAGACACACACACATACACATATGTATCTATACACACATGCATACAAACACACACACACACACACACACACACACACACACCCATTCTCCTTTTTTTCTCTCTTTTTGGAAAAGCAAATAATCGCCAAGCTATCAAGTTGGAGCACACTAAGCTTGCATTTCAAGATAATTTGGTTTAAGATTCATTCAGAACCTGGATTTTCAGAGCAACATGATTTGGTCAAGAGAGGGATTTTTTTGAGCAGGTCCTAGGGTGTCTACTTAGAAATGGGAAGAAGAATTATTTTACATTTGATATGTTGAAGAGAATGAAGTTTTTCTTGCTTCTCAAACCATGAGAGACTTGAAAACTTCTATGAAGCCCATACATGTTCCCAGGAGGGGGCAGCCTTGCCTGGCCTCCTGGAAGCCAACTGGAATCCTCTATGTGAGACTGTGGGCTGCTCCCCAAGTGCTAGAATATCCAGAGAACCCCACAAAGCCCAGGCTTGTCAGAAGTGGGCCCAGCCCCACTCTCCCTATACAGAACTGCCAGCGAGGACAGCAAACTCTAGTGTGCAGGGAGGAACGTCAATCTAGCTAGTGGGGAGGACAGAGGTGTAGTGGGGGCGATGGATAGAAGAGGTTGGGAGAAGCACTGTGAAACCATCACTAATGTCATACCTGCATTAATCAAACAAAGTGTGTCAATTTAATAGAAGATGAGGGGCTCCCTTGAGCTCCAGGAAACTGCCAAGATGCATTTTCCTATTCAAGTTTGCAGCCCTGGGCTGAAACCCAGGGACAGTTAAAATAATTTCTCCATCAAATTACTCTTGTGAAAAGGAGCATATTCCAGCCTCCTAAATGATGAAAGTCACTTAAGTCCATATAAAGTAGAGTCTCTCAGGGCTCTGCTGTCCCCACCAATATATGTGGAATATAGCAAGGGGGAGGCAAAGAAAGGAAAGAACAGGGCAGGTGTGGGGGGTGGTGGGTTCCGAAAAGCACCCGCACACTTGACCTCATTATCTCTACTGCACTTGGGACTCTATTCCCTTAACAGTTTGCACATGCTCTGCAGGAAAAACAAGTAAATGCTGGACTGTCCTGGCAGGGGCAGGTGACAGACTTTCTGAAGCTCAAGGGCTGCCCAGGAGCTTCTGAACCAGCAGTTCTTCACCCCGCCACCCACCCTCCCCCTGCCCCCAACCGCACCACTATAACGGGCGTCCTGGCCAGTTGCAGCCCAGCACCTAATTTGGGAGATACCGGGTTCATTGTACAGGGCAACTGATTCCAAATCTCATGCTATCTGCCCACACTAAGATCCACTGGGTAGTTCTGTCTACTCACTTAGGGTTGTTGATTCTTAGCAGGTTTTGGTGACAGGGACACAACACTCAGCAATTGTAGAACTAACTCAGTGAAGATCTGTAATCTGGAACGCTCTCCTCACTCTTCCTTACCTTTCTAAGTCCTGTGAAAATGTTCTATGCTGGCAGTTCCCCACCTGTGGCCCAGAATCCCTGGAGTTCTTGAAGATGAAGCAGCAGGGTCTCTTGGAATTCATGTGGGCATAAGAACGCTTTCAATCAATCAGCGGGAAAAGGCACGTCTGCTAGTGTCGGCCCTCAATAGTTGCTGAAGTTGCTTCATGCCACTCTTCTGTTAGGACTTTCAATATCATCCTATTATCCTCAAGATAAAGTCCCAGCCCCTGAGACCTTGGCATGGTCTTGCAGGACCCAGCCTCTGCTCACCTCTTCTCCTTAACCACCTCATGCATTTCCTCTGAGCGGAGTGGAGGGGATGTGTGCTAAAGGGGTTACAAGAATACTGACTGGGGTAGTGCTGATATTTCAGATATGTAAATTTAGGGATTTTGTTTCCAAGAGTCCATAGATTCATAGGTCGAAGTCAGGCATTGCCAGGAAAACTACAAGCTTTGAAGTCAGCTAAACCTAGATTTTAAAATCTCCACCATCCACTTGGTAACACCAGGCAAGTTACATAATATATCAGAACCTCGGTTTTTCTCTATCTGTAAAATGGGAACACATGAAGGCAGCTATGAGATAACCCATGTAAAGCATCTGACACAGTATTTGACACGGTATCAGTTGCAGATCCCCAAAACCCCAACTCAGGCTTCCAAAGTCGAGTTAAACTAAAGCAGTACTTTATCCACAGTCAGAAACAAGCATGAGGGCTCCCCGTGGCCAGCCTCCCTTCCAACAACAAGTGTCATTTCTCGTCATCTTCATTCATGCACAAACCATCCCCTCCCCACATCTTTTTAAAGCCATTTTCCCACAGCAGAGGAGATTGGCAGTGATGATTTCAAACTAGATTTATGAAAACCCATAACTAGAAGATTAAAATTCCAAATGTCATCTAGATAAGATGGGCCAGATGCTTGGAGAACTGCAAAAGCTTCAAGCTCTCTGCACTGGCAGAGAAGTTGGAGCGGTCAAGCAGTCACGTCTGAGCACTTCTCTTGGTGAGGTGAGAAGGGAGTGCACTTCTGTCTATTACAGGAAAGAAGAGACACATTTTAACTAGACTGAGTAGGTACACTGCATCTCCTAGATGAACCATCAACTGGTGTTTGGTGTGGACTTCAATTCACTGGGAGACAACTGTGATCTGGGTTGGCTCACTGGTCTTCTCCTGGGTGGGTCTGGAATGTGTGTCTGTCTATGCTGAGGCCTTTACTGGAGACCAGAGGGAGGGAATCACACCATGGCCACTAGGAAAGAAAAGCCCTAGAGGCTAAATCATCAGACAAACATCAACTGACTTAAGCTGATCAGAACCATCTCCTACAGATCCCAACAAGCTGAAAAGGAAAGGTGAACAGTATTTCCAGAACTCATACCATACACATGCCCATCATGGTGAAAGCTTTACACCGGTGACTTCATTGAGTCCTCAGGACCACCTGAGGAGGGCCACTGTTATCCCTCCTGTACAGAAGGGAAAACTGGTGCCCAGGGAAGCTAAGAAAGATCTCCAGGTTCTATAAGCTCCCCACACAGAGTGGCAGAGTAGGGATTCAAAGCAGGTATTTCTGAATTCAAAAATCCATCCATTGTGCTAGAACTGGCTCGTTCCAACCAGAGCTGCCATATCTCATTGTCTGTGTCCACAGAAGCTGGCTTGCTCCCACTCACTGTCATGACCAGAGTATCTCTGGTCAGAAGGTCAATCAAATCTTCCACATCATGGTCAAGGCATTAAAAAATAGCACAGAAAAGAAAAAGAGAGAATGAATGGCATTTACAAGTTGACCCTTGGAAATAGTCTAAGATCAAAACTCTCCACAAGTGAGAGAAAAATGCTTTTAAGAACCTAGTCTTAGCCTTCTGAACTGTGCAATATGGGGATGGGAGGAGGTGGAGAACATAACTGCAGCTGAAATGGATGGCAAATGCCAACAGACAATAAAACCACTGGTGGCCATACTGAGAGCCTAAAACCACCTGAGATTCAGGAATTGTTAGGGAAAGAGTTCATGCTCTTTGAAAAGCCAATAAAGACCAGGAGGGGTGGAGGGGAAGTGGGGGGACTCATCTACTGCTCTTGTCTCCTAGCTGCTCTCTGATTCTGGCCTTTTCTCATGCCGACCAGGCCCACATTCTCCTGCTCGATCCTCTACATGCCTCCATCACATCACTCTCTCTCTGGCTCTCAAACCCGTGTGGGGGGCCAGTGACCCCTCATACCATTTGAGATAAAGTTCAGCATCCTTAGCCTGGCACTCAGGACTCATCATATCCCGGCCTCAGCCTCACCTGGGTTCAGCAATATGGAAATGGGAGGGGATGGAGAAGAAGGAAAGTGGGGGCCGAAATGCATGCCAAGTGCCAAGAGACAATAGAGCCATGGGGAGACTACCTAATCAGAGAAAGCGTGCAAATCTCAGCTACATGGTAACAAGCAGCAAGTACCAGCAAGGCCACAGGAAGAAGAGAACAAAATTGGCTTAATCTAACAATCTTGCAGAATTCTGCTCGGGGTGTGTAGGGGCATGTGGTAGTAAGGTTTGGATGAGAAAAAGTCAGAGATGGAGTAGTACAATGCTACCAACCTATCTCCACCAGCCTTCCCTCCACAGAGAGGTGGTGTGGCTTAGCGACTGGGCACACCAGTTTCAGGGTCAGCCTGACCTGTGTTTAGCATTATGGCTCAGCTTCCTAACAGCTGTGTGACCTTGTCAGGGAGGAAGATTACTAGGTTCTCTGAGGCTAAAATGGGAAGAAATCACATTCAGATGAAGAACTAAATTACTGCATGTAAAACGTTTTCAGTACAATATATGGCACCAAGAAAGGGTTCACAATAAAGAAGGTTGAGGATTTTCAAGCCCTCATGACAGCAGACAGGTTTGTTTAATTTGGGTTCTGTCAATAAGGTGCACCTGCATGAGGATTGAGGCAGAGGGCCCTCTTTCTTGCTGTAATAATACATATTAGGAGGGTCTGGTTGAACTCTTGGTTTCAAGGCCAAACTACTATAGCTGAGCACCCCTAGATCTAACTTCTGTTCTTTGTAACTTCTCATTTCTTTTCTTCCAGAAATTCTATAAGTATCCAATTCCCTGTATGAAATCTCTTCTTGTTTGAGGTACCAAGAATGGTTCCTAGTTCCTGGGCTATCCCCCCATTGATGAATTCCCTAATTTACTATTTAGCTCCTTAAGCTCAGTAACTATATAACACATTATATATATGCAGTTTAGTGCTTAGCCCTACTCTTAGGAGCTGCTCACTACCTGAGTCCATGGGAATCCAGATTCATTTTCATTCAGGAGCCAGCTAAACCTAAAGGGGTTTCTCAAAGCCACTACAGTCTGTGGAACTGACAAATGAAAGTATATATTGCCTAACCATGCCTATGGCCAAGGAGGGCTCAAAGTATCTATAAAACCTTTTGCTGGGCAAAGAAATAGCCACAATTTGTCCCATGGCAAACTGGAAGGACAAAGGCAGATCTGTCACTGAGACAAACCTTCATCACACTTTCCAATCAACATGAGGAGGCAAATTTATCACGAAGTTTAGACTAAAACTTTCTGACCATTATGTGAGCTTTAGTAGTTCCTTTGCTTTCCCATTCCCCTGTCTTCCTTTCTCTCTGATCAATAAGAGTTAGCCTTACTTTATAAATCTCTGTTTCACAAACTGCAGTAGATGAACTACTTATGGTATAATTTATAAGATTTCAGACTGTACACTGGTGAACATCTTAATAGCTATATATTTATTTTTATGATTACCTTCTATTTTGCCCAATATTGCTTTTGCATTTACCATTAGAATATTTTGTTTCCTCTTTATTTAAATTTATACAGATTAGGTAGTCAATTTGAAGGAAACAAGTAAATAAGGGACATAAGTGGTAGGCAAATATGGCAAAAATTCTAAATATGCCATGAGAATGATAAGCTTGGGTGACATTGACTTAAATCAAATCTTACAAATAAATGTTCTGGGGAATTCCAAATATCTAATCTATTTGGCTTATCAGGACAGCAGTATGAGATGGCTCTGAGAATGTTCACAACTCATTTTAAATAACTTCTGTCCCATTTCTCTTCTCAGGCCCTTGGGAATAGTTTGGTCTTACAGGAAAACTGTTAGAAAGAGTCATGAATTTCAATAGCCTTGCGCAGACTGTGGCACTGGACAGGTTATTCAACCTTGTTTGCCTGCACTCCTGTACCTGGGAAAGGAAGCCACTGAGTATGCTTACTCCATAGGGTACTGAGTAGGGCAGAAAGATGCCGCTAGGCCTTTTAAGTTAAATCATTAATTTCGATGATTGTCTTTATTGCAATTGTTTTCTTTAAATGCAGTTTTCGAGATATATATATTCCTGGAGTTGAGGGAGGGGAAAGGTTTGCAATAAATTATTCAAATAAATGAATATTAACTGGGAAAAGCCACAGAGCCATGGCTGCAGAGGTAAGTTTACCTCAAGAATACAAATTCACAATTATGTGAGGGAAAGGAGGTTGGCATTTTCTCTCTAGACATCCCATAAAAATGCTACTGGCACTTAGGTCCCTCCCCCTAAACCCATCACAAGAGGGCATAACAGGAAAGATTAGGAACAAAGCCAAGGAAGTAACTCCCTGCTAACAGGACAGGATGAAGCCACATTCTCTGTGGACCTACCATGGTCATTTTTAGCTCAGATGTCACAAAATATATCCTAGAATGTTTGAGAAGGGAAAAGGTCTTCTGGGGAAAATAGTTGTTATATTCATTGTAAATACCATATTGACTTAAAACAGTTTTTGAAGGGTGGGATCACACCTGTTTTGTAAGATATGAGTTGGGTTCTTCAGCAGCTATAAAGATGTAAGAGACTGGAAATCTACCCATAAGAGTAGGCTCTCAGAGAGGAAGTGAGAAAGATGATACATTATAACCAATGTGACAACGATATATGGCGTGTGGGACCCTAACAACAGTTGAGGGGGAGGAGGAACCATCGCTGGCTTAGATGGAGTGAGAAGAAAGCCTCCTTACAACGCCGAGCACAGGCGTTCCTTTTCAGAGGACCCTGCTCAAGTCATTTGTCATTCATTCATTTGACAAATATTTATTAGGCCCTACCTTTGAACCAGATATTCTGTGAGGTACCAGGAATTCAGTAGAAAATAATGCAGACATGTCCCTATGTCATGGGGCTCATCTACAAGTTGAGTGAGGCAGATGATAAACAAGTAAACATACCCCTAAACGAGGCGATTTCAGTTTGTGATGTACCCTGAAGGAAGTGTGTGGTAGACATGAGGTAGGGACTGAAGTGGACACTGTGGTTGGGGGTCCCGGCGGCCTCTCCGAGGATAAAATGAGAAGGAAGCATCATGTGAAGAGCCAGGCAAGAATATTCTGGAAAAGCAGAACAGCCAAGGCAAAGGCCCTGAGGTGGGCGCCTGTGGCTGAGAAAACAAGAAACTTGAGATGATATCAGGAGGAAGGCAGCGGCCAGATGATACAGGGCACTCCAGGCCAGGACAGGGGAATCGGATTTTATTCTGTTTCCTTGAGTAGCCAGGGAAAGGTTAAAACAGGGCACGACACAATCTGATTTAAGTTTTCCATAGGCCACTCTGGCCACCTATGGGGAGAATGAACAGAGAGGCAGGGCTGGGAGCAGAAGCAGGAAGCCCAGGCTACTGGAACAGTCCAGGTGCAAGAGGCCCAGGCTAGGTGACGGCAGCAGAGACAGAAGGAAGTGAAGAAAAGCAGTTGACAAAGAGTGCTAGTGCTGGGCATGCTTTGGCACCGAATCAATGCTTCCCCAGTGAATACATTATAACTTGGCTGGAATTTTAGCTGATTTGATTGGCTTTTCTAAATTCAATCATCATAAAAGTTAAGACAAGTATACACATATCCAATGGCTCTAAATCAGAGATGGAAAACAAAAGACATCTTCAAACTTGACAATAATCAGCTGTTGTGATACATGCACTGAGACAAATCCAGGGCAGCACCTCCATCCATCCTTTCTTTCTTTCTTTCTTTCTTTTTTTTTTTTTTTTTTTTTTTGAGACAGAGTGTCACTCTATCGCCAGGCTGGAGTGCAATGACATGATCTCGGCTCACTGCAACCTCTGTACCTGGGTTCCAGCAATTCTCCTGCCTCAGCCTCCTGAGTAGCTGGGATTACAGGTGCCCACCACCATGCCCAGCTAATTTTTGTATTTTTAGTAGAGACAGGGTTTCGCCATGTTGGCCAGGCTGGTCTCGAACTCCTGACCTCAGGTGATCCACCCACCTCGGCCTCCCAAAGTGCTGGGATTATAGGCATGAGCCACTGCATCCAGCCTCTTTTTTTTTTTTAATGGCTCACTCAAAACTGAGCTGTCAGGCGCTCCCTGTCTTCCACTGCCTTCCCTCCATCCCCCATCCCTCACAACCCAAGTCTCAAAGTTAAGCACCTAAAACCTCCCCCAGAACAAACTGTAACTTCCAAGGAAGAATGTGCTCTGGCATGATGCTTCAGTAAACCCAGAAGGCATGCTGAGATAAGAGTATTAAGAGTACCTATTAATGAAGCCGGAAGTTTCAAATAAAGCAGAAGAGATGTCCCAAAGGGAGACATAAACCAGAGCCTGCATCCAGGCAGAGTCTGAGTGAGTTCTGTAATTGCTGGCAGGTTTGCAGAGAAGGCCTTTTCCTCCCAGCTTCCTCAAACAGCAGCAGTGTCACAGCAGCAAGGAGGAATAGAGGTTTTCTCTTTCCCTCTGGAAGCGTGAGGTGCATACAGTTAGGACACGGATCTTCAATGGGCTCAGAAAAACCATTCTCATTTACCAAGAGTGCTCTCCCCTGCAGCAGACCAGGGTGTCAGGCTTGGTACGAGGAGCCAATGGGCTGGCCAAATCCTTCGGAGGGCAGGAGGAGGGGGCAATGCCCCCCACTACTTAGAACAAAATCCCCCTGGCAGTGAGAGCTTTGACTTCCAGAAGAAATTATGGGAGAAGGGAGAGGCAAAGGGACCCATGACAGGAAGGAATGTCACTGGCACAGAGCTCCTAAAGCCTGGGACCTGGACCTAAGTATATGTGTGTTGGAGAGACATGCAGAAAAGAGGATCTCCTGTCAGTCTCTAAATTTAATTACCTCCCACCACCACTTTGGTATATAAATTGCCATGCATGTATATAACGGTATATAAACTGTCACACATGTGCAGAACAATCACCCTTCTCTCCCCCACCATGCCCAGGACAGTCCTCTCATGGGGGCCCAGCATTGGTGCTGCACAGAGATGGTGGAAGAAACTGAACATTGCAAAGCATCTCCTGGGGCCAGGCACTCTGTTAGCACCTATGCTCACACATGTCTACCATATAGCCCCTCTAAAAATCATCTTAGGTGGAGAGGAATGACCATCTCCACACTACAGCGGAGTGAATGAGGCCCAGAGCCATGTAAGCAGTGCTTGGCAAAGCTGAAATTTGAATAAGTCCTATGCTTTCCCCACACCTTGCTGCCTTCCTCTCCTGCCAGGCTTTCTTCTGGGGAGACTGAGTGCCCGCTCTCTGGATGGTTATGGCCTGAGATTCCAACCCAAACACTCGGCTTGCCCCAAGTGCTTACCAAGCTTGAGAAAGGCAACCAGTCACAGATGTTCTCACATGGAACTAACTCTTTTTAGGGAGGGAAGAACTCTGCAGCACCCCAACTCTGCTACCAAGTGTATTTACCAACAGCAATGGGATGAGGTCTCTCTCATGTGCAGATTAAGATGCTCCTTTGAACAGCTCTCAGGCACAGCTTCTTCCTGTCATGCCAGCGTGTGCTCCCCAGGGGCTCCACACCTGGGCCAGGAAAGGAAAGGAACTTGGCGGGCTTGACGTGTTCAGAGGCCCCAGCAGATTGGTGGGTGCAGTACAAGGGGCGGGCTGGATAGGGAAGGGGAGGAGCTCAAAGATGCGGTTCCAACGCCTTGCCCTCTTGCCATTTGGCAGCTGGTGAGGTGGTAATGGTTAACCTGGGAAGGTGCTCCATCCTCCTCTGCTGTCCTTGATGTGAGTGATGTCCACGTGGGCAGGACTTGTCTGCAACCAGGGCCTGGCACAGTTCCTGGCCGAGAATGGTTAAGGGTATAGTTTTCAAGCCAGATTGTTCTGGGTTTGAAATTGTGGCTTTCCCTCTTACTAACTAACTCTGGGTAAATTATCACCTTCTGAGACTTAGTTTCCTTATCTATCATATTAGGATAATAATAGTACTTACATCACAGGGACTGTTGTGCAGACAAATTACATAATGTGTGTAAAGGCACAGAACAGTGATTGCCACCTAGTAAGTGCCCAATAAATGCTAACAAATAAAAAAAAAAAAAACAAGCAATATTCCTTTTAAGTGAAAAGTAATTGAAGCTGCAGTTCTTCCCTGGAAGTGGCAGCAGATCCAGCCCTAATATTCCCCCCTTTTGCAAACAGAAAGGAACAACTGTTAGCGACTTGGTGTTGCATGATGTGCTGGTTGCCTCACACCTTGGGGGGCAGTAAAAGATGTGACCATTTACTCAGAGCCTACTATACAGGCAGGTAGGTGCCTCATACACATAATCTCTAATCTATTCAACAATTCTGATGAACCAGAGTTACTCTTACAGAGGAGGAATCATAGTCTCAGACATATCAAATAACTTGTCCTGGGTCACACAGCTAATAAGCAGCAGTTTCACAACAATGAAAGCAACATTTACACAGCCCTTATGCTGTGTAAGGAATTGCTCTGAGCCCTTTCTGTGCTTACTGTACTACCCTATCTCTAAGAATAAAAACTCGTGGGTGCTGAGGACACTCTTCTAATAAGAGACAACTGTGTTGGAACAAAAAATGCCCTGGGCTGGAAGTCAGAGACTTTGGGCTGTGACCTTAAGCAAATCACTTTCCCTCTCTGGATGTCAGTTGGCCCGAGTATAAAAGGATTGGTTTGGACTAGAACTCTGTCTTGAAAACTTGCAGTTCTAACAGTATATGGTTCTCTGAATTGGGCTTTCCTCCTTCCAGAGGAAGACCATGAAATCCATGAAAATGTGGGCTGAGGTTACTGACCAGGCCCTTCCTCAAACGGCCAAAGCACGTCTAATGGAAGGGACAGCATGCAGCCGGGAGCATGAGAGCCGCCCACAAGATAGCATCCGAGGCTGGGAAATCCTGGGCAATTTACCAGATCCTTGGTTTTTCCCCCTTGGCAAAGAGAGGGAAATAACTTGCCTTAGCGGGTTGCTTTGAGGTCATAAAAATGGTCATAAAGCATTTTCCCAGATTCAAAGTCCGGGTTTCAAAATGCTCTTGAACTCAGCCATGAGAAGGGTAATCAGAGAAGAAGTCGGGACTTTGCAGGATTCCCAGAAAGCAGTCTGAGAATGTAAAAAATCTTCATTACTTCTCCATGCTTCTTACAGCCGAGTCTGGTCCAGAAAGGGGGAGGAAGCCCCAGCACTAATTCAAAGCAACTACAAAGATACTCAAAACAGTGCCATGCTATTTAGCACAATTATATGCTATCCTGTTCTCCAAAGTCACCTCTTCCACTGGACAATAAATTCTCACAGGATATGAAATTTTTCTGCCTCTAATCAAGACCTGATAACTGATTTCATTTTCACGATAAGACCTGAATATACCGTCTCTGTACACCAACCAGTCTAATTCTCTTTTCTTTTTCCTAAGTGCTTTGATTCAAGTCAACAAATGTTTACTGAATATGTACTATGGGCCATGCAGTATGCCATGTATGCATTCCGGTTACTTCTATAAGCTAACAATAACAATAACGGCCGAAAATAGCATCAGTCTCTTAGACTGGGAGTGGAAGAGGAGAATCAAACCTTCTCTCCCTGAAAGTTTGAGAAGGTCAAAGGATGGATTTTGGGATTTCGACTACTTGCTTAAAATCTGTTTATTTTCATTATTTAGCATTCACAAACTATTACATAAGTATGAACCATTCATCTATTCAACAGTGATTTCTTGGGCATCTACTCTTTAGTAGGCAGTGTACTAACAGTACTGAGAAGCTAAAGAAGAAAACTAGCTTCTTACTGATTTTATTGGAAGAATAATTCCAGAGGTCTGCAATTACCAATTTTAAACTAGAGAAATGGTGTCTCTCTTCCTCAAGAAAGATGAAGAGATTCATTTGTTGATTTAGTCAAATAAATGAATATTTACTGAGCACCTATCTTATGCCTCTCAGTGGGGCCGCATTAAAAGCATTGCAGCAGGATTCTTGCCCTCATGAGAGCCAGCAATATTTCAAGAAGACAGCCTGTTACTAACTGGCATAGATGTTATGAAGGGATAAAATGAGGGACTCAGATTTTGCAGGGGGTACCTACATGAGACAGAGGGATCAGGGAAGGTCTCTGTGAAGGAGCTCCACTTAGGTAGAGTTCCTGAGAGATAAGAGCCAGTCAAGTAAAAAGAAGAGAAGAGCATTCCAGGGCAAGGGAATGCCATGGGCAAACTCCCCCAGGTGAGAATGAGCTTGGTGAGTTCGAGGAACCAGAGGAAGAATGGTGCAGCCGGGGCCTGGTGAGCAACCAAAGGAGGTACAGGAGAGAGAGGGAAGGGAGCAGACTGACATGTGCTTAAAGCAGCAGACAGGTACAGTGACATTTCTTTTTTGACACCTCTCTGGTGCTGTATGGAGAACAGACTGGAAGCAGGCAATAGTGAAACTATGGAGACCAGTTAGGAGATTATGGCAGTTCTCTAAGTGAAGGGTGAAGGTGTCCTCGTCTATGAAATGAGAAGTTGTTGGACTTTAGATCTACTGGGGAGGCTCAAACGGAAGCATTTGCTATTAGGATGAATGAATGCAGAAGAGGAGGACTCAAGGATGATGCCTCAAGCTCTGGCTTGTGCAGCTGGTTAAGTGGTGGGACCATTTACTACAGTGGTTCTCAACTGGGGCAATTTTCCCCCCTCGGGGACATCTGGAAACTTACGGAGACATTTTTGATTGTCATGACTGGGTGTTGCTACTAAACATTTTACAATGGGTAGAAGCCAGGGACGTTGCTAAACATCCTGCAATACACACAAGAGCCCCTATACCAAATGGTCATCTGGCCCCAACTGTCAAAAGTGCTGAGGCTGAGAAACCCCGACTTACAGAAGTGGGAAGACTGAGGTGGGGGAAAGTTTGAGGGGTTACTTAGCTCTACATCTGGGACATATTACATTTGAAATATTCATGCTAAATTGGACTTGGAACCACACTGCTTAGAATGGAGAAAGTAACATGTGGGACGGGCATCCAGGTTCTTTTGGAGAGGAGAGAGTACATGTGCTCTCTCTGAGCCAGGAAAAGCTAGCTACTCATGAGCCCCTCCTGCTAGCTAAATTATGAAAGAAATTTCATAAAATCAAGAAAGTAGGGCTCTTTATACTTGCCATTCACCTTATTTATGACCCTCCCTTTCTCCCACTCTAAATTTTGCCTATTCTTTCAGCCCAGCTCCAAGTCCTAGATTTGGGAGGCTTCCTGAAGGACAACCATCCTTCCTGGGTCTGAATTCAGAGGAGGTAACTTTTCCAGCACCTCTCTAAGTTTACTATCATGCTATCGCATACACACCTCTTAAACATATCTGATATCCCTGTGAGAAAAGGACTCCACCAATCTTCCAGATAGAGAAATGGAAGTTCAGACAAATTAAACAACTTGCCCAGGGTCACAATGATTTGTATCAAGTTCTTTTTGTTTCTGAAATCAATGCATTACACAAATGGCCTCCCTCTGATCTCCAACAGTGCTTAATCTACAGCCTTTAGATGATTTCTACATCCTGCTTTAGAATGCAGCACTCTACCGGGTGCAGTGGTTCACGTCTGTAATCCCAACACTTTAGGAGGCTGAGGCAGAAGGATCCCTTTTCCCCAGGAATTCAAGACCAGCTCTGGCAACATGCTGAGACCCCATCTCCAAAAAAAAAAAAAAAAAAAAAAAAAAAAGATCCAATAAAAATTAGCCAGGCATGTTGGTGTGTACCTATAGTCTCAGCTACTCAGGAGACTGAGGCATGAGGATCCCCTGAGCGCAGGAGTTTGAGGTTGCAGTGAGCTATGATGGTACCACTGCACCCCAGCCTGGGTGTCAGAACAAGACACTATCTCAAAAAAAATAAAATAAAAATGCAGCAATCTGGCACCCAGAGTGGTTATCATACAGTTCTTCTTCTTCTTCTTTTGTTTCTAACTTTTTAAAAAATATGGGGTCTTGTTATGCTGTCCAGGCAGGAGTTCAGTGGCTATTCACAGGCACAAATACAGCACACTACAGCCTTCAACTCCTGGCCTCAAAACATCCTCCCAACTCAGCACCCACCCCCGTCCACCTCCCCAGTAGCTGAGGCTACAGGTGCACGCTACCACACCCACCTTAACACACAGTTCTTGCTGGGTAATTTGTAGAAGTGTCTTCCCTCTAGTCCAGCCTCCCTAGCCAATTATGTTGTAAACTGGACAGTAGGGAGCTATGTAGGGAAGAAAGGGAACTCCTCCCCTTTTCCCTCTCCCCCAGGTTCCCACTTGGATTCCCCAAAGAAAGCTCCATCAGTATTTCTGGCTTCCTTCTCCACACCCAAGTCACTCTCCCACAGGAGAAGCTGTATCTAATCTGACCTGGCAAAAATCAGTACTCTTATGGGGTCCCAACTTACTGGTGGGGTGACTGTGTTTAAAGGCACAAATGAAGCTGTATGCAATCTCAATGACCTTACAGTAAACAACCCCACATTTTATGTGATTCAACTTTGCATTATATTGAAACACTGAAATGGTAACTGTACCATTGTTCCATTAATTGAACACTTAGTGTATGCCAGGAGCTGTGTTGTTTCTAGGGATACAAAAATGATGGAGACTAAAGTGCTGACTTCCCAGTGCTGATGCTATAGCAGGTGTCTGCAGAGGGTCAAGATGAGCTGAGAGTAAGGTGGTGGCATGAAATAGCGGACTGTAACCACAACTGCCACTGTGAAGACATAATAGGCTTAGCAGCTGAAACATCCTGGAACTGCACTGTAGATGGCCTTGGAACACCAATTGCCTCTTTGAAGAAGTCTATTTCAATTGTACATTAATCTTCACATTTTTAGAATCTAAAACACTTCTGGGAATTAAGTCAAGAAGATAATGCAATAAACTCCAAATTCCTGTCTTTGCCCTTTTTTTCTTTTTTGACCAACTTGGCTATCTAAGAAGGTCTATAAACAGAACCTTTTCCCTCCTTGCCTGGTGTAAGGTAGGTGTGCAGTCATCCTTACTGAGTGATAAGCACCTTGGGAAGGAGAAAGGGCAGAAAGCATGTAGCATGTATTCAGGAAAGATAATGTAAAAGAAACCTTTTTGTCCCCAAGTTGTCTGGGGTTGGAAATCTATTTATTCAAATAGAGGTCCCCTTAAGCTAAAATATACTTAAATCTGGAATAGTACCTAACAAGAGAGACAGTGAGACAGCTTCTAAGGAATGAAAACTACCATGCCTATAGCTCCCACTCCTCCCCATACAGTGGCCAGACATTACTCCGTGGACAGAACATTTACTACTGCAATTAGTGCTTTAAAAAAAAAAAAGCCAGCTGACGCAATAAACTCATCTTATTTAATTTCAAAACATGAATTCATTGCTATCTCAGGAAATATCACCTTACTCTTTGGATTAAATGTTATCTCAAGTCTAGGAGGCATTCAATACTGATAAAATAATATACTTTAGTTGGCTTTTCCAGGCTCAAGTTTCACCAAAACAAGTTTCATGCAAAGATTAGCCAAGTACCAGGTAATGGGAGATGGCAGGGTTATGTCATCTGTGGCCCATTTCCAAAGAAACATGGCTTTTCCAGGTGGAATTCTAAGTGCTCTCTCTTCTCGCTCTTTATAATCTTTGCTTTGCCAGTCAGCAGGATGGTTAAGGACAGATGCATTGAAACAGGCTGCAGGCCATGAGGCCCTGGGCCAGTCATTTCAGCTCTCTGGGTCCTTCCTTCCTCTACTGTGAAGTAGATTGTTCCAGGCCACTTGTCATGGGGCCTCTTCTTGAACTAACATCCCAAGATTCTTAGTCCTGGACTCTACTTTCCAAACTCTTCCTGTGGCTGCCCCAGCATGAAGTCACCTACCCGATCGGTAACATTTAAACACTGTGTGAGTCTTACATTCTGTAAGAATGAATGGAGGCAACTACTTGGCAGATCATTCAGCTCATCTCCCAAGTCCACTGCTCAGGTAAATTTCCAACCCTAACATTAATCCACCTTGTATATCCTCAACCCCTTCCCAGGCACAGAGATATCAAAAAGAGTGATTCTTGCTCTCGATCTGATGATGATGATGATGATGAATTTCTGTTGACTCTTTATGAGGTGTCAGGTCCTGTACTGAGCGCTTTGCGTTCATTATCTCATTTAATTCTCACAAAATCCCTATTAGGTATGCATAACAAATGAGGAAACTGAGGTACAAAGAGGTTAAATGACTATTCCAAGATCTCACAGATAGTGGTGGAACCCAGGATTTGAATCTAGGTCTGTCTGACACCATACTATCTCTTATACTTGGAGTGATCAAGTGCAACTATAAATGCAACTTACTCTGCCCAAGACAGGACCAAAATTTACAACTGTATCTCAATGATCAAAGGGAATGCAATTATCATTAGTACTCCCTTTCACTCTCAGAAGTATCTTGGTTGGGATAATAAACTATACAGTCACCTGGTATAATACCTAAGGAGTGTCAATAATAATAATAATAATTACTATTATTATTATACAATATTCATGTCACTTTTGCAATAAAGCCCCTCTTTTTTTTTTTTTTTTTTTTTTTTTTTTAAGATGGAGCTTTGATCTTGTTGCCCAGGCTGGAGTGCAATGGTGCCATCTTGGCTCACCGCAACCTCCACCTCCCGGGTTCAAGCGATTCTCCTGCCTCAGCCTCCTGAGTAGCTGGGATTACAGGCATGTGCCACCATGCCCAGCTAATTTTGTATTTTTAGTAGAGACGAGGTTTCTCCATGTTGGTCAGGCTGGTCTTGAACTCTCAACCTCAGGTGATCTGCCCACCTCAGCCTCCCAAAGTGCTGGGATTACAGGCATAAGCCACTGCGACTGGCCAATAAAGCCCCTCTTAACCATCCTACATTAAAGGTAACCTCCACCATTCCTCCCTATCCTTCTCACCCTGCTATATTTTTCTTAATATAATAGCATTCATCACCATAAAAAGTAACATGTTTTGCTTATTATCTCTTTCTTCCAGTAAAATATAGGTATGAAACTTTTTTGTTGACTCATATATTCCCTAGTTCCTAGAAGATGTTTCATAAATGTGTTGGATGAATTAAGGTAACATCATGATCATTATCATTATAACAATGGCTAACATTTATTGAGCATTTACTATGTGCTTGGATGCTGCTCTGAATACCTGTATCTTACTAAACAACCCTAACAACCTTGAATTTGGAATGATTATCATCATCATCATTTTACAGATGAAGAAACTGGGGCTCAGAGAAATAAAGCAATATTCTCCCCAGGTTGCACAGATCATTGGCAGAGCTAGGAGGGAAGGGGGGTTTGACTATCCCCAGTATCTATGCATGAAGCCACTGTTCAAAGTCTGATAGCAAAGATACCACATCCACCAGCAGCTCAAGGACTTAGAGAATCAGACGAGGGTTCATACTACTGCCTGTCAGGGCTTAAAAGCCCTCCTTTTAAGAAGTCAGGGAGGGCTTCTTAAAAAAAGGGGACTCAATCTGAGCTTCAAAAGGATGGGGTGATAACATGGAGAGATGGAAGAAGCGTGAAATTGGAATATCACCAGGCCAACCATGCTGATTGGAACTAACAGGTTCTATGTGGAAGCTCTGCTGAAGAAGACCTAAAACACTGCTATCATCTAAAAGGCCTTGAATCCCACAAAGGAGTTGGACTTCATCCACCAATGGACTGGATCCCACAAAGGTTGGAACGAGAAATCAGTAGTCTTGAATCCTGAAACTTCACATCGGGAACAATGCTAGAAAAATAGGCAAAGCTATAGCTGTGAAACAAAAGACTCACTCCTGGACCCTCTACAGACATACACACCTTCCTAAGCCCAGTAAACATACTGGAGCTGATAAATCCCATTTAAAGTGCCTTGCTTTCCTATAGATTCATTTGTGCCACAGGACCTATCATGTTCCCAGCAAGCACACAGCTCATCTCTCACTATGACAAAGATAATGTATAATGCAGGTGCTTACCCTTGTCCCACTCCACAGTGTTATAACCAGACATATTATTTCTGGTCACAAGGGCAATCCTCGACTACATCTCAGCCCAGCCAAATATCTCCATCACACCTTCTTGTTACCCTGTTTAAACAATATCTGTCAACTCATTCTAACCCTTCACTCTAACACCCATTCTTAGTGGGAGGTCAGGCTCTTCCACTGCCTTTCCACCTCCCTGGCTATTGCTCTTATATTAGAAACAGCATTTCTGTAACAATCTCTGAATCAAAAAGAACAACCCTTGGGAACAGCACCTGGGTCACCCAGCCCAGATCTCTGGGCTGGCAGCTGGAAAGACAATGGCAGCCTGGTCCATGTGTCCTGGAGAGTCTTAGAGACCCTGAAGAAAAGCTTAGCCACATGCCTTCTGGGTGGCTGGCATTACATTACAGGAGCCAGAAACAAAACAATTTTTTTCCCTGGCTTCACACAAAAACAAAAACAATTGCATAAGTAATGTAAGCACTGCCAGGTCACCAAAGGGACCAATTATAAATCTCTACTTCTCTATTAACACAAAAATGAAGGAAAATGTGTTACCTCAAAATGTCATTAAGAGGAAGTCACTTACTAATTTCAGAGGCTTTCTCTCCTTCCCTCCCAATATTCCTTTCTTTATTTTCCTAGTAATTAACCAAAGTCAAAACCTTCCTCACATGCTTTGGTTTCAATTCAGGAAAGTACATCAAGGCTATGAGGGCTCATTACCCACAGCGGAAATGCATATGGAACTATTCCTGTATATTCCAACCTGCTTTCTCAAGGAAAGAATGGAACTTCTTGCCCTTGAGATTTTGGGGAATTAGTAGAAAATGGACATGACTTCAGTACCTGGGAGATGGTCAAATCTATGCCAGTTACAATTAGTGGAAAGCAGGAGAAAGTCCTAGAAGTCCCTGAGAGTGGAAATGACCGTTGTTTTCTAGCTGAAGGTGGTAATACTTTCATGTGAGTGTTAATGAGCTTTAGTCAGGAAAAAAAACGGAAGTTGTTAAGATGGGAATCAGTCTATACGTGTAAAGAGCTGAAGCAAGCTGATGGATGTGTTAATTAGTTTGATAGTGGGAATCATTTCATAATGTATGCATAGATCAAATCATCACACTGTACACCTTAAATATATACAATTTTTATTTGGCAATTAAGCCTCCATAAAGTTAGGGATTAAAAAAAAAAAAGCTAAAGGAGCATTTGTCTTTTAAACACAGCACCTGGGAGCTCAGGAGTTCTGCAGGGCCCACAGCATCCTGGCCTTTGGGAGGGAGCAATATAACTACAGGGAAGCAGACAGAGCCCTTTAACCCACTGACCTCTTTTAATCTGCTTGTTAGCCTGGCTGTGGACAGGCCCAGGGGGTCTTTGACCAATGCCTCTCTGGGGAAAGGTCAAAGGTCAGGGGCACATTTCCCTCATCATCATTATTCTCAATTATTCTTCATGCAGAGCCACTTTCTCCTTCATTTTGAGGAAGAGCCCCCTTAAGTGTTTTCCAAGACGCTGAAGGGTGATGACCCAACCCATCCCCACTCTCCTCTCCACCTCCCTCCCAGGATGTCCCTGATCAAAGGGGCTAAGAGGGGATTGCAGTGAACAGAGAGGCCCCTCACAGAGAGAACTGCAGCAGTGAGCACAGGCATCTATACTGCACGCTCATGCAGACCCACCTCAGCAGCAGGCCCTGCAGCGCTCTAGGAGGCATCCAGGGTGTCTGATACAGCAGTTCAAGGTACAGCCTTTGCCATCAGACAAAGCAGCACTTCTAAAGTTACTAGCTCTGGAATCTTAGGCAAGTCATTTAACTCTCTGAGCCTTAATTTCTTTATCTGAATAATGGAGATAATAATAGTTTTTATTTCAGAGGATTGTAGAGAAGATGAAATAGAATCATACACATAAAGCTCAAAGTAAAGGTTCAACACATGTTAGCTATTAATATGATTTTAGCAGTAATTTAAAAAATCTTTTCTTGATGATAAATGTAACATATGAGCTTTGTACAAAACTAGAATATAAGGAAAAGTATAGACCAAAAACAAACAAACAAACAAACAAACAAAAAACAGTCCTGGTAACTTCCCCCCAAGAACTTGGCACTATTGACTTTTGGGAATGTTTCTGTTGAGTCTTTTCTCTGTGTGTGGAGAAATGCACACACTACTGGTTCATCTCGTCCGTCATCATATGAGCAACCATTCACTGACCACCAACTAATTGCAGAACGCTGAGCTCAAATCCGGATACATTTT
Source organism: Homo sapiens (assembly GCF_000001405.40). Classification (NCBI taxonomy): domain Eukaryota; kingdom Metazoa; phylum Chordata; class Mammalia; order Primates; family Hominidae; genus Homo; species Homo sapiens. The sequence continues at coordinate 19,780,691 of NC_000011.10, read as the reverse complement.
TTTCCCTAATTTTTACTGTAATTCTGTGAGGTGCTGTAGTCTCAATTTACAATGAGAAAACCAAAGATCGAAGAGGTAAAGCAACTGGCCCATGTCACAAGGCAGTGGCTCCTGTGCAGAGCTCTGGCTACAGGTCTTTCTGACTGGACTACCTGCACTCCGTGCATTAGCACAGGCTGCCAGGGGGCCTCTCTCAGTGCCTTTCCTTTTGCCATTCTTGGACTCTACCACTCCTCAAATAATACCAGCTGCTCCATAAGTGGCCTCATTGTTTCTCCTTGCTCTGCCTAAGTCCAAAGAATTTAAAAGAAGGGAACTAGGGTGTGGAGGGAAGGTGGTAAGAATGTCAGAACCACCCACAGTATGCTCTGTGGCTGTGCCCCAAGCTTATCCCCTCCCAGTGGGTGCTTTGGACCTGGGCAGTCACCTCCTCTCACTTTCATCAAAGGCCTGTGACCCTGTCAGATGGGATTTGGACAGATGTAGGATCTACCAGCTACTGCCTTCTCTCCTAGGTGGGCAGGTGCATTTCTGACATTCCCCTGCAGAGATAACATATAAAGATGCAAGTTTTGCCTCTAATTACTCTGGGCCTTATTTTTGATCCAATTAGCCTTAAAATAGAACATGAAGCAAGACCTTTAATTCTACTATTCAAACAAAACAATGCATTTTCAAGCTGTGGGTTAACTGATTTCATGTTTATTGAAGTGCATCAGTGATAAAAGTTCGGGCACACACCTCTGGCCCCAGGCCTCATTCTGGAGCAGTTATTCACACACAATTGACTTCCAAGATGTTCCCAGGGAGCTCCTTCCTGCTGAGGGCTACTAATGATTCAAAGGTAAGAAAGGTTTGTTTTCCCAGGGCCCATTAGAAGAACCAACCATTCACCCAACAGTACAACGTAGAGTGGGGACAGATTATGTCTCATTTACCACTGAAGAAAATAATGATAGTTCCCATTTAACAGACAAACATGCTTCCAACTCTATGCTGGATCATGTTCCTGTATTATGCCATTTCATCTTTTCACAACCTGGGGAAAGAGAGTTGTAAAACAGCCTTTTACAAAAGAGGAAAACTGATTCAGGGATTAGTAAGTGGCAAGGCTGGAATTCAAACCAAGAATCATCTGCAAGCAAAATCTTTCACAACGAACACAGGCACCAAGGCTGTGCTCTGCACAAAACACACAACAAATAAAGGGTAAATTGATCAATCAATAAGTGAATGAACAAAATGCAAACTAATGATACTTCAGCTAATGATGTATCAGTGGTTTCTAGCATTCACAGAAAAGCTGAGGCTCATCACTGAGGATATCTGAGGCTATCTGGACGCCAAGACCCAGTCATGCCTCTTCCTGCCTGGGCTCTGGGGCAGTGGGATACACGGGACAGAAACTGCTACTCCCTCAGGGCTTCCCAGTTGCTTGAGCTCCCCTAGCCCTTCCTCCACCTCATGGGGAAAGGGTATTTTGGTGGACCATAACTACCTTGGGTGGTCCTCACAGTTAATTTGAAAAGTGAGACAGCTCTAAAGATTCAGGCAGACCCAATAAAGGCTGACCCCTGACCCTTGTTGAGGAAAGCTCCCTCCATAGACTAAACGGGCAGCAATATCGGAGTGGAGAAGACATCCCAGCCCTTACCATGGCCACCTGCCACCAAGCTCCAGAAGCCATCCCCTGGGAGGCTCCACGTTTTCCCTGCCTGGCAAATCATTCTTTTTCTTCTTTTTAAAAAAGCATTTAGGTTTGGCAACCTGACCCTATGCAGTTCAGATCGGGACCCAGCTTTCCTATGCTGCCTGTTAGAGTGGCATCTCAGGTACAGCTTGGAGAGAAATTATGTGAAACTCTGGCCTCTTCCACACCAGTCTGGTTGGAGAAAGATTCCAGGAAAGGATTAGGGAGCTGGAATCATGACATAGTATAGCAAAGGTGCATAACGTCTGCTAATGTTACAGCACATTAAATGAAGTTGTAAAATAGTAGCTTAAAGTTAGGCAGGCCAAACATAACACAAGAAGTATGAAAAGCAAGGTGCCATTTTTCCAACAAATAAGTTCATTATATGAAGACCCAGCTTTGGTTGATTTAGCATCTTGGTATCCAATGCAGCTGCTGTGACTTTCTTTTCTTTCTTTCTTTTTGTTTTTTTTGTGTTTTGTTTTTGTTTTTGTTTTTGTTTTTGGTAGCATCTTTAAAGACCTCACACCAGTAAGTATGCATTCCAGTTTATTAATCATACCTATTTCTTACTGAATCCTTTTTATATGCCAGGCAATCCACAAATATGATTTCTTATCCTGGCACTAGTTCTACAAGGTGGGAACTTGCTCCATTTTACCGAGAAGGAAACTAACATCCAAGGGGGTTAACCGACTTGGCCACAGCACTGGCTGACTTTAATGGGGGAATTATGGTCCCCGCCAGTTGAAACTATCCGATAAAAAAACAATTCACAAAAGCAAAACCCAGAGATTTCCGATCACATTTCCTCTTTGGGATGGAGAAACAACTCAGGCTTCTTTGGGCAGCAAGGAAAATCCTGCTATCCTCAGCTCTCCCGGGACTGATAGGCGGTTATTTTTGAAAACGGAGGAGGGAAAAAGTACCTGCACCCTGGATGGTTCTTTGCAAGCTTGAAAGAGAACTAAGCCATTGTGAGAGGCGGGAGGAGGACCCGGTGCATACTCACTCACTCGGGGCTCATGTATTCCCCACAGACAAGCCAAACCGCAGTAGAGATCAATAGCCATGTGCACCCCAAAGTATCAAGACACAATGGGGGCTCGGGGGACGCGGACCACGCTGTCCCGGGACAGGCTGTGAGGGCGCAGACATGCTCGTAGGAGACAATCCCAGCGTGTGCAATCCAAGAGAGCTCCAGGAATTCGTAGGTGGAAGGGACGGAGAGATAATGCAGCCCAGTCCCACCCCCCTTCAATGACTCACAACCAGAGACATACACACATCGACTTTCCTGGTTTAAACACACACACCTCCCCTGAGATCTAGCTTCAAAACAATAAGGGAAATACCAAGTGCGGAATGCATTTCAGGGGCTTTCCACCACCCGGGCCAGTTCCTAAAGGGGATGGGGGGCGGGGTGGGGGGTTAAAAAGTAGAGCAGCGCCCAGGGGGTGCGGTCTGCAATCCACCCTTACCAGCTTCATGGTGGTGTTATTCTGTTCCCAGCGCCACAGCATCACGCTCATCTTACTTCAGGGCGAGGAAGGAAGGGGCAGAGGAAAAAGGAGGAGGGGAAAAAAAAAAAAAGCCGAAGCACCTGCCCGCGCGCCCGGCAGGTCTGGCCGTCCAGTCCCGGGTCTCCTCTCGGCCGCGGCCCCTCCAGGCATCCCCGGCGCCCGCGGTCGCCTCGCCCCCGCCCCGGGGCCGCTGCTGCGCGCGGGGACCCTACCCTGGAGACCGGCGCCCGCGCTGCCCAGCTCTCGTGCCTCCCTCGCTCGCTCCCCGCCGGCCTCCCCGCCTCCGCCAAATCAAACAACTCGCCCTGTGTCCAAGCGCCCGCTCCTCGCAGCGCGGAGGCCGCTGGGGCCGCGGCGGCCGAGGGCGGGGTGGGGGGGGGGGTCGGCGGCTGGTGAGTTCCCCGCCCCCTAGCTGGCCCGCGGGCCGCCCCGCGTGGCACCCGGCGCTTCAGTGGGCCCTTCGCCACTGCCGCCGGTGGGCGCGAAGGGGGAAAGATGGTCGGAGTTGGTGGGAGGATACTTAACTATTTCGGGGAGGGCGTGGGTAGTAGGGAGAGCCTTGGGCAGAAGATGGGTAGGGGTGAGGCCGGGGGAAGGGGCTGTGGAGCGCAGTTCATGGCTCCCGGGTCCCCATGGGTTCTTAGCTCAGACACCAGCCGGCGCCTCACTATGCGCACTCATCTCCATCCGCATTTTCTTTCTGCACAGAACTCACGCAAGTTGACAGAGCCGCCTCCCCCTGGAGCAGTTGGAACTATGGCTGCAGGATGGATGCATTTCTGACCCCCACAACTCTAACCACACACACACACACACACACACACACACACACACACACACACATTTTCTGACCCCCACAACTCTAACCACACACACACACACACACACACACACACACCCCTGCCCCAGCCCACACGCTGCGTTCCCAGCAATATTTATTTCCTGCCACGTGAAGGACAGAGTTTGGGTATTTCCAAACACACCTTGCCTGGCCGCTGCTGGAGAAAGGCCATTCAAGGCCCTCTGGAGAGGAGGAGAGGTCAGGCAGCGACAGAGGAGGCAGCCTGTGGCCTTTATTTCCTCGTCTGCCTGCTCCACCTGCCACAGGCCCCGGGTGCCTTCCTTTGAGGACTGGGGACCTCCCCACCTTCCTGCCCAACCCTTGTCCTAGGTCCAGCATCCTCTCATCTGGCAGTGACCCTCCAGGGGTCCCCAGCAACTTTCGGTATCCTGAAAAGGCTCAAGAATCCTTCAGCTCCCCAAGGAAAGATGGCACTAGCCACCCAGACCTCGGAACTTGTTTCTGATTTGGGCAGCCATGACATCCTAGGATGGAAATCCTGGCTCTCCCCCACTGGCAGAGAGTTATAATGAGAAATCATGGATTGCTTTATTATATATTCATTTCCGTAGTCAAAACTGTTCATAATGAGGAAAGGTGATAAAATTGGTCCTAATCTTTTTCATTCTAATCTTTAAAACATGGCAATTAGATCAACTTGTCACCCTACCTAAACCTTTCAGGACTTGATTTCCTTTCAGAGTTTAAAAATCCCAGCTCTCTTCTATGACCTGCAACCTGGTCTCCCACCCTCTGGCCAGCTGTGTTGCAGCAACAGTGGTCTGCTTTCTTTTTCTCAAACACATCCAAATCATTCCTACCTCAGGACCTTTGCACGTGATAGTCCCACTCCCCGGAGCACTGTTTCCCCCTAGACTTGCCCATGGTCTCATGTCTAATGGCACCTCTTCAGGGAGACTTCTGACTCCTAATGTTGAAACTTCTCGTTCCCACACTCTCTTCCACTCCATTACTGTTGTCTCATCGTCATTGTTTTGCCTACTGAGTTAACTTAGCTAACCTGTATTCTTGTTTCTTTTCTGCCTTGTCCCACTAGACTACAAATTCCAACAACCTTGTCTGTTTTGTTTCCCTACTGTTCCCCAGTACCCAGAACAATGTGTGGCCCATAGTGGGAGCTCAGTAAATGTTTCCCAAATGAAAGGCTGTTGATGATTGTCCTAGTGTCCGTCCATGCAGCTTCCTCTACAGCTAGGACTGAGCCAGACCCAGGCAGCAGATCCCACATCCTGCCTCGGGCCCTAACTTAGACTGAATGACTACAAGAGGCCCTTCTATGTACATCTCTACACACATTTCTGAAGAATGAAACAGAGGCAGCAATATTTGCTGTCTCAAGGGAAGGGGCACAGGCTAGGACAACATATCAGAAATGAGAGAGCATGTGTCATTTGAAAAAGCATATTCTGTATTAAAATATATTTATATATTTGGAAAACAAATCCTAAAATAATTTTTCCAAAAATAAAGCTTGACAAATCTTATTGGCTAAGAGAGCAAAACACAAGATATCTCTATCACAGCTTTTTAAAGCCTAAAGTTCCTTGGAGTTGAGTGGCTGGATAAAGAATCCAAAATCCTGATTGTGTGAAAATACTGCAAGATCAGGGATTTATACATTTTCTGGGAAAACATCATTAGGTTCATTATACTTTCTAGGATAGCCACAACATTTACGATCTATACATCTGCAGAAAGTCATTGAATGAGCAACTAGTTTCCAATCTTTGCTGGAAAAAGGTGAAAAAATACCACTCATGGTACAAGGAGAGATGGGAAGGTGTGGAGGGAGATACAGAAGGTACCTGCCTCAGCTTTAATTAAAGAGAATAAAGCCTGTGACCTTTCCCTTCAGATCTCACACACCTTAGGTCATAGGTATTCTAGCTCATTTAGCAAACACTCCTTGAGCATCTACCATGATGCACTTACCCAGCTTTGCCGAGGGTGTTGAGAATCAGGGAGGATTCCTTGTCTGGGGTATGTGTCTCTCTCTGTGTGTATGTGTGTGTCCCTACCATGCACACACACAGTCTAGTAAGAAAATGGACAAATACACCAACAGTTGCAATGTAATGCAACAGGTGCTACAAAAGAGGCCTGTATAGTGTACAGCTGGGTCATAAAGAAAAAAGCTGGCTGAGCGCGGTAGCTCACACCTGTAATCCTAGCACTTTGGGAGGCCAAGGTGTGAGGATTGCTTGAGTCTAGGATTTCAAGACCAGACTGAACAACATAGTGAGACCTTGTCTCTACATAAAATTTTAAAAATTAGCCAGGTGTGATTGTGCATGCCTTAGTCCCAGCTACTTGGAAGGCTAAGGTGGGAGGATCATTTGTGCCCAGGAGTTCAAGGCTGCAATGAGCTATGATGGTTCCACTGTACTCCAGCCTGGGCAACAGAGTAAGACCTCCACAAACTCTGCAAAAAGAAAAGAACAATGCACAAGGCTGGGGAGCATGGAAGGACTTCACAGAGGTGATGCTGACCTGCTTCTGGCAGGTTTGACAAGAGGAGAGAAGCATCTCAGGAAGGTGGAATAGCATGTGCAAGGGTGTAGAGGGGTGAAAGTTCATGGCAGGTTCTGTGTGTTCACATCACATGGGGTTATTTGGTAGGCTGGGACAAGCAAGATTGCTGTAAAGGACACTCTATTCTTAATTCTTATAAATAGGGGAATGATTTGTCCAAGCTCCCATTTTAAGAAGACCTAGTAACAGCAAGAAGATAGCTTTAAAAAGGTAGAGACTGGAGGAAGGGAGACCAATTAGATGTCTGTTGAAATCATGCAGGGGATGGGTATGAGGACCCAAGCAAGAAGAGGTGAGTGGAAGAGATGCCTGATATCACCAGCATGATGGTACAGATGGTTCCAAAGGGTAATGGCTGTGAGTTCACAGGTGTCAGGACCCTGTAGATTTGCAGAGACAGAAGTGGCTTCTCACAACCTCCTCATCCACCAAACCCCTCCTACCACCTTTCTCCTTCCTCCTATTTCCATAATCTTCCACCAAGACCTTTGATGTGAAGTAGCGGAAAGAGATCAGTCTGTGTTGACCACATGGAACAATGCTTATGAAGGTCTGCCCTGAAGTGTGGTCTGGTGCCTTCCAGCTGTTGTCCTCTTTTTTCAGCTCATGGCTTTCTGACCCATCCCCTGGCCCTGACTGCCAGCTTAGCCTATCTCCCTGAGCATGACCATTCTTGAACTCTCATGGTAGCCACGAGGTAGGGTCCCAGTGTTCTGGTACTGTGGAGCCCCTGGTGGGGCTGACCCCTCAGAGTCTGGATCTGCCTTTCACTGAGTGGTGTCCTCTGTTCCAGACCTTTCCCGTCCCACCATACAAGAGACCTGTCCCACATCGTTCAATCACTCAACACTCCCATGTCTGCCTCCCATGCTTCTCTGAATTTTCAGCACCTGCCCAGCTATGGCAGCCACATGATAAATATCTCCTGAATGAAAGTTGGACTGTCCATCTTGCTCATCAAGGTGGAATGAAGAGGGGTTCAGGCCAGGAGGCAGGGTTGAGGCCTGGCATCCCAAAAGGTGCCACTGGTGTTTCCTTGAGCAAGAGCTACTCATCAGTGGACCTTCTTTTCTTCACTAAGAAACTGATGATCTATAAAGTTCCTTCTCACTCCTAAATTCTGCAAGCCCAGCCTCTGTCTGATAAACTAATTTGTGTCCAGCTGTTAATGGCTTAATGTATTTCCCAGATAACATATTTCAGTTTAACAGGGGTCTTCCACTCTTTCAGCCAAAGCAATGACTAATGGGAAAAAGCTCAGACACGGTGGGGGCCGGCCAGGGGAACTTCAGACAAAGTAGGCTCTCTAGACTGCTCCCATGCATGATGTGGGCTGACGCCTCTCCACCCACACATGAGGCAAGGCTGATGGGGGGATGTCAGCTTTTACATGGTCTTAAAATGACAAAAGAAGGATCAGAAGCACTGTGGCACCCCATGGGGAGGAGGGAATGAGCTAGATAGCTTGTCAGAGGGAGCCCATTTTGCCTCCAAATAGCTGGGCTTGAATATAAAAATACCACAGAAGAGCTTCACATTGCCTGCCGCATGAAAACCCTAGCCATAGTAGTGGCTATTTATTGAGCATGGTACTGGACACCTTTCACAGCAATACTGAAAATACCTCATCACAGCAATACTGAAAAGGATCCTTTTTGCTATTTTGCAGAGAAAGGCTCAGAGATGGAGAGTGATTGATCCTCTTCATCTGACTTGAAAGCCACCAAACAGGAGTAAAACTCAGGCCTCCCTGCCTGGTCCCCTATTTCTGCAGTTGTCTGCATTACTGTCATATTACATGCAGGAAATGAAACCCCAGAAATGCCATCTCTAGGATCATGAAGGCAAACTGTGTGCAGACATTTTTGCAAGTAGCTTAAAGACTTAGTCTCTTTCCTTCTCTGGGGGTACCCAGAGACCTTGGAAAGAAAGGAAGAAGATGTATAAAAATTAAAATAAAAAGCTTGTGGAAGTACACAGTTGGTAGGCTTTTCAGAACTTCAGAGTCGAATTTAAGAAAAGCACTAATCCTTCCTAGAGAAGAAAGGACTCCTGTCCACAAGCCAGCGACAAGGAAGGCCTGAGCACAAGAGGTGCCGTCTCCCCTCCACCAGCCTTGGAGGGGAGTAAGCCTCCTACCAAAAGGTCAGCCTTGGAACACTGGGGTCTGCAGGGGGTTGAAGGCTGTTGGAGGTTTTGAAAGTAAGATGTATGGCTTTCAGGAGGGCAAACACAATGTCACACTGACAAGCCTACGAATGAATGAATGAATGAATACGCCCCCAGAAAGGGCTGGGTTGGGCTAGCAAAGGATTTCTCTCCTTCCTCTCTTCCCTTTTCTTTTTTCTTGAGATAAAGAATTATGTAAAGGGATCTCCCCATTGCGCATACTAAATGCCACTGCATTTAGTATGTTCCCTTGACAGGGTTTAATTTGTCACTTCCTGGCTCCCCCGACAACTCAGATACTTTCTTCCTTCTAATGGGGGGGGTCAGATGAGGGTCAAGAATTTCTGGGTAGAGTAGTGTCTCCTATCACCCCTCCCAATGTCCCTGTGGGCTGCCTACTCCTCTGGAGTAGGTCATGTATGGTCACACCTCCATGCCTTTGCTCAGGCTGTTCCCTCAGCATGGAAGGTTTTTCCTTCCATTCTCTACCAATTGATATCACGTTGATCTTTCAAGACTCAGAGCAAAACTAACTGCTGGTGAATTCTCGGATCCTTTCCACTCATCAGAAGTATGTAAATGCTCTTAGTACTTTGTTTCTATCTCCTCTACGGCCTTTAAAACAGTACAACTCCTCTTATAGTAGGAGAGAGGTGCATTTCATTTGTTGTTATGGATGTAAGCAATGACATTAATATTATTACAACTGGATTATAAGTTGCTTAGGAACAGATACTCTATCTTATTCATCTTTGTGTACTCAGAATAGTACTGGGCTTATCATTGGTATAATTAAATAGAATTGACAGATTCAGTGTCAGGGCTATAGGGAATTTAAAGATCATCCCATCCTACTCCCTAATTTTCCAGAAGAATCTGAGTCCCCTAGATAGACCCCTTTCCACTGTACCATCAAAAATGTAATGAATATAAACTGCACTGAAACGGGAAGCCAAAAATACTAGGCATACAGGCATCTTGAGTGAGACCTCACGAAGAAATCAGAAATTCATGATGCCCTCACCAGGCTAAAGATTCACTTGTTTGCTGGGAATCTGGATATGTACTTGACATTTTCTTTTAAGTATTACCAGAAGGAGAGCTTTTGGAGAGTGAAGATTACGTGTCATTTCTCTCTATAGCCCTCAAAACGCTCGAAACATAGAAGGCGTTCAGGGTAAAAAATAAGTTTCAGGATGAATGAATGAATAATTGAAGACTAATTTGAAAGCTCCAGGGTAAGTGGTTTTTTACTTATTCAAGCAGACAAACTGGTCCCAAGCAACCCAGGGCATATATCCCAAGAGCAGACATGCTATTCCCATGAATCCAAGGGTTGCCAGGTGCCTCTGGAATTTATTTGCTCTGTTCAACATCCGGGGCCTGAGGACTCCTTCTCCAGCCCCCTCCCCACCCACCACCTCAATGCAGCAGATAAGGGTTGAAATTGTGCAATCTTTGGGAGACCTCTGACCCCCTTTTAAGGGCCTCCGTGCTGCTGGTCCTCCCTCCTCCCACCCTCCCAGGAGCTGCACCTCTAGGGTCAGGGCATGGGGACCTGTGGCCATTTTGGGAAGTGCCTTAAAGACTCATTTTAGGCATATCTAGTCTACTCAGGTGGGCTAGGGGTTCATTAAGGTGAAAAAAAAAATATTTTTTTAAACTTAAAAAAAATTCCTGCCACAGAACTGTGGGCACAGAAATATGGATAGCTATTGTTGAAGCACTTTTAAAAGTTCAATGGCTTCTAACTTTTGCCCTCTGTTCTGGTTTTGTATTTGAATGATTCAGAGAAACAGTTTAGAAAGGAGTTGCCCTCAAACTCTCACTGGGTTGCATTTGTCTGTTGGTTTTTTGTTTTGTTTTGTTTTCGGTGGTTGTGGTTTGGTGGGGGTGAGGGTTGGTGTGGTTTTGTTTATTTTATTTTCCCTGTGGGATCAGCCCTTTCATTCTTGGCCAGTTCTGGTCACTAGGGATTAAGGTTAGCAATTTAAGAAGCAGTGTCTTTCCCAAAGGGCTGTGGTCTATGTTTCCTGGGAACTATTGAGGAACTGAGTGCCTCCCTAATAACCCTTTTGCTGTAGGGAATGTGGTTGCTAAAAGTTACCCGATTGAACAATTAAAGGAAAACAAATAGCCTTGAAGTGGGTTAAAAAATTATTACCTGATGGGAGGCTTGGGAAACCTTTCCCTTAGAACAAAAACAGTAGGTAAACTAACTCCATTTTTGTTAGGGATCTTAATCCTCCCAGGACATGGTTGTTTGCAAGCACACATACACAACGGTGGACACAATCTACTCCAGGGCTTCCTCCTTCACCCAGCCCAGGAGAGGGTGCCTCCAGTGAGCACCACTGGGGTCGGGGTGGATGCTGGCACTCTGGGTCTGGTCCACAAACATGAGTTGAGGGAGGAAACAGGTGCACCAGCAGAAACAGAGTGTATCTGCAATCACCCTCTATCCAAAAGTCCAGAGAGGACAACCTGGGAACTCCCAAAATGAAGGTGCCATTGTTTAGCAAAGGAAAACTTCAAGTGCTGCTAATGACTTGCTTTTGGCTTCTGCGCAGGTCCATGACATTGCATTGGTCATAATTACTGCTGCTGTTGATTGGCCTCAGCTGTTCTGGGCATTTCTCAGATTGTAGAGCAGAACCAGTACGGAGGTCCTCCAGAGCAAACTCAATTCCTTTCCACAGCTTCCTTCCTGGTCATATTCCAGTGAAATGCCAACATCAAGAACTCATGATAACCTGGTTTTATATTTTTCAAAAACACTCTCACATCAGTTATCCTGGCAGTTATTCTTAGAACTGCTCTGTGAACTAAGCTGAATGGCTGGCATGGTCCCATTTTCCTGAGAAGGACACTGAAGCACAAAGAGGTTGAATGAGCTGTCCAAAGCTGCACAGCTGCCTAATGAGAGGTTCACACTAGGCCTTAGACCTATTAGCTCCTATCCAAATACCCTCCTCATAGGTTCTCAAGACAAGTGGACTTTACACAATAATGTTATTATTAGCAAAAGTCCTAGGCACTATCTAAGTGCTTTATATAAATCACCATCTTCAGTCCTCACAATAAACCTTTGAATATGGTACCACTGGCATTTTACAGTACAATGGAGGTACACAAGTGTTAAGCAAATTGCTAATTGTCACACAGCTTATAAATAGTGTGGCTGGAATTGCAACGCAGGCCTGTCAGACTGCATAGCCTGGAACCTAAGCTTCTGTGCCTTTCTGCGTATTTCCTTAGACTAGTCCCTGCCATCCCTCCTCCACCCCATGGAGTCCACATAGAACTAGCCTGCCTCAAGACAGCCCTTTGGATATTTGAGAACAAGTGCCAAGGCTTCCCAAATCTTCTCTAGGCCAGGACAAAGGCCACGGTTCTTTCAATACTTCTTCTACCTCTTTTCCGTCCTTTTGCCATACCAGTCCATCCTTGAAAAGGCTCCTCAGGCATTCTCGGAGGGGTGCCCAGAAGCCCTTATCGGCTACTTTTTGTTGACTGAACTCATCAAACTCTACTTCGCTGACTGATATTAGGCAAGCACAGCAAACTGCACCATGGGGCTCTGCTGCTGTGAAGGGGGATGAGAAGCCCCCAGAGGAAGGGCTGCAGAGAGGAAGTGCTGACTGCTTTTTCTTCTCTCCTTCCCGATGAGAACATGGAAAAAAACAGCCTGCCCTTCAGAGATTGCCTCCCTGCCTCTGCTTTCTCAAGGAAATGTTTTCCTGAGAGCCACTCAACGTGCGTGCAGGACGCCCATCCCGGATGAAGAAGTTCCAACCACATGTGTCTGCTCTTCATAACCTGGAGGAGACCCTGTGCCCTGGCATCACTCCCTGTTTCCCAGGATTGCTGAGGATTTGCTGTCCCAGCTGGAACCCTTAGCTCTTAGAGCTGGTAAACATCAGGCTCTGCTCAGGCTCTGCAGCTTCTCTGCAGTTGGCAGGGATCAAGCCCGTCTGCAGGGAAGAGATAGACATGGGTCTGTTTTCACTGGACAGACTCATGGTTATCTTCCTGAAGGAAGCCTAGGGGGCTGGGCTGGGAGCCTGGAGATCTGCACTGCAGGCCCTCAGGGTCTGAGTGCATCCTTCAGAGACAAGCTGCTTGAATTCAAGTTCTGGTCTTCCCTGGAAAATATGTGACTTGGGGCAAATTATTTAAATTTTTCATGCCCTGCTCGCTCATCTGCACATGCAGATTATAATGATGCCTGTCTCTCAAGATTGCTGTGGGGACCATGTGAGATATGCATGCGAACACTGGGCACAGTGCCTGTCACATGATCAGTGCTCATTGAAAGTTTATTGTTCCTATTGGTATTATTGCTTTATACAACTTGACTAGGGATCAAGTTATACATGGCTAGAGCATTTTTAACTTTGCAAGGACTTTCATTATTCTCTCATTTGATCCTAATAATTCAGTGAGGTGACAACATCAAGGTTTACCATTATAATTGTGTAGGAGAAAACACTAAAGCCCAGAAAGGTGAAATGCCTGGTTCAAGGTCACAGTCTAGACCCATGATTAGATCCCAGACCATCTGACCTCCTGCCTTGGGCTCCTGAGACAGGGCTGTGATGAAGTTTGACATGTACTATCACTGCATTTTCCCTCCTGTTATGCAGCTGTCTTATTTACTACAATCAAGAGCTACTCTCATGATCTAGGACATAAAATTCCCAAATGTGGATATGTACAGGCTACCCTGATCTATACACCCCAGTTTCTATCCTAGGGGAAGTCCAAAGAAGAGATTCTTGTATCTTTTCATTCCCTGACCTGGTTCCTGGGCCAAGGATGGTCCAGTCCCTGCCTGGTGCATGAGTCAGTTTATAGCCTGGCTCACTACCCAGTCCATCCCATCCTGGGGCATCAGGTTCAGCCAAGACTCATCGTCTGACTATGAGCCAAAACTCAAGGGTGTAGGGTACCAAGTCCTCCTGGAGCCTTCCACAGGATCATCCCCTGCAGTCCACCCCCCAAGGGGCCTTTTATGATTGCCCTAGGAAGGGGCCTAGGCTCTCTTTTTCAATGACCCAAATCCAAGCTCATTTCTCCTGAGGCCTCTGGACTATAGCAAATCAGGGTGGGAGAAGGAGGTGGAAGGAGGGTATAGCTGGCTGCTCCAGATGCTTCCCTCTAGTTGCCATTCCCAAGTGGCCTATAGAAGGAGATCCCAGGAGTAGGAGGCTTCACATCTGGAGCTGAGAGGCACCATGCTCCATAAAGTGGCTCCAGAACTACCAGCTTTTCACACCATGATCCATCCAGGACTGATAAGCACCATCCAGCCCCCATCCACACCAACTTGGTTTGCAGGTTGGCTCAGCTGTGTGTTTCTGGGAAGGACAGTTTATCTCGGCACTCTTCTGGCTCTGAGAGCTACTTCACTCCCTCCTTAAGAGACATCAGCACTGGCTCCACTCAGCACTTATTGTCCAGGGATGCTCTAATGACATCAGCTTCCTGAGAGCTGGACAGTTCCCCTCACATCAAAGCCTGGCTAAGCTCTCCTCTACCCCCATCACCATGTTCACACTTGGATTCACCCTTCAGACCATGACAGCACATGGAACTGGCCTCTCACAGTCCACAGCCACCCCAAGCACTGCTTGGCACCTTCATCCGATTCCTCTTTGCATTACACAGAGCCAACCGGGCTGAGGATTTAAAAAGAGGGCCTTGTTGCAAATGAGTAGTACTACAGGGGTTGAAAACCAGCTGGCCACATGGCAGAATTGTCCTTATATGTATTAATTATATATTATATAATTAAAAAATTGTCCTTATATGGATATATTTATTAATGTATCCAGCAAATATTTTTTCTGATTGACCACTAAGTGCCAGGTTCTATTCTGGGTGATAGGGAGGGAGAGTGAGGAATGAGACAGACAAAGCTGGCACCTGCCCTGGAAGAGCTGATGCTAGGCTGGCATTAGTGACAAACAAGCAAGTGAAGATATAGTAAGTCCTAGAGAGAGAAGCCACTGAGGGATAGCATGTCCTTGGGGTGGAGTGGGGAGAGCATTTTGGAGGGGCTGCTCAGAGAGGCTTCTCCAAGGAGAGCTTCTGCAAGCAGAGGCTTAAACAAAGGCAGGAAGCAAGCCACATGGAAGACCTGAAGGGGCAATGTTGCGGGGAGAGGGAACAGGAGTGTGCAAGCCCTGAGCAGAATGTGACCAGTGTGCCCCCAAACAGCCAGCAAGCTACTGAGGCTAGAGCACAGTGAGCAAGGCAGTGGGCAAGAAGATGTGAGCAGGAGAGAAGGGTCAGGCCAGCTTGTATAGAGCAAGAGTCAGCAAACTGCCACCCAGGGGCCAGATCCAGTCCTCAACCTGTTTTTGTAAGCCCGTCAGTTAAGGACAGCTTTCAGCTTCTCCAGTTTTAAAGGGTTGGAAGGAGAAGGAGAAGGAGACAGAGGGAGGGGAAGGGGAAGGGGAAGGGGAAGAAGAAGGAGGAGGAGGAGAGAGGGAGAGAGGGAGAGAGGGAGGGAGGGAAGGAAGGAAGGAAAGAAGGGAAGATGAGGAGGACAGGATGAGGAGGAAGAGGAGGAAGGATGAGGAAGGAGGAGGAGAAGAAGATGATGATGTGATAGACTCCCATTTGGCCTAAAATATTTACTATCTGGCTTTTTACAGAAAAAGTTTGCTTATCTCTCATATAGAGACCTACAGAATTGTAAGCCATTTAAATTTTATTTCCGGTGTTATCAGAAGTCACTGGAAATAAAAGTCACTGGAGGGTCCTAAGCAAACAAGTGGAACAACCTGATGTAAATCTGTTAATGCCTATACACTGGCTACACCATGGAGAGATGACTGCAGGGTCCAGGGTGGTGGCAGGAGGGTCAGATCCAGGACACTTGCACAGGAATGACAGGAGGGTAGTGTCTGGGAGGGTAGCAGTGAGTGTGGTGAAGAGGGATCAATTTTGCAACATATTGGCAAAGATGTGCAACTGAATATGAGTGTGAGGGAAAGAAAGGAGTGAAGGATGACTCTTAGGTTTTTAGTTTGAACAACTGGGCAGGTGTTGCTGCCACTGACAAAGATGCAGAAGACTAAGGGAGAAACAGTCTGTGAGATGAACTTGAGAAACCAAGAGTTCCAGTTTGGGCATGACCAGTTTGAGATGATTAGACATCAAATGGAGACATTTATATATACATTCATGCAAGATGCACGCACATATAACATAAAGAATGATGATGTCACTGATGCTATTGGAGAAAAGAAAAGAAAAAAGAATGTACTGAAGGCTTACTCTTACATGTGAAGTATTTCATATTCATTCTCACAACAACCTATAAGGAAAAAATTCTCCATTTGTCTCTCCTATTTTACTGATAAGAAAACAAACCAGGGGTTCAAGTTTCTTAACACCACATCTGTTAGCATGAACAATACATCTGTGTCTACTTGGGAATATGCCCTTCCTTTTTTGGTGCTTGTGTTGAAGCATTTTTATTTGGGGACACAGTGGACAAATTGAGTTCTCCCAGTTGTCTGGAATTGTTTTCTACAGACCAGGGACAATAAAATTTTCTTGTTTCTTACCTCTAAATTTAGTACAATTAAATAAACACATGTTTTCATTACAATACTTTTTCTTATGCAGTACTTAATTATAAAATGCATGCTTATCAGTTAAAATATCAGTTAAAATCCAGGAAGGTGCTGAGAGTGGCTGAGAGTGGCTGGCCACTTTGATTCCCTCCAGGAATGCTTCCTCTAAGACCTAGAGGTCTCATCATTCATGATTTCACTAAGGCACGTGTTCGTCCTGTGCCAATCCACTTGTTCTAAAAAACGAAGAACTTCAGGAATGGAAAAAATGTAATTACAGAGCACTACTTCTATTTTGTTTTTTAGACTTCAGATTCCTGGCCATCTCTTATTAGCTTATTTCTGCTCAATTTCCAGTCAGACCCACTAACTGGGATTTTTAACCCGAGGGGTCTCCATGGATAGAGAGATGTTATACGGCCATACGTTTTGCAGTGGGCAGGGCAGTGAAGGGGAAGGAGGGTCCATAGGTTTTGTTACATTACCAAAGGGGTATGTAACTTCAAAAAAGGTAAAAAAAAAACAAAAAAAACAAAAAAACAAAAAAACAACAACGCTAATCTTTTTCCACTTCAGTGATATTTCCCATAGTCTGTGAATGTTACCTCTTTTTTTTCCTTAACAGTCTCCCATGGAGCTGAGACAGTGGCATTTGGGGTTTGCTTTCAGAAACTATGCGAGTACGGATTGGTATTTTTCCAGGCACAGCATAAAACGGAGCCTAATTCATTCACTTCCACATTGACACAAGGGAGAATGTTCTAATTCCGCAGCCACTGAGAAAGGCAGTGTCGCCCCCAGGCTTCACACAACCCTCTTTCACTTAATTATTATTTAAGTCTCACCCTTGGCCCTGACTCCACACCGTGGGTCTACACCATTTCCCTGAGTACACACAGTCTTAGATTCCTTTGAGCCAAAGAAAATAATGCTGTTCTGATAGTCGAAGGCAAGAACAGACTTTCTAAGCAGGTTGTTCATCTGCCAGAATTCTTGCATGCTATGCCTTATTCTTAAACTCCAGATATCAATCACCATCTCTATAGGGTAGAGAAATGGAACAGAAAATACAGACAGTCTCCTGTTATTTCATTTTGTCAAAAGCAAGTAGCATATTCAAGTGGAACATTTAAGATCCAAGATCTTTGTGAGCATTCATTCCTTCATTTCTCCAACAAATACATATCACATATCTACTGCGGTCCAGATACTTTTTAAGTGCTGAGGACAAAGTAGTGAACCAGACAGACAAGGTTCCTGCCCTCCTGGAGCTTATGGACAAGTGCAGGAAGATTGCAGGTAAATACAAGTGTGCTAAGAAGTATGAAGGAAAATATGAAGTGCTATTGAGGACAGGTAACCAAAAGACCCTATGGAGTAGATTGATGTTAAGGAATAAAAAAGACTTCCCTGGCTGGGCGTAGTGGCTCATGCCTGTAATCCTAGTACTTTGGGAGGCTGAGGCGGGCGGATCACAAGGTCAAGAAATTGAGACCATCCTGGCTAACATGGTGAAACCCCGTCTCTACTAAAAATACAAAAATTAGCTGGGTGTGTTGGTGTGCGCCTGTAATCCCAGCTACTCAGGAGGCTGAGGCAGGAGAATTGCTTGAACCCAGGAGGTGGAGGCTGCAGTGAGCCAAGATCATGCCACTGTCCTCCAGCCTGGTAACAGAGTGAGATGTCATCTCAAAAAAAAAAAAAAAAAAAAAGAAGACTTCTCTGCTGAAGTAACAGCTATGCTGATACCCAAGTAGTTGCTGAGGCCAAGGCTCATGGAGGAGAACAGAAGATTAGGAGCCAAGGCTTCTGCAAAGGCCCTGAGGCCAGAACTAATACAGCATATTGCAACAACTGGAAGAAAGCCTGTGTGGCCAGAGCATGGAAAATGAAGCCACAAATGTCTAGAAACATGCTGGAGAAGAACTTGGGGATTTGCACAGAGTGGGCTTTGCATATCATTGTAGGGATTTGGATCTTTATGCTGACAGCAATGGGGAGTCATGAAGAAGTATTCGGCATGTGTGTGTGGGTTTGTCTGACATGATCAGATTTGAGGGTTTGTTTTGTTTGTTTGTTTTGAGATGGAATCTCACTCTGTTGCCCAGGCTGGAGTGCAGTGGTGCAATCTCAGCTCACTGCAGCCTCCACCTTCCGGGTTCCAGTGATTCTCCTGCCTCAGCCTCCTGGGTAGCTGGGATTACAGGGACGTGCCACCATGCCTGGCTAATTTTTGTATTTTTAGTAGAGACGAGGTTTCACCATGTTAGCCAGGCTAGTCTTGAACTCCTGACCTCAGGTGATCCGCCCCCCTTGGCCTCCCAAAGTGTTGGGATTACAGGCGTGAGCCACTGCACCCAGCCAGATTTGAGGTTTTACAAGATTCTGACTACAGTGTGAAGAATGGGCAAGGTTCAGTAGACCAGGGGAAGGATGCAGATGGTTTGGACCAGGGTGAAGGTAATGAACATGAAAAGAAATGGACTTACCTAGGAGAAAACCGGGAGCATGAACCAACAGAACTCAATGGTAGGTTAAATGTGGAGATGAGGATGAGGGTAGGATTAGTCCTCTAATCAGTAATTTCTGGTAGTCCTTAGAGCAGTTCTAGACATCCCTTCCTCCCTCTCCCCTAGGAAATGGCTACGTCAGTGGACATCGCAGTTGGGGTTACAGTAGCTGGGTGTAAAGCTGAAACAGCCACGAACTCATGAGGCTGCAGTGACACTGGCCATTGTTGTGTTGATTGAAAAGCCACAGATGTCCTCACCTGGAGCCTTTGTGTTGGCTATTGTGCTGCCTGGATCATGCTCTCTGGTCTTTACCTGGTGGATTGTTCAGTTTTCATGCTGCTGCCTCAGAGTGGTCTTCCTTGAGCCCCTCATCCAAAGTTGCCCCTGTCACTCCTGAGCATATCATTCAACTTTACTTTCTTCATAGTACTTGTCGCTCACTGAAATAAACTTATTTTTGTATTTGTTTACTCGTGTTTTGTCTACATCTCTCCATAAGAATGTAAATTCCATAGAATAGAAATTTTGCCATTCTTGCACCACACTGCTTAGAACAGTGCCTGGTACATGGTAGGTACTTAATAAAAAGAAGATAAATGAGTGAATAACTCCCCCAAGAAAAAAGGCCTCCAGACTGCCCTCTCTTTTGGCATTCTGGACATCCATAGCAAACTTGACTTCAGTGTTGTCCTGGTCTGAGTGATCCCTGTGGTTGGATTCCCCACCAGCTGTTTCAGACTCATTCTGGCCTCCATCTCAACAAAGGGCTCAGGTAAGCTGCAGTTTTCAAAGAACAGCACTCCCAATGGGGTATTCCTTTTCTTTATTCCCCGAAACAGAAGAACCACCAGCACTGGTATTTTTCCAAACTCTATACCTTGGGGCACAAAGCAAAGGCAATAGGATCCCAGGACAGAATTACTCATTCACGCCCATGACTGGAAGAACTCACAAGCAAATATTGCTTGTGCTGCTGATTCGTTACTATTTTTTCTCCCTACTTTTCCCTATAGAGCTCAGGGCCAAAGTCAACTGCATTTGTAGTTCATAACTGGTTCTTTTTAACCCAGTGTATGGGACAACATTTGGTTCTCCTAGCTAAATTCCTTCTCAGAAAGGGCACTAGATTCTTCTCTCTTACTCCTCTAAAGTTTATTTTGAAAAGGTGCCGTTTGCATAACATGAAGATAGGGACTCCATTCTACAGAGGGGAAAGAAGCCTGGCATAGTAAGACCCAGCCAAGCCCCTGAAAAGCCCAGCAAAGGGGCAAGTCAGTGCTTCGTCACCAGCAAATGGTCTCTTCTCAGAGCTTGTGAGTCGATGGTTGGTGTGCATGGTTCTTCTGTTTTCCTGCAACATGCCTGCATTCTCCCCTGAAGCCAGGAGGGAAATAACTAATAACAGAATCACTGTCCAGTATTATTTCAGCTAAACCATAATATGATGCTGGTAGGATGATAAGATCAATTGTCATCTTATAAACCTACTGGATTGCCCTGGAGTTGGGTTGGGAGTGGGCCTGAGAATGGGGTAAAGGACAGGGTCCTAGAATGGCTGGGTTAGACAGAGGGTCTCATTCTCCAGCCTGCCTCTCAGAGGAGCAATGCCAAAGCTCACACTAGCAGATATGCTGGGCCACCCTTGAAATGAAATGAGGATACAGTTCTGTTTTAAACCCTAATTCATCTGCTGGAACTCTCACTTAACTGGGAGTATTTTTCTTTTTCAAATACATAGGTGTTATCCTATCCATTTGCCTCTCTCAGAAAATAGAGTCAAATGGACAGGATAACACCTATGTATTTGGAAATTTACAAAAAGAAAAAAATCAGCTTTGAAGGATGCTATGGAGGGCTGAGCTCAAGATAACGGCAGTGCCATTTGTAGACCACCTTACCCCCCACCCCCAGCATTTCCACATGCTCCACAACACCACTCATCTGTGTCTTCTGCACCTGCGCCTCAAACGGCAACAGCAGCAATCATTCATTGAATAATGATCCTTCAGGATGTGATGAGCACTTTGTATATATTATTTTTTCAGTTCACATTAAAAAACCCCATGAGGTGGATATCATTATTATTTATATTTTACAAACAGGAAACTGAGAAATTAGAGACTTAAAGCAATTTGCCCAAGAAAACATAGCTAGTAAGTAGTACCTGATGTGGGAGCCAACCCCAGGAGTACCCAGCACCAGAGGCCCCGCTCCATGTTGTTCCTGGCCTCTCTTTGACCAAGCAATCGATTTATTCTGTTTACTAAGACAGGAAAAGTGCATTTGTTTGGTTTTTGTTTTTTTCCCAGAAAGACTTTCACCGACTATTTTTCCTAACACTAAATTCAAACAATACCTGAGCCATAGTTTCTTCTTAAAAGTTAGGGTGTGTTAGACAAGATTATCATTAAAGTGTCTTTCAGATCCTTGCCAGGCACGGTGGCTCACGCCTGTAATCCCAGCACTTTGGGAGGCAGAGGCAGGCGGATCACGAGGTCAGCAGATCGAGACCATCCTGGCTAACACGGTGAAACCCCGTCTCTACTAAAAATACAAAAAAATTAGCCGGGCATGGCGGCGTGCCCCTGTTGTCCCAGCTGCTGGGGAGGCTGAGACAGGAGAATGGCGTGGACCCGGGAGGCGGAGCTTGCAGTGAGCTGAGATTGTGCCACTGACAGAGCAAGATTCCATCTCAAAAAAAAAAAAAAAAAAAAAAAAAAGTGTCTTTCAGATCCAAAGTTCTATGATTTCATTCTGATCAATTGCACAGAAGCACCTTCTTTCTCTCAAGACAGAAGTTGGTGGTGGGGATCTTATTCGGTTCTTTAGAATATCCACCAGTAATTCTCTGTAGACAGGAGGGTTCCTCCACAATCCTCAGGGGGGATAATTAATTAAGATCAATGACCTCCTGGGGGTTGTGGAAAAGGGCAGAAGCAGTTGCTCTGCCTCCCTGGTGAGGTTTTGGCTCCCTTTCTGGCAGCCAGCTGGGTCTAGTCACAAGGCGATTGCCAGCTTCATCAATCCCCCATGCACCAGCACCACAACCAGCCCGAGCTGGCGTGGAGGGAACCCACAATCCCCCAGGTCAGTTGACTGCACTGCAGCAAAATAGCAGAGGGCTCCACAGGGCCCCAAGCCTGAACCCCGCTCCCCTGCAACCTGCTCAGTTCACCCACCACTGGGGCTGCCCACCAGCTCAGCTCACCCTTCCCTGAGTCACCTGGGCCTGTCCTTGGCCATCATGTCTCCTTCCATACATTGGTGGGGATGGATTCCTGGTCCCCCGCACTGCCTCTTATAACGAAGTCACCCCACTTGCAATCACAGTCGCTGCTTCCTGCTCCTCTGGTCCACCACCACCCTTCGCCAGCTCCAGCTCCTTCAGCCCCTCTCTACTGCCCATACATTTTATGCGGCTCTTTTTTACCACTCAAGCCTCATCTCACACAGTCCCTCCTCAGAGAGGCCTTCCCTGACCCATCACTTGTCACATTACATTATTTTCTTCACTGCCTTTAGTATTACTTGAAATTACTGTGCTTAGGTATTACATCACCTGGTTCCTTCACACTAAAATATACTTTCTATGAGGGCAGGACCCTCCTGTTTTGTTCATTCTTGTGTCCCAGTGCCTCAAATAGAGATGTAGGTGCTCAATAAACGGAGTGAACAAAACCCTTTATTCTCAACATTCCTCATCTATGAAGTGGAGGGGATAATATTTACACCACAATGTAAATATTACAATGAGTTAATATTATGATGCTGCTGTGAGGATTAGAGACAATGTATAATATTTTTGGGGTTTGTCGAAGACCAGGTTCCAATAACTGGGCAATGATGATGGTAATGATAATGATGACACTGAGAGAGGCAGCACCAAGAGACTGGGGGTAAGACTGCAGGCTGCAGAGTCTGAATTTGGCTTTGGCAATTAATTAGCTGTTTGATCTTCAGCAAATAAATTCTCTAAGCCACAGTTTCCTCATCTGTAAAATAGAGATTATAACAGTATCTCTTAGGGCTTTTGTGCAGATTAAATAGGACAATCCATGAAAAGTACCCAGAACAATGTATAGCACATACCATACCCTCAATAAGTGTAAGCTGTTACTGTGCACCAGATACAGGGCTATTCATGTCCCTTATACCTTCCCATCACACACCATGCAGCCTATGAAGCACTTTCCCAGAAATCCTCTTAGTTCATGCTGCTGAATCTTACGATAAAGAGGAATTACCCACTCTACTTTATAGCTGATAAAACTGGTGTTCAGAGAGGTCAAGCAACTTGCCTAAGGTCACACAGTTAACCCGAGGCAGAGGAGCAAAAGCCTTTAATTCAGAAATTCAAACTCTCTTCTTGTCACCACCCCAGGGTTGCTCTCTTGTGCAACCTGCAGCCCCAGAATCTGAGGACACCTTATGAGGCAGTATGGAGAAACTCTGCCATGCTGCTTGAGTACTCCTGCTAAAAATAAACAGGAGCCCTAGGCCTCCACACACGCGTTGAGGCCAACTGTGTTACTCTCAAGCCCGCTCCCTTATAGGACAGTCAAGGGTTTGGCAACACCACAAAGGCAGATGAAGCCTGTGGTTTCCACCAGGAGAGCAGGCCCAAGGTTCTGGTGCTCTCTCAGCTTCAAAACAACATTAAAATAGCCCCACATTAGATGGGAAAAGGTCAGAGCAGGGCGCTGAAGTGGTCACCACAGGCTTTATCAACAGTTTCCAGCTGGCACAGTGTGTTCTCTGGGCATCAGGGTCTTCCCCGTGGATCAGCCCAGCCCAGCCCAGCTCAGTCCAGCCCAGCAGCCCCTCCTGTTTTGGTCCCTGGCCTTGTCTCAGCCTCTGTCCTCAGAAAGGTTTTCAAAGGTGGCCTGACCAGGCCTTGGCAGCTCTCTCTGTACCAGGGGCAATTCAGGAAAGGGGCTCTGTGCGTGAAGTCCGAGAAATCCAAGGGGCTGGATGCAAATGAAGTAACGGGAAAAACAAACTGTGCTCACCAAAAAGAAACTGGCGCCCTGATCAGCCTTTTTAACTCCCAGCAGGAGCAGATTTGTTGTGACTAATGCATCAGGCTTTAAATAGTTTCACGCGGCATACTGATTAGTCCAAGGCACAACAGAGGCAAATGCAAAGTTTCCAAAAAGAAGAAAAGGCTGCCACTCTCAAAAAACACTCATCTGCTGATGGACGCCCACCCTGTTTAATTCCTTAATAAAGCAACAAGGCATAGGGAGCTGGGTGAGAAAGAAAGAACACGGAGCCAATCAGATTCCTGGGGGTTTCAGGTTGACTCTGGTTATTCTTTCCCTCAGTCACCCTTCATGACTGCCCCTTGCGCGCAGTCCAAATTTCTTGGTAATACCTTCTAGACTCTTCATGAACTGGTCCTGTACTGGTCTGAATAATGTCTTGCCAAAAATTCATGTCCTCCTGGAACCTCAGAATATGACCTAATTTGAAACTATGATCTTTACAGATTTAATTAGTTAAAATGAGTTTATCCTGGATTAGGGTGGGTGTAGGGTAAGTGCCCCTTATAGCAATAATTTAAGCATACCCTTAGAATGACCTTGTCTGGCAGAAACACCTGAATGTGCGTTCTGAGCCAGGGAATCCAGACGTAACCAACCCACAGATTCATTCCTTGCCCATGAGGAACATCTGAGCCCCCATCCCGTCCCATAGAACAAGAGCTGTACAGGAGATTGAGGCTCTGAGCTCTAGGTTAAATGAAAGTTGCCACGTGGAGGTCATTAAGGGGAGGCTGTTAAGTGATGTAGAAACTACAGTCTTTTTGAAAGCAGTTGTGATTTTCCTGCCCAGCCAGCCACCACTAGGCTGTGCAGTTATCTTGTCCAGCCTGCTGCCGCTGGACCATTTCTATATGTAAGGTGGTTGTCCTGTCCAGACTGCTGCCACCAGATTCTCTGCCCTGTAGGTAAGTCCCTAATAAAACTCCATATCGTATTTGCTGGCTCTGGGTCTCTTCTTTGGCCTCTAGAACCTGGTGCCTTCCCTACTGAGAATAATAGGAGTTTAGCACAACATTGGGTTGCAAAGCCAAAGACTGGTGTCCTTATAACAAGGCTATGTGAAGATACAGGAGACACGAAGAGAAGAACACCATGTAAAGATGAAGCCAAAGACTGGAGTGATGCATCTACAAACCAAGGAATGCCAAGAATTGCCAGCGACCTTAGAAGCTAAGAGAGAAGCATAGAGCGAGTCCTTCCCCAGAGGCTCTAGAAGGAACCAATCCTGCCAACAACCAGATTTTGGACTTTCATCAGCCTCTAGAGCTGTGAGATAATAAATTTCTGTTGGTTTAAGCCACCAGTTCATGGTATTTTCTTATGGTAGCCATAGGAAACAAATACAGGTCACAACCTACATGTCTAGCCTTTCTTCCATCAAAGTCACCTTCCTCACAGTCCATGCATGGGATGTAGCTCTTACACATTTTAAAAAAATAGAATGACAGAGTTCAGATTTCACCTCCACCATTTTGGCTGCTGTGTGACATTGGGCAAGCCAATTCTCTTATTTTTAGTTGTCTACTCTGTAAAATGAAGATATTAGAAGGACTGTTGTGGTGAGTTGAATGTGAAAATGTACACGTAACAACAGGGAGACTACATTCGCCATCAGAATTTTCTTGGGGAAGACATTGCATTTGTTTGGAAAGTACAGCTAAATCAACCTCTTGCAGAAGAGTGGATCCCAAGGGCCATGATCTGGACACAATGATCTGGATCATTGATCCTGTCGATTAACACAATGGATCTGTAGTTTGCAAGTTGTGGGTGACGGTGGCAAGAGTTGGCTAACAAAGGGTGAGGAATGCAGAGTTCACAGGAAAGAATCCAGGAGAGAAAAGGGCCAGCAAGGAAGTAAGCGAGGGAAGGAGACAGCAACACTCCTCCATACCACGGTAGGCTAAGGGGAGTTCTCTGAGAAAACAGAAACCTCTAATGGATATTTTCAGTTGCTTGCAGTGAAGTATACAAGATGAGCTCAATCCTCCATGTCCTCTACAAAATAACCAGTCAAATCTAAATTGGGTACCAATATTTTTATAATCATGGATTCCTTTGGTTCAAACTTGTAAATGTATTGAGTTTAGAGTCTGGGTTGTTGTCATGGGGTAAAAATGAAGAAAGCCCATGCAGACACATGAGCTGGAGAACCAGGGACCTGAGTGACATCTGGTTTACTCACTTAAGAAAGTTGCCAGCTTACTGCAGGTAGTCTGTAAACATTATAAATAAATGTTTGCTTCAGCCTCAGCCCTCACCTTCCTGACCATGCCTTGCTCCTGCCTAGGCTTGGAATGACTTATCCTCTTCCTTCACCACTTCTTCATCTGTTTGAATCCTACCCAGCCTTCAAGAATCAGCTGCCTCCTGCACGAAGCCTTTACCCACCTTCCCAGCCAGAAAGGATGATCTTCCCTTCTCCCAACTTTGTGCAGTGTGTTCCCATGTAACAGGCACCTTATTCCTTCTGGAGTTAATTAATAAAAAGCAAAGTTAAAAGTCATGCAGAGGAAGATAAGGGAATATCAACTCAGAAAAAAGAGAAAGGCCCAGAAAGAGGTAGGGAAAGGGGAAAAGTTGGGAGGAAGGGCATTGAAAAGCTCAAATGGCCAACTTTTTTCATGGTCATTGTATCCTGGACTAAGCAAAAGGGACAGAGGGGAAAGGCGATATCTCTAGCAAGCCCTTTTGTAAAGTTGAAATTCAAGCATTTCTGTTGACTCTTGAATGTCATTCTGAAATGCAGTGAAAACAATTGCTATGCTGGTAACGTGGTTTCCTGGAAGCTCTCTTATAGTCATGCGGGCATGAATTACCAAAACCTCCACCCACCAAGCTTTCTCCCCACCCTCCCTCTGAGCAAATAAATACACCAATCATGGCCTAAAATGGGCATTAACCTCAAAGCTGGGACAGGTGAGATGCTTTGCCCCACCCGCCAAGGGCTCCTTAAAGGAGCTCTCCATGGGCCTGGAATGAGGAAATAATTCAATTTGCCTATTAGTGGAGAGGGCAGAAGATAATCAGGGGCTGGGTCCACCCCCACCTGTTCTGACTTCAGCAACTGTCCTGGAGCCTGGGCTACTGGGAGCAGGGGACAAAGGAATGAAAGACACATTTGCTGTTCTCAAGGAGGTCCTCGTGCAGGGGGAGACCAATGAGCAGACAAATACAGTATAGTCTGACTAATGCAATGACAGAGTAGCCTGGAGGTTACTGCAACCCAGAGAAGAGAGCCTAAACCCAAAGAGGAACTGCCTGGGCTGAGCCTTAGACAATGAAGAGGAATTCTATGTCTCCAGTCTATGACTTACTACCACAAATATGCATAATGACCCTTCAATTCATCCCCATTTCAGAGATATCAAAATATAAAAAAATGTATGCTTGGGTGGGGGTGGTAAGAAAAAATCTGTGGAAATAAGATAAAGAGGCTTGAGGGGGAAGGGCTATCCAAACAGAGGGAACAGAATATGCAAAGGCCTAGAGGCAAAATCATGGTCAAGATGAAGGTACCATTCTAATAAGTACAAGTGAAGGACTCATGAAGTGGGGAGTGTCTTACTCAGCTTGGACTGCTATAACAGAATACCGTAGACTGGGTGGCCTAAACAAGAAACATTCATTTCTCAGTTCTGGAGGCTGGAAGTCTGAGATCTGGTGCCAGCATGGTTAGGTTCTTGGTAACGGTGTTCCTCCTGATTCACAGGCAGTTGTCTTCTCACTTTATTTTCACATGGTGGAAAGAATGAGTCTAATACCTTCATCTCCTTATAAGAGCAATAATGCCATCATGGGAGCTTCAGCCTCATGACCTCATCTCAACCTCGTTACCTCCCAAAGGCCCCACCTCCAAATACCATCAGATTGGGGATTAAGGCTTCAACATATGAATTTGGGGGAACACAATTCAGTCCATGGCATTGAGTTTACAATGATTGAAGTGAATAACCATGAGAATAACCACTGTTTGTCTAATACTTACCAATGAGAAATCCCCTCATAGTATTATCTGTGATAATATACAACTGGAAACAACATTCCTGTCCAATGGTCAGGAATGAGTTATACAAATCATGGTACCTTCATACAACTACTTTCTGGCTACTAAAAGTGACTGTGTATAAAAATCCTTAATGACATGAAAAGGTGTTCATGATGTACTAAGTTTTTAAAAATATGGGTCACAAAATATACAGATGTTAATTAGTAGGAAAAAAATGACTAAAAGGAAATTGATCAAAATATTCACAATTTTTATCTCAGGGGTGGGATTGCAGGTGATTATTAATCATCCTTTTCCCATCCCTATGGTTGACATTTTCTATAAGATTTTTGAAATGAGAAAGGAAGTTGAGTGTATGTATATGTGCATGGGTATGTAAGAGTGATTATGCATTTACTGCTGGACATGACCCAAGAAATGCAGGAAACAACATCAGTGTGGCCCTCCAGGTGAAAATAAGTGCACAGGTACCCAGGCCAGGGCTCACTGCAGCTTCTCCCATTGCTGGCTGTTCCCTGAGTACCCTCGTGTGGGCTTTGCCAAAGGTCACACTCAGCCTCCACCATTCTCTTACACAGTTTAAATGACACAGGGACAGTCACCTTCCAAGATGGGGATGTAATTAGTTCTTGGGGCCAAAGGTTCCTTCTGAAAATGTTTGATCTATTATCTGTCTGCAAATCAGCACCAACAAATATGACTGTTGGCCTATTTTCAGAGGGACGGTGAGAACATGAAAGAAGAGGCTCCAAGGTGGAAAGAAGATGGTTTTAGACTTTGAAGATCCTACGAGATCACAGAACCAAGGAGAAAGCCCTTTGCCTTTACTGGTGAATGTGTGAGCTAGTAGTTGACCACCTGGGTCAAGTCTAAGAAAGGTGGCATGTGGAGTAGAATACAGCTGAGATTCACTTATTTTCCTATCTAATCCCTCTCTGCTCTCTACTCTGAAGCTACAACAGTGAACAGGGACAGCTCCAACCTTCACAGGGCTTGCATTCCACTGAAAGAGAAGGACAAAAAGCAAATACGTGCTTTGAAAACAGGTAGTGATACATGCTATGAAAATAAAGGAAGAGAGTAGAGAATATTGGGGTGCTAGTTTAGATGGGTTGGTCAAGAAAGAGCACACATACTAAAGAAGTAAAGGAGCAAGCTCGTGTTTATCGGTGGAAAAGCATTTAAGACAGCAGGAACAACAATAACGGCCCTGAGTTGGGAGCATGCTTGAAAAACTTGGAAAACAGTAAGGAAGCTGATGTGGTTGGTGTGGAGTGAGATCTGGGAAAACTTCTGGGGGCATCCTTCTCTAGCTGGCGGGGTACGGTCTCTATAGATATGGGTACCCCACACCTTGCTACCATCCTATGTACCAGACCCCTGGCAGCTGCTTTCTCCTACTCATCATCTCCAGTCTAAGAGTAAATGAGTCACTGAAAACCTGTCCTTGTTGACTAGCAGTATGAGTATTGGTTAAGAGCTCAGACTCCGAAGTCAGAGCCCTGGATAAAAGTCCCAGCTCTGTCACCTCCCTGCTGTGTGCCCTTGGGTAAGCTGCTTAGCTAATATGTAAGCTAAGTGGTGCGCTGGGAAACTGGATCTTCTTTGGGAGGAAAGGGGATAAAGAAATGCTCTGATTTGTAGCATTTGCCAATTTCCATGGTGTAAATACTCTTGCTATAGTCTATTTTTAGCTAGCAACATGATGTCACTGAATGTGAAATTGGGAAGAGATGCACACAACTGGCTCTCAAGAGATAGTACCAGCCAGCCTCAGCATACCATTGCCTCAGTGTCTTCATCTGCAAAATGGATTTCATCTTATAGAGTACCTGGTGGGAATCAGATGAAGCATACATAAAAAGCACTTAGCACAGTGTATAGTATATAGCTAATGCTCCACAAATGAGAGCAGCAATGCCGACTCAATAAGGATCCTGAATTCCTGTGTGGCATTTGTGTATAGAAATGAATTCTCAAAGGGAAAGGGCCAAGAGGAGCCTGGGACCCTATTCTGACTCTGTCTCTGCCTCCTTTTGTGACTGTGCAAGTTGTTTTCCCTCTCTGGTCTTCAGTTACTCTATCTGAAGTGAGAGATAGAACTCAGTATAAAGCCCCTTCCACACGGGACATTCTATAACTTCCTACTTTGGGGAATGCTCTGGAAGCAGCATTAACAGAGTGGGTGAGGGCTCCCAAGGCAGCAGGAAGGTGGGATAGAGTTAGCCATATCTCACTAATATTAAAACTACCTGGACAGAGGTGGCAGATGTGTTCAGAGTCTAGGACAGCAAGCCTGAGTGAGTTCTTTACTGGCAACGGCCAAAGCATTGTTTGAAAGGTCAAGGGAACGACAGAAAAATACCTGGGGAGAAAATGAGACACATGGCAGTTGTGAGAGAAAAAGATGTGTATAAGTGAGAAGGTTTGGGACTGATAGATTTTCAGAAAATGTCTTTAATCAACATTTTAGAAACGAAGGCCATTTCTGCCAAACCTTGCATGTGAAGAGAGAAAAGAATGCAGAGGAGCTGTTGATAAAACTGGGGGTGAGATGAGCATACCAGAAGCAAAAATGGAAAATGAAGGTGAAAATGATCAATGTCCTCTAAGACAATCCTCACCCAGACACAGGCAAGGGAGAGCGAAGAGGTTCGTTAGAGAAATCAAGTAATGCCGAACTTTATGGAATTGAGAACTGACTTTGCAAAGCTGAATTCTTTGTGCTTCCAATGTCCTCATTAGAATCCCTTTGAAGTACATCAGAGTATAATTTTCAAGAGTCAAGAACAAAGCTTCATCTAGCCATTGGCTCAAATGGCCCACCAGCAGAAACAAAGTATCTGAATGCTCTGCTCCCTCAAAGCCATAGACGTGAGGCAGGCCTCTCCGCAGATGACAAACGGCACCAGGAGATTTTGTGGACTTTGCACTTTTATTCGTGAAAGTCTCTAGCCTGAATTCCTTCTCAAGGGGACAAATGAATATCAAGTCTGAATGCTGTGATCCCAGAAATTGCTTCCACTAGCTATTATGGTTTGGAACTCAATTCTCCTCACAAATGAGTAGTTTTCTCAAGCAGCCTGAGAATTCACAGCCCTTCTAAGTCATGACAAGTAGGTAACGTAACCGAATTTCCATCTCGGTAATCCCTGTCCTAACATTTTTGGGTCAGATATTGTTCCCATAAGGAGCTTAATTCAGACGTCTTGACATCCAGGGAAATGAAAGGGGAAGTTAAAGGATGTGTTTCATTCTGACTGAATCTAAACTCTGACAGGTGAGCTTAATTACTGGCTGCCTCTAGCTCCTAATCATCCAGCTTATGATGGAAAGAATAAAGTCATCATAAAAAATAACGACATTTTAGTCAAATTGGGAACAACGTTGCAGCAGCCAGTGACTGGAGTTGTGAATGACAGCCTTGAAGAGGTGAGGAAAATCTGGGAGGGAGATGCCCCCACCTACTCCTCACACCTTGCTTGGTTTCAGCATCTTGAAGGCGCAGTGAGTCCCAGGCCTAAGAAATCAGGAACTGCAAGTACCACATTAACTGTCTATAAACAGTTATCAACAGTAACCTTTAAGCTTATTAAAAAACAAACTGGGAAATGAATCGATCACTGTCAAATGCTCAGTGGGATGCTGCTTCTAAAAATAAGAGTCCATTTGAAATTCTAAGAGCTTCATACAGAGGATGCTTAAACAATCTGCTGGTAAAACTTTAAAGGGTACAAGAAGACCTCTGAATGGCCCAGAAACAACACAAACTGAGAGTTAGAAGCTCCAAGTTTTAACCCTGGCTTTTGCCAGTCACCAGCCTTGTGGTTTGGGCAAGTTCTTCCCTATCTCTGCCTGTCAATATCTTTAATCATGGTCACTCACATCTTTACCTTTCAGCAGCATCATCTGTTTTGGAAACCTGGCTGAGGGATATGCTCATTGTCTTGCAAGCCTGTTTCTCTTTGGTCTGCACCTCTCTGTGAAGTGAGGTGCCTGCACCTTCCCTGCCCCGTTCCTAACAGAGTATTAACACTACCATTCATTGAGTGCTTCCCATGAACCTTTAAGTAAGCATTTTACCCACATCATTACATTTAATACTCATGACAATGTCTACTCATTCATTTAACAGATATGCATTCCTTACTCTGTGCCAGGCACCATGCTAGGCGCCAGGGATTAGGTGGAGAACAAGACAAGCCTGGCCCTTGTCCCTGAGGAGTTTGTGGTGTATGTATTATAACTAGTTTACAGGTAAGGAAAATGAGATTCAAAAAAGATTAAATAGTGAGAAGTAGCAGAGGGAGGATTCAAATCCAGCCTAGATTGTGACACTTCCAGTGGCCTGGCTACATTTCTTTTTCCCTCTCTCATACTCCTTGGAGGTGGGGTCCAGGTCTCTTGTGCCTTCACATCACAGTAAGATGCTTGATAAATAAGAGTGGCTTAATTGAACTCTGCAATCCTTGGTTACCTAATTTGTAAAATGTGGGTAAACAGGTCTGCCTCACTGTCTCCTGGGATGTGAAAATCCCAGGGCACATGCAGGCATCTATAAGGGCCTCTGAACAAGCTGGGAGAATTGACTGTGACTTGCTTTGAAGGAAATCCAATCTCTCTGCCTCCACCAGTCCACTGGTCAGCACTGCCCACAGCCTCAGAGCTGCCTCGTTTGACATCAGAGCCTTCCCCACAAAGCCTGGACAAGGTCTCACTACATGCCCAGCATATCCCACTAATGCCATGCTCAACTGCCCATGTGCTCAGGGTTTCCTGGGCTGCAAACCATCTCCCTACTTGGTTAGCAGGCTCCCCAGGGGCAGCAGACAGAGGCCTAGCAGCCTGGCCAAGTCTTCCAGGTCTCTACCTGGGCCGGAAGCTCCTGGTTTCCAGAAGGGATCACTGTCAGGAGAGAAAATGACACACAGTAGCTCTTTCCTGGAAGGGAAATAACTGCCAAGGGAAAGCATTAAGTAAATAGTGTAGCC
Organism: Homo sapiens; assembly: GCF_000001405.40. Lineage (NCBI taxonomy): Eukaryota > Metazoa > Chordata > Mammalia > Primates > Hominidae > Homo > Homo sapiens. The sequence continues at coordinate 19,747,765 of NC_000011.10, read as the reverse complement.
CAACTCAGCTTAGTTTTTAGTTTGAAAAACCAAAATAGCTTGAAACCAGATCAATGCTACTGCCTAAAGATAGTCAGGGGGAGCAGAGGACGCCAGGAATGGGACAAAAGCAGATTTGCCTCCCCTGCAAGGGCAAATTGAATGCTGAGTGGTCCAAGCATTGAGACTCAGCCCTAGTCCTAGATCCCTTCCACTCCTGGTTGCTTGGCGATATGCTTCATTCAGCCCTTTCTGACTACTGTCCTGTGTGAGAATGGCATAGTCAGTGTTGACAATGTGTAATGAATTTGACTCCTATATCTGCTGTGTGACTTCAAACTACTGATTCAACCTCTCTAAGCCTCAGGTTTCACAGCTATATATTAGGTATAATTATTCCTACTCCTCCTAATAGTGTTATTAGGAGGTAAAATAATGAGTGGTGAGAAAGTACTTGAGACATAATGAGTGTTCACAACATAAATGTCCAACAATGATAGACTGGATTAAGAAAATGTGGCACATATACACCATGGAATACTATGCAGCCATAAAAAATGATGAGTTCGTGTCCTTTATAGGGACATGGATGAAACTGGAAACCATCATTCTCAGCAAACTATCGCAAGGACAAAAAACCAAATACCGCATGTTCTCACTCATAGGTGGGAATTGAACAATGAGAACACATGGACACAGGAAGGGGAATGTCACACACTGGGGACTGTTGTGGGGTGGGGGGAGGGGAGAGGGATAGATATTAGGAGATATACCTAATGCTAAATGATGAGTTAATGGGTGCAGCACACCAACATGGCACATGTATACATATGTAACTAACCTGCACGTTGTGCACATGTACCCTAAAATTTAAAGTATAGTAATAATAAAATTAAAAAAAGAGTGTTCAATAAAAGGTAGACAGTGATAATCTTCATGTTTTTTTTTAAGCCGGGACAGACATGATGAGAGAATCTTGCAGCCCCTTGCAATCAGGAGTACCAATTTTAGGGGGCATCCTGGACATTATCTTATTAACACTGTGGATGGGGCAATACGAGGTGAATGAGAGCAAGATTCAAAAAGAGAACATGGGGGCATGTGGCAAAGGGGTTAGAAGAATCAGAATGCAGAAATCAGATACAATTTAAATTAAAAAGGAATAAATCCATTTCAAATTGCCCTATCCATAACTACTTATTCAATCCACCTTCTTTTGATCAATCCTCCTTCCATGCCCTTCTAGCGTTCTCCTCATTAATGACAGTAAACATGCTCCATAAATAAAAAGTGTAGTTGAGAGGTAATTAATGCTGGGCAGTCTAATTCTGAATTTCCAATCATGCTCTACTTACATTAAAATAAGATTGGAGGCATGTGTGACAATCAAATTTACTCTAGTTAAAAAAAAACATACAAACGCATACTGAAGTCAGTTACTTGGGGAGAGATTTGGGAACCACGGCTGCAATTAGCTTCCATATGCCACCCAAATATGTTGAGCTCCACTTGTGCACCTGTCAGGATGTGACACTGTCAGCATGTCTTCTGCAATGCCACACATATGAGATGTTCAGGGACAAAGATATATCATGAGATCCAGCAGAACCTAACTGTGCTGGAAGCTGTGAAGTGGGCCGAGGCTGCATTTGACCTGACCCTATGATTCTATTTCTTACTAGCTTTGTGTTTTGGACAAATCACTTCTCTTCTCTGTTTTAGTGTCTTCATTTCCCTAATCTGTAAAATGGGCATAATATTTTAAGAAAATCATGTTGATAAAAATGCTTTGGAAACTGCAGGATTCTGCAGTTGTTAGTAAATACGGTCAGCCCTGATCCCATCCAAATGTTGCCCAGTGCTTTATGTCAGGGGTCCCCAGACCTTGAACCATGGACAAGTACCATTGTATGGCCTGTTAGGAACTGGGCTGCACAGCAGGAGGTGAGTGGTGGGCGAGTGAGCATTACCACCTGAGCTCTGCCTGTCAGATCAGTGGTGGCATTAGATTCTCACAGGAGCGTGAACCCGATTGTGAACTGCACATGCGAGGGATCTAGGTTGCACACTCCTTATGAGAATCTAATGCCTGATGATCTGAGGTGCAAAAGTTTCATCCCGAAACCATATCCTGCATCTCTGTCCATGGAAAAATTGTCTTCCACAAAACTGGGTCTTTGGTGCCAGAAAGGCTGGGGACCACCGCTTTCTGTGATAGCCGGCTACCCCCAAGAAAGATTGTATTTTACACCTTTCCAGTGTCAAAAGCCAGGGGCAGGAATGGTGACAACATGTAGGGAAGCAGGTGTGTGGAGGGCTACTCTGGGGACAAAATCGAGGGCCAACTTACCCATTAGGCAGAGTAGGCACAATGCTTAGGAGCCAAGATAGTTTTAGGGGCCCAAGGAAATGTTGTAATTTGTTTTTTAAACCAGAAGGATGAAATGGATACAATTTAGCCTGGATTATATTTGTCTTTTGCAAATGCAGTCATAAAATAAACACCTGAGCTTTCTGGAGACAATGCCACAGGTCAAGGAATGAATGAGAATTCCAGACACCATGACAGGCGGAAAGGGGAGATTCCTGAGGGGGACAGGATCATGAGCAGTTTCTGGGTGCCTCTGAAATCATGTCTTCTCAGCAACTGTCCCACATGACTACTGGACTCATCTTCCATGTGGAGATCATTTCTACTCCTAGTGCTGGTGACAGTACAACCCTGCTAGAGAGCGATAGGGAATATTTAGTAAAATCTAAAAAGCATGTACTTTGATCCAATAATTATGCTTTCAGGAGTCCACCTATCTTACAGTCCTATATGGGAAACTGTGCAAAAATAGAGGTGTAATCAGCACATTGTTCATGACGGCAAAAAATCAGGATAACCAAAATGCCTACCAGGAGGACAATGGCCATATAATAGTCTACAGTGCAGAGTTAAGAGAAGGCATTTGACATCTATGTCAGGAGATGCCTAAGAGATGATGATGCATGAAAGAAGACCTCTGTAGGATGGTGAGGATGGTGAAATTCCAACTGGAGTAAAGAAAGGATAGATGTATTTGAATATACTTGTTTTTGTACAAATTTTCTGGAATGATGCACAAGAAACTGTTCATAGAGGTGATTTCTGAGACAGTGGGGTGAGGTTGGTTGGAGAAAACATGAGTGTTTTCTATTCCTTTTATACCCATGTCACAAATCTTTAAAAAAAAAATCCACAGATATTACCTTTTAAATTAAAAGTACTGATTGAAGCCATAAGCAGAGAACTAATTATGGGTTTACCACAATTAGTGGTGCTCCTTCCTCCATCCTCAGCCATGTTCCCTAACTCACTGTCTCTCTAAATGGGCCCCACATGAGTGGTGTCAGAACTAAACCTTCTGGAGGTATTTAGGACAGGGAGATGGAAGGAGTGACAGCCAACAGCTGGCACTGGGGAGTGTTTCAATGGGTCTCTGGCAAAGTGTGCCATTGGCATCCTCTACTCTGCACAGTGAAGGCCTGCAACTCATCCCTAGGATAGGCCTTCACTCCAGGTCTCTTTCTGGAAAGTCTTTCACTCTTAAACTACACAAAGGCAAGCCCTAGAGGCAGAAGTATGGGTTTAAAACCAAGCTCCCACTTCACTAAGTGACTGAACCTCTGTAAGCCTCAGTTTCTTCATCTGTAATATGGGAACAATCACACCACACTTCCAGGGCTTCTTTGAGGAAGAGATGAGATAATCTCTGTGAAAACATCTTGTACCTTATCTAACACATATTAGGTGCTCAGTAAACCAACTGTATCTGAGGCCAGTGGAGGGGAAGCATACTACAACCCAAATAGGACTCCTCCTCCGAGTACCTGTGAGATGGGCTTAGCATTAGGGCCTGAGGATTGGGATGACCCTGGCCTGACCCAAACCTTCCATGCCAGTGGGGTAAGTAGACACTCCAGGCTCTTTGGGCTGGACCAGTCCAGACAGCTGCCTGGGCAGGACAGTGAGAAGCTGCCGGGATGACTGCCCAACTCTGAGCACTAGGCTCTTTGTCTATCATCAGAAGGGATGAGCTAATGCTTTGTGTCCAGGTCCAGATACCGTCACATTCCTGGGGCTGGAGAGGTAGCTCTAGGCTAAGCCCAGCACTTTTTTGTGGCCTCGCCTTGGAATTCTGCATCTTGTCCTTCATTGAGACCCAGAATGTTGTCCTTTGGGGAAACCCAGACACAAGCTCCTCATGCCTAGAACTGACAACTGCAGGCACTAGGCATTCCCACCTGAAGCTACACTTGTGTGAGCAGACTGCAGGCAAGACCCAGGAGGGAGAAAGCACCAGGAACTCACAGCACGGGTGGAAGACCCCAGTGCTTCACCCACCCTGGAGATATCCTGGGCCAGCAAAGAGGGAGTAGCTCATATCCATTCCTTCTGCCATCTGTCTTGTTGCTAGGCTTGGGTAGTGGTTGGTTATGCTAGGCCAGACCCCTGACTCCCAAGTTCAGAAGTACTGGCCTCACTTTGGAGCTGCAACAGCTATAACCACCACCTCTCCACCTGTAGGGTCCTTTGCAGTTTATAAAGCCCTTCATAGGAGCCTCACAGTGGCCTTATGAGTAAATGTTGAGGATCTCCACCACATTTTAGATAAGAAACAAGTTCACATAGGTTGTCATTTGTCCAAAATCCCAAATAGGGGGAGTAGAATTTGAACCAAGGCTACACAACTCTCACAGTGCTCTTTCTCCTAAACCCCACTGTTCTTCCTTCTCTAATCTTGGTTTTGCCTTCCGCACTGTGAGCAGGTAGAAGTGGACCTTCAATTCCCAGGATGCTACAAACTTTGACATCTTTAATAAGACACTACAGAAGTCTCCATGCATGTGTTGCTGTGAAACGCCACCAGGTGGCAATAGTAGCCACAGCTTGCCAGGACAGCCACCAAAGTGGACAGGAACATGGGCCTGTCTGCCTGTCTGTGCCTTCCAGGTACAGCAGTGCAGAGCTGCAGCTTCTAATCCACATGTGGACTGGCTTGGACAAGGGCAGAGGTGGCTTTTAGATTTCCTGCCCATCTGTGCATCAGGACTGAAGGATTCCTGCTCCCACTATCTAGAGATGGGCAGAGCTGATACCAGGCTGTGCCCTGGTACAGGGGAACCAGCCCTGTAACCTCCCTGGAACCAGTGCCTCATCCACATAGGCACCAAGCAGAACAAGGAGGCATGAACTGCCAGCCACCAGCTCTTACCTGGAGCGCCTCACGTAGTGGGTAGCAGGCAGTCCATGAGTCTTCCTTGCAAACCACACCCACACCCTTGCCAATCCCAGAGCTAGATGATGACCATGTGTGAAATTTATTCTGGCCTTAAAGTAGCTGTTTATTGGGCACTAACTATGTGCCAGACTCTGTGTTAAGTGCCTTGCACTTGTCTTCTTTAATTCTCACAAAGAATGTATGAGGCAAGTACTTTTATCACCCTTGTTTTACAGATGAGGAAATTGAGACTGAAAGAGGTTAAGTAACTAGCCCAAAGTTACAGGAGGTAGGAAGTGGTAGAGCCAGTATTTGACCCCAAGTCCCGATGACTGCTGAGTCCATGGTCTTCCAAAAATGTTTGGTTGGGCTGGAGTATAAGGGGCTCAGGAGGGGTGAAGGGGAGAACAGGTGTATGACAAGGTGCTCAACATCACTAATCATCAGGAAAAGGCAAATGAAAACTATAGTGAGATGCAGATATTACCTTACACCTGTTAGGATGGCTATCATCCAAAAAAAGTCAAAAGATAACAAGTGTTGGCAAGGATGTGGAGAAAAGGTAACCCCTGAACACTGTTTTTGGGAAAGCAGGCATTATGAAAAATAGCATGGAGGTTCCTCAAGAAATTAAAAGTGGAAATGCCGTATGACCCAGCAATCCCCCTTCTGGGTATATACCCAAAGGGAATGAAGTCAGCACCTCATAGACATATCTGCACTCCCCTATTTGTTGCAGCATTATTTGCAATTGCTAAGATATGGAAACAACATAAATGTCTATCAACGGATAAATGGATAAATAAATTGTGATATATATATATATATATATATATATATATATATATATATACACACACACACATGATACATACATACACAATGAAATATTATTCAACTTTTACAAAGAAGGAAATCATGCCATTTGCATCAACATGGATGAAACTGCAGGACATTAGGCTAAGTGAAATAAGCCCAGACACAGAAAGAAAAATACCGCATGATCTCTCTTATATGTGGAATCTTTAAAAAAAAAAAAAAAAGAAAGAAAGAAAGAAAGCCAGGCTCATAGAAGCAGAGAGTAGAACAGTTGTTACCTGAAGTGGGGGAGGGAAGTGGGGGAAAGAATGGGGAGATATAGAACAAAGGGGACAAAGTTGAAGTTCTGTGGGATAAATAAATCTAGAGATCTAAAGTGCAGCATGAGGACTATAGTTAATATTATATTGTATGCTGAAAATTTTCTAAGAGAGTAGGTTTTAAGTACTCTTACCACACACATAAAGATACTTATATGAGATGATGGACATATGAAATTGCTTCCCTGTAGTAATCATTTCACTATGTACAAGTATATGAAAACAGATTGTACATCTTAAATTTATACAATTAAAAATTAAAAAATAAAATCTGTAAGGGGGAGGCTAAGGCCATTTAGGAGACAGCCTTGATGTCAGAAAAGGTTACATTCCCATCTTTGAAAATGGTGCCATTGCAGGATCTAAACTCCTCTCACTTGATCTCTTGCTACAATCTCACATCCCTTCTACTGATAAGTCACCCAGACTGTTGGCTGCTATTGGAAGCAGCAGGAAGAAGAGGTTAGGAGTGTGGGCTCTTGGGCTCTAAGACCATAATACCTGGGTTACTAGCTGGGTGATCTGGAATGTGGCTGTGAGCTCTTTGCATCAGCTTCCTCATCTGCAAATGTAGATGATAACAATAGTAATAGTGTCTACCTTATAGGCTTTTTGTGAGGACTGGAGAAAACAATATATGTCACATGCTGATAACATGCCCGAGATACAGTAAGCACTCAATAAATGTTTGCTATTATTGCTGACTGGGCTACCAAAGGAAGTATTGTTTCTAGTTCAATTCCCCCATTGTACTCTTCCCCTCTGCAAAATATCAGTAAATCTCCTTGCCTGAATATGTCTCCTGTGTTCTTTTTATTTTTATTTTTATTTTTTTTTAGTATTTATTGATCATTCTTGGGTGTTTCTCAGAGAGGGGGATGTGGCAGGGTCACAGGATAATAGTGGAGAGAAGGTCAGCAGATAAACACGTGAACAAAGGTCTCTGTTTTCCTAGGCAGAGGTCCCTGTGGCCTTCGGCAGTGTTTGTGTCCCTGGGTACTTGAGATTAGGGAGTGGTGATGACTCTTAAGGAGCATGCTGCCTTCAAGCATCTGTTTAACAAAGCACATCTTGCACTGCCCTTAATCCATTTAACCCTGAGTTGACACAGCACACGTTTCATCCCCATGTCTTTGCCCACAATGTCCCCTTTACCTGGAATGCCACCTACCTACTTCTTTTGAATAAACCCCTTCACACTTCAGGGCCCATCATGAATAAGTACAGTTTGCCCTGGGTCTGTTCCTTGTATGTTTTACTGTCCGGAGATCCCTTCCAGCATGTCACAGGGTACTTTGTTTCTAGTAGATGCCTCCAAAGTGCGCAGTACAAAGGATTCCCCATCAAGCTCCCAGTGGCTGCCCTCCAGGGGGAGCCTGCTCGGAGTACGAATAAACAGGGAGAACCTTCCTTTCCCTCTCCAAGGAGAGGATAATACAGTTTCCCCTCCACTGTCCTCTTCAGATCTACTGTGAAATTTAAATTCATGAAAGCTGGGTTCTGAGCCTAAAAGCAAACACCAGGGCCCTCTTAGAAGTTCCTCCATCCAGCTTGGCCGAAGTCTGGAGCTGCCAGCCGCTGCTTCCTTCTTCAGAGGGCAAAATAAAGCATTTTTTCCTTAGGACACTACCAGTCTCCTCTGTTTCCATCACTGACTCCAGCAAAAGAGAGGTTTAGCTAGGGATTATAAACTCAAATTCCCATAGGGGCCAAGAAGCTGACCAGGTATAAGACATATGAGCATGGTGGATACTGTGGCTAACAGAGAACACTCTCTAAAATCATTTTTAAAAATTTTCTAAACCAATGTGCCAGATAAGCAAATGTCTCCACAGACCTGATTCAGTCTGAGGGCCATCAGCTACACCCCTCAGCTTAAAAATTCGCTACTGACCCTGAAAACAGGGGGATTCAGGGTCCCCAGCGTGACCTCTGAAGTAACAATTAAGGGGGACAGACCTGAGTTTACATCTCTGCTCTGTCATTTCCTGTGTGACCTTGGGCATCTAGCCCTCTCTTTACTCATTTCTCATCATTAAAATGCAAATAAAATGAGAATGCTCTAGGTTGCTACGATGATTAACTGAGAATATGAAGAGAGTAACACAGAATCTAGTATATATGAATGTTCAATAAATGATTTTAAATTTTACTGACCAAGTTGGGAGGATTACAAGGGAAGTGTGTAAGAGTTGTCTATGTATCTTCTTTTCTTTTTTTGACAGAGGGTCTCACTCTGTCACCCAGACTGAAGCCCAGTGGCACAATCGTGGTTCACTGCAGCCTCAAACTCCCTGGGCTCAAGTGATCCTCCCACCTTAGCCTGCTGAGTAGCTGAGACCACAGGCGTGTGCCACTATGCCCAGCTAATTTTTGTATTTTTTGTAGTGATGGCGTTTCACCATGTTGCCCAGGCTAGTGATTTGTATATGTTTCTAATTCCATTTTTCCATCTAATATTAGTTGTGTGTTTTCTCCAGCTTCTGCCTCTTCTCCCAGCAGGTACCAATACGTGAACCAGGGGACAGAAGCTAATTTACTGAGCTCCAAGGGAGGTTCTGAGCTCCAGCACACAACTCTGCACTGCTGTGGGCAGCTTGGACAGACAGTCACACATCAGAGCAGCAGAAGCCTTACCTTTCATCTCTGCTGTCATTAAAACACCTTTAAAGAGCCTTCACAAAGCCCAAACACTAAAACCTGTGTGGTTTCCTTTACAGGACAGAGACTGAGCTCTCCTCACAATGGCCAGGAACCATTCTCCCCAGTATCCCCTAGCAAACAAGCCCCCTCTACCAACTTGATCAGCCAAACCTGGTGTCAGGATACTGGGGGCGGGGTCTGGGTTGGTTGTAAATACTGCTTCGCCCCAGGAAAACTCAGCCACAGTTCCCCATTAGGAAAAGCCACCATCCACTTATGGTCTCCGTATTTTCTCCAGAACCAAGCAGATGGAGATATCTTTTCATCTCCTGGATGTGTCTCTCCCACATCTGTCACCCACATTTATGATCTACATCTACAGAACTGGAAATCCGGCCTGGGCAAGGCTGACAGGCTCCTGCTGGGTCTTCAGCAGACATGTGTCTAGAGGCCCCTGCCCTGCCTGGGCTGTTGCCATGTGGCAGGGAAAGCATAGCTGGCACTGAGGGAGGAAAGGGACCCGACTCTGGGGCATGTCACTGGCCCCCTGAGGGAACTCTCTGCAGAGCAGATGGTTCTGGAGGTGTCAACCTCTCCATAAGCCCAAGACAGCTCTTTCTGCATGCCATGTCAGGGAAGGAGGCCTCCCCAGTCAGTGAATTTTCCAGATAATCTTCCTGTTCAAAGCACTCAAAATTTTATTTTACCTTTTCATTCATGAAGTTGTACATTATACACTCACATCTTCTCAAAAAGACGAGGACATCAAACAGAAATTCACATCATAACCACCACTAATTGCTCTAAGAGCTGCTGAGACAGTAGATTTTTTGGTCCCCTCTTCCTTTGCTGTCAGATTGTCAGTGGTTTCACCATCAGCCATGGCTTGGGCTGTCAGAGCACCTACTTATCTCAGCTCCCCTACTCGGATCAGCTGCGTTGGATCTGCTCAGGTCTCAGAAATCAGATAATAACTAGTAATAGCCACCATTCACTGGGCACGATATGCATGTCAGACCTCCTGCTAAGTGCCTTCCATGCACTATTTCACTTAACCCTCTCAAGCACCCTGTCGGGTAAGAACTCTTATCTCCATTTTTCAGATGAGGAAACTGAGCTCAGAGTATAAATAAATGCCTTGCATAGGGACATGGAACTGGAAAGGAGCAAGGATGGTTCTTGGATCCAGTCTCTTTGATCCCAAGTCTGTGATTGCAATTGCCAGGTTATACCACCTTCTACCATATTACTCTGCCTTGGAATTATCTATTTGACAGCTGGGCCCTTTCCCCATCTCCTCTTCCCCATCCCTTCTCCCTGCCATGATGTAATTATAATGCCTATTCTCCCAACCAGGCTGTAAGATCCGTGAAAGTATGGGTTCTGTCCTTCTTGTGCACCCTGTAACTCCCCACGATGCATAGCACTGTAACTGGTATATAGACGGTGTATAATATGTAGATTCACTCCCTTCCCTTTCACTCATATTTTCTGGTTTCCATGCTCTCTTTGAAATTCTCTAAGTCTCTTTCCAGTGGCTGGGATTGACCAGGCTGTTCCTTGCTCTGACCCAGAACCACAGGAGTCCCTGTCCTCAGCTGTCCCTTCAGAGCAGTCTCTAAACTTCTGTCCACTTATGGTGTCAACCAGATGTCCCAAGGATCTTCAGGAATTACCCCAGTGGTGTTGCCTTGGGCTCTACGGCTAGCAGCCAATTCTAGGAGAGCAAGAGGACTGCCCCTCCTGGCTGGCACTACAGTTCTTTCATGAGATTGTGTGAGACCGGCCCGCCAAAATGGGGCTGGCATATTAATGTTTGGCAATAAGTTTTTTTTTCCCCTGGTAGGGGCCCCTCAGAAAAGGTTTGCCAGGTGTCCTGCATAACCTAGGGGAGGTGGTTGTGGCTATACTAACTCTAAAGGAAGACCCCACCACTAATGTTTATATTGATGAAATCTGATTAAAATGAGCACCACAGGTAGCCATAATCAACATGTAGAACAGCAGAGTTGGGGGAAGAGATGTCATGAGTTCCTGGGCTTTGGAGGCACCAGACCTGAGTTTAAATCCTGGGTTTGCCTTTTATGAGGTGGATGACACTGGCCAAATTCCCCTCCCTCTCACATATGGAGCAAAATGTGAGCACTTCAGTGCAGGAGCATTGTGGCAGTTTTTTAAAGGCCTCCATGCCTTTCCCTGGGTATTTAATGCTGACAACAGCTTTCATTAGAGCTCAGCATATCCAGTTTTATGAAACATGCAGTAAAGACTTTGTAAGAGTCCTTACCACTGGAAGATAAAGTGTCTTTATCTTCCACTTCAGCAAAGCTCCAGAACCTGGGACTGCCAAGGAGGATCTCATAATCCATGTCCTGTGTCTGGCCCACCAGTCCTGGAGCCCAACAAGAGGGCCTAGAAGGCATACTGACAGTGCGTAGTTCTAGTTTTCTTGAAAGAAAGCTATTTTTAATCCTAGCAGCAGTGGAAACTGCATAAATTAACATAATCTCAGCCTCACATACTACTTTCAGTATTTTTTTGTTTGTAAAAACATGCTTCATGATCAAAAGCCATGCCCAGTTTGTGTCTGGAGCTAGTTGCTATAGAGAGGGTGAGATATAGGGTCACTGCTGCATACTATAAATGGACAGCATGTTTTGAACTGTCACAACCCTCCACGGACCTCACTCTGCCCCTTGAGCTTCCCTGGGGAACAAAGGCTTTTTGAAAAAGATCTTTTTATTCCTGAAAGCTGATACTGGTAGCCAGGCAGGTGCTGGCAGGTCAGGCTGATGTTGCCCCCATACTGGGCAGATGGCAGCACATGGCACCAGGTAGACAGCCCCCAGCATTCTAGCTCCTTCCTCCCCGCAATGTCAGCCTCCCAACCTCCATTTGTTCTTCCCATCCTTGCATGTTATTTTTACCACGGGGAAAAAAAAAGTGATGCTATTTCTCTGCATTTTACCCTGAAACAGTCACACCAGCTCCCTTGAAAAAGCACCCACCAGATGGCTCTGGTCCCTTGGGCTCAGAGAAACTGCAAACCTCCTGGGCTGTCGGCAGGTTATTAAAATTTCATGCATCATGCAGGAGGAATGGTTTCAAACTCCTTGGTTCAGAATGGAGTTCAAGTTGTGGCTCTGATTTAGCTATATAATTCTTAGCAAGTGACTTGCTCTAAGCAAGGCCTTGCTGTGCCTGCATTTCATCCCATGTAAAACAGGGTGAATAATAGTGCTGATTTCACAGAAAGATTGGGAGGATTAATGAATCCAGTGCCTGGAACATAGTAGGTGCTCTGTAAGTATCAGTTGGAACTACTATTACCTCTGATATAGATCTTTGGGGGCTGAAAAGGAATTGTACAAAGGCCCTGCCTAGGATGCCAAGGGAAGAAAGCTGCTCGCAGGGAAATGCAGACTCTCTAGTACCACCCATTTTTCTGGCAGAGAGAGCCAGGGAGCGTGAGCAGGGGCCCGTGCTAAGCTCACTGCCATCCTGCAACTGGGAACACCTAGCTGCCTGGTCCCAGGCTTCACCCAAAGCCCATGGAGAAGCTTTATGTCTTCTGGAGTTGTTCACAGTGGGCCTGGCACGACAACTGCAGCTTATATTTAGTGAGTACCTACTATGTGATATGTCCTGGGCTCAGCACCTTACAGACCTTCTCTGATTTACTCCTCTCAACACTATTATCCTCATTTACAAATGAGAAAACTAAGAGTCGAGAAATGAAATGACTTGTTTAAGGTCACACAGCAAACAAATCTGAGGCTTGGCTCCAACTCTAGCTTGGCTGTCTGGAGAGTCCATGCTTGTAATAACTACATGCTACCTAGGTGGGCTGGAGGGCCCAGGGCTGCTTTTCACTGCCAGCCTGAGTGGAGGCTCATAGGCTTGACCCAGCCCTCCATGGCATACTTGGCTAAGAGAATGTGTTTCATGACTTTTTTGGGAATCTGGGTCTAGAAACTTGGAGTCCAGGCACTGCTGGTGTGAAGCCTAAGTTGAGACCCCAGCCCTTTCCATTGTATGTCTGTTGGGAGTTAGGGGAGGGATGCATGAACTTTTCCCATCCCTTCCTAACCCCAGGATCACTCACATCCCCACCTTCATTAGCCAAGTTTCTAAAAGTCTCTGTTAAAATGCCAATGTATGACCTGGAAGGAGGGAGATCTTAATCCAGTGTTGGCAACGAATGCTTGAGCATGAACTGCTTTACATCAGATTGAGGGTGAATAGGAAGGAAGGGGAAGCGGTTGTAGGAAAAGAGACCCTGGGTGGTTATGTTTAGGATAGCACACCCTGAAGGAAGGAATTGGCTGGCACAGGCCTTCTCAAAACTAACCCATCCAGTGTCCCTTCACTTAAGCAATTCCCCTTGCACTGAAGCTGATGACCTCACTCATGTTAAGATGTCTATGTCTGGCAATGGGTCATCATATTCATCCTCTCAAATATCACATTTCCATTTTAATAAAGGCATTTAGTAAATTGAAAGCTTGTCTTTCCTAGTCAGGTCATAACTTCACCAATAACTACCACCAGGAAGTTGGCTCCTATAAAAGATCAATAGGTTACCTTGAATTCATTGTAGACTCTCCTATTCCTTTATCCCTTTCTCGACATGGTCACCAGATTCTGCCCTAGTTCTTCCTTCAATGGCTCTTACATCTGCTTGTTATTCTCCAGCCTCAAAGTCCACCACTATTTCAGACCCTTATGCCTCTCTATGCCTCCATTTCCTCAACTAAAAATGGGGCTAATTACAGTACCTTTCCTATAAGATTGTTGTGAGCATTAAACAAGTTCATGCTTGTAAAATTCTTAGACTAGTATCTGGCAAATATTAAGCATTCAATACACGTTAACCATCACCATCACTATCACTATCACAACTACCACCATCAGCCTCCCATTACCATCATCAGTAGCAGTACCAGGATTACCAACAGTCTCCAGGTAGGCCTCCAGTCTTCATCCTTTTCCATGTCCTGATATGAATCTCTTATACACTATTTTCAGCCCGCCTTCCCCTACTTGGAATCCCATGATAGCTTTCTGTCCTTGAAAAACCCTCTTTCCTCTCCCCATATATCTAAATCCTTTCTCTCCTTTAAGTAAATGTGAAATCAGAAACCAGCTCCTACCCCATTTCCCCTGGAAGTCTCAGTCCCATGTTATCAAGTCAGGAACTAACGGTGCAGGTGCCTTAAAACCCGTTGTGCGGTAAGTGAAGCATCTTGGGTTCTTAGCAGAACCTGAAGGCAAGCACATGCCTTCCACTGTTTCGGTCTCCCGTAAAGCACATAGACCTAGGCACATGGGTGATAGTAAGGTATGGACTCCAGAACTGAACAGACTTGAGCTCAAAACCTGGAGCTATCATTTACCAGCCATGTGACCTAGATCAAATCAGTCAACTTCTCTATCTCATCTTACTCATTTGAAAAATGGGTCTAAGACATAAACACAGAGTGATAGAGACAACTGAACTTGATGTGAAAGAAGCTCCAACACAGAGCTGAGCACACAGCAAATGCTCAGCCAGGTCTAGCTCCCTTCCCTGACCTTCAACCATCAAGGGTTGTTGATGATTATTCTATTAGAAACAAAAGATCGCCTAATGGAGCAGTTTAATCCACCTGCTTCTGTTCCCATTGGAGGGGGAAATGATTGGCTAAAGTTTGCCTTCTCCAGTGAGAGGCTCACCCCCAGCCGCTCCCTAGAAATACCACATTTTCAAAGCTGCTTTTGTGTTCAAGACAATAAAACTAGCATCCATGCCAACTGCATAATTGTGCAGGCATTGATTAACACAAAGGAATAAGATAATAAAAATGAGGCCCATATCTCAGACTTCAAATCCAGCAAAGGAAGAATAGTTGGTGTGAGGCACGTAAGTCATCAGATTCCTAAAGGATGCTCTTTCTCCCTGACCCTGCAGAGGCTGGGCAGGGTAGGCCTGGCACACACAGGCATGCTGAGATCTCCAGGAAACACCCAGGTATCTGAACCAGACCATAACTGGGCAAGGAATCCCAGAGTCCAGCTAGTCCCCAGGGAATTGTCCAACCAAAAGCTAGAAGCAGAGTTCCTTGAAGGCTGGGTGACCAAAGGCCTCCTAAGAAGCCAGGGGTATATTCTCCCAGAGGCGCCTCTCTGGCTATGCCTCCTTGGGCTGGTTACCTAACCTCTCTGAACTTCATTCTCCACCTGATAATTTCTACCTCACAAGGTTGTTATGCTACTCAACTAAGACCCTCTTAATAGCTGCCCACTTCTGGGCACTTGCTATGTGACAGACTCCATGCTAAGCACTTTATATGAATGGTCTACTTTTCATCCTTTTAACCATGCCTGTGAGGCTCCATTTTACAGGGGAGAAAACTAAGGCACAAAGAGATTAGGTACTTACTTGAGGTCACACAGTAGAGATGGCGCTGAAACCCAGGCCTGTTTGAATTTCCAGCCCATACTCTTTTTTTTTTTTTCTTGAGACGGAGTCTCACTCTGTCACCCAGGCTGGAGTACAGTGGCATGATTTCGTCTCACTGCAACCTCCGCCTCCTGGGTTCAAGCGATTCTCCTGCCTCAGCCTCCCGAGTAGCAGGGAGACTGACTACAAGTGCGCGCCACCATGCCTGGTTAATTTTTGTATTTTTGTTTAGTAGAGATGGGGTTTTGCCATGTTGGCCAGGCTGGTCTCAAACTCCTGACCTCAGGTGATCTACTCACCTCAGCCTCCCAGCCCATACTCTTAATCATTATCCTTTGCAAACAGCAAAATACTGTACAAGCCACAGAGCAGGGATGGGGCCCAAGCATTCCTAACCCCTCTGTATTTTCCCTATCCTTCAACTCCTACCTCTGACTTCACACATACACACAAACACACACATTTGTTTGATCTAGGACCCTGCAGTTAGCAATACATGTTCACATTAATCATTTTACTTGGAAACTCACATTGGTCCCTAAAGCAAGGAAAATTGTTCCCACTTTCTAGATAAGGAAAATCAAGGCTCAAGAGGTTAAATGATCGGCCCATGCCCACATAGCTACTCAACTCAATGACGTGGCCCAGGATTTCATCTCAAATCTCCTGACTCTAAGACCTCTATCCTGGTCCTACAGGTGCGAGTGAGATGCTCTCCTGGAATTTCTGAGATACCTCCCTCAATAACTATCCCCCCAACAACCCCTGCCACCTACCCACAGTGTTTATGGTTCACTGAATTATAGTTGCTCTTTTGTTCAAATGCCTCTCTCCCCTACTAGCCTGTAAGCTCTTTTGAGAGCAAAGCCTACATCTGTCTCATTCTCATTAAATTGCCAGGGTTCAGCCCAGTGTGATAGGCAGGTGCTCAGTAAATAGTCACCAACTGCAATTGTATCCCAAAGCTTCCCTTCCCACTGTGGGAGCCAGGGAGAAAGCTGCAGCTCCTAGAAGGGAGGGTGGTGTGGGTAACACTGGGGGCAATGCTTGCCTGTGAGTAAGACCTACTAAGTGTGGCATCCAGCATTTTATGTACAGGAAATGGGAGGTGGAGGGTGGGCACAGAGAGGCCTCCTTCTCCCTATCCCCCACCTTGGTGGCATAAAGGAAAACCTAACTAAGTCCTAGTAACCCCACATGGGTATCCATCATGGCTGCCTTGGGTAGGGTCATCAGATCTAGCACATAAAAATAGAGGATGCCCAGTTAAATCTGAATTTCAGATAAACAGCAAATAATTTTTTGGTTTAAGTGTGTCCCATGACCCACAAAATGAACTCATATCTTGGTTCAGGCTTTGTCATTTATTACATATTTAAATATAATTAAAATTTTTTCATCATTTATTTAAAATTCAAATTTCACTGGGCATGCTGCATGTTAGCTGGCAGCTGCACCTGTAGGCAGGCTAGACTATTGGGGAAGGGGTGTTATTTATCCAATCAGGCTGAAAAGAATGCCCCTGAGGACCAAGGGGACACTAGAAGGAGCTGACTATGATCCTGGTGTCCGGT
The DNA here is from genome assembly GCF_000001405.40 of Homo sapiens. Taxonomy (NCBI): domain Eukaryota; kingdom Metazoa; phylum Chordata; class Mammalia; order Primates; family Hominidae; genus Homo; species Homo sapiens. The sequence goes on along the minus strand of NC_000011.10, from coordinate 19,730,742 downwards.
GAGCAAGGCCTGGCTCAGGAAGGGGGAGCAGTGCCAGGCCGGGAGGAGGAAAAGAGCGGCTGTAGCCTGAGGAACTGGGTTCACGCTGCCTTCCTGGCATAGGGAGTTATGCGGAGCCCACCCCAGCTGCTCCCCATTAAGCAAAGCTGGCATTTCGGAGCACGTCAGAAGCGCTGGCTCCCAGCCCTGGAAGTCAGCGTCTGGCCTCTGAGCCAGCACTGCACTGCCTGCCCGGCCCCAGCCCTGTCACCTCAGCAGACCGAGGGCCCCAACAGGCCCATTGTCATCCTGCCCTGGAGCCTCAATGGGTCCATTCAGGGGCTTTGCAACAAGCCCCTCTGGAAGGCACTTTTTCCTCCCCCTCCAGGGTGCCCTTGGCCAAAACCTTCGCCTGTGTGGGTGGGGGGTCTGGATGTGGTGAAAGCAGCCGGCAGCAGCACAACGTTACTGAAGGCTGGATTGTTGACAGAGGGCACAGAAATGCCCCACAAGTCACAGGACTCCAGGGCACTCTGCCCACACTGAACCCCCGACCCTGCCGAGGGGAACTGGGCTTCCGAGGCACTTGCACCTGAGGACCAAGAATCAAGGTCCCCAACACATTCACCATAGAACTGTGGAAGATTCATGACAGAAACCAGATAGATGCAAGTTCAAGCCCAGGCTTTACCAAATCCTGGCTGTGTAAAGCTGTGAGTTGCTTCACCTCTCTGGGCATCTCTTTCTTCATCTGTAAAACTAGAGCTATCTACCTCCTAAGGTGGAGGCTAGATTACAAACATCATGTAAGCATGGAATGTGGAGCCTGGCACATAGTAAGTGCTGAGTACACAACCCCTTCCCCTCTCCATTCTTATTTGTAGCTCTTCCTGATCCAGTGAAGACCCCCCAAAATTTGCTCTCCTATAGGTTGCAGATCCAAAGGCCACTGTTACAGGGATGTCTTGGTTCAGACTTTATCATGGAACATGGGTCCCCTGCAGACCTGAGATTCAGCTGTGGCCCCTCTCAGCCAACACAGCCCCTAATAAGGAGAAATGGCACTCAACATCTCCTATCATCTCTGGTGCCCTTTCTGCTAGCCCACTCTGGTGCCCTGAGCATCACAAATCTACTTTATACTTCCAGGTCTACCACTGCAGGCTGCTTCAAGCCCTCATTTCTGAATAAGGAAATAGATAAAAAGAAGCTCAACTCTATGGGCACAGTTAGGCAACTTAAAGCCAGCCATCTTGGGCCTTAAAGAGAGGACAAAGAGACACATGCCTTGGGTTCATTATATTTCACCAGGATTCTCAGTAAACCCTTCCTAGTGGCTGACATTCCCAGTGTGATGCCTACCCAACCTGGCATCTCCTGCCAATGGCAGCAGGGAGAAGAGCCAGAGCTTCCTGTCCACCAGAGCTCTCCACCGTCTGTTCATCAGACCAAATCCAAAGTATGCTTCCCTGTTTTCTCGGGATCTTGCATGCATTCAAACCTCAGCTCCTCTCCCATCTTCTAGGATCCCATTCCTGCTTGCTCCAAGTCACCCAGTTCCCTCCTTCCCTCAGTCTTCCAATTTCATCTTCTAATCTAGACCAGTCTTTGTCAGAGTGAAGGCTACAGACCATCTTATGCACACTCACTTGGTCATATTTTTCAAAGATATGAATTCTTGGACCTCACCCCAGATCTGCAAAATCAGACTCTCTGATGCTCTGGCCCATGATTCTGCACACTTAACAAGCTCCCTGGGTAATCCTGAGTACATTGAAGTTTAAGAACTACTGTCATGAAGGAAGGGGTGCACTCTTGGCATCTCTCTCTTGCCCCATAGGACCTTTCTCTGCATACGTTCCTTGCTATTAATAACAAAGAATGAATTAATTGGTTTCCTTATTACCAAATTACACTAATATAATAGAGCACTGCCATCTCATTTCTTGATTGAGTTCTGCCTTGGACTTTTCTTGAGAGGATTCTATCCATATATAACAGTACAGCAGAAAACACACACAGACATACTCACACCCAAGATGTAACATTTACGGTGTACTCACATGCCAGGCATTTGCCACATGCCTCATCCACATGATCGCATTTAGTGCTGAGAGCAGCCCTGTGAGGTCATTGCTATGGTGCCTGTGGTGCAGATGAGGAAGCAGAGGCAGGGTTTAGCAGCTTGCCTAAGACCATGCTGCTGTACGTGGACAGAGCTGAAATCCAAACCCTGGTCTGTGTGGCAATGACCACTCGCTCTTTTCCACTTCACTATCCTGACTTCTCTGAGGGGGCTAGTCTCAAATTCAGATCTCACCCCAGGGTGTGCATCAGAATCTCCTGCAGAGCCCTAAGAAATACAGATGCCAAAGTGCCACTCCAGGCCTGAATCTATGGGAGACATCAGGGCTGGTGGATTATTTGGACAATTCTACACACGGCTGGTGAAGAACCACTGAATATGCGCCCAGAGTCATGAAGCTTGCTAAATGAGGGTCTAGAAAGAGAACTTAATGTTTTTGACTCTAAGAACAGTGCTCTTTCAGGCTCACCATACTGTCTCATATGCTATGGTGATGCCAGTGGCCAAAGTGGACTTTCTACAACCTCTCAAGGAGCATCTCGACGCATGTGCATGCAAACACAAACACATGCATGCACACACACAGAAACCTTCTTGGTGCCAAAACATCATCTCTCAGTCATAGGACAGCTTCCCTGTCCCTGCTCAGGACCAGGTCTGGACTCCAGAGTGGCTGGAGTAGTCATTCCTCCAGGTGGTTTCAATGGGGTTAAATGAGACAAAGCTAGGAGAGCTGGACAAAGCTAGGAGAAACCAAAAAGTGCTCCACAGCATCCTCTACTACCTTCCTTCCTCGTGCAGACTCTGGAGTGAAGCTACACCTCTGTCACTAAGTCCTCTTCCTCCACCTGTGGTGGTCCATGCCTGACTGAGACACAGGTGTGCACAAGGTCAGGCAGTTTCTATGGCATCAGTGATCATGTGACAGCTTTAAAATAGCCCTGATTTACACAGAACAAGGGAAAAAGGCTCCAACATCAGCATTAGACAATAATTTCATCAAGCAGCCTAATTCAGGAGCTCAGTTATTCTGCTCTACTCTTATCAATGGGCTTTCCCCAAATCAATGCACAATTGCAGGGTGATTGAAAGAAATGCCTCCACAGGCAGATTAGATTTGCACAGCACCTGCCCATTGAGAGGGCTTCCCTGAGCATTAGACAAGGCAATGGAGAGGGAGTGAGCCCCTCCCACTGGTGCCCTGGGAAGCATCCTGCCTCCTACATAACCACATGCTAGAATGATGCAATGTGATTTGGGGGACTCAAGAACTGGAAGATTTCCAAACAGCAAAGGACTGTGGGAGTTGGTTTCTATTCAGACTGTGGGAATAGCTGACCTGTCTTTGCTGAAGGATCTAGAGAGGCATTCACAGCCATTTGTGAGACGGGCTGGATGGAACTACCTCCAGCTCCTGAAAGGTGCTATCTCAACCAGCCCAGGCACACCTGGCAGAGTGGGGAGTCAAGGCCCTCTAATTACTGCTGCACTCCCAGGTTGAAGACTGGGTTTCCCTTCCCTCTGCAGCTACCAAGTAGATAACAGTCTCTGGTCATGGTGACCAAACATTAGCTACAAAGCCCAGTGTACAGGTGAATTACCCTAAGCAACATGAGAGATGTAAGAAACAGAGTAGCTATGGATTTCGGAAGTCTGTCTTATGAGGTCCTCTTCTAGGGTGACTCCATCCATCCCTCCCATCTTCAACCATAGGGGGTTATTTGAGGCAGTTGGGCCTGTGCCTCCAGACAGAGGTGGCGACAGTACTTTGTGGGATGGGGTTTCTCTTAGATTCTTCTTCTGAAGGGGTTGAGGGCATAAATGCTCTTCTGTTTCTTAAACTTTCATTTCTGTATATGTCATCCGGGATCTTATTAAAATACAGATGTTGATTCAGCAGGTCTGGGGCAAGGCCTGGGATTCTGCATTTCTAACAAGCTTCCAGGTGATGCCATTACAACCAGGCCACAGACCATACTTTTGTTAGCAAGTGTTTAGATCACAAAAAGTGGGCAGAAAAGAAAAATAAAAAAGAAAATCTGAAAACAAAGTGGAATCGTGCCTGTTGGCAACCCTGATTCCCACATTCTACTGTGGGCAGCTCACAGTCAGTTCTAAACTCAGGAAAGGCACCTCTCTGATAAGGTAACATCAAAGCAAAGAACTGGAGCTGAGGGAGTGAGTGCTGTTGGTATCTGGGGAAGACATTCCATGCAGGAAGAGCAGCAAGTGCAAAGGCCCTGAGGCGTGGCATCCTCATCTTCAAAATGAAGGGGTAAGAAAACAGAGTCTTTGTGATATAGTTCTAAGGTTCCAGAGTCAATAGGAAGGCTTTGGGAGACTGGGGAAAATAACCTATCCTATAGGAACAGGACAGGGGAGTGAAAACTACAGGCCACCATTTCAGCCCCTCCTTTTTTAGTCTGACACGCCTCTCTTTCCAATGCTGTTTCAGAGGAGAAAATTACTAGTTGTTTTTAAGAAATGAAATAATCTAGCCTGTTAAGGAAGAGATATTTTTAAACCACTGAAGGGATTTTTCCTTTCCCATTTCTTTTATTGATATATCTCCTCTCCTTCCAGTTCTAAAATAAGCACCCTGTCTGCCCTTATGCTAATCCAAAGGCAACACACCGCAGAACGGCGAGGGCCTCGGCAGAGCCAGGCAGAGGTCGATTAGAAGCCACCAGACCTGGGGAATGCACCAAGGCAGCCCAGCCAGCCTGGCCTCGCCCATGGCCTGCTTCCTCACAATCCAGGTGACGAGACACTCTTAAAAACAGCAATGGAATGTAGCGAGAGTTGGTATTTGCAAATGACAAATTTCTGACTGAATTCCAGTTCTTTGGAATGGAAAACTAGCAGGTCCTGTTACAAAATGTACCAACAGTTCATGCCTAATACATGGGTGTGGGCAATTCATATACTTCAAATCTAAATGTGGCTAAAAATATGACAAAGCTGGCATATTTTTAGCCAGGTAAACATTTCTAGAGACTGGGTCAAATTTATATTGGTTTCTGCTCTGCAATCCAGAGAAGGAATGATTCCAAATGAGTGAGAGGCAAGGACCAAAGAGGAAAGCCATGGAGTCCACCAGGCAGTCGGGATTCCTGGTGACCGTCTCTAGTTTAGGAGTACTTTCCAGGACATCGTGTCCTTCTCCATTAGAGAGGGAATACTTTTGAAAGACCAAGGCCCCGTGTTACTTTAGACAGCAAGTCTTTGCTGGGTTTTATGACCTCTCACTTGCTGGGGGACCTTAAACAAGTTGCTTTCCCTTTCTGTGTCCTCAGTTGCATGTGTCTCTCTTCCCCACCCTCAACTAGACTTGGGTTTAGTGGGCGGCAGCACTGAGGGAGGACCATGCTGTGGGGAAGGAGGCAAGCTCTGTAGTCACTGCCTGAGATTCAGACCTGGCGCCTCCACTCACTGGGTGTGTGACCTTGGGCAAGTTGCTTATGCTTTACCTGCCCCAGCTCATCTGTACAATGGAAACAATCACAAAAGTATCCATCTCAGTGTTTACTGCTTTTATGGCAATTAAATGGGAAAATCCACATAAAATGCTGAGAATATCAAGCACATAGTAAGTGCTCAGTAAATAACAGTGATCTTATCTGCCTCACACTTTTACATACATGAACTGCTTTAGCTTGCACAATGTGTTGAAATGCTATAACCACCCAGGGAAATTGAGGCTTGACAGGGCAGACCTGTCCAAGCTGCAGTTCAACAACTATTTCTTAAGTGCCTACTGTGCCCCAGGCCTCGCCCTAGCATTAGGAAGGTGAGATTCCTCGTAAATAAATGGGGAAGTAGGAACTTAACCCAGGTCTCTCTGGCTTCCAGCTAGCAAGGGTCTAAGAGGCTGGGTAGAAAGAACATGGACTTGAAATTAGACAGTCCCAGTACTGGCTCCATGTGGTCTTGGTCAAGTTACTGACCTCCTCTGAGCCTCATACATAGAATGGGGATGAAATGCCCCCAGTGCCCTTGTGAGACTTAAAGGGGATAATGTATGTAAAGTGTCTGGACTATGGGAGGTGGTCAGTGTTGGCCTATTGCCACACTTATACCATCCACAAAGAGGCCCTATTTTTCTGATTCTTTGAGCCAAGTGCAAAAGCTTCCTAATATGAAGCAATTAAGAACACTCATTCTGGGCCAGGTGTGGTGGCTCACACCTGTAATGCCAGCTACTTGGGAGGCTGAGGCAGGAAGATCCCTTGAGCCCAGGAGTTTGTGGCTGCAGTGAGCCATGGTCACGCCACTCCAGCCTAGGTGACAGAGAGACACCCAGTCTCTTAAAAAAAGATACTCATTTTAACTACTTGGTAGAAGGAGGGGAAAAAATATATAGCATAGGGCTGGTTCCAATCTTTAAGCTATCAGGCCTTTCAGAGCAGAACATCTGATTACTAACTGAGATGAAAATACTGGTCCACAGTCAGAAGGCTTGGGTTCTGGTTTTTACTCTGCTCTTTGGAGCTGGGTGACTGGAGGCAAGTCACACTCCTCTCTGGGTCATGGTTTCTTCATCTGTACAATGGAGCTATGGGAACAGATGGCCTCATAGGTCTCCTCTGGCTCAGATGTCCTAAGTCTCTAGTACTTAAAGGCACAGATCACTAAGCAGATATCCCAAGTAAGCCAGGTTATTCTAAATCTGGTTTTGTCACCTAAATGGAGGTTTTTTCCTTCAAGGCTTGTCTTCTAACGATCAAAGCTTGCACACCGGAAGGTCTGACAGCTCTGGCACACTTGTGGCCCACACATTTTGAAGTAAACATGAGTCACTCCCAGGTCTGAAAAGAATCAAAGCAAATCAGCATGAAATGGGGACTGTCTGCAGAGCTGCAGCCAGCATGTGGCAGGAGGACAGGAACAAGGTCCTGCCAGCTGTTAGGCACATGGACCCTGCTGGGCCGGCAGCACGGGGGTCACCTGGGGGACAGCAGCCACAGCAGTAGGACAAGGAGATCCTGCCCAGATTGCAGCAGGATGTGGGCAAAGGCCAAATAGGGCTCCTCATCCTATAAACACAGAGCCTCTGGCAACAAGCTGGCACAGGCACAGAAGGCCCCAACGAGGGGGAAGCAGCAAGAAGGGCCGAGACCAGGGAAGCAGGGAGTAGGCTCCAAGAAGAGGAGGGTCTGGAGGTTTGATTATCTAAAGCAGTAGCTCATATGGGACTCAGGCCTCCTTCAATTACTGGCAAAAGAAGGCAGTGGTTAAAAGCACAGGTTTGGGAATCAGAAAGACCTCAGTTCAAATCCTGCCACACACTGTCTATACCAGCTGTGTGACCCAAAAAAGTCCCAGAACTCCTCTAAGGCTAGTCCTCTCACTGTCTCCTATTTTTCTTCTTACTGGTAAAGTAAGTTCAATAATATCAGCTCAGAAAGTTCGTTTGAGGATTAAATGAGATTATGTAAGGAAATGGCACATAAATGGTTGCTGTGATCATCATTCCTGGAAACTCTGTCCTATCCTAGGCTTTTCTAAACCTTCTCCCTTTCCTAACCAACTAAAACCCCCTCAGAACCCTTCTCAGGTCCTCCATCCAAGGTAGGGGCGGTTGGGGGTGGGGGGCAGGAATCTGCCCAAACTTGCCAAAGCCCATGGTGTTATCTCCCTCTCAACCCCTCCAGTCTGCTGCAGTGCCATTATTACATCCTCACAGCTCTTCTTCCATCGCAGCAGCCAGAGAGTTTGGATATCATAAACAGCCTTGTGCAAAGGAATCTGCCTCCGCCCTCTACTCAGCCAGACCAGGCAAGTTTCCCTAAGACCTGGTGTTGGAGAGCTTTGATGCTGGCTCCAGACAGTGTTCAGGTTGCCCACTCTGTGTCTCTGTCTCCTACGCTTGGCCACCCACCATCACATGACCTTCTCAGTTCACATCCTAAGAGGGAGTTCTGCAAGATCCATCCACAGCTCGAGTTCAATATCTATTTACTACTGTTTTCCAATGCTTTCTTTTATCTCCCCTTACCCTTCTTTTCTTCTGCAAATATTAACTAAAAACTTATTATGTATAGATCCTGTGCCAGCAGGAATCAGGAGAGACACAGCCCTGACCTCATGGAAGTCATGGTCCAGCAAAATAAGCAATCGCAGTCCAAGCTGAGGGGCTAATGGCCAGGCTATGGAACACATAGAAGATACACTGTATTAGGACCATGGTGGTGGCAGAAGGCTTCCTGGAGGAGGTAACACTAAACTGATTTTGTGTGGGTAAAGTGTGGGAGGATTCAGTCAGGCAAAAGAGAAAAGCTTGCTTCCAATCATACTCCTTACCTTCTCAGTGCCTAGACCAGCAGGGCTCAGTCAGAGGTTTTAAATTTTTTTTAAAAAATTACTTCATTTAAAAAATTTATTTTGTATTTGCAACCTTGGAAACACCTTAGATTTTTATAAAAGATTACCAAATGAAACTGAATCTTGTGATTTATTTCCAGAAAATGTCAGCAACCATTCTCATGAAAGAACAAGGAATTAAGCCAAAGTTTTCACACTATACCAGAAAGAAGATAAAGAGTCCAGAACTTAAACCTCATGAAACAAATTTGGCCAGGCTATTGTGAGTACATACACACACTCCTATTTCATTTATGTTCTCATAAATATCAGGGGCATCGGTGACAAATACTATTCAGGCAGGACTTTGTTTTGTTTTTAAAAATTTCAAACCTACAGAAAAGTTGAAAGACGTGCACATATATCTTTGCCTAGATTCACCAGTTGTTAACATTTTGCATTTTCTTTCTTCTTTCTGCAGATGTTCTCACCTTATTTTTCCTAATTGAGAGTTAAGTTACTTACTGACATCAAGATACTTCCCTTCTAATATTTCAGCATATAGCTCCCAAGAAAAAGGACATTTCCTTACATAACCCCAATACCATTGAAATGGATAGAATAATACTATCTAATACACAATCTACAATCAAATATCTCCAATTTTCTCACAAATGACCTTTGTAGCATTTATGGTTTTCCTCATCCAGGAGCTACTCAAGAATCTCTCATCGGATTTGGTTGTCATAGCTTTGGTACTCTTTTCTAGAAGAGTCCTTCACCTGCTTTAAAACTTTTTCATGTCTTTCATGACACTGACATTTTTGAAGATCCCTGGCCTGTTGTCTTAAATAATGATTCATAATCTAAACTTATCTGATTGCTTCCTCATGCCAACAAGTGATTTTGAATCAAATTCCTCATTTTCTCCTTCCTCTGTCTAGAATCAGCCCGGCCAGTTAACACTCAACAATGACGTTTAGTGGGCCTTGTGGCCTCAGAGGACTTGAAATTTTAAACATCCCAAAAGGGTTCAACCAATATGATTAAGCAACTATAAGCAACTAATACTTACTTAACATTGAAAGAGTATTTTCAATATTTCCAAACTCTAGGGCAGGGGGAGGAGTCAAATGGCATATGTATTACCAAGCTAAAGGAAATTTGAAAGTGATTTACTTAGACTCAGTAGTAACAGCATTTTTTCAGATATTTTTTCAAAGTGCTTTCACACTTGCTATTTAAGAAGGTTGACTTCAAAGGTCAAACAGATAAGCGTTCAAATATTTGGGTCTACCTACCAGCTGTGCTCCTTGGAAAAGTAGCTTCACCTCTGTCAGCCCTGGTTTCCTCAAGGGCTACCTAAAGTGTAAGATGCTTAAACAGGTGCCTTGTTCACAATAATTACCTGTGTTAATCTTCATAGTAACTTCAAAGAAGGTACAGCAGGTACTATCTTCTCCATTTTATAGGTGAGGCTACTGAAGCTCAGAAAGAAAATGTGATTTGTTGAAGGTCATGTAGCAAGGTGACTAAAGAGACAGAATTAGAACCAAAGTTGCTAAGTCCTAGAGTGGTCATTTCCAGTTCTCTTCAGGAAGTAGCATCTACCTCATGGGATGTTGTGAGGATTAAATGAATGATACATATCTGGTGCTATGCATTATGCTGATACAGAGGCTGTGCTCAATCGATATCCGTGACTAGTATTATAATTATTTTTAAAGTGCCACATTGCCATGAGTAGCTAATTTTGTTCAAAGTCTTCCAAAGACCGCTGAAAGTGGGATCACAATTATCTTGACTAAGACCCCATTTCTACCCTATCCTCTGTCCCACCAAGATGAACGGAAGGATTGGAATAACCCAAAATTCACTGAAGGTGTTGAGGTTTCACTTGGAAGAAGAGGCAAAATATTCTGAGGCTGGGGGCCCATTGTTTGCAAAACACAAGAGAGGATCTGTATTCCCTGGGAAAGGGGGCACTAAGCCATGAGTCATTCTCTGGCTCTGTGTGGGCGAATGGGGGTTCCTGCAAAAAACTTTGTGTCACTCACTATTGTCTTGTGTAGATTAAAGCACAAAAAGCCTAGCTAAGTTTTGTTCCCAAAATCACATGGCCCATTCTGCCCAAGCCATTCTAGGAACACATTGTCCATCTCTTTGAAAAATGTGACCAAGAGACAGAATAGTCATTGAATTTGGCCTGTGGTTATTGGTAAAGCACCATTGGGCAGCTGGCCATGCCTTGGGGCACCTTAATGGCCAACTGATCACAAGGTCCAGCTCTCATTACAACCATGCCTGCTGGGAGAAAAAAGGGCTTTCCTTCTGCCCTCAGAACAATGAGGAACCATTAAGAAGCCCAGTCAATGAAAATGTTCCATTCTTGGTCCTGTCCTGGGCTAGGCCCTCAGATTGGCCGGCTCCACTCAACCACCTCTACAGTGCCAGTTCAGACTAGTTGTACAAAGGAAGCTTCCCACAAGTTTGGTTTGTAGCGGATCCCTCAGCTTGGTTACTGTTATAAAGATGGCATGTCTGGGACCAACCTGTGAAGGTTTCAATTAACAACTCGAGATATGACTTCTTTGGATGACGTTGTTCTTAATTTACCCATTCATCTAACCAAAGCCCTGCTATGCCCTCCACTTTCATGGTGCAAGCCGTCTGTCTTTTCATGTACTCAGCTGCGTACTTGGGAGGCAGAGAGGTAGGGTGGAAAGAACGTGAGCTTGGAATGAGGCAGACATAGTTTCCAAACTTGGATCTGACCTTAGGTAACAAAAATAGGCAATACTATATATTCCTAGCTTAGTATGTGCCATACACTGTGTTCAGGAACCTACCTGGAATATCTCACTGAACCCTCACCCCCAACCTATAAGCATCACCATTTCTGCTTCAAAGATGACAAAACTGAAGTTTAGGGATGTTCTATAATTTGCCCAAAGCCTAGATGCAAACTCTGACCTCTCAATAAAGTCGAATTTACCACGTAAAACTGCCTCCAAGTGATAACCTCCCTTGGCCTCTGCTTTCTCACAAAAAATGCACAGACCGTTTTCCATTTTATCCAGCTTCTTGTGCCTCACATTAAATAATATCTATATAAAGAGCTCCGCAGACTACCTGGCACATAGCAGATGCTCCATAAATGTTCCCTTCCCTGCTGCTGAGGCGGATTCTGAGAACTAAGAATTTCTGACCTTAAGCCAAAATCTCGCTGGGTGGTTTGACTTTTTCAGAATGGTTCCAAGAGTTCCACTGGGGCCTCATGAAAACACCTCTCTGAAGGCTACATCCCTTATATCTTATAAGTAAATAATATGGGACCCAGATTTGGTGCTTCAGATCTTGGTCACAGAGGAAGAGAGAATGAGAAATGGAAAGCAAACCTAGCTATTCTGAAAGCTAGAATTTGGGCCGTAACTCCTCCAGCCTCCCCTTTGATGTGTGTGTGTGCTTATATGTGCTCAATACTTTAAGCTGTTCCATGTGTATATATTTGTGTTATCTGTGTGTATATATGCATATATACACATATCCAGAAGTAGATGTATTTATATACAGATATATACACATGTAATGTTACCCTGAATAAGCCACCAGTACCACCCTTAAAGTGTCTTTAGAAAATTAACCCATGGAGTAAGCAATAATATGTGAACCATAAACATTCTTGCATGTTGGCAGATAACCATGCTATACATTCCCCTCCAAGAACTGAGAAAGAGAAGAAAGGGAGTAACACAATAGCAGAAAAATGCACTAATCAAATCCATAATCACCTTTGATGATGGAGCAAGGATTCTAATCAAAACACAATGGAGCAAAGTTGCCACAGGTTGTAAGCTTAGAGCTGCGCTCTCTTCCCAGGGGCCTCCTCTATGCTTTCTTTTTCAACATCTAAAACACCCACAGAGAAGTTCAATCACTTCTAATTACTTTTTTAAAAAAACTAGGTGCAACTTGAACACCAGCTGCTAAAAACAGGAAATATCAAAATATTTTATATATGTATATATTTTTTCTTTTTTTCCTTGCAACTGCTTCTTAAAAATAGGCTAATGTCTCCTCAAATAGCTCAGGCATGTTACTTATCTGAAGGTCAGCCAGAGAGAGTTTCTGAACAAACACAGAGCGTGTCTTTAAAACAGCTCTCTGCACATGGTCCTAATTTATTCACATGTTAACAGAGCAGATGCTATAAATGTTCATACTTGGGGGAAGGCACAGGTATCTCAGTCCCAGGAAGGTAATTCAGGGGAGGTGTGCTGCTGCTGCAGAACACAGTTTCCTGCACTGGGAAGGGTGGGGGTGGGTGGGGGAGAACCAGCTGTAGGTTTATGGGAGAGACTCAAGGTAAGGGGCCTGGAGGAAGGGTGGGTGACAGTAGGGCTGTACCTAACAGCTACTTGCTGGCTAAGTTAGGTCTTTTCACACTTGATGGAGATGAAGAGCAGGCTTAGGGGCAATGGGATGTCACTGGCTGAAGAAAGTTGCTGCATAATAAAACAAGGTGTCAGAATAGCCTCCTTTCCCCTGTAACTACCACGTTGAATATTCTGAACCCCAAGCTAAAAATAATAATCACCATCATTTCCCAATGATCTGTTATGAATCTGAATCAGGTCCTTAACGGACACCCTCTCCGGATCTTCTCACAACTACCCTGCACATTCAGAATGATGATCCACCAGGAAGCCAACATGCAAATCCAATCCTTCAGCTGCAAAGCCTTTGTTCTTTCTCTTCATCACCTTTTGAAAGGGAAGATGTCAGATCTGGAGCAATGACTTGTTGCATGAAGCAACATCAACTGCTCGGTACCACTGCATGACCTTGCTCTTCATTCTCCACTATCACATTCATTCTGACTTCCTCTCCTCCCCACCAGTCTGTCCTTCCCATCTCCAAAATTCAGCTCATCTTCTGTCTCCTCCAGAGGCTCTCTGGACTTCTCCAGCCATCTTGGCCTTTCCTTTGAGCACCTTGGATACCCAGCCCCAAGCATGCCTCTGAGGCCTCCCTGTGTTGTGCCCTGTTGCCCTGTGTATATCAGTTATGCCTCCCAACTAGATTATAAAATCCCCAAGGCCCAGGCCATGTCCTATTTGCCTCGTAGATCTGCCAGAGCAGGATGGAAAAAGAAAGCAATGAAGAGTGGGAAGACCGCAGGCCTCAAAGCCAGACCAACCTTGCTGGACTCCCTGCCCTGCCACCCTGGATGACCGAGAGCAAGTGGCTGTACCTTGCTAAGCCTCATCTAGCTCAATGGTTACAGCAATGGTCTTATAAATCAGGGCCTGCAAGTTCTAAGACAGTCTCTGTGTTTCTCCCTGTACAATATCATGGTTAAAGACATGGGATCTAGTGCCAGACTGCCCGAGTTCTAATTCTACCTTTGCTACTCACAAAGTTACCAAACTGGTCTTTGCCTCAGTTTTCATATGTGTAAAATGGGGATAATAACATTTATCTCATTTGATTGTAATAAGAATAAAATTAGTTTTTAATGTAAAGTCCTTAGAACAATTCCTGGCACATAGAAAGTGATATATAAGGATTTGGCCATTATTACCATTGTTATTATTGTTACCATGTTGTTACTGTCATAGAAAATGGATGTATCAGACCTGATTTAAGTGTTTCTGTAAAGATGAAATGAGATTATATGTAAAGAGCCTCACCCATCAGGCACTCAGAAAGTGGACATGCCCTTCCCTCATCTTCCCGTTCTGCCTGGTACTGTACTAGAAAGGTGATAGATGTTCTACAGATCCTTGGAACAGATTGATACCTTTCCAGGGGCTTGAGAGAATAAGCCATATCTTTTCTCATTTACGGGCTATTAATGTTGATTCAGCATGCCCCATCTCTTAGGTTAGCAATATAAATAGCTACTTTTATTAAGTGTTCCTTATTTGCCAGACACTGCACTGAACACTTTACGTTATTTTTCTTAATGCTCACAACTCTAATGGTTGTTCATGCTCATTTTTTAATAGATGAGAACACTAAAGCCCAAAGAAATTAATCAAGGTGGTCACCTAGCTAGTATATGACAGACGCAAGACACCAGCGATACCCATCTGACTTTAAAAGCTATGTTATCAGCCACTACACAACCCAATCTCCTGCCAAAAATCCCCTGAATAAAAGGGGAGTCAGGGGCCCCAAGAGAGCATTTGCCATTTAATTCATTGTTTCCTGAGTATCTTCTAATAATATATACCAAATTTGGGACCTGGAAACTACCAGATGGCCAGTCAGACACAGTCCTCATGCCATAACCAAGAGACTGTTTTGGAGGGGGAATGGGTACCCTATCAGGCAGACTGTGGGAGAAGCCCTGGCAAAGAAGGTAAAATCCCATTGGCCAAAATCACTTTGATGTCAGCTGTGCAGACAGGGATCTGCCACAGGGAAGAGCCCCCAGAACCCCTGGGCACTGGCAAACGAGGGCAGGCAGGTAAAAATCAGGGTAGTCCACTGGAAGTGGCCAATTTCCTTAGCAGTCCATCCAAACTATGTTCACCATCAGTACACAAGGGCCCATTGAGGGCGAGAGAGGTGAAATGGGGGGATTATGGACCAAGGGCAAAAGAGGGAAGCAAAGTCTTGAGGGAAGTGGACTGTTCCAGCCCCTCAGAGAGAAGCTGAAGAACATTTTTTTTCACGGACAGGGTGATGAATCACCTTTCCAGAGCCTATGCACTGCCAGTCCTCTGACAATGTTTGTTAAATGAAGGGTCAAACGGGCAAAGGCAGAACAGCTGCCTGGATATGAACAATCCCAGCATGGACTTTCCCTCTCATTCCTCGGGTGCTCCTCATCAGGCTCGAGGGTATGTGTCACCTCCAGTCCCGAGTCACTGTACTGACCTCCCACCGACTGCCCACTACACCTCATAAACCCCAAGTCCATGGATGAAGGGAAACCCCATGCAGAAGTGTACCCTGGTGCTCACCCCCATGGCAGAGCCCACTGGACAAATCCTGTACGTAACAACAGAAGAAGAGCAGAGCACAAAACCCTCACAGAGGCAGGCCCCCGGAGCACTGGAGGAAATCTTGCCTTCCTCCCACACACCATCACTCAAACCTGTCAGCTTCCAAAAATGTTTAGCAAGTGCAGCAGCAAGGGGCATGCTTATCAGCCTGGTGTGGGAGCTTAATCTGCTTTGAGGGCCTTCTCCAGCCCAGAGTTCCAAAAGTCTGCTTACAATTAGCTTCAGCTCCAGTTCCCGCATCAGAAAGCCTAGGAACGTGTTGAGCTCTAGCCTCTGATCAGAGAAAGCTCCAGGAGAAGGTGGAGATGGTGTCAGCAGGGAAGTATGTGCCAAAAAGGTCAGCTGGTCTGTTGCCATTTTCCTGACACCAGCCCCAAACCACCTCCCCTCTGGCTTCCCGCCTCTCCTAACCGGACAGTCACATCCGTCAGGTCGGCCTGTCCCCAAAAGTCCCTGCTGACTGACTGCCAAGAAAATATAGCCCCCTCCTACCAGAAGAAGGGGGAAATGGAGCGGGGAGGACCAAGAGAACCTGATTGGCCCTTGCTAATTTCTGTAAAAGAGATTGCACGGCCAGGGCTTGTCTGGATGCAGGCTCTGTCTGGAAAGGTAGGAGTCACCAATTCTCTTCAAGCCATCTCCCATCCCCACGCCCCGTCACTCGGGCTACCAACACCAGGATCTACCACCCAGGAAGGAGGGGCTTAGCTTCGGCCGCCATTCTGAGGCAGCCACCTCCACCCCCACCCCCACCGCAACAGCCAGCCAAGGCGCTAGGAGTCTCCAGCTGCCGGCCTCAGCTGGTGCACTAGTACCGCAGTCCCAGCACCTTGCCCGGAATCCCGTCACCCCGCAGGATGGGGCAGGGACAGGTCATCTTCAAGCCAAGGGAAGAGCAGGTTCACTGCCACCCGCGATCCCCTTTTCTTCCTGGATCTTACAGCCAGGCTAGGGGGCGTCGAACCCAATGGGGCCTTAGATCATTCCTTGTCCGGAACAGAATCTCTGCGGAACCGCCAGACAGACACACAGCTGCTGCTGCGGATACTGGCTTCTTGGGGCCAAGACCTCAACATGCAGGACCTCACATTTCCAGCGATGCACACGTTTTTTGAGAACATCCCGACCTTTCCTCCTCCCCAGGAAGATGCTGCAGACGTGCCCGCCATCCCAGGTCTCGAAGAGCTCTTAAGGCAAACCTCCGGCACCCGGGCCACACCCACCGGCCGGCCCACTCTCCTCGCGCATCCCCCAACCTGCCGGCCTAAGGGGAATGGTTCCCTTCCCTGGCCACATGGTAGACCCTTCTCCCATCCAGCCCTTTCTCCCACACCATCCCGAAAGAACTATTCATCCATCCTTCCAGAACAGTACCCCGGCAAACGGCATCTCTCACCTGGGTATCGAACCCGTTTTCCACCGAGCCGCTCTTCCGCAGCGGGAGCCCCTCCCCCGCTGGCTCCTGCAGCCCCTGCAGCACCTGCGATTTCAGGGGGATCTGGCTAGGATAGGTGGTCTTGCTCACCTCCACCTTGCTTCCCAACTTCAGGTAGCAGGGCTGGGGGCCCGCCCGGGCCGGGGGCACGTGCAGGATGGGCGCGGCGCTGTGCACGGGTTTGGGCAGTCCCGACTTCATTTTGGAGGCGACCAGGATGGCCGGCATCTTCTCCCGGGGCTTGGGCTTTCCCAGCACGTCCCTGGCAGCGGCGGCGGGGGCGACCGCTAAAGGCAGCGCGGGTAGCAGAGCAGGCGCCGGGCCTTAGCCCACGAGGCGCCCACCACCAGCGGCTAAAAAAAAAATCCCCAGGTCGGGGAACTCGAAGCAATCGGGCGAGCGCGCCTTTGGGGTGCCGGGATGGGAATGGGGGACTGGCCACGGCGCTCAGCGGGTCCCACCTGGACGGATGCTGCCGCCGGGTCTCACACCTCTCCTGGGTGGCCTTTCAAGAGCTCTGGGCGCTCAGGGGCTGCCGCCTCTTGCAAATTTCCTCCTGGGAAACAGAGGCTTGGACGCCCATATTAACTTGTCACTGCATCTCCGAAGTGAGGAGGCCCCTTTGGAAGAGACAGAGGCGGCGGCGACCCACGAGTCCCGTTCCGGAGGCTACGGGTCTGAGCCGGCGAGAGAAAGAGCGAGCAGCCAAGGAAGGAAAGGAGACAGCAGCGAAGGAAGGAGAGAAGAAGGGCGCAAGGGTCCCAAGACGTCTCCACCGAGAGGCAGCTGCCACCCTGCTCGCGAGCACCGCAGTGTCACCCGCGACGCAGCAGAGGTGCGGCAAGAGCCCCCGAAAGGTCTCTCTTGGGGTGACAGTCACCGCTGCCCAGAAGGCCCCCGGACTGAGAGCACCTTAGCGCCTGCGGGTCTGCACATGCTCCGTGAGC
This sequence comes from Homo sapiens, assembly GCF_000001405.40. Lineage (NCBI taxonomy): Eukaryota > Metazoa > Chordata > Mammalia > Primates > Hominidae > Homo > Homo sapiens. The sequence continues at coordinate 19,712,976 of NC_000011.10, read as the reverse complement.
TAGATAGAGGCAAGGCTGTGGCCGTGGGGCGCGGGCGCCGGGACGCGCGGCTGGCGGGCCGGGCAGGGCTGCGCTCGGGAGCGGCCGCCGCGCTTCCCGGGAAGGCTGCGCTGGCTGCGGGGCTCAGCGCAGGGGAGGACAGGCTGCTGCCGGCGCTGCTGCGGCGCGCGCTGACAGCCGGGGCCGCCCCGGCGCGCCCATTGGTCCACGGTGCGCCAATCAGCGGCCGCGGGTCTCACTGCAAAGAGGGTGTGGCCTAAACTCTGGCCGCCGCCGAAACTCTGGGGCCGCGCTTGGCCGCGAGTACAAAGCGGGCTGGTGGCCGCTTTGCGGCACTGCCCCGGCCGCGCGCCTCCCGGGGGGCCCACACCCCTGCGTTCCTGAAACCCTTCTTTTGAAAAATGCCCTTTCGAACGCAACCGTCCGCCCCAGAGCCACGCGGGCACGGCTCGAGGGAAGTTTGTTTCCTTTTTCAAATTGCTCCGGTCACCTTAACGGTTTGAGTCTTCCGGAGTCACGCCCGCAGCCTCGCTGCCCCCATCTGGCTTGGGCAGGGCCGAAGCTCGTCTCCCGCTTTAAGAGCGCGCCAGCCATTTCTCTGCCTGCTCTTCCAGGCCGGCTGGGCGGGGGGCCTCCCAACGGCTTCCTCTCCAGTTTTCAAAGGCTGCACATTTCACTTAACTATTTGAAGTATTTATAGGCAAATACAATACGCAGGGAAGCTTCCCGCCCCGAGACAGCTCCTCCACGCAACCTACCACAGACTCTGTAATTAGAGTGGCCTGAAGAAGCCGGGAGAGGCTCCATGACCCCGGCAGGCTCTGGCCAAACCTTGCTGCGTTTCATGGAGCCCCTCCCTGTCCGCGCCTGGGACGCACTGGCCCCAACAGGTTCCTCGACTCGAATTCGCTGTTTGGGTTGCTCTGTGGTTTCCTCGCTGACTGAAAGTGGATGAGAATAAGAAGGAAACTGAGAGATGATCAGGCAGGCCAGCCTTCGCGATTTATGAATGAGGAGCCTCCCACCCTGTAGAACTGCTTGGATTAGAAGTGGGCAAGTTATTTAAGCTTACATGCATGCTTATAAAGCTTCTGTTTTCACATGTAGTAAGGTGGAGGCTTGACGACATTTACCTAATGAGCTGTTGTTTGGATTAAATGAGATGGTTGGTGCATGGCAGTCATTTAGCACAAGTACCTGGCAATGTAAGAGACCAATAAAAGCTGGGCTTTATTTTCCCTGTTGTTAAATTACTGCTGCTTTCCCCCAAAGTCATCTCTGTTTATAAACTATTTGTCTTTCTTCTTTGTTTCCAGGACACTTTGTGCCCACCCTATAGCCTGATCTTCAGTGCTGATAGCATTGATTTAGAATAACTCAGATGCTATTAACTCTGTCCCCCTGGAATTCATGTTAAACCCGTAATCCCCAGTGTGATGGTATTAGGAGGTGGGGAACTTTAGGAGGTAATAAGGTCAAGACAGTGGAGCCCTCATGATAGGATTAGCACTCTTATTAGAAGAGACAGGAGAGAGATGCTTTCTTACTGCCTTGTGAGGACACAGAAGGCAGTCTTCTGTGGACCAGGAAGAGGGCCCTTACCAAGAATCTGATACCGTGTTGGCATCCTAGTCTCAGACTTCCAGCCTCTAGTACTGTAAGAAATAAATGTTTGTTGTTTAAGCCATCCTGTTTATGGTATTTTTGTTATAGTGGCCCAAAGTGACAAAGATCTCAGACCAGAGGAAACATCAAAGTCTTAACCTCTGAAGCATTAAGAAATGAGAAGGCACCTTCTTAGCCATTCTAGGTAGCAACTTTCTACTCTAGTTAGGCTGAAATGCACGGCCCTGTCTATGTCTGTTTCAGTTATCCTCCCTCTCTCTGAAATCAAGTCACACATCATTCATGCTACTTACTTAACACTTTGCCCTTTGCCATCTGATGCCACCTCCCGTACTATTGTCTCCCATTATTTAACCTGTTATTTATTGTTTCATGCATTCATTTTCATCTTAGAGAATAAACATCTTGGAATTAGGAGCTGTGTTTTAACTTTCTTTAGATCTTCTCAGTATGGAGCATAAAGCTGTGGACAGAATAGCTACCCAACATTTATACTGAATGAATGATTGAATGATGCTAGAAGAAGGAGAGATTGTCTTTTAGATTTAGGAACATAAGGACATACGAAATATTATGCTATAAACCTTGGGACTCTTTTGCCTGCCCTGAATTCTAGTTCTGACCAGTGTACCAAGATTTGTGGAAAGATATCACAATCTTCAGCTTCTAAAGATCAGGGAGATATTCCAAAGTATTCCCATGGCCCTAATGCAGTGGTTCTCAAAGTGTGGTCCCTGGAGCTGCAGAAGCATTACCTGGAAACTTGTTTGAAAGCTCCACCCAGACCTATTGAATCAAAAGCCCTGGGGATGGGGCCCAGCAATCTGTGTTTCAACAGTGTTCAACCTAGTGATTATGATGCATACTAAAACTTGAGATATTCTGCCCTAATGAATATATCATGCATTCAGTGCATCTCCAGAACTTCTTAAACCTTAATATGCCTAAGAATCACTGGGGATCTTGCTAAAATACAGATTCAGATTCAGTTGGTCTAGAATGGGGCTGAGATTCTGCTTTCCGAGTAAGTTCTCATGTCATGCACATGCTGGTGTTCTAAAGATCACGCTTTGAGTAGCACAGACAGCAGGAGGATTTCATCTTAAGGGCCATCTACTGAAAAGGATCTCAGAGTGCATCCATCTAGTTGGAAATAGCCGCCTGATCACTTGATAATGTCTGCTATGGGTATATAAATGGAAATAGTGAAATACATATTATGTATTTGCCATCTTTGGTTTCCTGTTTAAATTGTATTTACTGCCAAGGTCATTTCGGGGTTCTGAGACCCTCAAATATGCATAAATATGAACAACAGTATTTCTTTTAAAGTATTTCTAATGTTCTAGGATTGGTAAACATGAGCATTTCCCTTAACCCTGTGTGTTTTATATAACTAAATTCTGATAATTCTTCATTTTTCTTGATGAAAGATCTTTCACTTGAGGACAAGTGAATCTTTTAGTCTGTTTCCAAATTTCTTTCTTTTCCTGCCTCTTCTTCCCTTTAGTAATTCTATTTGCTTTTTCCTGGAGCATTATTTATCTCCTTTTTTTTTGTGACCGAGTTTTGCTCTAATTTCCCAGGCTGGAAGCTGGAGTGCAATGGCGCGATCTTGGCTCACTGCAGCTGGGATTACAGGCGCATGCCACCACACCCGGCTAATTTTTGTATTTTTAGTAGAGACGGGGTTTCGTCATATTGGTCAGGCTGGTCTGGAACTCCAGACCTCAAGTGATCCACCTGCCTTGGCCTCCCAAAGATTCATCTCCTTTTATATCTTTTTTTTTTTTTTTTTTTTTTTGAGACGGAGTCTCACTCTGCTGCCCAGGCTGGAGTGCAGTGGCACGATATTGGCTCACTACCCAGGAAGCTCCGCCTCCTGGGTACACCCCATTCTCCTGCCTCAGCCTCCTGAGTAGCTGGGACTACAGGCACCCGCCACCATGCCCAGCTAATTTTTTGTATTTTTAGTAGAGACGGGGTTCCACCATGTTAGCCAGGATGGTCTCGACCTCCTGACCTCGTGATTCGCCCGCCTTGGCCTCCCAAAGTGCTGGGATTACAGGCGTGAGCCACCGTGCCTGGCCCTATCTCCTTTTAGATATTTTCTATAAACGTTCATTTTTCTTATTTAAAGCAAAATAATTTATCATAATAACCAGACAAGGGTGGGGCGGGGGGAAGCTATTTTTTCTCCTAGGATAAATGAGATAATTATAAGTTTCTTACTTAAATAAGATAATCTCAAATTATAAAAACGGCCTATAAGTTTACTCCTTCCACACTGATACTGTGTTAACATGAAAAACGTCATTTTAAATCAATGTTTTGCAAGCATTGGAGGCTAACGCAAGTCACTGGTTTGGAGAATGGCAAGCTGCTCTGGAAAGAATACACTATCCAGGTATTAAAATAACTTTTTTCTTTTTTTCTTTTTTTTTTTTTTTTACTATATGCATTATGGACAAGTATGCCAAGTTGAAATGGCCCACCATTTTAAATTCCAACTTTGACAACCATTCTTTATTTTTCTTCTGGCTCAGAACTTGCAGAATCACCCAAATGTCAGTGATAGGCCAAATTGAAACGTATTATCAAAGCTCTCAGGTCCACTGAATCATCCTAAGAGACTGGATAGTTCCCTGGTTCTAAGAGCCATCCTCAGATCAGGAAGTGCCAGCTGCACCCCTCTCTGCTCCTCAACGTCAGCCACTTGTGATTAGTTGAGTGTGAATTGGGCTTCAGACCTGACCTGTGAGTGACCAGTTCCATCAACCCATCCTTCATCTTAGTTAAAGACCCCTGTTGGCCTGACCTCCCAAGAAGACAGTCCGGTGAAGAGCCTGGAACATCTAAGGCCCAGCCTGTCACAAAAAAATGCAGGGATCTTGGGGGGAAAAGTCTACAGCCTTTTGGAGACCCTAGATTATACATGATGAGGGGAAATGTTGCAAAGTTTCTTGAATAATATAAAAAGCAAAATATTTATGAGTTTATTTGGGAGTAAAAAAAATGCACTTTTCCTTAATTTTCTACAAATGGGTTGGCAACTTATGAGACATCTCCGAGATGGCACAAAGGCTCACCTTTTAGTAGTGGCTGAGTTGAGAGGCCACCCATCTCATACTGCAGAGAAGTGAGGTAAGAACCTTAAGACATCTCTTTGGAAAGTCTGCTCATCTACTCACCCTATCAGTGACTCACTTCCAATCTCAAACTTTCTTCCAGATGGGTCTGTGTGCAAATCAGTATGCCCAATGGTAACCTCTGGGGCTTTTTTTCTGAGAACAAAGGCTGAGGGTTCCCCTACCTGCAGAAGCTAGAGTGTGAGGGGTATGTATGTGTGTATGTGTGTTTATAGGCATTTGAGTCAATGACCCAGACTAAATGTCAAATAAATATAGTCACGCACTGCATAATGATGTTTTGGTCAATGACTGACTGCATATAATGATGGCGGTCCTGTAAGATTATAAGGAAGCTGAAAAATTACTATTGCCTAGTAACATAGTGGCAGTCATAACATTGTAGTGCAACACAGTACTCATGTTTGTGGTGATACTGTGCTGCAAGTTTTATAAAAGTATAGCGCACACAACCATGTACAGTGCCTAATACTTTATATAGTTGATGATAAATACTTGATAACAAATTACTATGTTATGGGTTCATGTATTTACTGTACTATTCATTGTTATATTAGACTGTACTCTTTCTACTTAAAAACATTAACTGTAAAACAGTCTCAGGCAGGTCCTTCAGGAGGTATTCCAGAAGGCATTGTTGGCATAGGAGATGACAGCTCCATATGTGTTTTTGCCCCTGAAGACCTTCCAGAGGGACAATATGTGGAGGTGGAAAACAGTGATATTGGCCCTGTTTAGGCCTAGGCTAATGTGTCTGTTTGTGTCTTCATTTTTAATTTTAAGAAGTTGAAAAAGTTAAAAAAATAACTAATAGAAAAAAGCTTATAAAGATATAAAGAAAATATTTTTGTATAGCTGTACAATGTGTTTGCGTTTTAAGCTAAGTGTTATTTCAAGAGTCAAAAAGTCAAAAAATTTAAAAGTTTATAAAGTAAAAAAGTTACAGTTAACTAAGGTTAACTTATTATTGAAGAAAGAAAAATATTTTTAATAAATTTAGTGTAGCCTAAGTGTACAGTGTTAATAAACTCTGCAATAGTGTACAGCAATGTCCTAGGCCTTTACATTCTCTCACCACTCACTCACTGACTCACCCAGAGCAACTTCCAGTCCTACAAGTTCCATTCATGGTAAATGCCCTATCCAAGTATACCATTTAAAAAAATCTTTTATACTATATTTTTACTGTACCTTTTCTACGTTTAGATACACAAATACCATTGTGTTGTAATTACCTATGGTAATCAGTACATCAACATGCTATACAGGCTTGTAGCCCAGCAGCAATAGGCTATAGAATATAGCCTAAGTGTGTAGTAGGCCATCCCATCTAGGTTTGTGAAAATGTACTCTATGATGTCTGTACAACAACAAAAAAGACTAAAGACTCATTTCTCAGAACATATCCCTATTATTAAGTAATGCATGACTGCAGGTAGCAAACCATTGATTAATCAGTGGCTCAATAATTAATACAAGGAATAAATTGTTGCAAGCCATCTATGTGCCTGGCTTTGGGCATTATGATGGAGAGCAGATAAGAATAAGTTATTGCTCTCGGCTCTCAAGTTTCAAAGAAGGATGTAGCTGCTGTTTCTCACCTGAGGATTGTCCTTTCTCGAAACTGAAAAACAGAAACAACTCACAATCTAGTAGGGAAACCAAACAGGGGAATAAATGAATGACAAACAATATAACCAATACTCTAATAGAGGCAGCACAAAATATACAATGATAAATCAGGCACAAAGGAGGGTCAACTATTTGTGGGGTTATCAGGTATGTTGATTAATTTAATTTTGTAACAAAAAACCTAAAGTAATAGAGAGAATTTTTTTGCTTTTACCCTTGGTGTTGAAACTCTAAGAGGTATGTTCCACTCTCCTACTTCTATAAGTTAAGTCTAGGAAACATTCCTTTGTTTACATCTTGCCTCATCCCACAAAGGATTAGAGGAAAGCCTGTATTCAATAAAACAATGGCTAAATATAATGTAATAGAAGAAAAGGATTCTTATTTAAAACTTAGACTGTGACTACTTTCACTTTCTGTAGGTGGGAGAAGGCTGTGTAAATAAATCATATCAGTGGAAATATAAATCACATATCACTTCCTTCCATATTCAGGCACTAATATCTATTAGTGCCAAGTCTGAGATTTCGAAGTCTGCCAGTTCTAAGCTGCTCAAGAGGTCCTCTGAGTATATGGTCTTAGAGATACATTAGTGAGCATTTGGATATGTGAAGGTCAGCCTAGAGTCCAGGGGTCAAGCTATATTGTCATCTATAATAAGTGAGAAAAATTCCATTTCCTGGGAGCGGTTCAATATGAAGGGCTCCCAAAAAATGGAGTAGCCAGAGCAGTGTGAAGAGCCTACTGAGGAGGACAAAAAACACAGACAAAAGTGCCAAAGTAAAACCCGTTTATTTTCCCAAAATAGCAACAAAGCCTGCTATGCTACCAAATACTTGGAGTGACTTGATTTTTCTTTAGGTGGGGGAACATTGCTATTTTTTTTTTAAAGAGATAAGTTTTGAATTTGGGGTTGTTTTGGCACAGAAGGAAGAGAACAGAGAAAAGAGATAGACAAGAGTGAGATCCTAAGATTAATGGGAGCAGAAATGTAATCAGGGATGGCCACGAGAATGAAATTGTGCCTCTTCCCCATCACCCTTGCTCCTCATTCAGTGATTTGCAGAATCCTGGACAGACAGGGAATTGGATTTCCTGTTTGATGTGAGATAGAATGACCAGGCAAATTTAATTAAGAATGTCTTCTAACAAGGAGCTGGGTCCAGGAAAAATGTAAATAAAAGATAAGTATCAATTATATGTGTGGGCAAAGAGGTCAAATAGGGAGAGGGAAATCAAAACGTCTGGATTCTCCAGTCCAAACAGTTGGCTCTAGCTGGTATTTTGGAGTGAGCACCACCTAGGGCTTTACCTGCAAAAAGTAAAGGTGACACTGAGCTGAGTATGTTCAGATTCTAGGCTGGATCTGACATGCAAGGTTTGTTTTGTTTGTTTGTCTGCTTGTTATTTTTAATTCTCCACCCACTTTTTCACTATTACAGAAGACTTATTTATTTATTTATTTATTTATTTATTTATTTCTACGAATTGAGGTCTAGTTAATTCAGTTTCAAATTGATATTTAAAAATTATTTCTTTTCTTTTTTTTTTTTTTTTTTGAGACGGAGTCTCACTCTGTCGCCCAGGCTGGAGTGCAGTGGCATGATCTCTGCTCACAGCAAGCTCCGCCTCCCGGGTTCACGCCATTCTCCTGCCTCAGCCTCCCGAGTAGCTGGGACTACAGGCGCCCGCCACGACGCCCGGCTAATTTTTGTATTTTTAGTAGAGATGGGGTTTCATCCTGTTAGCCAGGATGGTCTTGATCTCCTGACCTCGTGATCCACCCGCCTCGGCCTCCCCAAGTGCTGGGATTACAGGCGTGAGCCACCGCGCCCGGCCTCTATTCTTCTTCCCACACATATGACTAGGCAACCATAGTTGACCCAATAATAATGATGATGCTGATAAGAACTGTAATTTATGAAGTTATTCTTCTTATGTGCCAGAGACTAAGGTAAGCATTTTACATACATGATTTCTCATGCTCACAACAATTTCATGAGGTAGATAGTTATTCCCATTTTTATTTTACAAAAGAGAAAAATGAGGCCCAGAGAGGTTTGAGTATCTTACTTAAGATCCTACTGCCAATTAAGTAGAAGAGCAGGACTTGACTCCAGTGCCTGGACTCTGGACAGTAGACAGTATACTATCAAAGGAATAGCCATCATAATGATAAGCATGGAAATGATAATGTAACTTCCTGTTTCTGATACGGTTAAGATCTGCCTTATATATGGCATTTAAATGAATCCCCACAGCACTCCTGAGTGGTGGCAGAATGAGTCCATTTTAAGTTGAGGAAATGAGTGGAAAGGTTTGGTAGTCACCCAGTTTGCTAATGACAATGGTCTTAATAATAAGGCAAGGAAAGATCACCAGTTACAGGGGGTGGTCTTTGCGTGATGTTCGTGCTCTGAGACAGGGCTTCCTGCTATGTTCATCTGGAGGCAAAGACAACTTCGACCAGTACTCCTTAAACAAGAAGCCTAAAAATCACCCAGGCTGCTTGTTAAAGGAAAAGATACCTACCCCCTTCCACCCCCCCAAAAAAAACCAGACCTAGGATTCTGAAGCTGTGAGTCTGCATTTGAAAAAAGCAATGAGGTTACTCTGAATTAGTGGTCCTCCCCTTTGCTTTGCATCCTTGGCTTTACATTAGAGTCACCTGGGAAATCCACAAACTAAGGCTGTCCTGGTCCCACCCTGGACCAATGAAATCAGATTCTGGGAGTGGGCACAGGCAGTAGAATGTTGAGAAAGCTCTCTGGGTGCAGACGAATTGAAAAACATGGCTTTATGAAGCGCTGCAAAGGCTTTGCTCTCACAACACTTTACAGTGGGGGATTACTGAGGCAATAATCTGGATAATTTCAATCTATGTTAACAGCCAATCTGGAAAAATCCAGGCCTTCTATTACTTTCTGAGTGAGATTTCCTTTTTGACAGAAACACTCAGCCAGTCCAGCTGCCCATGCAGCCCAAACACAGCCAGGTAATCCCCCCAATGCCGCCTCAGCTCCAGCGGTGCGGGTAGCATCAGGCAGCCTGACCCTTACTCGTTACTCTACCGGTTGCTCCTGCAGGGCCACCAGGCACTGAGCTGCGATGCTCCCCACCTCCCCACGGCTCTCTCAACACATTTCCTCTTTTGGTTACTGCTGTCATCCTGGAAGCCTTCATGCCTACCCTCTGACTCTGCCCCAGGCATGGAGCCTGGTGAGCCTCAGATGGAAGAGGTGCTGCTGGTCAATGTCTGACCTCCAGGAAGAGGCCCAGTGCCCAGGGTTTAGGACTCTGAGAGGAGGATTTGGAGCAGAGTTAACTCATGAAGGTCTGTGCTAATAAAAGGATGTGTTGGCCTAAAAAAACCTCAATAGTGGATAATTTAACAAAAATTAGAGCTTTGGTATGCATTTTGTAATTTAAAAAAATATTATTTTCTTTATTATTTATATATATTAGCCTACTGTTAAAATTATTTTGCTAATATATTTATGTGTGTGTACATACGTATAAATAAACATGTTTATAAAGAGAAGGAAAAAGAAGGAAGGAATCGTGTCGAATTGTTAACAGCAGTTCTTTCTGAGGGGTAAATTAGGGACTATTAATTTCTTATTTTATACCATTATTTTTAAAAGTTGGAATTATGGGTGGCTTTAACTTACTTTTCCATGGGATTTCCTTTTTTTTCAAATAAATATTCTCATTTGTTTTAACCTTTTATTTATTCAAGGGACTTATTATTATTATTATTATTACTATTATTATTATTATTATTATTATTTTGAGACAGGGTCCTGCTCTGTCACTCAGGCTGAAGTGCAATGGCACCATCTCAGCTCACTGCAAACTCCTCCTTCCGGACTCAAGCAATTCTCCTGCCTCAGCCTCCCATGTAGTTGGGACTATAGGCATGCACCACTGTGCCAGCTAATTTTTGTATTTTTCATAGAGACAGGGTTCCATCATGTTGCCCGGGCTGGTCTCTAACTCCTGGGCTCAAGCAATCTGCCCGCCTTGGCCTCCCAAAGTACTGTGATTACAGGTGTGTGTGCTTGGCCTCAGAGGACACTTATTAAGCCCTGCTGTGAACCAAGCCCTGTGCAAATGTTGGTGATGTGGAAATGCAGAAAACTAGCTTACATCCATCTCTGCCCTCTCCTTTTTCAGGCAGGAGAATTGAGCTCCTTCTCCCAAACTAATAAACAAAACCTATGTTAGCAACCAAAAAGTGAAAATCCAGTTCTAGTTAAAGGGAGGTTATCTGTATAACAAAGTCACTGACAAGTGGGATCTCTTCTGACACAACTAAAAACCATTACCCCAGAAATTCCGTCTATTCTCCCTTCCTTCCAGGGAAGCGGATCCCACAGAATCATTGTCTACAGAAGTGCCAAGACCACCCCTGAGCACAAGGACTAGGAAATCAATTCTTTTCTGACTGATCTATCAACTTGCCTCTATAACTAATGATGTTGGTGGCCTCAAGACAATCTTCTTCCTGCAGAAACAGAGAAGATGGAGAGGAAAGTGGGATGCCAGAAATGAACCCTGCAGGGCACATGTAAAAGGGAATTCTAGTTAATGCTACCCCTTGGCTGAGCTCAAGGATGGTCTAAAAGCTGTCAACAAAACAGAGACACCCATGAGGATCTTTTGGGCCCTGAGAGCATTTGAAGTTGTGTGAAGATTTGAGACCATAAACAGCTGCATTGATTTCCGTTCCCTCTCCAAATCCAAGGCAAATAAAACCTCAGAGCTTCACGGGTGGAAAAAAACAAAATACACAGGAATTGTCTTTTATTTTTTGGCTTAGAAAGATATTGTTTTATAAACAGTGGGGCAAGACACTATTAAATTGTTTTCCAAAAATTTGCCTGGCAACTTTCTTGAAGCTCCACATTGCACAAGAATTTTAGACATTCACACACATTTATCAGAATTTCCTTTTCAAGGCAGTCTGGAAGTGCCTCAAATACGAACCAAACAAAGTTAGTCTCCCTGAGGTTGCAGTGAAAACTACTAAGCATCATCATCATCCTGGCTTCATTTCCACAAAGTCCATCTTTTCAAAAAACATCAGAATGTTGAATTAACTCCCATTCAGAATCATTTGCTTGTTAGGGTCTTATCCTTCCCAAGGGGTACCACAAAGGGCTGATTTGAGTATGCAGAATCCAGTTTTCAAAGGCGGCTGGCCGACAAAGCTGATTTCCTGCTGAGTTATCAAAGGCAGTCTTCTAGAATCCCCTCCCATGACCGTGGCCATTTGAGCACTTTCCTTGCCTTTGATCTCCACGACCCCATTTTCTTCTGGTTTCCCTACAGGAGAAACTCTGGCAGACCCCCCACCAACCCCCAACCCCTTAGATAGTTTATTATCAGGTTCCTTTCTAAGTGGGGTGAAAAAGGGGAACACGGAGGCTGGATCTGGCAGACTTCACTGTGGTGCCTGGCTTCATTTCTTATTGACTGATTGAGGCAAAGGTCCCCTCACTTCTCTGATCCTCAGTTTCTTCAACAGTAAAATAGGAATGATGACGACTATTTCACAAAGTTCTTGTGAGGATTTGAGATAATGGAGACAGAGGGCCAGGTGTAAGTCTAGAACCTTATAGCTGCTACACTCATTCATTCATTCTAATAGCGTTTTATGTTGCTACCAAATGCTGGGCAACATGCCAGTCACTGGTGATAAAATGTTAGTAAGAATCAAAATTCTTTTCTCGTGGAGCTTCCAATCAGGGAAATTGTAATTACATAACCACATCAGTGAATGTATAATTACTAAGTGAGGCAAGTGCTATGTTAGCAGGTAAGACATCTTAGACCCCTTTAGATGTTTGGGGCCAGGATCTGAAAGGCAAAGAGGATGACCAGGCAAGAATAGGGCTTTTGCTTCTGCCTGCCAGTGTGCTTCGGGTGGAGGTCTGGGCATTGAGGGGTAAAAATCTGGGTCCCCAACCCCACACTTCTCTGTGTAGAGTAAGAGATAATGTCAGGGTTTCGGTTGCTCTTTTGGAAGCTATTTAGTGAAGTAGAGTCTCACAGATGTTTGCGCTTAATTGGTTGTGTGATCTTGGCCCAGTCACTTAACCACTCTGAGCCTCAGTTTCTTACCTCTGCTGGTAATAAGGCCCACCTCCTGGATTTAGGGGGAAGATTAAAGAGAGGCAGTGGAGCTTACTGGTTAAAAGGATGATTTTGGAATTTGATTGCATACGTGTGACTGCATGGGTCCGAACTGTGCCACTTACTGGCAGTGTTACTTTGGACAAGTTACTTAATCTCTCTGTGCCTCAGGTTTCTCATCTGTAAAATAGAGTTTATAACAGTCCCTCCCTCATAGGGTTGTTGGAATGATTAAATGAATATAGGTAAAACACTAAACCAGTGACTAACACATGGCCACCACTATTATTATGATTACCATATTTCCTGGAACACATTAAGTATTCAAGCCACAGTTCCTCTCCCACCTACCTTAGGGCCACTGCATGATCCCTTGCCATGGATATATCTGAATGTGTGGAAATTTCCATTGCTACGACACTAAGTGAAGGCCCAGAATCTGAGGCTATGAGCCCATTGGGGATCCCTGTCCCTCTGGCTCACGGGGATCCTCCAGCATCTTGGGTAAGGGATCTGTATGTGCAGAGCTGGGGCATCCACAATGGACCAGGCAGGAAAAGGAAGCTAGAGAGTGTGTGATGGAAGCTCCCTGTAGACACTTTACTTGCAGTTTTGCAGGCCAGGAGAGGCACAGAGGGGCTCAACTTTTCTCATTGCAGTCCTGGATCACATCTGTCCACATCTGACCTCTTGCCTAACTAACTTGGTTCACAAGGAAATGCATGGTAAGGCTATGAATGTCTGTTATCTCAAAGTCGTCTATTCAAGGTGCTGCACTACTCTTCTACTATGGAGTATCACATATGGGATAAAAGCAGATCCCTACCCCTCATCACCAATAGCTGCCTTTGCCCCAAATATACGAGGTGCCCAAGGCAATCATCTCCAAGTGAGATGCCTTTTCTTGGAAAACAGGCTTTGCTTTCAGTGACCACCTCTTCATACTGGTATCTTTCTGACTCTTCAAAATCCATAAGTAAAATCAAGGGGATACCAGGATCAGCTCAGGTGCTATGGTAACCCAGGCACAGGAAGCCACTGAGGCTGGTGGCAGCATTTGGGGTAAGAACTAAACAGTTATGCACCAGGGTCTTCATCCCATTTAATTGCTTCAAACAATGCTTGGAAGTAATATTTTCCCCTCTTTTACAGACGAAGAAACAGGTACACAAGTGGTAATTTGCCCAAGGTCACAGAGCTAGGAAGAACCAGCATTCAAATTCTTAATTGTCTGATTCTAAACTCCATGCTTTGCTAAGACACTCCATTTGACATCAGCAACCTGGCACAGAATTCCTGACTGTGCTTCTTGTTTGCTGAAGATTTCAGCAACAGTGTTACTGATTCACTGTGGGCCACAGAGTGGGGGCCCTAGGCCAGTTGCCCTTCTTCACGCCTTTCTCTAGCAGGTGGCTGGAAGTAGGATCTGGAACAACTGCAAAAGTAGCTAGCAGTGGTCTTCTTCATAAGGCAGGGGGCTAAGTCATAATGTCCTGGAGTTCAGGTATGGAAAAGGACTTCAGAATGTCTGGAATCCTCTAAGTGGTCTTCTCCCTCCTTCTCCTTTTTCTTACCCGCCTACACACACACATACACACACACTCTCTCTCTCTCACATGCACACACACACGTGAGCACTGTCCACATGAAGCTTGCATCTGGTGGGAAGGCATGCCAACCGAGGTGTTGAAATCCATGGAGAGTCATGATTTGGCACCTGTGGAGTACTTTTCAGCACTTTGGAATGACAGCTTACTCGTCCACACAAACCCTTCCAGAAAGGTTGTGTCTGTGCCATTGTGGAGAGAGGAAATCAGAGCAAAGGCTATGGGTGGCCGTGGCCAAGCTGGAGCTGAACTTTTCACCTCTGCTCTGTGGTTGGAGCCAGGAGGCCTCTCACAGGTAGCTCCTGCTCCTGGTTGTGCTCTTCACAGTCCGGGTGACCTTGGGAAAGCCACTGCCCTTTTCAAGCTTAGCTTTCTCATCTGCAAAATAAGGGGTTTATTCAATGGCTCTCCACCAGGGCTCTCTGGGCCCACGGGGATCTAGAATTCAGTAATGGCAGTTAAGCAGGCATAATAACAGCTGCCATTTACTGAGGGCCTCCGACACATTTACTAGGTCCCTTGTGAATTATATCCCCAATGCTTAAAACAAAGCTGCAAAGTAGGGATGGCCACCTCATTTTACAGATGAGAAAAGTGAGCTTCCTAGAGGTCAAGGGGCTTGCTCAGAGTCACGTGGTAAATGATGGAGTTGGAATTCAAACCCTGGCTCATGTGTGTAACGATTACACCCCGTTCTCTCCTGGATTACACAATGAGCAGGGAAGTGGGTTTGCAGCTCCTCCATGGCAGCCCCATCAGCACTCAGCCCTGTGCTGTGATGAGTGGGTTCTGAGCAACAGTGTAGTGAAGATTCTGGTGGGCTTGATGATCTGAGTGGGCACAAGTGCTGGGTAGGCAAGGCAGCTTCCAGGGAAGGAGGCACAGAGCCAGCTGCTCTAGGACTGACCCCAGCGTTACGATAACGTGTCAAAGCAAGAGTTCAGTGGGAAAAAGGAGCAGGAGGCCCTTCTCACATTCCTCCCCACTCAGCACGGAGCTGCTGTCAGAGCCAATTGCCATCACAAGCATCTGCACCTTCCCTGCTCTCTTCTGAAGACAATGACCTACTTTTTGTTGTGTAGAAATGTATGCTAAGCCCCTCCCAGCAAATGCCTTCACAGTCTAGTTGTTACAGGTGGTAACTATTCCAATCACCTAACTAAAACCCAGTGTCCCAGTCGGGGTCCCCAAGACCCCTCCTGCCCCATCCTTGCCTCCCTCCCTAGTTTTTCTTTTGCCACCTGCACCAGCCATCTCCAGACATGCCATGCCCTTTAATCTTTCCTCTATAATAAAATCTGAAATAAAAAAAAAAAAGAACTATCTTGTCTCTTCCTGCATTGCCCTATTCAGGAAGAGGCAGGACAGTTCCTTTTTTTTTAAATTTCAAATTTTATTATAGATTAAAGGATATATGTGCAGATTTGTTACATGGGTAAATTGTGTGACACAGAGGCTTGGGGTCTCAACGATCCCATCATCCAGGCCAAAAGCATAGAACCCAACAGGTGTTTCTTCAGCCCATGCCCACCTCCCTCCCTCTCCTGTCTAGCAATCCCTAGTGTCTATTGTTCCCATCTTTACCACCATGTGTATTCAGTGCTTAGCTCCCTCTTATAAGTGAGAACATGCGATATTTGGTTTTCCATTCTTACGTTAGTTTGCTAGGATAATGACCTCCAGCTCCACCCATTTGCTGCAAAGGGCATGATTTTGTTCTTTTTTATGGCTGCATAGTATTCCAGGATAGTTCTGAGGTAAGTACAGCTCTCTGAAGGCACACCTTCTGTGGTCCTATTCTAGTTCCACAATGCTGTGTAACCTCGGGCAAGCGACTCAACCAATCTATGCCTCAGTTTTCTTGTCTTTGAAATGTGTACAACAGCACTATCTATATTGTAGGATTATTGTGAGGATTAAAGAGGAAAATCATATCTTAACACTACTTATAAGAAGCTCCCTAGGTGATTCTACCGTGCAGCCCAGGGTTAGGAACCACTGAATCAAACTATCATCTCCAAGAGGGTGGAGAAGGTGTCTTTTTGTGCTTAAAGTCCTTGGTGCTTAGAGAGCACAATGCCTGCTGCAATGTCAGCATCTTGGGAATAGTTTTTGAGTGGATGAATAATTCTATTTATTTGGAAGATTAAAATGTAAACAATCCTTTCTCTGAAGCCAGACAGCCAGCCACTATCATCAAGAACCAATTTCAAACCAGAACCAGTAAACCATGATCCTGATCATCAAGATGTTATGCTGGCTGAGGACTCCACTGTGAGACGCTGAGCTGAACTAAGCTCTGCCTTAGTAAATACGGTTGATATTTAATACTGACTCCTGGAAAACTAGGAACAATAGACTAAATGAGAGTCATGCAACACACAAAAGAGAAGGAGACTTCAATATGAGATAGATTTTTGGGCAGGTCAGTGTTTGGACATTTACTCTAGGATTCTTAGGTTTTTGTCAGGCTTCCAAGTTTCAAGGCCCATGCCAGGTTCAGACTTGAAATGGACAAATGCACTTCCTGAATCCTCACACCTAATTCCAGATGGGAACACTGGGAAATGTTTCTGACCAGCTGTACTGCTAGGACAGAAATTATTCTTAGCACAATGGCGTTGGTGGCAAGCCAGTTTATTTTTTTTATTTTTTTTTCCCGATGTGATTGATGTTCAAGTAGGCTGCCGAAAAAACCAGGAGAGCATTTCTATGTATGGAGGAGAAGGTTATGGGGGCATGATTCAGCATCTCAGTGTCATGTAGCATTTTGCTTTTTCTCCTGTGCTATGTCCTAGCAAGCCAAGCCTCATTCAAGGAACCATTAGCATATGGAGTAGAATGGGATTCAGTGAACAAGGCCTTAGTCAGGATTAGAAAAAAAAAAAAGCAGGTCATCTAGTGTCTTTATTTTATTTTATTTTATTTTATTTTATTATTTCATCCAGGCTGGAGTACACTGGTGTGATCCCAGCTCATTGCAACCTCCGTCTCCCGAGTTCAAGTGATTCTCCTGCCTCAGCCTCCTGAGGAGCTGGGATTATAGGCACACACCACCATGCCTGGCTAATTTTTATATTTTTAGTAGAGATTGGGTTTCACCATGTTGGCCAGGCTGGTATTGAACTCCTGACCTCAGGTGATCTGCCCACCTCAGCCTCCCAAAGTGCTGGGATTACAGGCGTGAGCCACCATGCCCGGCCCATCCAGTGTCTTTAGACAGAACTCAAATGGTAAACCAGAAGGGACAAAACTCTTTATGACAATAAGGAACACATTTTCCAGCTTGCACCCTGCAGCCAATCAATCCCAGGACAGCTAGGCTGTATTAAAATGCATAGAATGACCTGAAGTCAGGATAGGTCATGTGACAGAAAACAATGCCAGGTAAGGCAAAATCTAGAAAAAAAAAAGGCTGGGAGCAAATATTCCTCAAAGTCCACTCTGTGCCAGGTATTGTCATTCCCTGTTTACGGATGAGAAAACTGAAGTACAAAGAAGTTAAATAACCACTTCCATTATTAAG
Source organism: Homo sapiens (assembly GCF_000001405.40). Classification (NCBI taxonomy): domain Eukaryota; kingdom Metazoa; phylum Chordata; class Mammalia; order Primates; family Hominidae; genus Homo; species Homo sapiens. The sequence continues at coordinate 19,695,298 of NC_000011.10, read as the reverse complement.
TGGCTGAACTGGGTTTTGAACTTGGATTGCAGACTCCAAAGTCTGTATCTTTCCCACTATGTCATGTTTTGGACCGGAGAGTGCCGACTCAACTCCCTGAAGGCCACCTTGGGTTGCCAGATAAGAGCAGGTAACTGACTGCACCTGGCCAGGGGAGTGAGCAAAGAGGCAGCAGTGGGAGGTGATCCCCTAATCAGGTGTTCTGATGCCAGTGTGTCCCTTGGCCTGGAATACTGGGAGTACATTCCCTGATCCAAGCCAAGTGGTGGCAGCTCTCTCAGGCAGTGGCACTGGATAGCACTTTGCTGCTGGCCACTGAGGTAGAGAGTATCAGGTCACACCCGCCTCTGCCAAGGGAACCTTGAAAGGGAAAACAGGCTCCGGGGACAGTGGAGGAACATGTCAGCAGATCCCACCGAACTGGGCCCAAGAAAGGCCTTTTTTCCAACCTAGAGAGGTACAAGGGAGAGCTAATGTGACAAGAAGTCCTAGCTTGCTGCCAAATGGACTTAGACGAGCAATAGCTGTTGGTCCCTTGGGTGGTCCCTGCACCCCTAGTCTATCTGCATGAACCAAGCTGGCTCTAAAATTTCATTCTAAGGAAAAGAGGGACCAGACACCACCAGCTGACCCCAGTGACTAAGGGCATTGGAAGTGACAGTGGGAGTTCTACAGAATGGCCAGTTCAGGATAATAGAGTTCTGGCCCTATCTCTTTATGACCAGAGGTGGGTTACTTTCATCCTTCCGAGTCTCAGTTTCTTCAGTGTAAAATAGGATAAAACTAATACCTCCCTCCAGTGGACCCTGAAGATGCTCTGCCCAGAGTACCATAGGTCCCTGTTCAGCGGCCCTCCCCTCCCCTGGCTTCCCTGTGCTTTGCTTCTAATGATCGGCACCTGTGAGCTTGCTCGGAGGCCTGCCCCTTCACCTATGCATGCAGAGAGCTGGTTGTGTCTGAGGGTTGACTCCCTGGGCAGCCTGTGGGTATATGAAAACCCAGCTCATTTGCCTTGCAGTGGGTGTAATTTAAGCTCCAGAACTCCCCACACAGTGCAGCTGAGGCTGGGACTCTGCCTGAAACCTCATCCTTGCTTGGCTGTATCCCTGTCCCTGTCCTACTCTCCTCTCCTTTACTGGTTTGTCCTGGGAGCCCTTCTTCAATAAGTCACAAATCCTCATCTTAGCGTCTGCCTCTGTGGAACCCAACCTGAGACACCACCCTGTTGGGTTATTGTGAAGATCAAATGACATCATTCATGTAAATTGCTTAGCTCACACAGGCAATAATCAATAAATGGCAGCTGTTTATTTTTAGATGGAACTAAATGAAATTGTCTATAACAACTACTTTTGACTCAAAAATGGTGATTTCCTATACATCGGCCTAATGATATTTTACAGTCCAATCTCCTAACATTCTCCCTCCAGCTACAATGAAGAGATCTTTCTAAAGAAGACCGTAGTCTACTCTAGTGGGTTCTCAAGCCAGGGTCTTCCATGTTCTATCCTTCCTAGAACAGTGCTGGCCTCCAATGTTACACCAGTCGCTGGTGTGTGGGCTCTACTAGGCTGAGACTGGGACAGACACACTTGTTATTTAACCAGAAAACCATGTGAATCTGGGCTCCACCTAAAACAGTAGAAAGGGCAGGGGTGTGGGTGGGAAACAGCAATCAGTGTTTGTCAAGTGGAAAAGGACCAGATCATAAATAGGAAAAATGTTTTCAATTTCCCCCAAGGGCAATGTTTTCTAAATATATTTTTGTTTTATTTTCCTCAAAAGATGACTTTGGTGGCCTCTTAAAGCAGACTGTTGTGAACCCACCCTTTGAAGGGCTATGGTATATTTATGGTACATTTCAGCTTCAAACACTGAACAAATGAACACTGTGTTTGTGTCAGCATGGCACTCCTGGTTGGAGACAGAAATAGGGCATGGAAAATTGTTGTTTGTATTTCCTCTAGCTGTTGCCGCCCCAACCTCATGACAATGGGAAAAGTCTATGTTACAAACAAGCCATCGGCTATCTCACTCGAAACACAGCATCCCCTCCCATCCCATCACGAGGGGACCCTGTGGAGGGTGAGAGTCACACGCAGAGGCACCACCTCAAACACAGAGGAAACCAAGGGCCCTGGCAGAGGTGGGCTGGTAGTAGATACGTGAAAGAGACAAGATTAATCTGAAAATACAAGGGCAGGAGGGCACCAAATGATCTGCTTAATTGGCAAGTGCCAGCCTTTGGTTAGATAGGAGGCTATGAGCTTGGAGAGAAGGTCTTGGTCAGGTTCCCTGTAGAGCCTGGGCAGGCAGCAAAACCTGTCCTGATCGGGGAGCAGCCTTGGCTGCCCTGTTCCCTCGGTTTGGAGCCTATCAAATGTACAACAGCACACAGAACACCTACCAGCTGGTATAATGTATATGCTATCAGCTTGTTTGCTGCCCATCCCCATCTCCCCTCACCTCAACACACATGCACACACTTGAATATTAGCTCCATAAGAGCAAGGGTTTTTTTCTGCTGCATCCCCTGAGTCTAGAACGATGCCTGGCTTGTGACAGGTACTCAATGCATATTTGCTGATTGAATGAATGAAGTATAATTGCCTGTATGATCAATATGCAAAATGCCTGTGGAGGCAATTAAGGACACTGAGGCATTAGATAAGATTTGATTTTGCTCATTAGATTCTACTTACTAAGGTAGGAAAAACTCAATCCAAGATTAGAAGGATTTGCAACAACAAGGACTCAAACAAGGAATGATTTTTGCTTTACCAGAAAATACCATTAATCAGGACATCCTTATAGATGTGGATGTTTTGTCTATAGACCACAGCATACTTAGATGTTTCCAGATAAGTCATATGTTTAGCATTAGGTAGCGTCAAGCTACAAGCTTTCCCAGACACAAGCAAGCAAAAACATACATTTGGTTGGTGCTTCAACATACAAATGACCTGGCTTCTCAGACCTGGGTTTCCGGGGGGTACATATGAACAGAAGTGCCTGGTGAGTCACATGCAGGTCACAGATTGGGGAAGATGTTTGCGGACTTCGTTCTAGTTCAGACAACACCCGCAACCCCGGTGGTGAGGCCCTCAGCCAGTGTGGGTCTTTCTCCCAGTGAGTCTGCATGCTCACCCAAAACTGTCAGATGGATCCCATTGATGTATTTTGGCAGGAGAAGAGCCGCCCCTGAAATCACAGAGGGCCCACAGATGTCACGCTGGCACTTGGCCATGGAATCACAGACTGTGTCTCTCATGGTCAATGGCTGGCCTCATGCAAAACCCTTCAAACCACCTGGCCAGACAGTGGCAGGGCCTGAGCCATGTGGAAAGTGTTGTCAGCTCCTGTCTCCTAATTGAAGGCAGAACACACAGGCCTTCAAGCATTTAGCTGTGCATTTTGACACCATAGTGCCAGCCAGGGAGGGGTCTTTTGGCCCAGATAATTCTAGTGTGGTCAGGAAATGAATGACGTAAGGTGGATTTTGGGCTTCTTTGCCCTTGTCTTCCTCCAGGAAGCTGAGGCTGGGTGAGAGTGGGGACTGCTGTTCTTCAGTGGGAAGAGCATGCCACAGTGGGAAAAACCCAAGGAAGAACCAAGAGGCGGGAGAATGGTGTGAACCTGAGAGGCGGAGCTTGCAGTGACCTGAGATCATGCCACTGCACTCCAGCCTGGGCCACAGAGCGAGACTCCGTCTCCAAAAATAAATAAATAAATAAAAATAAAAATAAAAAAGATGGTGTGGTCAGGAAGTGGGGCTGAGACCCACTGAGAAACTGCCTGGAACTACACTGCAGTTAGAAGCCACATGTGACAACTGCGGACTTGAAACGTGGCAAGTCTGAATTGAGATGTGCTCTCACTCCAAAATGCACATGGTATTTAGAAGATTTTGGAAGGAAAAAAAGAAAGTGAGAAATCTCATTAATAATTTTTGTATTCATTATAGGTTGAAATGGGAATATTTTGGATATATTGGGTTAAATGATTTCATTTGCTATAATGAATGTCATCTGTTTTTTTTTTCTGTTTTTTAATGTGGCTACTAGAACATTGAAAACTACATACATGGCTTGCCTTCTATTTCTACTGGATAACGCTGGCCTAGAGCCTGTTTATCTAAGTGTGATCCCTGGAACAGCAGCAGTAGCACCTGGGAGTTTGTCAAGAATGCAGATTCATGGGCCACTCTCCAGCTCTACTGTAGCAAAGCCTACATTTTTAACAAGATCCCCAGGTGATTCACTTGTACAAAAAAGTTTCAGAAGCTCTGGGCTAGCTCATTCCCTAGGCACTTGGCTTTACTGCTGACAACCAGGTCAGCTTTGAGGGGTGTGGCAGAAAAGACTTTGAAAGAGAAAAGCTTTGGTGTGTGCTGAAAATCGGGGATCTGGGTTCTACTTCTGGCTCTGCCTTGAAATTGCTGTGTGACTTTGGGTAAGCCACTGGCCCCTCTCTGGGGCCAGTTCCCCATCCAGCAAATGAAGAACCTGGACTAGAAGAACTTCAAAGTTCCTGCAGGAGCTTTCTCTTGCACCAGCTGGTAGGACTAAAACCAGCTCCTTTTACCAAGATTTCTAGAAAATCCTAGGGAGGGTTTTGTTTTGTTTTTACTTTGGCTTTTGCATCAGTCCTATTCACATATGGTGGGGAACCAACACATGTGTCCCCATTGTCACTGCCTCCTTTGGATCCCCCAAACTTTATTTTAATTAATTAACATTTTTGAGCACTTATTACGTGTTGATTCTGATTCTAAATGCTTTACATGTATTGTCTCCTGTAACACTCACAATGACCCTAAAAGATAGGGCTCACCATGACTTTTTAATATATGAAGAAATTAAAGCACAGAGAGGCCAAGTAAGTGGTCCAAGATCATACAGTTGGCAATTGGTTAACACTCAGAAACCACCAGACTTTGGCCATGCAGGTATGCCTGATGAGGAGAGGAGTGACCTAAAACTATAAGGTGGTAAACATAAGCATGAATAAAGGAAAATATTAGAATAGATGTAAATGGGCTGGGCGCAGTGACTCACACCTGTAATTCCAGCACTTTGGGAGGCGGAGGTGGGTGGATCACCTAAGGTCAGGAGTTCTAGAGCAGCCTGACCAACATGGTGAAACCCCACCTCTACTAAAAATACAAAATTAGCCGGCCGTGTTGGTGTAATCCCAGCTACTCAGGAGGCTGAGGCAGAAGAATCACTTAAACCCGGGAGGCGGAGGTTGCAGTGAGCCTAGATCACGCCATTGCACTCCAGCCTGGGTAACAGGAGCGAAACTCTGTCTCAAAAAATAAAAAGTAAAATAAAATAGATGTAAATGAATCAAGTCAACACATAAGGCCAAACTCTAGGTTCTTTCTGCAGCATTTGTTTGATTCTCATATGATAGTCAGTATCGTGCATCTGGCAACCATGGCAATCTTTCTATTTCAACTCAGCACCCTCATGATGAAAGTCTCGTGGAAAGACACTCTGTCCATGTGCTACAGTGACACCAAAACCCTGCAAACACATGCTTTGGCAAGGCTGATGCCAGTGAACGGGCAAGCTGATTAGCTGAATTCATCTGCTTGTGAAATAATCTGAAAAGGGTTAATGCTAAAATAAGTCCTTTCCTTTTTTAAGACTCCCCTCCTCTCTTATGAATAAAATTTTCTGTAAAAAGAACTACTTATAAAGTAATCACAGCAATGCCACCAAAATCAGAAACCAAAAGGCAATTTAGCTGGCTGATTATGAATGCAGCCTGGGGAGGACCGTCCTCCTGGCGGACGCCTCTGACCCAACCGGGCTGTTGCCAGCCTTGTGGCCAGCTCTTGGCCCCCAGTGATGTCTTTGCCCTGAGTCCTGTTCCCATGTCCCTACCTTGCAGTCCTCTTCCCCAACTTTTCCTCCCATTCCTGGTTCTAGGCTTCTTGTCTCATCTCTTGTTGATGTCTTTGCACGTATCCCTTGGAGCTGGCAAATTATTTTGGGTTTGGCATGCTGACTCCCTTGAATATAATTTGCACTAGCCCTACAGATTTTCCACCTCTGGCTGCTCCAGGGACTGGCTGAGGCTTGGCTCAGCCTGGCTTTCATAACTCTGTCCCAGCATTGTCACACAGCCTTTGTCTAGAGCAACTTTGCCTTGACCAGGGCAGCCAAGAATGGAATACTGAGAAGGGCCACATTGGGATCCTCCTTCCTTTTAGATTCCCAATGCCTCCAGGAGCTCTTTGTGGAGATGTGCAGAGCTCTCCTTATACTGAGTTACTTTCAGCCAGGGAATGTGCTTACAGCCTTCCTCCTCTACTCTCTGAAAAAATAATCTAGTTTTTCATAGCCAGGATGACCATATGATTTTTTTCATCCAAATTGGGCTCTTTGTGCAGTGAAAGGGGATGCTATTAATAATTGTGCCTGGATAAAAGGCACAACCCGAGACTATCCCAGGCTAACTGCGGCATACCATGCCTATACTCATAGTCCCACTTTCCTTTCAGAGGTAAAGCCTGATACTAACTCTATCCCCACATTATATAATATACTTTGATTACTCCTTTGTTCAGAATCTCTCAGCCTTGCCCACAAAAGCTCTCTTAGTAGGAGAGAGCTGATATATATCCCCCTGAGTGACTGGTGCACAGAGCAAAGGGACCATCCAAAGCTTCCTGATAGCAGAGCTTGTCTTTGAAATTTGAAAAGAGCATATGAATATTATCATTCTACTTAATAATTCTCCTTGTTTTGCTTCAGAAAATATTTTTACTTCTCATATATTTTTTCTTAAAATGTAAAGTAAACTTGATGCCCGGAAAGATGCTTGCTGCAGGTTTTCCCTATGGTTTGTGTACCTCTGTTACCACGGCATAGTCTGAGAATCACAGCTTCTCACTCAGTGGGGTTAGGGGATGAACATTCATGGTGCCCAAGGCATTTGTTGGAATGGATAAGATTACACAGGTCAAGGTTTAGCTCAGACTCTGAGCTTGCCTAAGCATTACACTTTCTCCTTTACAGAGTCTTCTGTTCCTTTATGTACAACAAATATAAGGCCAATAAAACCCTCCAAGAGTTTTCAGGGGCTTCATAATCATGCAATTCAAGGCTGTAATTGGGATTCTTTGCTTCTCATGTAAGAATACTTCAGCTTGATAATGAGCCAACTCTAGGTAGACCTTCCCCAAATTGGGGGTGTGTTTTGGGTTGCCTCCCCTCTTTCATCCCATTCTATGATCTCTGAAGAAACCAGAAGACAGATCCCCTAGCAGGCATGATTGCAGTGCTAGAGTCTGTAGCAACTTCACCTGGATGGAGGATGAGAGTCAGCGCTAGGGCACAGGGGCTCTCTAGATGAATCTCCTACACTTCCCTAAGCATGACCTTCTTTCTCAATGAGACCTGTCCTAACTCAAGAGGTTGAGGCACTCATTTTCTGTGATCCCACACTTGCCAGTCACTCTGGCCTCCCTCCTGCCAACAAAGTTCACACACACACACACACACGCATGCATACACACATGCACATGTACACAGATGTGCACACACACATGTACACACATCCCTTTTCTCTGGAACCTGCAGCCATTTGCCATATCTGAGGGTTTAGTACATCTTGTGTTCATTCCTCCCCTCCTCCACATCCCTCCTGCAGACTTACAATTTCCCTGGAGATGAAAGGATAATTTGAAAATTAACTTCTTATTCCAGCCTTTCTCCATAGCTCCAGGGAATATTCTCAGATAAAAACACACAGGACCTGGGAGATAATGATTAGGAGGGGACCTAATAGGATGCTGGTAATGTTCTATGTCTTGACCTGGATGGTGGTTACACAGGTGTGTTCACTTTGAGATAATTCATGTATAATATTTGCTTTTTTCTGAATGCATGTAATATTTCAATGAAAATTTAAATGTAAAAACAAGCACAGAACCAGGTTATGGCTGAGAGGGAAGGCTGTAACCTGGAGATTGACTATCTGGATAAGAAATATTTCTAGCTCTTTTCTGGCTCTCAAGTGTCAATGCAGCCAAGAGCTGCTGTATGGCTCCCAGGGCTACCAGTGTTTCGGAGATGCTGGGCTGACAGCCTGCGCTGTCTCCCTGTTCCAGGGAGAATGCTGTATTGAGAACATAATAATTTTAGATCTCATACTGACCTTCTGAGCCTCTGGGCAGTTTCATGTTCCTAGAATAACAGAGTCAGCAGGTCCTCGGAGGGGAGGCAAAGTGGTTAAGAGCTCAATGTGTTGAAACCCTACCTCTGCCACTTTCTAGTCATGTGACCTTGGGAAAGTTATATAAACTTTCTAATCTGCAGTTTCCTCATCTGTAAAATGGGGCTAATAATAGTGCCCGCCTCATATGGTTACTGTGGGAATTACCTGTACTGCATATGAAGGGTTTAGCCCTGGGCCTGGCAAAAACTAAGAAGTATCCATTAAAGACTAAATGTTATAATTGAGTCCAACCCCCATACTTTATGTGAGGAAACTAAGACCCAGATAGAGAAGGGAGTATCTTATTGAAGGTCAGAGCCAGGATATAACAGTGATAATCCGGGCCTCCTCGAGTCTAGGACTGTGGAGCTCTCTCCATGATAACATGCTGCTTTTTCCCACACTGGGGGTCCTCCCCACCTGGGCAGGCCCATGCAGCCATGCTTTATTCATCCAAGCACCAGACAATGTGAACTTATTTTGCTCACAACCCCTTTAAGTGAGAGGAGACTGTGATGAATGCAGTGTCATTCATCTGATAAGGTGAATCCCCAGGTTGAGGAGAAATGAACAGGCAACCCCTATGACCTGGAGTACCTCCCTGTGAGCCACCCTGAGACCACACAATGGGCGGATTGAGGGAAACATGAGACTCTTGTTTAGTAAACACAGAGTACCTGCTTTGTGGTCAGGCCCAGTGTTGGGGACAACTGGGAAATAAGAAGGATCCCACCTTCCTGGAGCTCCCAGTCTGGGAGGGGGAGGGATGGAGAAGGTTGATTCTGAGAGACAGGTTACTCAAAGGAAAAGCAAGGGAACATATCACAGGGGACCCAACTATCTGTGGTATGAAGCAAGTGACATGGTCGTGGAGGCAGCGATGTCACCATAGGGACTAGAAGGCTGAGTAGGAGCCACCTAAATGAAGTGAAGGGGGCAGAGAGGAGCCAAGGAGGAGGCCCTGGGGTGGGTTAGGACATGAACATGGGGACCTGGAGAATAGGCTTGTACTAGGGAGCTGGGGGAGCAGTGTGAGAAGAGGTGAGTGTGAGCATGCAAGATCTCCTGAGCATGCTGAGAATTCTGGACTTTATGAGATGTGAGAAGCCTCTGGAGAGTTTTAAGTTGGAAAGTCACATGATGAGATTTGCCTTTTAGAAAATACCTGAGCCCTGAGAGTCAGTCTAAGTCCAAAAGCACCTCTTGGTGCAGAGCGTGGGAGGCTCCTGAAACCTCACACCATTCCCAGGACCAGAGCAACAGGGGCCCTCTGAGACTGGTGCACCTTCATTTATCAGAAAGATAAATGGAAGATTAGAGAGGGAGGGAGGTTTACCCAATATCACTCATCAACTTAAAAAGAGTCAGAGCTAGATCCAGTTTCCAAGTCTTCAGCTGCAATTCCTGTTGCACTTGCAATCATCATACGGCTGTTTCACTAGTTTGTGTGAAAATCTTTCAACCCCAAATAAACTGATACTCTTAATGAGCACTAAATTCATCTTTGCAGAATGAAGGAATTTAAGTGCATGGGAACCCTGGATCTGTTACCCTTCCTCCTCTTCCTTAACATTATCTTGGAGCCCGCAGAGCTTGACTCCTCAGCCCGGCCATACCTGCAGGCCTGCTCAAGTAGATATTGGGAAGGGGGTGTGGTCACAGGGCCTGATTCTAGTAAGGGCTGCTTGAAACCTGCTTTCCCCACCCCTACTGCTGGGGTCTGGAAGTCTTCGAGGCTTCTTCTTCAACTGCTCCCCACTGATGGATGATATCATGGGCATTTTGAAATGAGAGGAAAACTCCCATTTGGCTGGAAATTAAGGTGATTTAAAAGCAGATGGCAGAGCTTCTGAACTGAGAGGGCAGGACAAACCACCCAAACATGCCTAGCTAAGCAGTCTGTGGGGCCTTCTGAGGGAAGGTCTGGGATTCGCTGGAGGCTGGCCCAGGGTGGGATCATGGTAGGGCCTCCTCTGAGGGTCAGGACTGATGTCAGCATTTGGGTCTTGCTCTCATCCTGCCCCAAACCCATATTAACTACAGCTAGAATGAGGGAAGGATTTCCAGGTCCTAGCCCTGCCTGACCATGTGCTTTTATGGAGTGAGGGACTTGGATGGGAAATCAGCACTCACTGAGCACCTACAATGTGCCAGGCACTGTACTGAGAGGCCATGGGTTATAATGACCCAACTTTGGGCAATGTGCCAACCAAGGGCTCTTGAGCCCATAGGGATGTGAGCACTCTTGAAGGATGGGTGAGAAGAACTCTACCCTTGAAGAGAATGGGTATTCCCATAGTCAATCATCCCGGAAGGGCTGGAAATATGATGAGACTCAGGACTGGATGAGGGAGAAATATATTCCTCACTCTGGTGTCTGTGGGGTTGGCACTGGGCTTGCAGTGTGGGGGGGCCTTGAGTGATCTGGAAGTGGGTGAGTGCCCTTGGCCGTGCCCTTGGAGAGGAGCTTGGCCTCCACTATTTACCATGGTGGAGGCAGTAGCAGCTCAAAAAGCACCAAGTTTGGTGATAATCAGCATTTAGGTAGTGCTTGGGTGCTCCAGACTAAGGGGTATATCTGAGCAGCTGCCCCTCTTCTGAGAGTTGTGGGCCACCAAGAATGACCTTTAGATCAAATCAAGAGCTTCACCTTCATCACTGGGGTCTCAGAGACAGCCCCCAGTGGTGACAACTGTGCCAGCAGGGCAGATACCTCCTGCTGGGCATTGACACATGAGTCAATACCCTGGGAAAGCTCCCAGAAATGATGGGAGGACATTGTGACAAGGGCTGAAGTCCAGCATGTAGACCTAGGATATAACAGTTGGCATGAAAAGGAAGTATAATTCTATTTAAATTGAGTTCAGGAACAGACATTTTATATATTACCTCATTTTTTCCAACACAATACCCTTTGAAGAAAATGGAGCTAATTATCCCCACTTCACAGATGAAGAAACTAATTTTCAGAGAAGCTCTATCAGTGATTTCCAGTTTTTGGATTTCGCAATCAAGTTAAAACAATTGGGGGAGTGTACATGGATTGTTCACCTCAATTATCTTAGTAAGGAAATTTTAAAAATTAAAAAATGCTACATCTAAACTTATCGTCCCATTTTGGCAAAAGAAAAGATATTTTAATGCAAACAATTGTGGCAGACAATTTAATCAGAATAAAGGTCATTTTTTAAAACTTAATAAAATTATATTGTTGAAGATACAATTTAATATCCTGAGTTTTCTCCCTCCTCTGGGCGTTGGTGAAATGTGGCCTTGTCCTTGTGCTGGTTTGTGGAGTAAAGTTTGCAACCCCAGGGGCTGAATGACTTGCTCATGTCCTGGTCACTCAGCCAGAAAGGGGCAGAGCCAACTCACACAGACCCGACTGGAAGCCCAGCCTTTCTGGATGCCCTGCACAGCTCTGCTCTACTGAGGCAGGCAGTGGGGACCACAGTGCTATCCAAATCCTTGCCAAGGTGCTCCAAGAGAACATCCAGGCCTTGCCTGACTCTTCTCCCCACAGGCCTCTTGGATGGGCCCAGTCAGCTGGCTGAGAACTCTACCAGTAATGCCAGCATAGGGGATTTGGCTGAGCTCAGTACAATATGTTTTTATCTGTACCAAATTATGACCCATAAAAATTCAGTCCTTGCTAGGACACAAGCAGCTAAAAAAGAAGGTGACCCAACTCAACCTTTTCTCTTTTAAGAAAACACATCACTGACCCCGCCTTCCTAAGCTGCTGCCATGAGGCTTTCTGTTACACCCCGCAACCCCTGACATTCCGTTTAGAGGAAATGAAAAACTACTCTCTCTCCTTGGCCCTCCCCATTCAAACAGGCTTACATGTGTCCCAGAAGAAGGCCACTGATGACTTCCCAAACTCCCGGCTACTCTTCCTTCCTCAGAGAAACACAAAATATTAGCACTACAAGGAAATTTAAGGATCATTTAATACAAATACCCCCATTTTATCTATATGAACCAAAGCAGTCACTGAAACCCAGATCTTCTAACTTCTAGCCAGAACCAGGGTGGCACAGTTGACAATCCACAGATTAACAAAGGTTTGAATCTAGTCCTCCCTCATCCTAGTTCTGCAACCTTGGAAAATGCTTCACTTCTCTGAACCTCACTGTTTTCATCTGAAAAATGGGCAAAATGAATATGATATGTTTTGGATGTTTGTCCTCTCCAAATCTCATATTGGAATGAGTGTTGGAGATGGGGCCTGGTGGGAGGTGTTTGGTCATGGGGGCAGATCCCTCATGAACGGCTTAGCGTCATACTCCTGATAGTGTGTTCTCACTCAGTTCATGCAAGATCTGCTTATTTAAAAGAGTGTGTGGCATCTCTGCCCTCTCTGTCATGCTCCCTCTCTCACATGTAATATGTAGCCCCCCATCCCTTCTGCTATCATTGTAAGCTTCCTGAGGCCCTCGCCAAAAGCAGATGCTGGTGCCATGCTTGTATAGCCTTCAGAATCATGAGCCAATTAAACCTCTTTTCTTTATGAATTACCCAGCCTCAGGTATTTCTTTATAGCGACACAAATGGACTGACACAATACCAGCCTCCCAGGTCCTCGCAGAGGTTAATGGGGCTATGTATATAAAGCACTTCACAATGTGCTTGGCACATTGACCGCAGTGCTCATTTCCACAGTACACATTTCCTTTCTGGGCAGTTTACGAACTTCTCTAAGGCTCAGTGTCCTCATCTGTTAAGTAGGATAACAATTGGATTATGAGATAAGGCATGTGTGTAAAAAGTTTAGCACAGTTCTTAGCACATACCAAGCATGTGGAAGCAATTATTATTAGCATGGTATTATCACCAGCCCCTTCTTTCTTTCTTTCTTTCCTCCCTCTCCAGATTCCCACTCCTCAATCTACATAAGTCAACAGAGCAATGTGTAGGGTGTACCATGGGGTGAGTATGTTGTATGTGGGTAAGGTGCTGTCTAGGGGAGTGAGTCCAGGTGCTGTGCCTGATGCTCTGGTGGTAGTGGGCAGCCCTGGAACCCTGCAGAGTGAAGTCCACTCTGTGGCTTGCTCTCTCTCAGCTGCTTGATCAGATCATGTGACTAACACAAGCTATCTTGATATTGTGGACATCTATCTATTCCCTGCTAGATGTATTTTCTCAGGTGGAGGTGTCCTAATTTCTATATGAAACCACCACGCAGCCTCCTGAGGCTGCCAGACACCTGACACGTACATCCCACAGGAATTCCATTCAGATGTGTCCACAGGTCTCAGTGGATTCCCACAGTGGCTTCCTAGCTACCTGGTCTGGAGGACATGCTTACTATGCATTGGTGAGAGTTTCTGGACACTGAATACATGTTCTGTATAGAGAGATTTCCTGTACTCCAATCCCAGACTTGCCAAAGGCTGGCCAGATCCTCCCAGAACTGCAGGCTATTGGTGTGGAGGACCAAGGGCTCATCCCAAGGGGCAAACCTATTGCTAAATCCCATCAGACTGGTCACCTCTTTAGAGGGACTTAGGCAGACCAGTGGGCCATTAATGCCAAATAATTAAATCGATAGGCTTCTAGAAGATAAACCTGATCTCAACTCAGCTAGCCATTTCACACAGAGTGGTGCAATTACCCCCAAATTGCAGAGAGACCTGGGTTCAAACGCTAACTCTATCACTAACTGACTTTGGGTGTTTCCTCACCATTCAAAACTTCAACTTCCCTATATATAAAATAAGGACAAGCAAATCTATCTTTTATAACTGCGGTGAAATTAAATTGAAAATTGATGATACTTCAATGCCTGGCACATTGTCATTATTTGATAATGATCCAGTTAGGACAAAACATATGAAGAAGGACTGCCAGGTCAGGGGACGTCCCTGAGAGAATCTCACTGCCAGGCATGACCTTGTCCCCAGAAGCTAGATCATTTCAGTTCAACCCCTGGCTCTGTCTCTCATTAGTAAGTTAGTTAAATTCTGCACCTCAGTTTCTGTCTCTATCTGTAAGTGGGGATAATGATAATACCTACCCCAAAGGGGTTTGTGATGATTAAATTAATTACTTAATGTAAAATGCTTAGAACAGTGCCTGGCACCCGCTAAGTGCTGCAAAAATGTTGGCTATTCATAATAGAACTAAGTGATTCATCAGTAGTCTGAAATAAATTCCTAAAGCATGGGCTTTGGAAGCCCTTGATTGTTTGGCTTTACTGAAATGACAGGTGCAAAGAAGGCATGAGACCCCTACCGTTCTCTCACGTGAGCTCATTCCTGAGCAGAAGAGCCGTGTTTTATAATAATTACCACTTCTGGAATGCTTGCCATATGCCAGTTCCTTTATAAATTTTAGCTCTCATTCTCACAGGAACCCTCTTATATAGGCATTATTATCCCCATTTTGCAGATAAGGAAACTAAGGTTCAGATAGGTGAAGTGATTTTCCCAAAGGGGCACAGCAGGTAGGGGTAGAGGCAGGATTCAAATGCAGGTCTGTCTGGCTCCATAGCCACAGCCTCCTTGCTTCCCTAAGCAGAATGGGGTTCCGCATCCCTCCTGTGTGTGCGGGTGAGGGGTGTGTCCTACAGTTCCCCAGCACTCATTCAGCCCTACTGGCCTGGCTGGGTGGTTGATATTTAAAAACTGGAGAGGAGGGGAAAAAAACCCTTAAAAACAATAAACAGTGATTCAGACTGAGTCTTTACTCAGGCGGTTACGGGAAACTGGCGGGAGGCGACAGCCTTAGTCACTTAGGAATGGCCGAGCCCCTGACTCATGGGCAGCAGATCACGCTGCTCAGGACAGAAGCCAGCACTGCATTCGGTGCCAAAAAGGCAGGAAAACGCTCTAAAGAGGGGGGTGGGGGATGAAAAGAATGATGTGCTGGGGCCAGAGCTATCTTTTGTGAGGAGGCAGGCTTGTCCTGGGTGCTGGAATAACATCCAAACCCCCAAGCCTGATGTTCCAGCCCCCTTTCTGGAGCCCTCCTCTTTTCCAATCTGATTTCTCTCTATTCTCATTCAAGAACCCCACCCTCCAGCCAAATGGGATGGCCCACTGTGCCCAGGATGTCCTGTCTTTGCCCCTCACTCCAGGTGCCTTGGCCCCCAACCCTCCTGGCCTCTCTTGTGCCCAATAGGTAGGGCTCCCCTCCAGGGGCCCTTCCTCTTGCCTTCAGCACTAAATTCAGCCCCTCATTCCTCAGGTATTTAAGGAGCACACATTATGTGTTAAGTTCTATGTTAGATACTGGAAATCCAAAGATAGCTTAGACACAGTCCCTGCCCTCAGGAAGCTCATACCTAGTGTTTGTTTCAGTACCAGGTACAGGAGTACACAGGTCACAACAAGAACCGCCAAAAAGGAAGGGCTGTGATGTGGGGAGCACAGAACACAGCCGGGGTGTCCCAAACCACCCTAGGAACCAGGGTTCCCTAAAGGACGTGATGTTTGAGATGAATCTTGAAGAGTAGGAATGAGTCAAGAGATGGTGGGGTAGAGAGGGGAAGGATATAGAATCATCTCTCTCTTCTAAACAAAAACAGAAACAAAAGCTGAGGCAGGTACTGTGAGTTTATTGTACCAAAGGGGAAGGAAATGAAGAAAAAACAGAGGGGCAAAATAATAGCCCCCAAATCTTTTTGTGTTTTTTTGAGACAGAGTCTCGTTCTGTTGCCCAGGCTGGAGTGCAGTGGCACAATCTCGGTTCACTGCAACCTCCGTCTCCCAGGTTCAAGTGATTCTCCTGCCTCAGCCTCCAGAGTAGCTGAGACTACAGGCATGTGCCACCACGTCCAGATAAATTTTGTATTTTTAGTAGAGATAGGGTTTCACCATATTGGCCAGGCTGCTCTCGAACTCCTGACGTCAGGTGATCCACCCGCCTCAGCCTCCCAAAGTGTTTGGATTACAGGCGTGAGCCGCTGCACCCAGCCAGCCTCAAAATCTTGTTAAAATTTTGGACTAATTCCTCTCAGCCTTTTCTCCATATAGCTCTATGTGTGGAGACATATACATTTTTAAAAACCCAAAACATGTTAATCTGACCGCTTTGTAATTTGCTTTTCACATTTAACAACATAGGAAATCTTTCTATGTTGATAAATATTAGTCAACATAACAGATGCCACAGCTGATCTGGCCTGAGAGAGGTCGGTTTAGCTCGTGGAGGTGGTGGGAAATTCTGAATTTGAACACCTAGCACTGGGGAATGTACTCATCCATTCTCCACAGGCCCCACCTCTCCTCGCTGTCTTACACAAATAAGATCTGCTTCTCTGTTCACATCAGCTGCCTGGCCAATCCGGGCATTAGCATTTTGAGCCCCTGATGCTCAACATTTGAATGGCTATGTGGTATCTCGGAAGATGATGCCCCTTGATTCACCTGGCATTTTCCCCATGCTTCTCTTTCGACACTGCCAATTTCTACCCTAGATAGCAATTGATCACACAGCTGCTGCCTTCCCATCTGCGGGCTCCTCAGACGCGGGTTCTATATGTGATGTTTCTTGCTCTCCCATCACAGAGCCTAGCACAGCTCTACTGTGACTTGCGCACAACAGGCAGTCACTAAACAGTTGATGAAAAGAGAAAGGAGGAAAGTTACAGGGTTAAGCTCTTGACCCCTCCCAGTGCAGGTGAGACACCCATTTCATCCAGATCCTGCAGCGAGATGACAGGCATGGGCTCCGGAGTAAGCATGCCTGGACTCCTATTCTGGTCCCACCACTGACTAGGCTAGGCAAGTTATTTAATCTTTCTACGTTTCATTTCTCATGTACAAAACGAGAATACTAATTGTACCCATTGTGCTAGGCTGTTGTGAAGGTTCAATCCTACAAAAAAGGAGCTTAGAACAGAACCTGGCACACAATCACAAAAGTTAGCAATTGGTTTTCTTCTTATCATCCTTATTATCTTGGGCGCTCTCCAAGTGCAAGTTGGGACTCAACTCCCCTCTGAAGGAGGCTTTCTTCTTGGTCAGCATCCCCTCGCTCCTATTCCTGCGGCGCAGCCTCTCCCTCTGGAGAGGGGTCTCTGGCCAGTCCCCAACCTGACAATAGGGATGGATTCTCTTCTCCTCAAAGGAGAAGGATACTGGGATTGTGGCCAGCAGTTTCCAGGCGTTTGGAAAAACCTCAGTGGGTTAGACCAGGGGTTGGCAAACTTTTTCTATAAAAGGCCAGATAGTAAATATTTTAGGCTTTGCAGGCCATATGGTCTTTGTTGCAACCACTCAATCTTGCCCTTGTAGCATGAAGGCAGTCATGGACAATACAGAAACGAATGGTCATGACTGTGTTCCAATAAAACCGTATTTACAAAAACGTGGCCAGCTGATTTGGCCTGGGGGCCATAGTTTGCTGGCCTCTGTAGATCAATCACAAAATCACTCAGTCAGGGCTGTGAGTCTTCTCTGCTTCTCTGTAACCCTGAAAATGCTCCTTTCCTTCCCTGAACCTAATTTTTGTCATTTATCAATTGAGGAGTTTGGGACAGATAATTTTTAGGAGTCATTCTGTCTTGAAAATGCAATAAGTCTATGACTGACAAGCTGTGTGACTTTGGGCAAGGCCCGACCCTCTCTGGGCCTCAGTCTCCTCCTCTGTAAAATGAGGGGATGCATTGATTATCAAGCCCTGATCACAAGCCGAGTAGGACACACTGGGCTTGGGAGGCACCCAGACCATGGCCAGGTGCTGCCTTTGCCCACCTCACTGCCTTTCTTCCCGCAGCCAGGGACCTCTGCAAGCTGTCACCCTGGGCTCGGCCAAAATTCAGTCATGCTTCGTGATGCAGTCAAGTTGCTCTTGCCCAAATGGCTTGCCTGGAAATCACTCTGCAGCCAGACTGCAGCAATCCAGGTTGGATTACGCCAGGCATATGGGGAGACTCTTTGTGCAGGGTGCCAAGTGGCAGTACAGGCTGGGGTTAGTATCACCATGGTCTGGACCCGACTGCAGCTTGCCCCAGAGGCCTGTAGGGACAAGGAGTTCTCCACTTCACAAGGCCAAGTTGATAGCCTTTTTCTGTGGCTGGCAGTCTTGATTCTTTCCTTGAGAGGCCGTGCCTTCACTCTTGGTGTGGTTAACAGGCGCCCACAAACTCACACATGCACACACAATCACATGGTACTCTTGTGACTGTCACATCCTAGGAAATGTCTTAACGATCTAAGGAGAGTCAGGAAGCTCTCCAGACCCAACCAAATGCTACTTTTATCCCCGTAAAAAGAGAGGGCCAGCTGCTCTGGCCTGACCCACAATAAGGCAACCCTTAGAAGATGAATTGAGTCGCCAGTGGGAAACCACAGCATCCTCGTGGCCTAACCCAGGCCTGGGACAGCCTGGTTCTCTGAGAGCCAAAGTGCCAACAGCAATGACACCACCAGCACACTGGGCAATTCTACCCAGCAGATGCCTCCACCCCATAGAGTGCATGACGTCCACATCTTCCCTGGGGTATCGGAATAACAAAGGCTGTGTCCCAGCACTATTGTACAGCTAGGGAAGGCCGGAAACCAAGCTACAGGAAACTGGTTGCTATGGTTTCCTTGAGCGTAATGCCACAGAAATTGCTTTCTAAAAATTTTTTTTTTTTCAGGGAGAGGTAAGGAGGGAAACACTGACTTCAATATTTACCATGCACCAAGCATTGTGCTAGGTTGTAAATACTCAAAGTGAATCACTAGGATTGGTAGTATTATCTTCATTTTGCAAATGAGAATATGGAAGCACAGAGGAACTAAGACTCTTGCTCACAGACACACAGCTGGAAGGTGGGAGAGCCAGTTATGAACCCAAGATCTCCACACTGCAGTGCATGCTCCTTTTCAAATATATGTGGTGGGAGCCAAGAGATCTTGCAACCTAAAATATTCTTATTATGAGGCCAGACTGGAGCAGGGAGGGGGATCGAGGAGGAAGGGACAGGGAAGAAGCTAAATGAGAGAAATCAAACAGCTGAGGAATGAAGACTGATGCCTTCTGATGTGCCAGAACAAGGCTCTCAGGGTGGGTAGAAGGGGCACAGGACTTGGCACCAAAGGGCCTTAGTGTGAAGGTCACCTTCCTCACTCCCAGCCAGAGCCTCCCACATCTGTAAAATGGGTATAACAATCATATCTGCCCTTAGGGTTGTTGTAAGGATTAATTGAAATAATATACATCAAATGCATGGTACAGAGTAAGCACTCAGAAAATGTTAACATTCTTGCGATTGATATTATTATTAATTATACTGTTGTGAAAACTCGTGAATTACCAATTGCTGTACAAATATCAATTAGTTTCGAGGGGACTTGAGCAACTCTGAGGCTAACTCAGTTGAGGGAGTAGAGCTAAAACACATTTGGGCCCCGGGACTGGCCATGCAGGTTGGTACACTCCACAGCTCACACACTGTACAAAGCAGCCCTGATTTATTGGCGCATAGAAGGAAGCTTCCTACCACACATTTCTCAGTCAGTGATGCAAGCATTCATTCCACAGGTATTTATTGAACACCTATTTGCTATGTCCTGTGCCAGGAGGCATATGACATGCTCCCTGCTCTCCAGGAGCTCACAGACAGTGAAGGAGACAGAAAAGCAACTACAGACTGATGCCTCATATAGTTGGACACAGGCAGTGGGTGTCTACTCTTTACAGGGAGTGTATGCATGCGTGTGTGAGCATGCGTGTATGTGTCCTGGTGGGCAGGAAAGGCTTCTCTGAGAAGGGAGCCCTTAAGTTAAGCCTTAAAAAATAACTGGGAGTTTATCAAATAAGTGAGGGAGGGCAGACTGGGAAAAAGGAATAATACCTACAAAGACTCCAGGGCATTTTTGAAACATATGATTAAAGTTTAAGTGTACATCCATGGCGTAGAGTCAGGGAGAGCTAGAGAGGTGAGTTGAATGAGAGATGGAATGGAAATAAAGGTTGGGACCAAGTTGAACAGGGCCTTTTTTACCATGCTAAGGATCCTGGAGGTTTCTCTCTGCTGAGGCAAGAGGAGGAAGCTGCGGTGTGCATGAAGGATGTGGCCATGAGGTCTCTGGAGGTCCTGAGGGGGACGGATTAGAAGCACTCAGGCTCTTGATCTCTGCTAGGCACCTTACTGAGCTCTTTGCATGGATTTCCTACTTTGATTCTCACCCAAACTCCATAAAGTGGTGCAACTATTTCCCCATTTTGCAGAGGAGGAAACCAAGGCTTAGCTAAATTCTGTGTTAGATTTGAACCCAGGGAGGTGGCCCTTTGCCCTCCTAATAGCTACTGCCTCTTACTGTGGACAGGGAGTACATTTCAGAGGTCAAACAAGAGGCCAGGAAAGAAGTTATGAAGTCTGAAGGAGGGAAGTATCTTGTGGGTGGAGGCTGAGGTGGAAAACCTTATGTTCCAGGCAGAGAAGTGCCCAGGAAGCCTGAGGCTCAGGAAAACCTGCTCTCTAGGTGATCTCACTCACAGAAACTTGAAGCTGTTAACACATAGCCATTGAGATTCCTTTCTGGGTTTGCCCCCACCTTTTGTTTGAAGGAGGTAAGCCTGGCCCGTGACAACACTTGAGAACAAACTGCTCACTGCAAAACTGGGAGAAGAAAGCAGAGGCATATACCCTTTTTTCCCTTGGGGAATTTGACCTTTGGGGCTCGTTGCTTATAACCTTCCATTGAAAAAAAATTGCTACTTGGGAGCTGCAGTCATTCCTGCCTGTCAAGAGTGGCCCTCTGGCCCAAAGGCTGGCACCCAGAAGGACTTGCTCTCCTTTTGAGAGCGCGCCCTCCCGTCCCTCTTGTGTAAATAAGTACCCTGGAGTGGAAATAAAATAATAATTGGGGCACAGTTATTCTCAGGCCAGTCTCGGGAAGTTTCCAGGCAGCTCAGGGAGACGGCGGCTTCAAGAGTTCCTGATGCAGAGGTAACAGAGAAGGTGAGTTGGGGCCAGCAGGAGAGAGCGCAGAGGAATAGCCTGATGCTTAGCCAAAAGCTCCTTCCACAACCCAGGCCAGAGGCACTTGGCTGCACAGCCCAGGACTGACGACGGCCCACGCTGCTTTCCAAGCGCCCCTGAGTTGCTGTTACTTAATTAGCTCCATGGCCATAAAAGGCTGGCTCAGCTTGGAGGAGGCGCCTGGCCCCAAGAAGCAGCACACTGAAGTGTCATAAAAACACAGCATGGAGAAGGGGCAGGAAAAGGAAGGGCAGGTGGGAAATTCAAGTCATCTTGGGTCTGTTGTTTCTAATAGGGCTTGCTCACCCTGGCCTGAAAGGATCCTGGGACCCTGCCCCTGAGCCCTGGTTGCTCACATTCACTACTGTGCCTAGATTTAACCCATCATGGAAGGGAGGGAACAGGCCCCGAGAGCAGAAAGTTGCAAGCTTTGGTGCTTGTGGTGTTTAAACAAAACCAGAAGACAAGGCACACAAAATTTCAGCCCTCTATTTAAAATCATTGCCAGGATTCTTATAAAACTGACTAATGTGCCACTTAATGTCTTCTGTTCCTCCCCAATTAACACCTCAATTTGAGAAAATTATTGTAGAGTATAGTGCCAAGGAAACTTGTTATCAGAGAAGCTGTGCTCACAGGGTGGTGAGAGGAGAGGTTTGGAATCAAACTTCTCTGGGTTTGAATTTTGGCTTGGGCACAAGCTGGCTGTTTGACCTTAAGAAAATAACTTCACCTTTCTGTTCTTCATTTGTTTCCTCATCTGTCAAATGATGATAATAATAGGATTTATTTCTTAAGATTGGTAGAAGAATTAAAATTCTGTGCATAAGGCACCCAGCACAGTGCCTGGCATATAGCAGATGCTCAAAAAACACAGACATATCTGAATATATTCATAAAACTCAATGTAGCATCTCTAGCATCCTGGTTCTATAAATGGAGATAGTAATAAGTATCATTACAGGGTTGCGTGTGGAAATTCCTTCCATGGTAATGGTCCTCAGCATATGCTAAGTATTAGTCTTTTTCTCTTTTCTTTCCCTCCCTTGCCTAGGCTGCTCAGAGGTTCAGAGCCAAATTCAATGTTTAATATAGCTCTTGGGCAATGGCTATTTCTTTTCCTTTCTATTATATCAACCATGTTGTATCCATGTAACTTGTTACAACCTGTCTCAAATTCCTTTTGAAGAGAGGCCAGGAGCAAACAAACACACAAACACTTACAAATCTATATTCTGCCCCATGGGAACTCTTCCCTGTTCCTCTGCCTGCCTCCTTAAGACCTAAATCCTCTGGCTTAGAAGGTACCATAAGCTGCTAGCTAGTAGCTGCATGGTTCCCTGACCCCTGATTCCCACTGTTTCTGACACAGAGGGCACTCAACCTGCCCATGGGCCTATCCTGAGCCTGAGCTGGTTGGTGTGGGAGGTGCCAGCTTGCGTCATCTCTTAGGCTCCTTCCCCATGTCCTCTCTCTGCTGCTGGTTCTGTGTCAATTACCCTCAGCATATCCCTCCTGCCCTCCATCCCTTGGGTCAAGCAGATGAGAAAGAAGTCCCATTGGCCACCATTTGCAGAGCATTTACAGGGGCTCACTGGCTCCTGAGGATACCCCCAAGAGGAAGATCCTATCATGATACCCCCTTTATGGGTGGAAAATTAACACTTGGAGAAATAGAATAACTTACTCAACCAAGGTCAGTTGGTGGCAGAGCCAGGAATAGAACCCAAGCTGAGGAAAAATGAATCACAATGCCACTTTGACCAGCAGCGATACCCATGTAGATCTCCCTCACTGCTAAGGGTTGAATGCACATTCAGGCTCTGCAACTTTATAAGAATAAAAAAATGGAGAAAAGTTAAACAACCACACAAATCCCAAATATTTCTTGAGCATGGACTCAGGACCTGGTGTTGGGCTGGGGACTTGGTGAGACTGTGCACTGCACTTTGCTATGTGCCTGGAAGCATGCTCGGCAACTCCACTCAGAGTTCCCAGGAGATGTAGTGCTGGTCCCTGCTCCATCCCCTGGCTTGCTGTTCCCTCAGCCTAATCTCATTCCTCCTTTCTTCCTTCTCATTTCTCATTCTTACTCAACTCGGAAATCTTCCCCAAGAAGTCTACATTCCCACAGCGCTTGGTGGCACCCATCACTATTGTAATGGCCTGTCTGTGAATGTCTCTCCCTCTAGACAGGGCATTTTCTGCGGACATGAATCAAGCTTTACACATCTTTGAATTCCCCACATGTAGACCAGTGCTAAGCATGCAGGAGGAGCTCCTAAAGGTTTGTTTACCTAAACCAGGAGGTGGCAAATTACAGCCCATGGGTCAGATCTGGCCCTTGGCCTGTTTTCGTCTGGCCCCTGAGCTAAGAATGGTTTTTACATTTTTAAAGGGTTGCAAACAAATAAAGCAAAAACAAGAATATGCAACAGAGACAGTACACGGCCGTGCAAAGCCTGAAACATTTATGATCTTGCCCTTTATGGAAACAATTTGCCAACCCCTGCTCTAAACTGTTGAAACTCAGTCTTGTGCAGGAAACAGGTGGGGCAGAGGAGCTAAGGGGACAAGTGGGGTTCAGTCTGACAACAAGGAGCTTCGCTGGATGCAGGAGAAAGACAGGAACCACGAGAAACAGGGGAGGGAGCACATCATGCCAACCTGTGGTGGGAGCAGGGAGCACTCAGAGAGACTCCACAGAGCAAGCTGAGATCAAAGGGCCAGTAGGGTTTTCAGAGTCACCATCAACAAGACATATTCCTAGCTGAAGGACAGGACATAAAAACTACATGAAATAAGAAGCTCTGTGTAAAGAAGCCGATAACCTAAGAAATCACGCCATAAATTATGGAGGGATACTGTGTGCTTGTGTGCTTGGGATTGCTAAATGTCATAAGTTTTTTAAAGCACAAACCAGTAGTTGGTGAGACAAGAACAAGAGCAAACAGTACAAAACTAGGGAAATCTCAAGAACTAGATCAGAGATACATGGCAACCAGTGCTAATTGATCACCATCTTCTTTTATGATAGGCTCAGATGTAGCTTCAAAATGCCTGTCAGCCCAAGCTCCAGCCTGCTCTGTGCACTTAGCATGCACCCCGGAGGTGTAACCATTTGCCATCCTTAGACTAGATGGAGTCTCCAGACTCTTGGCATAGCGGGGGCTTTGAGGAGAGGGGCTGGGGAGCTGGGTGGACCCAAGGAGCTCCTCCCTTAGCTGCGCTGGCATTCCAAGGGGCCGGATGAACTAGATTGTGGCTGCAGAGTGCTTAGACTAGGCCACTGGGGAAGACAGGGTGTCATTATTTATCCACACAAAGGGCTGCGTGGTTGTTATGTCTTTATTAATAATTTCCTGTGGGCTCAGAGGTGCCCGCAAGCTGCAGCATCACCTAATTGGCTGCTTCTGCCTTCTATGTGACCCAGCTGCCGCTTCAAAGCCTGGGCCTTCCTTTGGGTGTGGAGGGACCAAGCAATTAGCACCCGCCTCCTCCCTCCTCTGCTCAGTGAGTCAGAGAGATGCTTGGTCAGCAGTCCTCTTCTCCTGGCCTGTCCTCTGAGGACTTCAGACACCCTCAGCAGCCTCAGATGAGGAGCCACAGGGTGGCTGCAGCCTTTTCCTTGGAATGTGACCAAAGAACATGCACTGTCCCCTCTCCGCGGGGTTCCCTGAGCACTGCAAGGGTAGACACTTCACTTGGCAAGTATCTGTTGAGCCTGTACTGTTTGTAAACTCAGCGGGAGTCCCCGGAGATGCAGCAGTGAGGAGGAGTGGCTTGGCCTTTTCCTTGTGGAGTTCCTAGGAAATCCAACAAGGCTGTGATGGCCCGGGGAGATCAGAGTTAGGTGAGCAGGCAGCAAACCCAGACTCCGGGAATCAAGGAAGTCTTGCTAAAGGATCTGAGGCCTACGCAGAGATGTCATGGATGGGTGGGAGTCACTGCTGTGAGTGGCAAGGAGTATGCAGGTTCTAGGCAGAGGCAACAGCGTGTGCTAGTAGAGGCAACACAGTGTGCGTGGCATATGTGAGGGACTGAGGCTCAGAGAGGCTGGATCATAGCTTGCAGGGTGGGCATGACAAGGAGAGGCCGGAGTCCATGAGTTAGTGAAGGCAGGAGCTGGATCGCATGGGACTTTGTGGCAAACTGAAAGCATTAGGGCTTTTTCCTGAGTATGTTGATGTGTGTATGCAGGGCATATGATTATATTCACATTTTAGAAAATCTTGAGATCTAGATCCCAAGTGGGATTTAAAATCTGACCCACTGGGCATCACCCAGGACAAGGGAGGAAGGAGCCCCATCTCACCATGGGTCACCATGGGCAAATGGGTCTCACTCATTGGCACTTGTCCTTAAAAGGGCACTGAAAGGCACTTGGAATTTACTAAGAGGAAAGGGAACTGGATAGGGTACTGGATAGGACCCTCTTACCAAGCTCAAACCACTCAGCCAGGTGCTTCTGGCTCAAAGGCTCACTAGTGCTGAGCTTCATTGCAAGCAGGATCTCACTGGCGGTGGAAGGAGAGGGAGCTGTGAGCTCCATGGTACCCAATGCCTAACCTTTGGTAGGTAATCCATACAGTTAGCACTTAAACAGAGCATACTGTGCACAAGGCACTGTGCTTTACACATCCCAACTCATTTAATCATCCCCAGACCATGAGAGAGGTGCTATTGTCATCCACACTTCAGTGATGTTAAAATTGAGCACAGAGAGGGTAAGTCACTTGCCCAACCCCATATAGCAGGTACATGGTAGAGCCACTTTTAGTGACTCAGTGAAGAAGGAAAGGAAGGAATGAGAAAGGCCATCTGAGGCTTTGGAATGGGAAAGTATTCAGTGAGATGAAATGGAGTAGATGAGAACACTGGAGTGACAGTGCATGTAGGTGTCCAACATGGCTGGAGCCTGTGGGGAGTGGGCAGTGAAGCCCATCTTGCAGATAGCTTGTGCAATTAAATGGCCTTTCATACAGAAAGGCCCAGTGTAGCTTCTGGCACTGAGGAATAGCTCAATAAAACTTTGGTGCTGGCTGCACTGTCTCTTTGTGCCCAGTGCCCCTGCTAGAGCTAACCATCTCTCTAATGGCCGTCACTTGTCCAGCCATGGATTTTCCCATTCACCTGTCTGCTTGTCCTTCATTTTGCTGGCATCCCAAGAGAATGGACAAGAGATGAAAATCCAAGGTTTCCTAATTGTCTCCCATAGGCCTGTCATGTATAGGGAAACACTCAACAAGCATGAAATAGGAGATTATTGTCTGTTACCTGCATTCTGCCTAGACAGCAGGCTAACTAATACCCTAAGGGAGAGAGCCAGGGATCCTGGGGCCTTACTTCTGATTTGGCAAGCAGATGAGCTGATGTGAAAGAGTGTGAATTCTCAGCAGCCACAGATTGGACACCAGGGTGAGGTGGCTCAGCGTCCCTGTCTTCAACCTAGCCTTGAAACAAAGGATGAGTCAAGGGCCTGAATGAGGAGGGACAGGAAAAGTGTGCCCCACCCTGGATTGAGATGATGCAAGATCATCACTGAGCTACAAACACACTTCAAATCACTGGACTATGGAACGTAGGGCTACTTTTTTTTTTTTTTTTTTTTTTTTGAGACCGAGTCTCATTCTGTTGCCCAGGCTAGAGTGCAATGGCATGAATTCGGCTCACTGCAACTTCCACCTCCCAGGTTCAAGAGATTCTCGTGCCTCAGCCTGCCAAGTAGCTGGGACTACAGATGTGAGTCACCACGCCTGGCTGATTTTTGTATTTTTAGTAGAGGTGAGGTTTCGCCATGTTGGCTGGTCTTGAACTCCTGACCTCAGGTGATCCACCCGCCTTGGCCTCTCAAAGTGCTGAGATTACAGGCGTAAGCCACCATGCCCAGCCTTAGGGATACTTTTTAAGGCAATTGATGGCGACAATGTTTCATATGTGAAATGCAAATCTTATATGTCATGGGACCAAAAAAATGTTCTCTTTTGTAACATTTCCCTCCCTGCTCTGCCTGCTCAGATTCTCTCCTTCCTCTGTCCTCTCTGCTCCCAGGAGGGTCCTGCCAGTGTCGTCCTCTTGACCTGGGAATAGAGGGAGAGAATAGGTGGGATGGGCCTGTGGGTCTGGGCTGGGGGAGTTTGGGGGGATTTAGCTAAGACAGGCTGCAAGGGACCTTAGAAGTATAAGGGCAGTGGACGAGAGTGCTAAAACACAAGGAAACAAACACCTTGAGATGTGTAACTGCGGGTTTTAAGTCCCTTTAATGGTGTTTGAGGAATACAAATAAAGGACTTGAGTTATGTTGAAATTCCTTTTGGCTTCTGAAATGTGTTGTTTTAACCATGACACTGTTCTGGGTCTAAAACCCATGGACCACTGCTTTACTAGCTGTGTGCTTCTAGCTAATCTCATAGCAAAGAAGTCTATAAAATACACATTGATACTAGCCCAGTGAGTTCTCCAGTTCCTCAGAGATTATGCATTGACTTGTCTCATTCTATCACTTATTCATTCACTCACTCAACAAGCTCCTAATAAGCACCTATTATTATGTTCTAGGACCTGTGCTGGGCATAGGGGATCCAGAATGGTTCCTCCTCCAGCACACCTCAGTCCAAACCCTGGGCCCCACAACACACCAACTGAATTGTCTCCTCCTCTTCACTCTGTTTCTTCACCTCCTCGTGCCCCCAAAGCACACCCACAGGTATTGGCCATCTGGATTGGACTGAAGAAATTGCCAACCTTCCACCTGTGCCCATAGTCAGATACACATTGTAATTATTTGTCCACGTCTGTCTTCCCTGCTGACTCTGAGCATCTCAAGGTCAAGGACCATGCCTTACTGAGTTTTCAATCCCCAGAGTCTACAACGGGATCTAGCAAAGAGCAGGCACCAGTGAATAATTGTTCAACGTCTACAAATCTGTTTGTCTTTATTCTGTCAGTCAGCAAATAAGAACAAGCACATCCTCTGTGCAAGGCCCTGGCTCTGAGAACCCAGTGACAATGGGGACAGTATTGCTATGTCCACACAGCTAGCAGCTTCCTGGGGGAGACTGACAATGGGAACATACAGAGAGGGGCTGGGTCTAGTCTGGGGGTTGGGGTAGTTGGATTATGGTGGGAGGGAGGCTGGGGAGGGCCTTCTGGAGGAAGCGGCATTTAAATCAAGTGGGAATTAACTAGAATCAGCAGTTTTCAAACTGTTTGCATGTGGAAATAACCTGGAGAATTATATAAAAATAGTGGTGTCAGAGCCTTACCCCCAGAAATTCTGATTCAGTTAGTCTGGGTTGATACCTAAACACCTGCATTTTTAAAAGCTCCTTAAGTGATTCTATCATGAGAGGCCAGGTGGAGTCTCATTGAGCTAGATAAACGTGAAGGTGGAGGTGGAGGTAAAGGGGCGGAATGAGCAAGAGGGACATTCAAGGGCAACATGTATGAAGGTCCTGAGCATAGTCTAGAAACTGAAAGAAGTATAGTAAGGAGGAGGCAAAGACAGAGAAAGGGCATCATCTCAGCCTTAGCTCTCAGTGTCCACCAAGCCCCCATCATGACATCCCCAAGCTCCACAATCTGTCTGGGAGCCTACTGTGCTACAGGGGAGAAGCAAACATCCAGAGCTCAGGCCACCCACACTTGAGGCCACCACCGCAGATCTCCCTCAATGATGGCAGTACTGAGTGGTGGTTATTTTCTGCTGCCTACGGCTGCTGGAGGAGGAGTTACCAAGAACACCTGGCTGGGTAGGGACTGTGATGACAGGAGGAACGATTGGTTTCTGCAAAGGCATAATGTGACCTTTCTATGCCATCCCAAATATTGCTGAATGTGCATCTGGATTCCATTATATGTGTTGGGCCCCACCCTAAAGCAACTGAATCAGAATCCTGGTTGGTCTGGCCGGTGAAGAAACTACATTAAATATTGAAAGCTGGTGAACAGAGTGAGAAGAGCACGTGATTTTAACGTCAGAGAGAACGGATTCAAATTCTTACACTGATTCTTTGTTATTTGAACTTGCATAGCTGTTTAGCCTCTTGAAAGCTCAGTTTTATTTTACTTGTAGAAGGGATTTATAATATCTTACTTGCAGGCATGTGGGTGATATGAGACTAATAACGTGAAAGGTCCAATTGCCTGGATGGAAAGTAGTTGTGATGAAAATGGGATAATGATAGTGATGACGATGATGATGATGATGACGATGATGATGATGATGATGATTCTGCATTCTTTGAAATTATGTTGTGATTCATAATCCTAGAATGAAATAACTTTCAATTATGGTTGTAATCAATCATAAGTATCATATTTACTTATACTTTGGTTGATTAAAAAAGTTATTTATAAGAAGAGTGATAAGAACACTGTGCCAAATGTTTCACTATTAACTTGAGCCAATCATGCTTTTCTGCTCTTCCAAGAGAAGATTATAAATACTTCTGATGGTGAGAAGTTTGAGATAGGCTTGTCCTCAAATGTCTATTTTGAAATCAAGGTATAATAATAGTAATGCCCAGCTGAGCATCTACAGTCTCTTAGGGCTTTTACATATATTGAGTTTAATACTAGCAACACCTCTTCCAGAAAAATATTAATATCCCCATTTTACAGAAGAGCCAGTTCCTTAGAAAAAATAAGCCACAAGTCTTTTCCTGGGTTAAGCTTCCTGAGCAGAGCTGCCATGGGGAGGAGGAGAGGCTCATGAGCTGTCAGGAGCTCCAGAAGGGATGTCAGGCAACCGCCCCCTCATCCA
The DNA here is from genome assembly GCF_000001405.40 of Homo sapiens. Lineage (NCBI taxonomy): Eukaryota > Metazoa > Chordata > Mammalia > Primates > Hominidae > Homo > Homo sapiens. Next base: position 19,665,383 of record NC_000011.10, on the reverse strand, counting down.
TGCACCATCTGCTTCTCAGCTCAGCTGCCTCAGAAACAGCATCGGCTCCACAGACCTGAAAGGAGCACTGGTCCAGAGAACTGTGGGAGTAAAAGAGGATCTTGGCCAGTCGGCTGCAGCCTAGAGAGCTTCAGGAACCACAGAGTTGAAGCTGCTGTTCCTGCAGAGGTTGCAGACATGCCTCTTGCTTCTTGGATTTGAGTGGCAGTTTCTGTTCTCTTGATTTGGCATCAGGCTCTGCAATGGCTCCCTCTCTGCCCAGCCCTTTAGCTCAGCCTCTCAAACCTGGGACTGCCTCTCCCTCTCCAACCCCCACAGGAAATGCGACATAAGTGATAAAATCCTTGGCTTTTGAGTTTCACAAGACTTAGGTCTGAATGCCAGGTCTGCTACTTACCCATCAGCTGTGTGACATGAGCAAGTTACTTAATTTCTCTGAGCTCTTGGTTTTTCCTCTGTGAAGCAGATATAGCTAAACCTCTCTCTCACACCCTGCCCTGAGGATGGAATGCGAGAGTGAATATAAATATGTCTAGCACATTGCAAACACATAGTAGGTGTTCAATACATGTTCTTCCATTTCCTCTCCTTCATTTGGGAGGTGGAACTCAACATTCTCCTCCATAGCAAAGGCTTCCTGGTATTGTAAAGCCCTCAAGGTATAGCTAATGGGTCAAAGGCAGGTAGGCTGAGGCCCAAGAATTGGGTGGTATCTGACTCTCAGTTTCTACTGAGATTCAGAGCTGTATAACCTACCCCTTTACAAGGCTTGCTGGAAGCTGTATAGATGGAAGACTCAATTCCTTTTCTGGGAAACTCATGTCTGTAGTCAATCCTGTTACCACCATATTGGCTTGGTGCTTCTCCCATAAATGGCTCTAAATTAAGCTTGGACTCATGACCTCTCCATTAATATTCTGCTGACCAGTCATAACCAGGCTGGGACATGAAACATGACTACTAAAAGCTCAGGGATAGCAATAGGGAAGCACAGACAGGACTAGGAAACTGGCAAATCTAGCTCACCTTCAGTCTGGCATCTGCAAAAGACCCAATCCATGCCTGCATGCCCAGCTATAGGACCTGTATCCAGGTGATGAAGGGTTGACTTTTTCCTCTCACCCAAAGGAGGCTTCAATCAAGAGCGTAAACTAAAAAAGAGGGAGACTCAGAGAAAGAAATCAATTTCAGTCTAAGGCCTATCTATCAAGTTCTGGTGTTCTTTAATAATTGAAGTTGGGTTTTGCCTTCTGGCTTCAAGGGAGGTCTGGTTCCCTACCTGTATAGCTGTGGGTTCACCCTTTGAGAGGGAAGAAAGGCTTCCTTTCACATAACAGAACAGATAAGTTGATAGTGGCCTTCTTGTGCACTGTGTCATGGATTCTGAAGCTGTGGTCTGGGCTTGGCAGGAAGGAATCTTGTCAGTACTTAGCGGTGCCTGCCATGGGTATTGGAGTGGGGAGTGGTAGTCACATGCTACACGGTTGTCATCCCTGCCCCATAGCAGAAAACATGTATTAGAAAATGAGTCCATACTCTTAACATCGAAGATATATGGATGTTATTGTATGTGAGGCTCTTTTGTTCTTTCTGCAGAGAACTTTGATGGAATCCAAGATGGAAGAGGAGGCTGGAAGCAAAGGGCTGGGGAGACTTGAATTGTTTTGAATAATAGAGGGAGAAAATATTGCAGTTTCTATGTTCATCTGAAAGGAAGGAGATAAAATGAAGAAGGAAGGAGGATAAGCAATGAGAGCTGGAAAAAGAGAATATGCCACTAGGATGGTGTGAGGCTGGGTGCTATATGACAATGGAGCAGACAATGAAAAGTCCATACCATGGGGGTCGGGGACAGGGGACCACAGGAACAGCTTTTGGATTACAGGCCCTGGAGTCAGACTGCCTGAGTTCAATTCTTTAGCCCTGCTACTTCCTGACTTTGTAACCTCAGAAGTTTCTTATCTTCTCTAAGCCTCTGTTTTATTTGCAAATTTGACATAATGGTAGTGTCTAATTCATGGGGTTGTGGGGACAGTAAAATCAGATAATGTATATAAAATGCTCAGCACAATGCCCACCATATAATAAGCACCCCATAAACATCAGCTTGTGTTATTTTCATGTATTACACACACCATGTCTAATATTCAATATGAAATTACATGCATTTCTAAAATACATATCCCCTCTCTGTCTCTCCAGCAAATCTTTAGTACACTCTACACACATACACACTGTCTTGTGTGAGAGATATTGGGTTTCCAGGTGAGCAGATGTGATGAGAACAGAGTCAACATGGGCTGGTTGGGGGGAAAGGGTCAGTAAACAACAGAGGAAAAGTGTGGGATCTCAGGGGACTAGGCAAATGGCTTATCCTTACCACTCCCCAATCAAGAACTGACTGAAACTGGGGAGGGCTTTGGACCTCCACGAGGCATGGAATGTGGCACTCAAGCTAACTGTAAGTGGTCCTCTGTGAGTCAGGAAGGCCCTAGCAGGCATCATCTGGGTCCCATGTCCAAGAAATAAGGATATGGAGTGGCAAGAGGAGGGCGTGCAGCCCAGGAAAAGTAGCCAAAAGGCTACCTGGCACTGGACCTGAAGCTTCAGTGTCTCAGGCATGGGTGAGACAGGCAGGTGCTACTATAGGAAGCCTATATCCTGCTACAGGAATTCCTGAGCCAGTGGGCAGAGCTTCATCTTAAGGAAGCAGCTGAATGGAAAGAAGGCTCACAGGCAGGCCTGTCCGGTGCCACTGGGGTGCCAGACAACTGAGGGCCACACTGTCACCCCTCCAGCTGCCTGACATGTGGTGGTTAGCAGGAATGGAAGAACACGTGGGGCATGGGACCCACATGGATTCTGAAAGGCTGAAAGGTAGGCCTCTCAGCAATTGCTATTCTTTCCCTGAGGAGGCAGGGATCTGGTCTTACATGCTATGAACCTTGCCAACCAGTTTCTATCAGGTGTTTCCACCTCCTGCCTCACCCCACTGATGGGCAGGGAGTAAGGCCACCTTGGGTAGGCAGCTGCTTCAGTCTGGTAATCACAGTGACTCTGACCACAGCAAACGGCCTTCTGCTGTGGGATCAGCTACAATCATAATATTTTTTTTACTCACTTTGGATAACAACCTTCTGGTCTTTGATGGTAGGTAAACTAGAAGTCTCATATTCTTTTCACCTTTTTTTCTATTAATTTTGTAATAAACTTGTTTAAAACCACACACAGAAGATGATCTTCCTCTTCACACATTTTTAAAAAGAATTTAAGTGATGCTATAATTTAAGCCAGAGGTAGTAGACATGTGGCTGCTGTACCCCCACTTCCCATTCCCACAACTATGGCAGACATTGCTAATCAAACCCAGCACTTTTCCACTGCATTCCAGGCAGCCAGTAGCAATTGATTGGGGTGGACATATACATCAAATGTGACTTGCTGCCTGATCATTCCTCACCTCAAATTCAAGAGCCCTGGGTTCCAATTTGACTTCTACCACTAATTAATTGAGTAGCAATTAGTCTTCTTATTAGTTTCCTTATTATATGAGATAAATGTCCCACCTAACTATAGATTCTCGTTTGAATTGAATGGATACAAAGAAATAACATGAAATCAACAATGAAATCCACTGAGTATTGAATGTCAGACTCTACTCAACATTTTCACACTTGTTCTCTTATTTAGTATCATAATAACTGTCCACACTGGGCACAATTTCCTCACTCCTTCACACATTAAGGATACTGAAATACAGTATATTTAAGGAACTTGTCCCAGAGCACAAAGCTAATGAGGCTACAAAGCCAGGATTACAATCCAGGTCTGTCTGGTCTTTACAAACACTTATTTTTTTTTCCTTTACACCTTAGTTTCAAAGCGCTCTGACAAGTTTAAATACTGTACAAACAGAAAAACCCAGGCCTTTTATTGTTACGATGTTTTTGACTTTGAATCACCTCATCAAACCGAGTGTCAACAGTGGCACTCTGACAATAGCCAAAATATAGAAGCAACCCAAGTATCCATGGAAGAATGAATGGATACACCAAATGTGGTATATCCAGACAGTATGATATTTTTCAGCCTTAAGAAGGAAAAAAAATTCGGACACGTGCTACAACATAGATGAGCCTTAAAGACACTGTGTTAAGTGAAGTAAGCCAGACACAAAAGAGAAAACACTATAGGATTCCATTCATGTGAGGTACCTAGAGTACCAAATTCATACAGACAGAAAGCTGAATAGTGGTTGCCTGGGGCTGGGAGCTGGGGCGACAGGGTAGATGGTTATTATTTCAGGGGTAGAGAGTTTCAGTTTGGGAAGATGAAAAAGTTACAGAGATAGATGGTAGAGATGGTTGCACGACAATGTGAATGTACTTCATGCCACTGAACTGCACACTTAAAAATGATTACAATGGTAAATGTCATGTTATATATATTTCCACCACAATTAAAAAAAGAGTGACACCAAACAAAAGCCCCACTTTCCCTCAATTTTTAGAGCATTTGCACAGAAAAGTGCTATTATGATTGCTACTACTACTATAGTTAGAAGGACAACTCTCCATTCTCGACTGGGGGCATGCTACACTCAGGCTCATTTCAGAACCTTGGAGCAGCAGACAAATGTTTAGAAATTATATTCAATATTATAATTTTATATTGTGAAAGCAAACAGATCTACCTGTTACTTTTGTACTATATCTTGTCCACACTTTCTCGACTGGCAGGACATGGGATCAGAAAGGTTGAGGAACGCTGTCTAGGTGTCTGAAACCAGAGGTGGTTGGGTTATCCTGACTTTTGTTGGGATCTGATGCTCTTTCCAGGTGGCTTCTCCCCCTCCCTAGTACCCTGTGGACCTCTAATTTCTCCTGACATTGCCCAGTGCCACTGCCTCCCCTCCCTACTTGCTTTCTTCTGGACTCCATCTCTTGTTGCCTGGGTATTGAGTTCAGGAACGTATGAACCCTAATGTCCAGGCCAGGAAGTGGTGAGTGACAGTGATGACTCATCCTGAGTCACACGAGAAAAGAAACCAGACAGGTGAAGAGCTCCCAGATCAAGGCCTTGTCTGCCAGAAAGCACCAGCCCTGCTGGGGCAGCCCCTGGGATGCAGTGGCCGAGTGAAGTCGGCATAAAGCAAGCCTGTTTCCTTTGGTCCAGACTTGCCGTGCTACCAAACCTGATATTTTCTGCAGCACTGAACCTGTGTTTACTTTGAACAGCTTTGCCTGCCAAACTCTTGCTGGGGAAGGGAACACAAACAGTGAGAGAAGGATGCCTGGGGTACTCCTCTCCAGAACATTTTCTTTCCAAACAAGAGTTGTTTGCCTGGAAAGGCTCAATCTCTTAATGGTAGGCAGAGAAATGATCAATAGACTAGTATTAATAGCAATAATAATAATAATAATAATAATAGTTCTTTTGTGTAGTGCTCATTATGTTCAGGTATTATGCTAAGCACTCCATAGAGAGTAACTCATTGAAACATCACAACAACCCTGTGAAGTAGAAATTAATATGATCTCCATTTTACTGATGGAGAAACTGAGGCTCTCAGGGACTGAATCACTTGCCCAAGGCTATACCACTAGTAGATGGCAGGGTTAGGATTGAAACTCAGGAATTCTGGTTTGAGCCTCTTGTCTTCAATGTCTCAAAGAAACTGAGATCTAGACTAATGAATCATCTTGAGTCCACCCTCTTTCTAACCTTGCAGCCCATATCAATCTCTTAGCTTGTCCTGTTGATTCTGCTTCCTACTTGTATCTCCAATGTGTCCCTATATAGCTCAGGCCACCATCATCTCTTGCCTGAATTCCTGCTATTTCCCTACTTCTGCTCTGACCACTCTCCTCCCTGCCTACTTTCTATACATGAGCCAAAGTCATCTTTTAATATCATAAATTAGAGCACATCACCCCCCAGCACGTTAACTCCCACTTAAGACCCTTCTTCAATGCCTTCCCATTGCACCAAACTCCTTCCTGTGTCACACAAGGCCCTACACCATCTGGCCGTAGCTTATGCTTCTTGCCCACCACACACTCCATCTGAACTGGCCTCAGCATTTGCCCATCCTGTTGCCAGCACTCAGTCTTCACCAAGTTTTTCTGCCTACCTGGGTCTTGCTGGCTCCTTTTCATACCAGAGGTCTCCGGTCTAAATGCCAGTGCTTTACAGTCACCTTCCTTACCCCTTATACAATTAGATTCTTCTCTGTGTCCTTCATAATATCACAACTTGAAATTGTACACTTAAATTTCTTTAGTTTTCTTTATATTATCCATCTTCCCTCTTGGACTATAAGTCAGCAATATGTCTATTTAACTCACTGAAGTACTTCCAGGGCCTAATGGTACAAAGACAGAGCATCCTTTAGCTGCTAAGCTTGTGTTTGTCGAATGTTTTGCTGATTTCGTTTTCCCCAGGACTAGTGGAGAGAGGTACCTGGCTTCCTGACTCTATAACTTTCCTGTGCCTCCAGCTGAGCACCCTTGATTCTAAATGTCAGCTTAAATCTAATCAGTCATGTACTGGAATATTGGCTGTCATGGAAAAATAACCCCTGCTTTGTAGAATTTTCTGATTTCCATGGTGTAAATACTCCCACCATAGCTGATTTCAGGCAATCACTGTGGTGTCAGTGAATGCAGAATTAGCAAGAGACACAAGCAATTAGTTCTCATGAGCCAGTCAGAGCCTGCACGGGGATACTGCTGGGGCTCACCCAGATCTAGAGCCAATCTTACCCTCAGTAAGAGGATTTAGGGAGTCTGGCTTCCACATTCAAAGAGCTCAGCATAAAGCATTCTTTCTGCCACCTCTGCCTTCCACCAGGTGGCATGGATCTGATACTATGGCTGGTAAGTAAAAGTTTGAACACTGGTACCATGCAAAGACCCCGTCAGCATTTTAGTTCCCCTGCCTTCCAGCTGTGTGACCTTGAACAAACCACATAGCCTCCTAAGACTCACTTTTCTTAACTGTAAAATAGAGATAATAATAGTATCTACATGGCTGTTGTGATGATTGAATGAGTTTCTGTGTGTTAAGTATTCACTATAGAATAATAGCTAAAAGTCTAAACTCTGGAGTCAGGCAGCCTGACTCCAATGCTGGCTCTGTCACTTACTCGCTGTGTGATCCTAGGCAGGTTACTCAACCTCTCTGCGCTTAGTTTCTTAAGTTGTGAAATGGGATAATAATTGTTCCCACATCATAGGAATGCTGTGAAAAATTAAGTAAGTTTATAAATGTAGAATGCTTAGCACAGAGTAAAATATATTTATTGTTTGTGATTAAATGACTATAACGCAAACAAAAGTCCAGAGAACAGTGTCTGTTACATAGTATGAGCTTGATAAATAGTAGCTTTTATTGTTAATAATACCTGATCTATTATTATTGTTAATAATACCTGTGTTCCCCAGGTCATGTCCCCTAGTGTTCTCAGATCTAATACCTGAGTCTTTATCTCCCCATACCTCTGTCCCTGCTCTGATGAGCTGCTCCTATCCATCACCCTGGGCTCCCCTTCCTGGTGAAGGATCCTTGCCTGGATCTGTTGCTTGTCTCATCCTCTCAAGACTGAGCTCTTCTTCATGCCTCCCTGACTCACTTTCTGCCCGCATAGGGGTCTGGAGCCGCAGAGCAGTAGATGATCTTCGTTTGGAGGGTGAGGGACATTAGCACAGTCTTTCCCTCAAGGCCCTCCACATCTGGTCTACCCTGCCTGGTATCACTAACCCATGTGTTCCTCACCCTCTCAGAATACAGAGAAGGAGTGACTTCAGAAAGCTGAAGGAAGTGGGAAGCACCAGCATGGTGGGAAATGGGCAACAATTCAGATATGGCCATATTTCCCTAATATACACAGCCAACTTGACCATCTGCCTCTGGATGAGGCATAATCCAAAGAATATGGGTGTTGAAAATTAACTTGAGTTCAAATCCTCAAATAATGCCTACCCTCTCTGAACCACAGGGTGGTTTTTTTATATTAAATGTATAAAATAAGTTCCAACTGCTCAATTGTATTGGGAAGTACAAACTAGCAAAACGTGTATGTACCTGGCACAAACTGGATGCCCAGAAAGGAGTGGCAAACATGGTAGCCTTCCTGATCTACCCTAGCCTCTCCTGCTTTTTCCAGCTCTAAATACCAGAGGGCTAGGTTGAGCCACTGGTCTTACTCATCTCTATCCATACTTTCTAGGCATTCCCATGGATTTTAATACACCCCCAGCCTCAAACTCTCCCCTCAGCTCTGAATCTGTAGAGCTAACTTCCCACTCAACAGCACCACTTGGACATCTAGAAGACATCTCAAATGCATTACAATCAAGGGAGAACTCTTGGTTCTCCCACTTCCCTCTGCAGGCCTTTCCCTCCCCCAGTGTATCCACCTGAGTAAATGGCTCCTGCATTCTCCCAGGTGCTCAGGTGGAAAGCCTAGGTGATATCCTTGATTCTTTTTTCCCCTCACACACAGAATCCAAATCACAAGCAAACATAGCCAGCTCCATCTATAAAATATATCCTGAATCCGACCGCTTCCTTGTTTCCTCTGTGGCTACCGTCTCAGTCCAAGTAACCATTTTCTCCCCCTAGAGCATTGCTTCTCACAGGAGTCCAGGGGGATGTAGATTCCAAGTCAGTGGGTCTGGGCTGGGGCCATGATCTCAGTTGATGTGGGTGTGGCTGGGTCCCCAGGCACCCTGTACCAAGTCCCCCTGCCTCCACTCTTTGCCCATTTATTCACCCATCAGCAACCAGAGAGATCAGATTAAAACATAAATGCCTTCCCTTCAAACATGGAGTGAAATCCAACATTTTAACATGACCTTCAAGCCTGGGCATGATCTGGCTCTGTGCTCCTTCCCCAGTCTCCTGTCTGTGCCTCTCCCCCCTCACTCACGGCATTTCACCACAATGGCCTTCTTTCTGTTCCTCACACACACCAAGCTGCCTCCAGCCTCAGGGGCTCTGCATTTGATGGCCCTTCTGCCAGATGAATGCTGAGCTGGAGAGTCCAGTAAAGCATGACGCACCACAAAAACCAGTAAGGTACAGGCCCCCGTGACAAGGGATGGGCCTTTGCTGTTGAGAATTGGCCCCAGAGCGCCTCCTGCAGCTCTTCTCCCTGGTAATGGTGGTCTCTGCATGCCACTCCTCAGTGCTCTGCATTTTGTCATTTCTATCTGCTATTTAGATAGCAACTTAGCTTGAAGCTGTGCTGTGAGATAACCATAGCACAGCAAGATGAGCTGACACTGCTGAGCCCCTTCACGGAAAGGTTTTCTCAAGTCATATGTTCTGAAAATGACATCTTCCCAATCCCCCAGCAGAGGCTTGTCTCTTTGAAAACCAAGGGATCAGCTGGACAATCTTCCTTCTCCAACCAGTGGCTTGGAGGAGTGTGAGGCTGCTCTTTGATCTTTCTGGTCACCCCTAAGATTCTTTTTTTTAAATTTTTTATTATACTTTAAGTTTTAGGGTACATGTGCACAACGTGCAGGTTTGTTACATATGTATGCATGTGCCATGTTGGTGTGCTGCACCCATTAACTCATCATTTAACATTAGGTATATCTCCTAATGCTATCCCTCCCCCCTCCCCCCACCCCAAAACAGGCCCCGGTGTGTGATGTTCCCCTTCCTGTATCCATGTGTTCTCATTGTTCAATTCCCACCTATGAGTGAGAACAATGCAGTGTTTGGTTTTCTGTCCTTGCAATAGTTTGCTAAGAATGATGGTTTCAAGCTTCATCCATGTCCCTACAAAGGACATGAACTCATCCTTTTTTTGGCTGCATAGTATTCCATGGTGTATATGTGCCACATTTTCTTAACCCAGTCTATCATTGTTGGACATTAGGGTTGGTTCCAAGTCTTTGCTATTGTGAATAGTGCCACAATAAACATACGTCTGCATGTATCTTTATAGCAGCATGATTTATAATCCTTTGGGTATATACCCATTAATGGGATGGCTGGGTCAAATGGTATTTCTAGTTATAGATCCTTGAGGAATCGCCACACTGACTTCCACAATGGTTGAACTAGTTTACAGTCCCACCAACAGTGCAAAAGCATTCCTATTTCTTCACATCCTCTCTAGCACCTGTTGTTTCCTGAATTTTTAATGATCGCCATTCTAACTGGTATGAGATGGTATCTCATTGCGGTTTTGATTTGCATGTCTCTGATGGCCAGTGATGATGAGCATTTTTTCACGTGTCTTTTGGCTGCATAAATGTCTTCTTTTGAGAAGTGTCTGTTCATATCCTTCACCCACTTGTTGATGGGGTTGTTTGTTTTTTTGTGGTAAATTTGTTGGAGTTCATTGTAGATTCTGGATATTAGCCCTTTGTCAGATGAGTAGATTGCAAAAATTTTCTCCCATTCTGTAGGTTGCCTGTTCACTCTGATGGCAGTTTCTTTTGCTGTGCAGAAGCTCTTTAGTTTAATTAGATCCCATTTATCAATTTTGGCTTCTGTTGTCATTGCTTTTGGTGTTTTAGAGATGAAGTCCTTGCCCATGCCTATGTCCTGAATGGTATTGCCTAGGTTTTCTTCTAGGGTTTTGATGGTTTTAGGCCTAACATTTAAGTCTTTAATCCATCTTGAATTAATTTTTGTATAAGGCGTAAGGAAGGGATCCAGTTTCAGCTTTCTACATATGGCTAGCCAGTTTTCCCAGCACCATTTATTAAATAGGGATCCTTTCCCCATTTCTTGTTTTTGTCAGGTTTGTCAAAGTTCAGATAGTTGTAGATATGTGGCATTATTTTTGAGGGCTCTGTTCTGTTCCATTGGTCTATAACTCTGTTTTGGTACCAGTACCATGCTGTTTTGGTTACTGTAGCCTTGTAGTATAGTTTGAAGTCAGGTAGCATGATGCTTCCAGCTTTGTTCTTTTGGCCTATGATTGACTTGGCAATGTGGGCTCTTTTTTGGTTCCATATGAACTTTAAAGTAGTTTTTTCCAATTCTGTGAAGAAAGTCATTGGTAGCTTGATGGGGATGGCATTGAATCTGTAAATTACCTTTGGCAGTATGGCCATTTTCATGATACTGATTCTTCCTACCCATGAGCATGGAATGTTCTTCCATTTGTTTGTATCCTCTTTTATTTTGTTGAGCAGTGGTTTGTAGTTCTCCTTGAAGAGGTCCTTCACATCCCTTGTAAGTTGGATTCCTAGGTATTTTATTCTCTTTGAAGCAATTGTGAATGGGAGTTCACTCATGATTTGGCTCTCTGTTTGTCTGTTATTTGTGTATAAGAATGCTTGTGGTTTTTGCACATTGATTTTGTATCCTGAGACTTTGCTGAAGTTGCTTATCAGCTTAAGGAGATTTTGGGCTGAGATGATGGGGTTTTCTAGATATACAATCATGTCATCTGCAAACAGGGACAATTTGACTTCCTGGTCACCCCTAAGATTCTATCCTGTCTGATCATCCAGGGGAGTGTGGGAGGTGGAGTGGCTCTGCCCAGGAGCTCAGGTATCAGTCTTCTCAGGTTCAAAGTCCAACTCTGCCAGCTGGGATGCGTTACCATGGGAAAATTACTTAAGCTCTCTAAGCTTTGTGTTCCTCGTCTGCAAAATGGGTATAGCAGTTGTTCACTATCTCACATCCTTACAAGTGTGTTCATATACAGGATGAACTTAGGATGACTCCTGGCACATAGTAAGCACCCAATAAATGTTAGCTATTGTTGTCATGCCTTACCATCTCTGATATCTTCCAATAACACAGCAACCAGGGCAGCAGAATTGGACAGAAACAGCATGAGGTTTTGATGCCAGTCTCTGCCTGTCTACACGTCTTTGGATAAGCTGCATCACCTGAGTTTTCTTATCTGCAAAATGGGAATAGTATTAGCAACTCTCTGGGTACAGTGAGGAATATTCGTGAGCTCACAAATGTAAAATGCCTGGCGCTTAGAAGAGGTTTAATAAATGTTAGTTCTCTTCCTCTTGTCCTCCTTACTCTCCCTCTGAAGCTTGCCTATGCATTCACAGTACTTTTTTACTTTCACTGTCACGCTGAATAAATGAATACATTAAGTTAGTGTGAGCAGATACTTTAAGAACTCAGGCTGGTACATTTCCCATGTTTCACCGCCATCCATCATGAAACATTAACAAGAGCACTTAAAGAAACACAGCCACATCAGAGATAGAACGAAGCTCCTCTGTTGCTCAGTGGCTCTTGTGCCAAGTGTCACATGCTATTAAGGCCAACAGCAGGAGAGGCTGAGCTGAATGGGGAGCCTCAAGAAGGGAATGGAGAAAGGATGGCTACCGAGAAGCTGCACTGTTCATAGTTGGGGTCTGTGGCTGGACAATCTCTGCCTTCCCTAGAGCTTTGGCAAATAAAAACCAATGCTTTGTGGCCTCAGAAAAAGTGGAGATAACCTTAACACCCATCAACAGGAAACTGGTTAAATAAATTGTAGTCCATGCAAACTATGAAATGCTTTGCATCCATTAAAGAGAAAGAAGCAAATTTATGTGCTGCCATGGAAAGCTGCCAAGTGTAAAAGCAAGGTGGAGAATGCTATGTATGGGATGGTTCCATTTATGCTAAAAAAGCTTGGTAGTCATTTGTGGACATAACTTCAGGTAAATGCATAAGCTGCACACCAAACTGGTGACAGCCTCTGGGCAGTGGGGAAGCAGACTCAGGGCAGCCATGGAGGATAAAGCGACACTTGTGCTTTTTACCACGCATCCTTCTGTGCTAGTGATTGCTTTATGCATGTGTTACTTGGGAAGCTAAGGGAGAAAAGGGCAGTGGTGGGCGTGGAGTGGGGGGAAGAAAAGAGGGGAAAACCAATAGTTCTTTGTCCAAAAACCTAAGCTTAGACAATCAAGGATGCTAGGGTCTGGGGGAAGCCTTGATTCCTCACTGCATATCACAGTTTATTCAGAGAAATATCCAACTGTGCAGCCCTCACAGCTGACCCTTGGCCCACATCCTCAGCACCTCTGCAGAGGGGCTGGGATGGAGGCTGCCTTGACCCAGGACCCCACAAGAACCCACCCTGCATGTCAGCTCTGCTGGCTTCAGACCGGAGCAGCCCTGGAATGAGGATGGTCCCGAGGACACTTGTAATAAACCAAGATTCCTCCAAGCACTCCTCAAAGCCCCTGACCCTGGGTAGATTCTGAATGAAGGCTTCTGTTAGCTGGGATTGTAGGGGGACAAGTGGCATTTTTTTCTAATAGGCTTCATTTAATTGGTTAATATCTTGGATTAATCACTGTGCATCCGAGTTATTATGAAATAAGGTCACTCCTTGCTCCAGGATGTTCTATGGTCCACCATTACCCACAGCATGCAGTACAGCTTTCTTACGCTGTCACTCAACGTCCTCAAAGTTCTGGTGTATCTAAATACTCATCCTTCAAGGTTTAAAGAAAAAGCATATCCTATTATGCTTTATGACTCATCCTGCCAGAAATGGTTTTTAGAAACAGATGCCATCTGTCAAGGCTGCCATCTGCCCTGTCTTTGCTATGAGGGCTAAGGTGGATGGCTAAGCTGGTCTATTCAGCCTCAGTTTTTCACTCAGATCCTCCTCAGGCTCTTAAATGAGTCAGGATTGGTAATAATTCAAATTATAAAACAAGTTTCCATGCATTGAGCTTTTACCTCATGCCACATGGTGCTAAGTGCTTCACATACATCATCCCACTTACTTCTCACAATGAAATTTCAAAGTGGGTGTCATGTGCTTCCTTTAAAGATGAGGAAACTGAGGTTCAGCAAGCCCATGCTGACAGGGGAATCTTGACCTCTAGGTAACACTGCCAACCCAAGGCATGGTCTGACCACTCACTGATGTGGGCACCTCTGCAGCCATGTGGCCCGGTGGGGTGTGCAGTGAAGGACATTCCAACAAGCACGTCTTACAGACATGGCACATTATATGTTTCATGTGCATCACAGGTTCTGAAATTCTCCATGCCTCTGTCCCAAGGGAAGTGTACCCAGGCCTCTCTTCTCCACCTTGGGGCCTAGCAGGTTGAAAATGCTTGAGTTAGGCTCTTATTTAATCTCTCTGCTCTTATAGAACCCTTGAGAAAAGACGTTCTCCCTGGAGATTAGCTGTGAAGAATGCTTTCCAGGAAAAGGCTCTTGAAGTGTGTCAAGAGGGTCTCTACAAACCTAATGGCTTTTTACAGACCTAGTGGGGTGTTTTTTTTCTTCTCCCAAGAGCTACCTTGAACGGAGACTCAGATGATGGGATTCAGGTTCTGGCTTGGCCATCAGAGCTGTGTGACTAAGGGCAGGCAAATAGCTCTCCATGTTTAGGCTAACTTAATTAAGAAATAGTTTACATAGAATAAAACACTCATTTTATGTGTTCAATTCAATGAGTTTTTATAAATGAGATACTTCTGTAACCACCAGCGCACTCAGATATATACATTTCTATCACCCCAAAAGCTCTACTTTCTGTTTTCCGTCATTAAAGATTAAGTTTGCCTTTTATGGAATTTCATACAGATGGAATTATTCTGTATATAGTCTTTTTTGTTTGGCCTCTATCTCTCAGCATGTTTTTGAGATTCATTCATGTTGTGCACGTGTCAGAAGTTCATTCCTTTTAATTGCCGGGTAGTATTCCACTGTGTGAATACACCACAATTTGCATATCCATTTACTTGTCGTTGGATATTTGGCTTGTTTCCAGTTTGGGGCTACTGTGAATAAAGCTGCTATGATCCTACATAAACAAGTTTTTTGTGTAGCCCTATGCTTTCATTTCTCTGGGTTAAATACCCAGGCATGGAAGTTCTGGGTCATACAGTGGGTGGTGTTTTAGTTTTCTTGGGCTGCCATAACAAAGTACCACAACCAGGAGGCTTAAAACAACAGGAATTTATTGTCTTACAGTTCTAGGGGCTATAAGTCCAAAATCAAGGTGTTAGCAGGGCCACGCTCTCTCTGAAGCCTCTTAGGGAGGTTTCTTCCTTGTCTCTTCCAGCTTCTGACAGCCCTAGTTCCAGCCCTTGGCTTGTGGCAGCCTAACTCCCATACCTGCCTCTGTCTCCACAGGGCCACCTTCCCTCTGTGTCTATGTCTTCACATGGCATTCTCCTCTGCAGCTGTCTGTCTCCAAATTTTTCTCTTATAAGGGTGCCAGTCATATTGGATTACGGCCCAACTTCATGATCTCATCTTAACTTGATTATATCTGAAAAGACCTTGTATCCAAATAAGGTCACATTCACAGGTGCCAGAGGTTAGGACTTCAATATATCTTTTTTGGGGAAGACAAGTCAACCCATAACATATGGTAAGTATATGCTTAACTGTATAAGAACTGCCATTTTCCAAAGTGGTGGAATCACTTTACATTCCTGCCAGCGACAGAAAAAGTTTCAGTTGCTTCATGTCGTTGCCAATACTTGCTATTTGTCACACTTTTGTGTTTTGGCATTCAAATGGGAGTGTGGAAGTATCTCACTATCGTTTTCTTTGCGTTTCCCTGGCTATCAATGATACTGAGGGTCTTTTCATGTGCTTATTTACCATTCATATGTCTTTTGTGCCTGTTCAAATATTCTGTTCAATTTTTAATTGCATTGATTGTTTTCTTATTATTTGGTTATGTGTTTATGATAGACTGAATATTATATTCCCCCAAATTCATATGTTGAAAACTAATCTCTAATGTTATGGGATCTGGAGCTGGGGTCTTTGGGAGGTGATTAGGTCATGAAGGCAGAGCCCTTGTGAGTGGGATCAGTGCACTTATAAAAGAGGCCCCAGAGAGACCCCTCCACTCTCGCTGTGAGAATACAATGACAAGACAGCCATCTGTGAACCAGGAAGCAGGCTTTCACAAAACACCAAATCTGCCACATCTTGATCTTGACCTTCCAGCCTCCAGAACTGTGAGAAACAAATGTTTGTTGTTTATATGCCATTCAGTCTAGGTATTCTGTGACAGAAGGCTGAGTGGACCAGGACAGTGTTCTTTATAATATATTCTCTCGAGGTCATTTGAAACACAGGAGTAATAATCTTATTATGAAAGTCCCCTAGAGCTCTTGTAGCTCAAATTAAGTGGTGGAATGGTGGGAATGTTAGCCCACTAACCAGATGCAAATATTGCACTGTTCTATATCCCTTGACATAGCAGTCTTACTCTAGAGAATTTATCCTGAGGAGAATCACAAGGATTTAGTGATATGAATGTTCCTCATAGCACAGTTTATGCTATAGAAACACTACGATTAGCCTAAATGCCCCAAAACTGGAGCTGTAAGTACACATGATAGAATACTATAGAGCCACGAAAACAAATTTCTATGGATAAAAAATAACACAGAAAGATGCTTATAATGTTGAGTGAAGAAAACCCAATTACAAAACATCAAGTGTAATAAAATCTACTAAAAATGTCCATAATTAGCATAGTAAGATATCAGGTAGGAAATACATCAAAATATTAACATTAATTGTTTCTAGGTGGCAGAAATTTGGACAATTTTTATTTCTTTTTGGCTTATCTGTATTATCTGATTCCTCTACACCTAGCTAATAATAACTGTACAAGTATTTAATTGTGTTACTGCCAGGGTATAATTTTCAAAGGACAGATATATGTTTGACATTACCTTGTTATCCTGAAGGCTAACCATAGCAGAGTAGAAAAAGTCCACGCCTGTGATCTCTCAGGGGGCCCCATCACCAACCACTCTCCAGGGCTGTTTTCACTTGGCAGATCAGCAGCAACGGTGGAACCAAGGCCAGCACCCAACAAACATAAGAGCCATCCCAGTGTGGACTGGGCTTCTGAGACTCATGACCCTTGGGCACTTCCTCTTAGCTACTGGGCCCCATTCTGAAACATGATATGCTTGAGGCCTATCAGGCAGTGATGTGCGGGAAAATGTTTACCAGCTGGCTCTCTAGGAAAAATAAAACCAACTCTCATTTGGCATGTTTGCAATTGCTGTGGTGTAAATATTCCCATCATGGCTGATGTCAAGTTACTGCCATGGCACCACTGAATGTGGCAGGGGAAGAGATGTGTATAGTAAATCATTACATAGTATTTTATATAGTGTTTCCACCATCTAGAAACAATAGACCTAAAATAACTTCAAGAGCATAGACAGTAGGAAAGAAATGATGAGTTTTGAGTATTTATTACCTTCGTTTTTAATATACTGTTTTAATTGTTAGATTATAAAATTTAATTTTTAATAATAACTGCTTTTCACAAGTAGCTCACAAAATTCCTGAAAAATTAACAGCTGGCTCTTGTGCGAGTATAAGCTGACTCCAGCATACCACAGCATATCAAGCCACCCTCCCCTACAGAGAAGCCTGTCCCACATCAATGTAGGGAAGCTACTACAATGTCTAAGCCTCAGTGTTGTCATTTTTTTGTAAAATAAGACTAATGTTGTCTGACTCACAACAGTTGGGAGGATTAATGTAAAAGTTCTAACATTATACCTGGCATACAATAGGAGCTCAATGACCGCTAACTTTTAAACCTCTGAAGCAGACACAGTTAGGAGAAAGAGCCAGAACCTCTGCCCTCTTGCCCAGAGCCCACCTATTCTCTCCTGCTTCCACCAAACAAAAGTGTGGGTCAGAAGCCTTGACTTTCTCCCTCTACTCCACATCCATCCTTGGCCAGGGCTCACAACCTAAAGGTGACTGGCTACAGACACAGCAAGGTATGGGTGTCCAAGTCCAGGTTCAAGAGCTGGAAGATCCAGATGCAAGTGCTGCTACTCCCATCTGCTTGCTGCAGAAGCTTGACATGTCCTGGAGCCTTCCCAAGCCTCGGTTTCCTCATCTCTAGAAGGGGGTCATGCATCTGCTTCACAGAGTTATAATGAGGATGAGGGATGATGTTGGTGCTGGAGGGAGGTGGGCAGATACTGACCATCCAGCAGATGCTCATTTTGTGTTGCAAGTGGACTTATGAATTTCCAGGCTTGGGAGGATCAGAAAAGCCGGGACATTTTGGGAAGCAAAGAGCAGCTTTAACCCTAGGTATGATCTGAGGACTACTCCACAGTCTTCCATGGTGGCATCAACTGATGAACAGAGCCAGCATCTTTATGACTTCTGGAAACCCATCAGCCTGGGAGATCTGCAACAGTGGACAAAGTATGTAGGCACATGTGCGCTCAGCCACATCCTCTCAGGCCTGTGGTTTTCTAAGTGCTGAGGGCAGCTCGCCAAGGGAAATCTATCTGGACAATCTTGACCACAGGCACCAGGATTGCAAGTTCTAGCAGCTCAAGCCAGAGACCCTGAGAAAAAGTGTCGTCTCTTACTCCACCTCTGCTTGTGGCAGGAACAGCTGGCATTTTCTGATACTCCTGCCACCTGCCTGTGGCAGAGCTTTCAGAAAATCTGGAGGCCTAGGAGAGGGAGTATGGGAGGGGGCTGTCCTCCTGTAGTGCCTGAAGAGAGATGGGTTGTAGTATAAGTCATATCTGAGTTCAAGTCTAGGCTCTGCCACATTCAAGCTGTGTGATTTTGTGCAAGTTACTTAACTTCTCTGAGCCTCATGTTCTATATCTATAAATTGGAGAGATCTATAATGCCTACCTCACAATGTTGTTGATAAGGTGAAAGGTTTTATATTTAAAGCATCTAGCTCAGTGCCTGGAGTATAGATGCTATTTGAAAATTGTTGTATGATTACCTGCCTCTGGCCAGCACCCTCACCCTCAAATATACCCCAACATCCCCACACCCTGGGAAGCTCCCCAGATCCTGTACTGTAACTCTTCTGAACCCATTCTTCCTCCTGCCCTCTGACTTCCAGTAGTTTTCAGCACCTGGTAAACATCACCACACGCCCTCAGCTCAGATGTGGTCATGAGCCATGTGTGGCTGCCCAGAGCTTGCCTATACAAAAGACAAAAAGAATGAGGAAGCCTGCCTGCCAAACTTTCTCTGCCCCATTTCAAACAGGCCTGATGTGCAGTTAAGAATATTTGTATTAAATGAAATAGAGCTCCCATCCCACACCTCCATTTTCTTTTTCTCAGTGAGCTCCATTCTGCAGCCCCTCAAGGTTGGTAAGGAGGAGCAATTAGAACACGAAGCATGTTGGTATAAAGTCATAATCAGAGATGCTGGGTGTGCATTTTCTGGTTTTCTGGCATTTGCTCAAGAGGCCATTAGCATTTCTGCTGATGGGGCTGAAGCCCCCAGCCCTGGCCTCTCATTCAACCCCATTTGCAAAGCCAGGGGATAATCTGCAAGGTGGGTGCAGGTTCTAAGAAAAGCTCAGTGCCAGGCATTTTCATCAAGCCAATGAGGTATCACTGCCCGTGGCAGCCAATGTTACCTTTAATGACATCACATTGCATGAGAGAAGCTACCCAGGTTCTTGGCCGCAGCAATGGTGTAGTTTTGGAGTTAGACTTGGTTTTGAATTTCTGCTTTGTCATTTACCACTGGGTGACTTTGGAAGAGTCACTTAACCTCTCTGGGCTTCAGTTTTACTCAGCTGTAAAATACTAGTTTCCACCTCATCCAACCAGCGTTGTGGTGATAATTATTAGGTTGGAGCAAAAGCAATTGCAGTAATGGTTTTTGCCATTACCATTAAAAGTAATGGCAAAAAACGCAATTGCTTTTGCACCAACCTAATAAATGAGACATGCTTTTGAATCATATAGCAAGTGCCTGGCCTATAGTAAAAGCTCAGTAAGTTTTAGTTTCCATTTCTTCTCATCCCTTTTCAGCGTGTTGATATCCCTTTCCTAACTCTACATGTTGTTAGTTGCCAGACTAGGGATGGTGAATATCTGGCATCCTTATCACCCCAAACCTATACCAGGTCCTGGGCAGACATTACTAATTTATCCCTATGGTGGTAGGTGGAATTATGGCCCCCAAAGATGTTCACGTCTGAATCCCATAAATCTGTGAAAATGTTATCTGACATGGTAAAAAGGACTTTGCACATGTGAATAATTTAAGGATACTGAGATAGGGAGAATCTCCTGGATTATCCAGGTGCACCCAGTGTAATCCCAGTGGTCCTTAGAAGTGAAAGCAGGAGGCAGGAGAGTCTGTGTCAGAGTGATGCAGCATGAGGGAGGCTCAAACTGGCCTTTGCTGGCCTCGAAGATGGAGGAAGGGGCCACAAGCTGAGGAATAGGACCAGCCTCTAGAATCTGTAAAGGGCAAATAAATGAATTCCTCTTTAGAGCCTCCAGAAGGAATGCAGACCTTTCGACACCTTGATTTCGGCCTGGTGAAACCCGTACTGGACTTCCAACCTCCAGAATTGTAAGAGAATAGGCTTGCGTTGTTTTAAGCCACAAAATTTTCATAATTTGTTATAGCAGCAAAAAGAAAACTAATACGTCCACCTTCTTTTCCCATAAGAATTCATTGGCCTATGAATTATTTTCAATACAATGCTCCAGGCAACCACAACCAAGCAACTGGTGTAAAATACCAGATGCAACATTCAGTCAAAGCCCAACCTGGGCTACAGATAATGCCATAAACTGGTCCATACCTTTGTGCTCTGGTTTTTCTGCCCTGGCCTGCTGGCCCATCTATCCTGATTTTCAGATCTCATCTCTGCTGCCTACTTTCCCCTTTACTTGAGGCCCAACAAGCGGAGGTCCACACCCCAACCAGTTCTGAATCTCTTCCTGCAGTCTCAGGCCCTGTAGTGGCCCCAGAAAATCCACTACTTCTTTCCAGGGCTTTACTCTCCCAGTCTCAGCAAGAGCCTGGTCTTCTGCAGCTGCCCTGTGATCCACGGCTGAGGGATCCTCAAAGCAAAGGAACCCACAGGAATGGTTGGATCACAAGCAATATTAGACCACAGTCCGCCTTCCTGGCTCCCACTTCCTTTAGCTTCAGTCAAAAGGCCTCTACCACAGAGGGTTATATGAGATGCATTAATTCATATCCACCGGCCTGGGGCCACCATAGGAACAAAGGCTTCTCGCAGCAACAGCCAATACCAAAAAAATGCTTCCTCTGGAGGAACAAATGGTCCCAAATAGAGACATTTTTCTTTTACTTGTACATCCAGAGGGGCTATACACAAGGACAAGTTTCCCAGGGGTTGGGCATCAAAGTGGAGAAAATAATGACTTACAGTTCAAAATGTCCTGATATGAAACACCTTTTCCCCAGCATCTCTTTCTGGAATTCACCTCCATGCAAATATAACCATACATGCTTCTGCTGTGTACATACCCCATCCCCCTCCAGGGCAACAAAACTCACAGAAAGGCTGCTGTGTGTGTGTGTGTGCACATGCACACACGCACACAGAGGTATCACATACACAGACACATACGCACAGGGGTACCTACTTACTAACCCAAGATACTTATGCATTTATCTACATGGAGATGATTAAATGCCAGGTTCCTGGTATGTACGTGCTCAAATATAACACACATATTTAGAAGAGCAAATACATCCAGAGAAATGCAAATCAAAACCACAATGAGATACCATCTCACACCAGTTAGAATGGTGATCATTAAAAAGTCAGGAAACAACAGGTGCTGGAGAGGATGTGGAGAAATAGGAACACTTTTACACTGTTGGTGGGACTGTAAACTAGTTCAACCATTGTGGAAGTCAGTGTGGCGATTCCTCATGGATCTAGAACTAGAAATACCACTTGACCCAGCCATCCCATTACTGGGTATATATCCAAAGGATTATAAAACGTGCTGCTATAAAGACACATGCACACGTATGTTTATTGTGGCACTATTCACAATTACAAAGACTTGGAACCAACCCTAATGTCCAACAATGATAGACTGGATTAAGAAAATGTGGCACATATACACCATGGAATACTATGCAGCCATAAAAAAGGATGAGTTCATGTCCTTTGTGGGGACACGGATGAAGCTGGAAACTATCATTCTCAGCAAACTATCGCAAGGACGAAAAACCAAACACCGCATGTTCTCACTCATAGGTGGGAATTGAACAATGAGAACACATGGACACAGGAAGGGGAACATCACACACTGGGGCCTGTCGTGGGGTGGGGGGAGGGGGGAGGGATAGCATTAGGAGATATGTCTAATGTTAAATGACGAGTAATGGGTGCAGCACACCAACATGGCACATGTATACATATGTAACAAACGTGCACGTTGTGCACATGTACCCTAAAACTTAAAGTATAATAAAAAAATTTTAAAAAAGAAGAGCAAATACATCCATCCTGTGGCATGTATATATATAATTGTGTATAGGATCAACACCTCAAAACCATAGTGATTCCCCCTGTATGCATACACCCAACCCCACACCAGATGGCAGCTATGCAGAACACACGCTGGCACACATCTCAGAATACCTTAGTGAAAATAAGCAAAAGCCAAGTCAATAGAAGCAAAGGTCTTTGATGTTTTTGTTTCTCCAACAGAACTACCACCTGATGCAAGGGTTTGACTGCTGCAAGCTGCCCACTTTCTCGCAGCAGGCAGCCACTGTGAATACAGGGTTGGTGCATGCTGATAGCATGGTAATCATTTCCCAGGAGCCATGGGTGCCCACATTAACACACACACACACCCCTGACTGTTTGCAGCTGCCTTTTCTTTTTAAATTTCTCATATAATACACTTTGCAATCCAGCCCCCCTCCTGCTTGGCTGAGCTAAACTATTTCGAGAATTGGCACAGATGCTGAGAGCAAAGATCTTATTCCGAGATGCTCAACAGAGATCAAAGCTGCTTAATCAAAGCTGTTGACTCCATGTACAGCGCCTTGGCACATCCAGAGAGCCCAGGTGGAGAGGAAGAAGTCAAAGCGGATGATTTAGGAGACAGAGAGAATCCAGCAGTGGAACTGCAGGTCTGACAAGAATCCTTCAGCCAGGATCAGGGAGGAACTCCTGAGGTCATCTAAGTTCCTGGTTTGTCTCATTCTCCATCTCCAGATGGAAGTTTGCTCAAAATAACCCCAGAAAAATGAGAGTCTATTTAAAAAGCTCTCCAGGGAGGAAGATTTCCTAACACTGTACTGAGCAATTCTCACACTTAGGAAATGGCTTTGTCTTCTGGTGCAGGTCTGATGAAGCACCCTGGAGCTTATTGAACAATGGCCTCCTCCCTGGCTTGTGCCTGGGTGGGGCTGGCTGGGACTTGAAGAGTATGTGCAGATGGGGAAGTCATCATTATGGGTACAGTGCCACTGTGGGAAAGTAGAGATACGGCATAGGGATGTCCAGTGGGATCCCCCAGAGAGGAGTCTTCATCTAAGGCTTTCAACTTTCCATCTCGGCAACAAACAGAGCAGCCCGTCATTAATTAATTAATTCAACCAATATCTATTCAGTACCTGCTATATGCCAATCACTATTCTAGGTATTAGGAATATAGTGTGAACAAAATAAAGTCTCTGCCCTTAGGAAGCTTGAATTTTAGGTAGAAATGGGAGGGATGGCAGAGATGGATCAAAGTATAAATAAATAAAAATTATATTTCAGATTGTTATAAGTGCCAGAAAGGAAATAGACAAAGGGCTGTGAAAGAGAGTGGGTAGAAGCCATAGCAATAGAGGCTGTGTTGATGTGGACAGGGTAAGCACAGAAGCTTCCTGGGCGGGGCCAGGGGCATTTGAGCCAAAGCCTGAAGGATGAGAAAGAGTCACCATAGGAAGAGCAGCGGGAACTGTGTTTCAAAGAGAAGGAGCAGCCAGTGCAAACGCCGGAAGGTGAGCGCTCACTGTGTTTGTGGGGGTCTGCATAGCCATGGTGTAGTAAGCAAAAATGGAAGTGGAAAGAGAGGAGATTGTACAGTCAGACTCAGATCAGTTCAGGGGGGCCTGGCAGGTCACAGTGAGGAATTTGCCCTTCTTCCAAGGGTTTCAACTCATTGGCTGCTGAGGAGGATGGGTTAAAAGATAGCAAGAATAGAGGCAGCAAGACCAGCTAAGAGTCTCCTGCAGTATTCCAGGCATAAAGTAATGGCCACTTGGACTAAGGGAGTAGCAGTGGAGGGGGAGGGATATGGATAGGTTGAAGACTTATTTCGTAGGCAGACATGATGGCCTTGTTGCTAGATTGAATATAGAGGGTAAGGGAATTAGAAAATGCTGTCATTGGTCAATATTATTACAAAGTCAAACTATGTAGAGTCAAAATTCCTAGGGCTGGGAAAGGTCTTTGAAATCATACCTCATCCAGGGTTTAAACTTACCTCTGCCCCTCCCAGGTGGGCATGGGATGGTGAGCCAGCTACCACAGGGGCCTGTCTGCCCAGAGTGCGATGGACAGCAACAGTCTCTGGAAAGCTTTCTTTTGGGTGGTGCTGAACTCTGCCTCTCCAAAACACTGATGCTCTGATCCTGGTTGTGTTCCTCCCTAGAGGTTAGGAGGAAAACCAGCTCCTTTCCCTAGGTGGGGACTTTGGGGAAGTATAGCGCTAATGGTGTCCTGGGTCCCCAGGTTAAACATCCCTGGTGTCTGCAGTTGCTCAGGCCATCCCTAGCTTGACATCAGTGCCACAATGTCCCTTCACAAGTGTGATACCTGTTGTAAGTCTTAGATTTTAGCATGTCCAGGTTTGGAGAATCTCCAGAGGATAAGAAGTCAGCTATCATCTCTCCTGAGACAAACATTTGCATCTCTTAGCTCACAGTCCAGCCACCTGCCCAGAACACTGGACTGGCTAACCTCCATCCTTTTATCCTTATCCTTCTCCTCCTAGAACCACATCTCTTTTCCTAAAATGTTCTCTCAGGCATAGAAGATGGGTAACACCATACAGAACTGTTTTTCCCAATGTCAGCCCTGAAATAATGGTCCCCTGAGATATGGAAGGGGAAAAAAAGATCTTCAAGTGAGTAAATCTGGAAAATCCTGTATACTATAAGATATAGTAGTATATATTATAATGTATTTACATATGTGTATTTATGTATATGTAGTATATATTATATGTATTTTTATATATTATATGTATTTGTGTGCATACATATATTTAAAATATCATACCACAGTAAAATCTTCTCTCAGAGTTTCACGATACACATGAGCAGGCTCTGAGAAGTCCTGCAGTAAAGATACCCATCAACTTGGTTGACCAGTATATCGTCCAAATCTGTTGGCCAAAACAACCTTTCTTCCCAGAATATCTATTATTAATAGCTCTGCTTGGAAAATGCCATTCCAGGTAAGTTAGGAAATGGAATTTGTTATTTGGGTAACTTAAGCCTCGAGCCCCACTTTGCCCTGAAACATATAGATGTTTTAAAGCCCAAATGGCTGTTTTTGAATTCAATTATCTGCTTAGTAGGTTTCTTCGTTCTTCACTGGTAGTCACAGAGCTTGCTTCACTTACATACACAAACTGACTTTAACAAGTGAGCAGAAGCCGGGTTAGTCTCCTTCCCATCTTCCCTTCACCCATGCTGAATTTGAATGAGCCATCCCCTTGGCTGCCAACCAGGCCTTAGATAGAACTGAATGTTTACACCCTGCTACCAGTTTCTAGGGGGGTATCCCCACATTTTCTCCACTTCCCACTCCATCTCCCTGATCACAAGGCCAGGCAGCATGTAGCGGTGGGAGAACGCTCCACACAAGCCCTGGCCCCATCCCTCACTCTGTAGGGGGTGCCTGTGAGTGAGACACTCAGGACGTTGCTTTTCTCTGATCCTCTGTTTCCCCTTCTGTTGAAGAAAGTAGATGACCACTCACAGCCCTATCGGCAATGGGGTTGTTTTTTCTACCTCCACATCAGTGGGCCTATGTGGTTGGTTTCACAGAGAATCAACCTAAAAATACAGCTATGGAAAGTGTCCTCCCCACACACAACCTTATTAAAAACTGGAAAACCTCTTGAAATAAATACATCCTTTGTTGCTAAAATATCTCAAAATATTTTGCCATTCTATATACAGTGCTAGATCTAAAGTATAACTATTGGGAACTTAAAAATAGTTATGGTGATGGTGGTGGAGGGGGCTCCAGGGGCCCCCACATGGGGCTATGCAGGCTGTGCCTTCCACACAGGGGCAGTCATAGAGGGTCTAACCATTTCATAAGCATGCCTGGTTACCAAACCCTCCTCAAAGTAGTGAATCTGTTTCATCTTCTATGTCAAACAACAAACCTGAAGTGGACTATGTCGGGGGTCCTCAAATATAAGCCAGATTCTTTGAGCAAACATTTTAGGCATAGTGAACCATCTTTGTTGGGGAATGATGAGAACCCTCCAGAAACCCTAGTTCTTAGATGCTAGTCAAGGGCCAATCTTGTGAGCAGGACTTTCTAAGGATAGCAGTCTTAAGCCTGCTATGTCAATTCTATTCTGCACAAGAGCCAATATTCTATTTCTTTATTATTTTTATTATTATTTATTTGAAACAGAGTCTTGCTCTGTCACCCAAGCTGGAGTGCAGTGGCACGATCTCAGCTCACCGCAACCTCTGCCTCCCAGGTTCAAGCGAGTCTCCTGCCTCAGCCTCCTGAGTAGCTGGGATTACAGGTGTGCGCCACCACGCCTGGCTAACTTTTGTATTTTTAGTAGACACGGGGTTTCACCGTGTTGGTCAGGCTGGTCTCGAACTCCTGACCTCGTGATCTGCCTGCCTCAGGCTCCCAAAGTGTATTCTCTCTGCTTCTTGAGAGAAATTAAAGCTCAAGAGATGCACCCAACCACCTGTGTATATTTCGGCTCATTTCTAACTTTGCAGGACCTTAGTTTCTTCAAGGGTAAAATAATGAAGATGATAATAGAAAATACTTTATGCTGTCATTGTGATAATAAAATGAGTTAATGCATATAAGACCTTGCATATAAAGCTTTGGAACAGTACCTGGCACATCATAAAAATTCAACAACTGTTAGATAGTGTTAGTATTGTCAGTCCAAATCACATGGTTAGTAACTGGCAAAATGAGGCTTGCAACTCAGGTCTGTCTTAATCCACCACATATGTCTTACTCCTTCACATTATTGCTTCCAGAAAGTTCTGCTTTCTCAAGCACAAAGGTTGCTTTTGTAGTGCATGTGGTGGGAAGCATGGTTATAAAGGTCCCTGGGTTTTACTTACTACTGTTCAGACACAGAGAGTGAAACTCATTTTCTTCTTTTATGCCCAGTAGCAAACTTCCCAGTATCAAAGGGAATGATTGGCCCAGTCTTTATCGGGTGCTCACTCCTGGATCAATCGTGTGGGCCCAGGAAGTAGGATCATGTAGAAATCTAGTAGCTCCTGCTGAAACCATAAAGATTTGTGTAAGAAGTTTCTACAAATGAGGGTTCAAGGCAGACAATTTTGTGTCCATTACAAGTGACGTATCAATATATACCTCCTAAGGTTACCCTGAGTATTTTAGATAACATATGTAGAATATTTAGCACATAGTAAGTACTCAATAATTGATCAGAAATCTGTATCTGAAATAAAAGCCAACTCACTGGCCTACCCTAAGAAGATACCTGGAAATAAAGAGAACAAAATGCCCACTCGCTATGAAGAATCCTGATATAGTTTGGATACTGTCCTTACCCAATCTCATGTTGGAAAGTAATCCCCAGTGTTGGGGGTGGGGCCCAGTGGGAGGTGTTTGCCTCATGGAGGCAGATCCCTCATGAATGGCTTAGGCCATCACCTCAGTGATAAATGAGTTCACATGAGATCTGGTCGTTTAAGTGTGTGACATCCTCCACCCCCTTGCTCCAATTCTTGCCACATGAGATGCCTGCTCTCCCTTTGCCTTCTGCATGAGTAAAAGCTTCCTGAGGCCTCCCCAGAAGCAGATGCCGGGGCTACACTTCCTGTACAGCCTGCAGAACGGCAAGCCAATTAAACTTCTTTTCTTTATAAATTAGCCAGCCTCAGTTATTTCTTTATAGCAATGCAAGAATGGACTGATGCAGATCCCAAACCACCTTGTGTGTGTCAACATTGGCAAGATGGGTTGAGTGGAAGAAATATGTCAGGGATTCATGAGCTCAGAGGTAAATGGGGGCTGAAGGGAGGTGCACAAAGATTGAAGGTGGAGGCAAGATCAGCAGCTAGGGAAGGGAATACAGAGAACAGAGGCCTGACCAGGCAGAAGTTTGTGGTCCTCCATGTGGCCAGGAGGCCAAATCTCAACTCAATGGGCCAGGTATTAGTCACAGAAACCAGCCAGGTAGCCACTACCTACGTTTTCCAGGAAGGTACTTTGAAGCTTTCTGTTGGGATAGGGACAATCCCAAGAACCCAGGCTGTGGCAAGCTTATGTTTTGCACATGGGAAGTAGTGAGGCTTCCCAAGACCATGGAAAACTTGTTTTCTTGGATGAAGCATAAAAAGACGGCCCAGAGGTATTTTACTGGTTGCTTTATAGAAGGCTTAAGTTAGAACTGCTGAGCTACGCTGGAATCACATCTGGCCCATTTGAATATTTTTAATTTTCAGCACTGAAGCTCCTTTCTTTTAAGAGGAAACTCATTATCACATTTCATGAGGTGTGGCTCTACACCAGCTGGATTCTGGACTGACCAGGTCTTGTATATCAACCTGAAAGGTGTGAGTCTGAAGTTTTAGCATCCTTCACAGTAAGTGAAGGAAGACTTAAAGACTGCAGAACTCGGCCGGGTGCGGTGGCTCACGCCTATAATCCCAGCACTGTGGGAGGCCGAGGCGGGTGGATCACAAGGTCAGGAGATCAAGACCATCCTGGGTAACATGGTGAAACCCCGTCTCTACTAAAAATACAAAAATACTCCTGTAGTCCCAGTTACTCGGGAGGCTGAGGCAGGAGAATGGCGTGAACCCGGGAGGCGGAGCTTGCAGTGAGCCGAGATCACGCCATTGCACTCCAGCCTGGGCGACAGAGCGAGACTCCGTCTCAAAAAAAAAAAAAAAAAAATACTGCAGAACTCATCTCCTTAATTCCAAGAGAATTGCATGCACAGACTTGAATCCTTCTCTCTCCTGGTATAAAGTAAGTCTGCAGTCTCCTGGGTCCCTTCCAGAGTGATGAGCCCTTAAGTTACAGGCAGGGCCTTCCAGAAGGTGGTTTGAGTATAGTCAGCTACAGACCAAGAGCCGCTTTGTAGGGATAAGGAAATCTCTCTCTACCCACTGATATTCAGGGGCAAGTCATTGCTTCTCTAGGGGGAAACAAAGGCATAAGAAACATATATGGAGAACAGAGTGGGGAACAGAATAAAAGACACAGATGTTAAGACAACAACAGACATATCTATGATTTCTCCAAAAGCTAACAAAATGTACTGACCAAATCTATTGACCAGTCCTCTAATAGGTGAGATTCAGGCTTGTGAAAACAGCTCTCAGATAAGTTCGTTGTCATTTCATGAGCATAATGGTCACTTAGCCATTGAACTAGACATGGACCTAAAAGCTATTCTAGCTTCACTGCAATACAAATTCCAATTGATGACTCAGATTACCTTTTAGGACTTTTAACACCCCCCTCTTCCTTCCAATACCCTCTGCTCACCTATCCTTAAGGTAAGATGGCCTGTGCTATGGTTTGGATGTGGTTTGTCCCCACCAAAACTCATGCTGAAGTTTAATTGCCAATGCAATAGTGTTGGGAGATAGGGTCTAGTGGGAGGTGTTTGGGTCACGAGAGTTTATCCTCATGAATAAATTAATGCCCTCCCAAAAGAAGTAGGTGAGTTCTCGCTCTCATGGGACTGGGTTAGTTACCAGAGGGCAGGTTGTTATAAATACAAGTTTTTCTTTCTAGACTGTCTATTCCCTCCTCTCTTGCTATGTGATCTCTTTGAACACATCTGCCTCCCTTCCACGTTCTGCCATGAGTGGAAGCAGTATGAAACCCTTACCAGATGCAGCTGCCCAATCTTGGACTTTCCAGCCATCAGAATCATAAGCCAAATAAACCTCTTTTCTTTGTAAATTACCAATCCTCAGGTATTCTCTCATAGTAACACTAGACTGACTAAGACAGCCTACATTACCATAATACCATTCTGACTGGTGCTACTGCTTCTAGCCTCTCTTTTCATAATCTGTCGTCCACACTGCAGCTGGAGTAATTGGTCTAAAAAGCAAATCTGATTATGCATTGCTGTGTTAAAAAAATTCTGATGATTCTGCACTACTTTCAGGATAAAATTCAAACTCCCTAGCTTGGCATATATCGCCTGTACACTCTGGTCTTGCCTACCAGTACAACCACATCTTATATCACTTCCTGCGATACTGCTATATATTCACCAAAAGCAATTTCCGTTTCCTCCTGGGGACATGGCTAGAAGTGATAGATTCTAAGGAGCCAAACGATGGCAGAGTCACACAATGAAATCAGGAACACCAGCGCAGGACCACTTCATGAGCAAGAAACACACTTTTATTGTTTGAAGTCACTGAAATTTTGTAGACACTTATTACAGCAGTTAACGTACTCTAACAAATACATGGGCATGTTCTTGAAACCAATAGGTCTTTGCAAGCTATACTATCTCTTCTACAACATTTTCCCCTTTATTTTCTGCCTAGATAGTTCCTAATTATCCTCCAACAGTCTGGCATCACTTATTCTGGGAAGCCTATCTTGTTTTCCTAGGCTGAGTTAGGAGCCTCATCTCTGCAGTGCCCCAGAATTCTGTCCTTCTCTTCTACCAATGTACCTAACCTGTGAAATGTTTAATTGCCTCTTCCCTTGTCCATTTCCCCCACTTCCTAGACACTGGACAGGGGCTGTATTTGCTCACCTCTATATCCCTGGGGTCCAGAATATGTGTCCCTTCCAAGAGTAGCAGTTGAGTAAATGTTTTTTTGAAGGAACGAATGAATGGATGGACGAATAAATGAAGTCAGTTAATACATATATTTGTGAGGGGTTGTTCCTTTTCTTTTTACACAATTAAAAAAAACTTTTAGGTTTGGAGGTACATGTGAAGGTTTATTACACAGGTAAACTCATGTCATGGGGGTTTGTTGTACAGATTATTTCATCACCCAGGAATTAAGCCCAATACCCAGTAGTTATCTTTTCTATTCCCCTCCCTCCTCCCACCCTCCACCTTCAAGTAGACCCCAGGGTCTGTTGTTTCCTTCTTTGTGTTGGTAAGTTCTTGTCATTTAGGATGGGCTGTTCCTTGATGATAACCTACACATTTACTCAATGCCACCTCCCTCACATGTGTGTGCTGAGGACAATGGGGGTATGAGAGCAGTGTGGTGGCAACCAAGGCCCAGGCCCAGTGCAGGGAAACCTATGCAGCAAACCTGCTCCACGGTGGTCAGTGTCAAAGCCAGAGCTCTGGCCTCTCTGCATGTTGTGGACACAGGTGAGAGGGGCAAGAAAAAGTTTGGAAGCCTTGGCACAGTGTGACAGAAGGAAGGAACATACCTTTATGAAGTATTTCCTGTGTGCTAGGCTGTTTAAATTTATTATTTCATAAGTCCATCCTATGCCAGTTCTATTAAGTTTGCTGTTATGATCCCCATTTGTCAGATAAAGAAGCAGCTCAGAGAAGTTAAGTGACTTGTCCAAGAGGCCACACAGCTGGTAAGTAGTAGAGCTTGGAATCCAAACTAGGCCTACCTTCTGAACAGGGGTCCTCCCAGTGCACTTTATGGAGCAAAGGCCGAAGCCAGACATGCCCCATTTCTCCATGACACCCGGTGGCTAGACCCTGCAGAGATAGGAGGCCTGCGCATCAGTCCCAGCCTGAGCAAACACTCAAAATGCTTCCCCTGGCAGCAGTCCGTGAACATGGGGAGAGTGAAGGAACAGGCTGCTTTTCCCTGGGCCCGAGCTCCGTCAGGCAGGCCTGATTTGCCGGCTGCCCCAGACACTGTGGAAACACACTGGGCTGTTGGGTCAGGTTCCCCTGATTTCTCAGATGAGGGAGCCAGGCTGGAGCCAACACATTTCTCAATCTCCAGGCAACCACTGACCAGGCCTCCTGGGCTGTGTCTCCACTGGCAGCTGTGAGCACCGCGGCCTCTTGGCGGGCTGAGTACCTCTTAGCCCTGTTGGCAGGTAAGGACCCAGTGTCCTGAATGCCAGGGACCTCCCTCTCTGTCTGGGGAGACAAAATCAGGAGCTTAGCCAGGAGCCCCAGGCCCAGGTCAAGCCTTCACTTGCCTCAACAACCTGGCAGCCAAGAAGAGGCCCCTGAATTGCGGGCAGGGAGATCGGGAAGGCAAAAGTCCTGGGATGTGGCTAGGAGGAGAGGTTAGTTGGGAGAGACAGGGAGGAGCTGGGGGCACGGAATGAGCTATCTCAGTGGTCGCTGTCTTCTGAGGGGCCTCTGCCAGGCACTGCGATGAACAGACCCAGCTCCCACCCCCAGGAGCTTAGAATGTAGAAGAGGAAGAGACAAAATAGACAGTCGTAGTACAGTTTCAAAAGGAGGCAGCATCTTCAGGCTCCACCCTGACTAGCTGTGTGAGCTTGGAAAGTGACAAACTCTTTGGGCTTCAGTTTCTTTGTCTGTGAAGTGGGACTAATAACATCTTCTTAAAGGGTTTGGATAAAATGCATGTGGGTACAGTGCCTTGCACATAAAAGCTGCTTGCTAAATGCTGTGTGGATTTTTGCTCTCCTAGTTAGATGGAGCATGTAGAAGTCATGAACTCAGGCTTATATTTCTTTTATAACATCCGTGGTTTCTAGCCCAGTGGAGAGCACTGAGTAGTTTTCTAAGTAGGAGAAAGGTCGAAGGCATATTCCGATGAGATAGGAACAACTGCCATCAATAATAGCTTCAGGAGACACATCTTTCCCTGCTGAGTTTGCTCCAAGGAATCAGCCTCTTTGAACTGACCACAATGAAAACCACAAAACAGGCAACAGCAGGCAGGAAGGGTTGGCCAGTTTAATAATCTCATAATAATGAGTCTGGATAATCTAAACTTGATAAAAGCTCGTTGAATAATCAAAGACAGTCTGCAATTGTGGAATAACTCCCACCTAGACAACACTTTCAGTTTGCAAAGCGCAGACATGAACATTATTTCATTTGGACAAACCCAATAAATATGTATGGAAGCATACAGCCTTGCAACAGCCTCATAATGTGAATTATTCAAGGTCTTGATTTAACTGATAAGGAAGCCAAGGCTCAGAGAGGTAAATTAAATTGCTAGAAAAAAGACCAATCCTGTTTGATGCCAAACCCAATGTTCTTTGTACCGCACCAAACCGTCCCTATAAATAGATGGTAATGGGGGTGTGCTCTCACTGATCCCTGTGCCAGGCAGGAAATCCAACCAATACAGCTGTCCCTAGTGTGCTGGTCTTGAAGATGGGCCTTTGAAGCGACATGTAATAGCTATTCCCCACACCCCCACCCTGCCTGCCAACAGGCATGTTCCCTGGCGGGTGGGAACCAGAGTAAAGTAAGAAGTGGGCAGTTGGCACAGCTGGAATGCAAACAAACAATGAGGCTGGTGAAAGATTGGCGTGGGTCTCTCTTGCTGATGGAGAATGTGTAAAATATGGAAATAAAAATTGCACAACTGAGCTGTCTCCTGGGAAGACGATGGCTAATTAGATGTCTGACAGCACACAGGCTCCTAATCACTGAGCAATCCTTGCCCTCGGATTGCAAACTCCAGCCACAAGCCAGGCATGATGCCCATGGAGGCATCCATCTCCTGGGACACTAGTGGGCACCACAGCCACCACTCAGAGGGTGCCTTCTAGGTGCCACACTCAGTGCCGGGGGTTTGCTTTCATCAGCTTTGAATGCAAGTCTCTCCTTAAAACACTGAGAGTGAAGTGCTGTGAGAGTTCCCTTTAGCTAGATGAGAAAGTAGAGGCCAGGGGAGGTAATGAGAGCACACTAGTCTTGGTAGGAAGGGGAAAGGTAGTCAGTGACTCTAGATACAAAAGGAAAGATAGCCCTAAATCCATAAAAAAACACTTGTTGTGCTTTCTGTCTTACATGGGCATTTTATGAGGTGAGAATCTTGTTTTGGCAAAAGCTGGAAAGGCCCTCAGATGAAACTGGAAACCCTCATTCTCAGCAAACTATCACAAGGACAAAAAACCAAACACCGCATGTTCTCACTCATAGGTGGGAATTGAACAATGAGAACACATGGACACAGGAGGGGGAACATCACACGCCGGGGACTGTTGTGGGGTGGGGGAAAGGGGGAGGGATAGCATTGGGAGATATACCTAATGCTAGATGACAAGTTAGTGGGTGCAGTGCACCAGTGTGGCACATGTATACATATGTAACTAACCTGCACATTGTGCACATGTACCCTAAAACTTAAAGTATAGTAATAATAAAATAAAAGAAAAAAAAAAAAGAAAGGGCCATGGATAAAATGAAAGGGGCAATTCAGGCCATTTTTGTAATAAATATAGTAAAATATTAAAAAAACAAAACAAAACACTGCTTTTAAACTGGTGTTTTACCAAATTTCTTTTTTCCTTCTCTTTCTTTTTTTTTTCTTTTTTCCTTTTTTTTTTTTTTTGCAACAGGACCCTTTGTTTTGGGGTGCGTGTATGTGTGTTTCTTTTTGAAACAGGGTCTCACTCTGTTACCTAGGCTGGAGTGCAGTGGTGAAATCTCGGCTCACTGCAGCCTCGACCTCCCAGGCTCAAGCAATCCTCTCACCTCAGCCTCCCAAGTAGCTGGGACTATAGGCATGCACCACCACGTCCAGCTAATTTTTATATTTTTTGTCTCACCATGTTGCCCAGGCTGGTCTTAAACTCCTGAGCTCAAGTGATCCATCTTCCTTGGCCTCCCAAAGCGTTGGGATTAGAGATGTGAGCCACTGTGCCCTGCCAAAACCCTTTGATTAAGTGTAGTATTGTGTGGAAGCATGGTAGACAAAACAGAGCAAGAAGGAGCAATCTGGGTAGAAGTGGGGGTCCTGCTCATTAACAATTGTCTTCTTTCCCTTTTGCCTTGCTCTTCTCACCATCATGTCTTCTTGGAACCCTAGGGTTCCTCGGAATCCAGTTTGAAAACCACTGTCTTTGTTCAACTCCTTTATCTTGCACATGAGAAAACAAAAATCTGGAGAAGCTAAATGACCTTCTCAGTGTCAGAAAACCAAGAAGTAGTAAAGGCAGGAGCAGAAATCAGCTTCTTCTTGCTCAGGTTGAGGATTTGGGGCTAAGCCAGGTAGGCTTTATGTAGGTAGATATTGATGATGGAGATATTGATGACACAGATTTTAATGAGTTCTAGATACAGAGAGATGAAGCAAATGATATATAATTTATTGAGCATTCTTTGTGCCAGGCTGTGTATACTGGGTATACTAGGGACTCAGAGTTGGGGGAACATAGGTCGCATTCCCCAGAAGTTCACCACAGAGTTGGGGGAACATAGGTCGCATTCCCCAGAAGTTCACCACAGAGTTGGGGAAACATGTAGCGGCCCCAGGGGCTGCCTCATAAATCAGAGGGTACAGAATTTTGGTAGAGGTGCACATGACAGCTTATGAGGATTATTATAGTGAGAGAGTCATTTGGGACTGACAGAGGCTAAGACTTTGGGAACGGAGGACTTAGCCAGAGCTGGAGGGTTGATGCGGCCATTCCAGGGTGAGGCACTGTGAGAGCAGAGGTTGAGAGGCGGGAAAGTGCAGGGTGTGATTTAGTAAATACATTGGTGCCCTTCAAAACTGAGGCCCATTCAGGTCCTTCCCTGACTCCTTTCCTAACAAGATCTGTTCTCCCCACCCTACCCCTGTCCCTGTCTAGGACCTATTTGAGGGTCCAGCCTCTTGGTTTCCAGCAACTGTCCAAAGATGGGAGGGGGAGTGGGAGGAGAGTAGGAAACAGGAAATTAATTCTCCTAGGCTGTGTGTGTGTGTGTGTGTGTGTGTGTGTGTGTGTGTCAGAGAGAGAGAGAAAAAAAGAAAGAGGCAAAGAGTGTGTGTGTCTGTACGTGTGTGTGTGTGCGCAAGTGCGTAAGAAAAATGTCGCTGACATCAAATACTGTCTGAAACCACTTCTGCCTTTTAGGAGAGAGGCACAATTCCTTTCCAGAGAGTTTTTCTTACATAGCTTTATTATTATTATTAGTCTAGGAAAGAGCCTAATGGGCCCCTTTGGTCCCTGAGCCAGAAGGGATAGGAGAAATACAAGAGAGGACTGAATGGCTCTGCCTAAAATGATATTTTGGTCTTGTTCTCTGGGAGTTCCAGAGGCTTGATGGGTGAAGGCTGGTGAGTGGGGTTGGGGCAAGGGCTCAGAAATGGTGGGAGAGAGAGATGTGACGAGGAAATGAGGATGGAGACACTGAGGCAGAGCGGGAGGCTGCACTCCACGGAGACAATGAATGGCCACCACATTTTAGAAACATAGGGCTGTTTTCTGCCCACTCTTATATTTTCAGCAAAAGCTGGGTAGCTTCAAGAACCTTGTGTCAATGAGAATTTTGGAACAAAGGTGGGCATAGGAGATAGGGCTGTAGTCTCAGGTGCTTGCAGCAAGGTCAGGGTGGCAAATGCACCTGGCAGGTGAACTCCATGGGAGTACCGGGGAGGGAGCGCCTCTCAGAGTAGCTGGGATAGAGCTTGAGCCATTTTATTTGGATATGATGGTAATCAATGATTCCAGAAGACTAGAAGGGTAGGGGACCTTGGTGTACCTGGTTCTTTGAGTATAATTATATGTGCATGTTTCTGGTATGCATTTTTATATATGTGTTCATGAATGTCGACACCTGTGTGATTGTGTTGGCAACTGTATTTGTGAATATGGGTAAGTGTATGGGAATGAGTGAGTTTCCTTGTGTATGTGTGAGTGTATGTGTAGGAATCCGGACTTCAGGATCTGTGAGTTACATGTGTACACCTGAATGTAGATGAGTGCATGGCCACGTGAGCGTGGATGCATGAGTACATTTCTGAGAGGCTTTCGAATATATATCTGTGTCACTCACCATGTGTGTACGGGGTGTGGGGATATCTGTGAATGTGTGAGAACATATACTCTGTACGAGTGTGCCCTGATTGCCAGGAGCCTGAGGCAGGCCGGCACCTCTGCTCTGGTGTCTTCCTCCTCACAGGGCCCTGCACTACGCTTGGCTCTGGGCAGTGGGGAAGCGGGAGTGGATGTTCCTGGGTGTGCTTGCCCCAGAGCCTTGCTCCTCACCCAGGAACATTCTCCCTTTCCCATTCCTGGGAAGGAACATAATGTCCACTGGCTCCTCTCCCACCGGACAAGTCCAACTCCTCTGCTGCCTCAGGCTGTGAGGCACTTCCTGACCGGATGGGGAGCATCCAGGGAGCCAAACCCTGGGGCCAGAGTGGGAGGGAGACATACTGGCTCCAAGAGTGTCAGCAACAGGAGATTCTCCCCAGTGGTGATTAAAGTAGCCATCATCTATTGGGTGTTTGCCACATGCCAGCCCAACACAGAGCATTTCACATGAATATATTTG
The DNA here is from genome assembly GCF_000001405.40 of Homo sapiens. Classification (NCBI taxonomy): domain Eukaryota; kingdom Metazoa; phylum Chordata; class Mammalia; order Primates; family Hominidae; genus Homo; species Homo sapiens. Next base: position 19,627,992 of record NC_000011.10, on the reverse strand, counting down.
TTTATGCCTCCTTGTGGAATGGGCTGCCAGATATTATCATTATCTCTTCTTCTTCTTCTTCTTCTTTTTTTTTTTTTTTTGAAAACAAGGAAACTAAGGCTCAGGTTGAGGAACTTGTCCAAGGTGGCACACCCAGGGAGAGGTATATGTCGGATTAGAACTAGGTTTCCTGTCTCTGGAGCCAATATTCTCACTTTGCAGGCGGGGCCCAACCCTCCCATCTCATCCATCACCGTCAGTGCATAGATGGGAGACTGAGGTCCAGAAGGGGGCATGTTCTCTTACCAGGCTTCCTTCGGCTCTGAGATGTCCCCTAAGAAGCCCTGGAGCTGGGCAGACTGTAACTGTGGCAAAGGACCTACATGACAATTGTGACTAACTTTCCCAATTTGGTAAAGGTCTCACTTAAAGGTCTGTGGCACACTAGACTTTACACAAATTGGTCCTCTTTGCTGGGACTGATGAGGTCAAAATTGCAGCTTCTCTGGCTGTGACCAGAGAATTTCATGCATGAAAAACCTCCCACTTCCATGGCCTAAACAACCCCAAAGCCAACAGACCCCTTGGTCCAGCCCAACAGGCACATGGATCTCTTTTTTTTTTTGAGACAGAGTCTCGCTCTGTTGTCCAGGCTGGAGTGCAGTGGTGTGATCTTGGCTCACCACAATCTCTGCCTCCTGGGTTCAAGCAATTTCTCCTGCCTCAGCCTCCTGAGTACCTGGGATTACAGGCACACAATACCACGCCCTGCTAATTTTTGTATTTTTAATACAGACGGGGTTTCGCCATGTTGGCTAGGCTGGTCTCGAACTCCTGACCTCAGGCGATCCACCCACCTCAGCCTCCTAAAGTGTTAGGATTACAGGCGTGAGTCACCGCACCCGGCCCACATGGATCTCTTGACCTTCAACTGATTATACACACCTCAGCTTGCCTCACCTTCTTCAAACACCACTTTAGCACCTGAGGGTAAACTATGTGCCAGATCATATGCCCAGTGCTTTCATGTCATATTGGGTACATATTGCACTTTCTAATTACGGTCTCAGCTAATCTCCATAACTATATTATGAGGTTGGTGTTATTCCCATTTTATAATTAAGAAAACAGAGTCAGAGAAGCTTAAGTCACTTTCCTAGGGACACACAGCTCATAAAAGTTGGAACCAGAATTTGAATTTGGATCTGACACTAAAACCTATGTTATTAAAAATGTAAAATAAAATACCTAGGAATAAAGTTAACAGAAGCAGTAAAAGACTTCTATGGAAAACTACAAAACAGTGATGAAAGAAATTTAAGAAGATGCAAACAACTGGAAAGACATCCCATACTCATGGATCAGAAGCATTAATATTCTTAAAATGACAATACTACCCAAAGCAGTCTACAGATTCAATGCAATCCCTATCAAAATACCAATGACATTCTTCACAGAAATGGGAAAAAAAGTTCTAAAATTTGTGTGGAACCACAAAAGACCCCAAATAACCAAAGTAATCCTGAACAAAAAGAACAAAGCTGGAGACATCATACTATCAAACTTCAAAATATACTACAGAGCTGTAGCAACCAAAACCACATGGCATTGGCATAAATACAGACATATAGGTCAGTGGAACGGAATAGAGAACCCAGAAATTAACCCACATATCTACAGCCAACTGATTTTTGACAAAGATGCCAAGAACACTCACTGAGGAAAGGACACCCTCTTCAATAAATGGTGTTGGGAAAACTGGATATGTAAAAGAATGAAAACAGACCTCCATCTCTCATCCTATACTAAAATCAACTCAAAATGGCCAAATACCTAAACGTAAGACCCAAAACTATAAAACTACTCAAAGAAAATATAAGGGAAATGCTTCAGGATGTTGGTATTGGAGAAGATTTTATGAATAAGACCTCAAAAGCACAGGCAACCAAAGCAAAAATAAACAAATATGGGATTATATCAAATAGCAAAGCTTCTGCACAGTAAGGGAAACAATCAACAAAGTAAAAATATAACCTATAGAATGGGAGAAAATGGTCACGAACTACTCATCTGACAAGGGGTCAATATCCAGAATATACAAGGAACTCAAACATCTCCACAGGAAAAAAAATAGGCAAATGATCTGGACAGACATTTCTCAAAAGAAGATACACAAATGGCCAAGAAATATATGAAAAAAAATGTTCAACATCACTAGTAATCAGGGAAATGCACATCAAAACCACAATGGGGTGTCATCTCACCCCAGTTAGGATGGCCATTATCAAAAAGAAAAAGAAGAACAAATGTTGGCAAAGATACAGAGAAAAGGGAACTCATACATTTTTGGTGGGAACGAAAACTAGTACAGCTGCTATGAACAGTATGGAAGTTCCTCAAAAAACTACAAATAGAACAACCATATGATTCAGCAATCCTGCTACTGGGCATTTCACCAAGAGAAAGGAAATTAGTATATTGAATAAATAGCTGCACCTCCATGTTTATTGCAGCACAGTCCATGATAGCTAAGTTATGGAATCAACCTAGTTCAACAGGAGATGAATCAATAAAGAAAATGTGGTATATATACAACATGGAATACTATTCAGCCATAAAAAAGAAATGAAATTCTGTCATTCATAGCAACATGGATGGAACTGGAGGACAGTATGTCAAGTGAAACAAGCTAAACACTGCATTTTCTCACTAATATGTAGAAACTAAAAAAAGTTGTTCTCATTGAAGTAAAAATTAGAACAGAGGATACTAGAGACTAAGAAGGGTTGGAGGAAGGGAAAGATAGGGAGAGATTTGTTGAAGAATACAAAATCACAGCTAAATAAGAAAAATAAAGTCTAGTGTTCTATACCACTGTGGGATGGCTATAGTTAACAATAATGTATTATATAGTTTCGGTTAGCTAGGAGGAGGATCTTAAACATTCCCAACACAAGGAAATGATAAATGTTTGAGATGATGAATATGCTAATTAGCCCAATGTGATCACTATACATTATATGTATCAAAACATCACTATGTACTTCATGAGTATGTACAATTATTATTTGTCAATTAAAATTTTTAAATAAATGTTAAAATATTTTGAAAGATCTGGTTCCAAGATGGCCGAATAGGTAGAGCTCCAGTCTACAGCTCCCAGCATGAGTGATGCAGAAGACTGGTGATTTCTGCATTTCCAACTGAGGTACCGGGTTCATCTCACTGGGGCTTGTCAGACAGTGGGTGCAGGACAGTGGGTGCAGCTCACCAAGCGTGAGCCGAAGCAGGGCGAGGAATCGCCTCACCCAGGAAGCACAAGGGGTCATGGAATTCCCTTTCCTAGCCAAGGGAAGCTGTGACAGATGGCACCAGGAAAATTGGGTCACTCCCACCCTAATACAGTGCTTTTCCAACAGTCTCAGCAAACGGCACACCAGGAGATTATATCCCACTCCTGGCTCAGAGGGTCCCATGCCCACACAGCCTCACTCACTGCTAGCAGAGCAGTCTGAGATCGAACTGCAAGGCAGTAGCGAGGCTGGGGGAGGGGCACCCGCCATTGCTGAGGCTTGAGTAGGTAAACAAAGTGGCCAGGAAGCTCGAACTGAGCAGCTCGAGGAGGCCTGCCTGCCTCTGTAGACTCCACCTCTGGGGGCAGGGCATAGCTGAAAAAAAGGCAGCAGAAACTTCTGCAGACTTAAATGTCCCTGTCTGACAGCTTTGAAGAGAGTAGTGGTACTCCCAGCATGGAGTTTGAAATCTGAGAACGGACAGACTGCCTCCTCAGTGGGCCCCTGACCCCCGAGTAGCCTAACTGGGAGGCACCTCGCAGTAGGGTCCGACTGACACCTCACACGGCCAGGTGCCCCTCTGAGATGAAGCTTCCAGAGGAACAATCAGGCAGCAACATTTGTTATTCTGCAATACTCGCTGTTCTGCAGCCTCCGCTGGTGATACTCAGGCAAAGAGGGTCTGGAGTGGACCTCCAGCAAATTCCAACAGACCTGCAGCTGAGGGTCCTGACTGTTAGAAGGAAAACTAACAAACAGAAAGGACATCCACACCAAAACCCCATCTGTACATCACCATCATCAAAGACCAAAGGTAGATAAAACCACAAAGATGGGGAGAAACCAGAGCAGAAAAGCTGAAAATTCTAAACATCAGAGCTCCTCTTCTCCTCCAAAGGAATAACACAGCTCCTCACCAGCAATGGAATAAAGCTGGACAGAGAATGACTTTGACGAGTTGAGAGAAGAAGGTTTCAGACAATCAAATTTCTCCAAGCTAAAGGAGGATGTTCGAACCCATCGCAAAGAAGCTAAAAACCTTGAAAAAAGATTAGACGAATGGCTAACTGGAATAACCAGTGTAGAGAAGACCTCAAATGACCTGATGGAGCTGAAAACCATGGCATGAGAACTATGTGACAAATGCACAAGCTTCAGTAGCGGATTCGATCAACTGGAAGAAAGGGTATCAGTGATTAAAGATCAAATGAATGAAATGAAGTGAGAAGAGAAGTTTAGAGAAAAAAGAGTAAAAAGAAGGGAACAAAGCCTCCAAGAAATATGGGACTATGTGAAAAGACCAAATCTACGTCTGATTGGTGTACCTGAAAGTGACGGGGAGAATGGAACCAAGTTGGAAAACACTCTGCAGGATATTATCCAGCAGAACTTCCTCAACCTAGCAAGGCAGGCCAACATTCAAATTCAGGAAATACAGAGAATGCCACAAAGATACTCCTCTAGAAGAGCAACTCCAAGACACATAATTGTCAGATTCACCAAAGTTGAAATGAAGGAAAAAATGTTAAGGGCAGCCAGAAAGAAAGGTCAGATTGCCCACAAAGGGAAGCCCATCAGACTAACAGTGAATCTCTCAGCAGAAACTCTATAAGCTAGAAGAGAGTGGGGGCCAATATTCAATATTCTTAAAGAAAAGAGTTTTCAACCCAGAATTTCATATCCAGCCAAACTAAGCTTCATAAGTGAAGGAGAAATAAAATCCTTTACAGACAAGCAAATGCTGAGAGATTTTGTCACCACCAGGCCTGTCTTACAAGAGCTCCTGAAGGAAGCACTAAACATGGAAAGGAACAACCGGTACCCACCACTGCAAAAACATGCCAAATTGTAAAGACCATCGATGCTAGGAAGAAACTGCATCAACTAACGAGCAAAATACTCAGCTAACATCATAATGACAGGATCAAATTCATACATGACAATATTAACCTTAAATGTAAATGGGCTAAATGCTCCAATTAAAAGACACAGACTGGAAAATTGCATAAAGAGTCAAGACCCATCAGTGTGCTGTATTCAGGAAACCCATCTCACGTGCAGAGACACACATAGGCTCAAAATAAAGGGATGGAGGAAGATCTACCAAGCAAATGGAAAACAAACAAACAAAAAAAAGCAGGGGTTGCAATCCTAGTCTCTGATAAAACAGACTTTAAACCAACAAAGATCAAAAGAGACAAGGAAGGCCATTACATAATGGTAAAGGGATCAATTCAACAAGAAGAGCTAACTATCCTAAATATATACCAACCCAATACAGGAGCACCCAGATTCATAAAGCAGGTCCTTAGAGACCTACAAAGAGACTTAGACTCCCACACAATAATAATGGGAGACTTTAACACCCCACTGTCAACATTAGACAGATCAACAAGATAGAAAGTTAAAAAGGATATCCAGGAATTGAACTCAGCTCTGCACCAAGCAGACCTAATAGACATCTACAGAACTCTCCACCCCAAATCAACAGAATATACATTCTTCTCAGCACCACATCACACTTATCCCAAAATTGACCACGTAGTTGGAAGTAAAGCACTCCTCAGCAAATGTAAAAGAACAGAAATTATAACAAACTGTCTCTCAGACCACAGTGCCATCAAACTAGAACTCATGATTAAGAAACTCACTCAAAAGCACTCAACTACATGGAAACTAAACAACCTGCTCCTGAACGACTACTGGGTACATAACGAAATGAAGGCAGAGATAAAGATGTTCTTTGAAACCAATGAGAACAAAGACACAACATACCAGAATCCCTGGGACACATTCAAAGCAGTGTTTACAGGGAAATTTATAGCACTAAATACCCACAGGAGAAAGCAGGAAAGATCTAAAATTGACACCCTACCATCACAATGAAAAGAACTAGAGAAGCAAGAGCAAACAAATTCAAAAGCTACCAGAAGGCAAGAAATAACTAAGATCAGAGCGGAACTGAAGGAGATAGAGACAAAAAAAACACTTCAAAAAATCAATGAATCCAGGAGCTGATTTTTTGAAAAGATCAACAAAATTGATAGACCGCTAGCAAGACTAATAAAGAAGGAATGAGAGAAGAATCAAATAGACGCAATAAAAAATGATAAAGGGAATATCACCACCGATCCCACAGAAATACAAAATACCATCAGAGAATATTACGAACACCTCTATGCAAATAAACTAGAAAATCTGGAAGAAATGGATAAATTCCTCGATACATACACTCTCCCAAGACTAAGCCAGGAAGAAGTTGAATCTCTGAATAGACCAATAACAGGCTCCGAAATTGAGGCAATAATTACTAGCTTGCCAACCAAAAAAAGTCCAGGACCAGACGGATTCACAGCCGAATTCTACCAGAGGTATAAGGAGGAGCTGGTACCATTCCTTCTGAAACTATTCCAATCAATAGAAAAAGAGGGAATCCACCCTAATTATGAGGCCAGTGTCATCCTGATACCAAAGCCTGGCAGAGACACAACAAAAAAAGAGAATTTTAGACCAATATCCCTGATGAACATCGATGCAAAAATCCTCAGTAAAATACTGGCAAACTGACTCCAGCAGCACATCGAAAAGCTTATCCATCATGATCAAGTGGGCTTCTTTCCTGGGATGCAAGGCTGGTTCCATATACACAAATCAATAAACCTAATCCGTCATATAAACAGAATCAAAGACAAAAACCACATGATTATCTCAATAGATGCAGAAAAGGCCTTCAACAAAATTCAACAACCCTTCATGCTAAAAACTCTCAATAAATTAGGTATTAATGGGATGTATCTCAAAATAATAAGAGCTATTTATGACAAACCCACAGCCAATATCACACTGAATGGGCAAAAACTGGAAGCATTCCCTTTGAAAACTGGCACAAGACAGGGATGCCCTCTCTCACCACTCCTATTCAACATAGTGTTGGAAGTTCTGGCCAGGGCAATCAGGCAGGAGAAGGAAATAAAAGGTATTCAATTAGGAAAAGAGGAAGTCAAATTGTCCCTGTTTGGAGATGACATGATTGTATATTTAGAAAATCCAGTCATCTCAGCCCTAAATCTCGTTAAGCTGATAAGCAACTTCAGCAAAGTCTCAGGATACAAAATCAATGTGCAAAAATCACAAGCATTCCTATACACCAACAACAGACAAACAGAGGGCCAAATCATGAGTGAATGCCCATTCACAATTGCTTCAAAGAGAATAAAATACCTAGGAATCCAACTTACAAGGGATGTGAAGGACCTCTTCAAGGAGAACTACAAACCACTGCTCAATGAAATAAAAGAGGACACAAACAAATGGAAGAACAATCCATGCTCACGGATAGGAAGAATCAATATCATGAAAATGGCCATTCTTCCCAAGGTAATTTATAGATTCAATGCCATCCCCATCAAGCTACCAATGACTTTTTTCACAGAATTGGAAAAAACTACTTTAAAGTTCATATGGAACCAAAAAAGAGCCCACATTGCCAAGTCAATCCTAAGCCAAAAGAACAAAGCTGGAGGCATCATGCTACCTGACTTCAAACTATACTACAAGGCTACAGTAACCAAAACAGCATGGTACTGGTACCAAAACAGAGATATAGATCAATGGAACAGAACAGAGCCCTCAGAAATAATATCACACATCTACAACTATCTGATCTTTGACAAACCTGACAAAAACAAGAAATGGGGAAAGGATCCCTATTTAATAAATGGTGCTGGGAAAACTGGCTAGCCATATGTAGAAAGCTGAAACTGGATCCCTTCCTTACACCTTATACAAAAATTAATTTAAGATGGATTAAAGACTTACATGTTAGACCTAAAACCATAAAAACCCTAGAAGAAAACCTAGGCAATACCATTCAGGACATAGGCGTGGGCAAGGACTTCATGACTAAAACACCAAAAGCAATGGCAACAAAAGACAAAATTGACAAATGGGGTCTAATTAAACTAAAGAGCTTCTGCACAGCAAAAGAAACTACCATCAGAGTGAACAGGCAACCTACAGAATGGGAGAACATTTTTGCAATATACCCATCTGACAAAGGACTAATATCCAGAATCTACAAAGAACTCAAACAGATTTATAAGAAAAATTCAAACAACCCCATCAAAAAGTGGGCGAAGGATATGAACAGACACTTCTTAAAAGAAGACATTTATGCAGCCAACAGACACGTGAAAAAATGCTCATCATCACTGGCCATCAGAGAAATGCAAATCAAAACCACAATGAGATACCATCTCACACCAGTTAGAATGGTGATCATCAAAAAGTCAGGAAACAACAGGTGCTGGAGAGGATGTGGAGAAATAGGAACACTTTTACACTGTTGGTGGGACTGTAAACTAGTTCAACCATTGTGGAAGTCAGTGTGGTGATTCCTCAAGGATCTAGAACTAGAAATACCACTTGACCCAGCTTTCTCATTACTGGGTTATATACCCAAAGGATTATAAATCATGCTGCTATACAGACACATGCACACGTATGTTTATTGCAGCACTATTCGCAATAGCAAAGACTTGGAACCAACCCAAATGCCCATCAATGATAGACTGGATTAAGAAAATGTGGCACATATATACCATGGAATACTATGCAGCCATAACACAGGATGAGTTCATGTCCTTTGTAGGGACATGGATGAAGATTGAAACCATCATTCTGAGCAAACTATCACAAGGACAGAAAACCAAACACCGCATGTTCTCACTCATAGGTGGGAATTGAACAATGAGAACACTTGGACACAGGGTGGGGAACACCACACACCAGGGCCTGTCATGGGGTGGGGGGAGGTTTACTCTTTCCTGCCATCCCTGCCCCTTAGCTCTAGCCAAAGTGGGTCTCTCTTCTCTGGGTCCCAGAGAGGCCATCTTCCTTCTTACTCCACTTATCTCTTTCCCTGTACCCCCTCCCCAATCTTTCCTTCTTAGATTTCCTATGGTTCTTAGAAGCACCCATATATCTCCCCTCAGAGCCCTCACGTCCCCAACCTGACTCTAGATTTTTCAGCTGATTTTTCTTTGTCTGGCCCCATCTGCATGTCAAATCTATGGCTCCCCACCACCACAGCTTAGCACAGGGCTAGGCCCATGGTAGAGACTCAGACTGTTCCCATTGCTTCTCCTGATGACAAGGATGAGCCTTGAGTCACCAGGGACCCATCCATCCATCCATCCATCCATCCATCCATCCATCCATCCATCCATCTATCCAGACAGCCATATAGCCATTCAGCTACCCATCCATCCATCCACCCATCCGTCCATCCATCCATCCATCCATCCATCCATCCATCCATCTATTCATCCATCCATCCATCCATCCATCCATCCATCCATCCATCCAGCAATCCATCAAGCAATCCATCCATCCGTCTGTTCATCTATCCATCCAGCAATCCATCCAGCCAGCAATCCATCCATTGATCCATCCAGCCACCCAGCCAGCCAGCCAGCAATCCATCCATCCATCCATCTATCCATCCATCCATCCATGCAACAAATATTGAAGGACCTACTATGTTTGAGGCACCATTCTAGGTATTTATTTACATCAAAGAATAAAATCAGACAAAAATATCTGCCTTATGGGTCTTATAGTCTAGGGAGGAATGAAAGACAACAAACAGTAGGTAAGTAAATTACGGAGTATGTGAGAAGATGATGACTAAGGGAAAAATAGCGTAAAGTAATGGAGAATCCAGAGCCCATGGGGGAGTTTTAGGCAAGTCTTGAAGGAGAGAGTGAGTGAGTCATGGGGATATCTGTAGGAAGAGGGTTCTGGGTTCTGCAAGTGGCAAGTGCAAAGGCCCTGAAGTGGGTGTGTGCCATTGTGACTGGAGCAGCATGGCCTGAGGGGAGTGATAGGAGAGGAAGTCAGATTGTGTAGGGACTTAGCCACCATAAGGACATGGATTTGTAATCTGAATGCAGGGGTAGGAGAAGGTGAAAAGTCCTCCCTCCCAGATCATTGTTGTACTGCTTCTTTTCATTCAGGTTTCAACCAAAACTGTCTCCTCAGGGAGGCCATTCCTGGGACCACCTTACCTAAGTGGTACCCTCACACTTTACCATGCACTTCTTATCACACCTACCATATTTAATCTTCTTCATAGCACTTACTGCCTGGAAATTAGCTAATGTGGATTTTCTTGATTCATGTGTCTCTCTCCATGAGAGTGGAAGTCCCTTGAAGGCAGGCCTGTGTCTGTCCTCTTTAGTACAGAATCCTCAAAGCAGAGCAGCAAGCAGCCTGTTATCCCCCCATTACCAGACAGTTAATAGCTGATATACCCACAGAGGGCTGATTACTGGCTTATAAACCTGTTGGGAAGGAAGGTGTATGCTTTCTGCAGAATTCCAACCTACCCCTACTCCAGCTGCCAACATCCTCCTAAGATGTCCTCCTAACACCCACCTAACTAGGGCATGAGAAATTACCCTCAAGTTATAGGAAGCTAAAAGAAACCATTTTCAAAGATACATCCTTTCCCTGACCCTGCTGCCTCTCAACTAGGTCATCAGAAATAAATAGCCCTTTTCCTAGAAAGAAAAGAAACATGTGGTGTTGCCCTGCTGCTCCAGTCAGAAATCTGTATTACCTAGACTTCTAGGGAGAAAATAGGGGAAAAAAGGAGAGAACAAGCTAGGTACTTGACACAGATTTTATCATTTAGGCCCCCAAATGAGCCTGCAATGTAACGTTATGAGACCCATGTTATAGATGAGGAGACTGCGGCTCAGAGGGTAAGTAATTTTCCCTGTCTTAGTATTAAATGATGAGTACATGGCAAAGGCAGAATTCTATCTTAGGTCTGCCTGACACCAAAGCCTCATGCTCTTTCTACATCTCTATGCTAACCCCTCAGCCTCAATTCAGCATAAAAACCTATTCTGAGGACTGAAAAGAACCAGGAAAAGGAAAAAGGAACCCATCTTGATAGGGCTGGGGTTTGCTGAGAGCCCTCTCACCACTTATGCCAGAGGAGCCATCCTAGGCCTAGTGTCACCCAAGCAGAAGCATTGTGCTCCTTGGTCTCAGGGCATGCAGGACAGCCCTGTCCTCCCCATCATCAGGGCACGTGGAGCAACCCTGGGGGCCAGCTCGCCAGCCTGGGTGCTCCACAGGGAGTCTCCAGCTGCCTGCCTGACTGCCTTCCAGACTAAACATTCCCTCTCCCAACTCTCCCTGCTCCGCGGGAGCAAAGTGTCCTAGGAGAGTCTCAACAACAGAAGTGAAGGATAGTTTATGTGTGTCTATGGACACCCTTGGGAGAAAGGCGGGCATATACCCAGGCTTACAAACAGGCTGCAATACACACACATAGGGGAGGCCAGCCCAGAGAGCCACAGATCATGCGCGCGCACACACACACACACACACACACACACACACAGTCAGAAGCAAAAATGGTTATCTCTGAACACTGATAATGAGAGGTGGGCCCACATTAAATTACAAACACAGAAATACTCAGCATGGTGTGCCCTGGACTTCTGGACTCCAAGAAGGACATGTAGGCCTAAATGTGAATACACATTCATACAGTCTACGGGGCTCTATTTTGGAAAAAAGGAAAGAAAAAAAAAACCCCGTGAATGTTTCCACTGTGTGCTGCTTGTAAAAATTCTGCACCCTGGAGCAATGCCCCTGAGCTGTGTGGCTGTGTGTGGGCTGTCAGATAAAGTGGACATCATGAAAACAAACAGCTCTGAGAGCATGATGATGGGGAGGCAGCGCTCTGCTTACAGGGTTAGGGGTAGGGGCTGGCTACAGGTCAGGATCCCCCCAACAGTGGACTCAGACGGAGCTGATGGGCTTACTGCTTCAGTTTTCTGAAAAATAAAACAAGCCTACCCTATGTGGTTGCTTTGCTAAGATTCAGTGTAATGAGAATTTGAAGCAGGAGCAGGGTGCTAGCACATCACACGCTCTCAATAAATGGAGGCTGCTACGATTAAGCTCACAATTCCTCTGGTAATAAGGGGACATGAATCATTTCATCGCCATCTTCAATGCTTCCCCTTTTAGAGCTGATTCATTATGGCTCAGAAATATTATTACTAAAAATGCATTTCATATATGTGTATATGTATATAATGAATGTCTAGCACTGAGCGCCTAGCCACTGTTTTGCATTTATTATTGTTACTAAAAATGCATTTTATATATGTGTATATGGGTGTATATGTATATATACATATACGAAATGCATTTTTAGTAACAATAATAAACGCAAAACAGTGGTGAGGCACTCTGTTAGACATTGCCTAAGACATTACGTATAACTTACTTGGCTTTTACAACAACCATATGAGGACATACTATTATTATCCCCATTTTACAAATAAGGAAATAGAGGCTCAGAGGAGTTCAGCAAGTTTTAAGTCAAACCATTAGTAAATAGAGGAGTTTGAATATGAACATAAATCCATTTAAGTGTGAAAAACTCTGGTCATTATATATATATCATATGTATGATATATACAGTATATTTTTACATATTTTAGTATATTATATATACATCTGTATATTTAATATACATATTTGTTATTGTTGGAAGTCAGCCTGAGTAGGTGAGTAGGCACTAGTGAGCCCAGACTCTCAGGCAATAGGTATAAAGTACCCATTCTGAGCTTCCTTCAGTTTGGGGCAGGCAGCCATCTGTTGACTCCATCATGACCCCTCTCTTGGGCATAATTTTGAGCATGAAGTAATAGCACTGGGGGTGGGACAGAAGTCACAAAGAAGAGTACCATGTTGGGTAGTAAAAATGAAAGTTTATGGTGGCTAGAGAGGTCTTTAAGGAAAAGATCCAGAAAACAGAAGGCACATAGGGATTAAAGAAAGGAAGTCCTCATCATAATCCTTACGGTGACCTGGAGGGCATGACCATTCACTCTATAGAGTTCTAGGGGAAATTCCTGACAGAGGCCCTGAGCAGAACAGGAAAACCACAGCTACAGAGAAAACGCCTCCACCAGCATGACCTATGCCACTGGCCCATAGAGCTGGGTCCCTCTGTCCTCCAGTGGCCAGATGTGTGTGTTGAAAAGACAGCAGGACACCAAGAGTGATCCCTAATGTGAACTATGGACATTGGGTGATAACCATGATATGTCAATGTAGGTTCATTGAGTGTAACAACTGCACCACACACTGGTGCGATATTGATAGCAGAGGATGCTATATGTGCAGGGCCAGGGGCTACATGGGAATTCTCTGTACTTCTGCTCAATTTTGCTGTAAACCTAAAACTACTCTATACAATAAAATTTATTAATTAAAGAGAGAGAGAGAGAGAAAGGGAGAAAGGGTGGGGTGGAGCCAAAAGAAAGGCACACGCTACCACTGCATCTGAGGATTTTATCTCTGTCCTGAGCAGCCAAGGGGTTTCCAGGAGGTGTCTCGCGGAACTAGGCTGGAGTGGAGAAGAACACAGCCAGCAGGACCCAGCCCCCTGCCTCATCTCCTCTTCAACCCCCACCAGATTTTATTTGCTTTATCGACTGGGCTTCCACATCAACTTCATTTTAAGAAAGTTGTGCTGCCAGCCTTGTTTTAAGGCCTTCTGCACCAGAGACTCCACCAAGGGTAAGACCACAACCCTCTTTATCTGTACAGCACCCTGCAGTTCTGAAAGCTTTTTCATGAAAGGGGCCCTGAAGGAAGGAAGCTCACCCTTCAGCCCTATTATCAGGTTGGGCATATAGAAAGTGCTAAAAAATTATTTATTGCATGAATAAATAACTCACATGCATTTTACAGCAAACCTGTGAGGTAGATGAGGCAATTTAGGTTTTATCCATTTTACATTTACTGAGTTGCTTACAATTGGTTAGGCATTGTAGTAAGCACTTCACATGAATTATGTCATATAATCCTCCTTGAAACCTTTGAGCTAAGTAACATTATTATGGATGAAACTGGGGCACAGACAGGTAAACTAACTTGCCGAAGGTCATATAGCTAGTTAAAAGCGGATTCCAACTCTGGCCGCTTGGTTCTTGCCCACGATGAAAAGTTGTTTTAGACTCAGTGAAACCTAGGTTGGGAGAGTTGTAGCAACCCCTGCAAGTCCTGGAGAGGATTGGCCATAGAAGCCAAGTTCAGATCCCCCAAACAGCTCAGACCCCCTCCAACATCATCAAGACATCATTTCAACAGTCTGATTAGGGCATGAGATGGCTGCTTCCTCAACCACCTAGCAAACACAGGACCTTTCCAGCCTGGGGTGCCAAGGACAGCCCCTCCTGGGAGATCTGTCCATACCCAAGGCCTGCCTGATGCAGTGGTGGTGGTAGGGAAAGGAAACAGGAAAGCATATTTAGAATGATAATAAAAGCAAGACAAAAACATGATTTTTTTTTCCCTAACGCCTCACATCCCCTCCATATCCTCAGCTCAAACACAGGGTAGACCCTAGTCAGTTGTGGAAATTTGCCAGCTGGGTCCCTGGTGTGATTTGGCTGTGTCCCCACCAAAATCTCCACTTGAATTGCATCTCCCAGAATTCCCAAGTGTTGTGGGAGAGACCCACGGCGGGGGCGGGGTAATTGAAATCATGGGGGCCGGTCTTTCCCATGCTCTTCTTGTGACAGTGAATAAGGCTCACGAGATCTGATGGGTTTATCAGGGGTTTCTGCTTTTGCTTCTTCCTCATTCTCTCTTGCCACTGCCATTTAAGAAGCACCTTTTGCCTTCCGGGATGATTCTGAGGCCTCCCCACCCATATGGAACTATAAGTCCAATTAAACCTCTTTTTCTTCCCAGTTTCAGGTATGTCTTTATCAGCAATGTGAAAACAGACTAATACAGTAAATTGGTACCAGTAGAATGGGGTGTTGCTGAAAAGACACCTGATAAGGTGGAAGCGACTTTGGAACTTGGTAACAGGCAGAGGTTCAAACAGTTTGGAGGTCTCAGAAGACAGGAAAATGTGGGGAAGTTTGGAACCTTCTAGAGACTTGTTGAATGGTTTTGCCCAAAATGCTGATAGCCATATGGACAATAAGGTCCAGGCTGAGGTGGTCTAAGATGGAGATGAGGAACTTGTTGGGAACTGAAGTAAAGGCAACTCTTGTTATGTTTTAGTAAAGAGGCTGGTGGCATTTTACCCCTGCCCTAGAGATTCGTGGAACTTTGAACTTGAGAGAGATGATTTAGGGTATCTGGCGGAAGAAATTTCTAAGCAGCAAAGCATTCAAGAGGTGACTTGGGTACTGTTAAAGGCATTCCTTTTTATAAGGGAAGCAGAGCATAAAAGTTTGGAAAATTTGCAGCCTGACTATGTGATAGAAAAGAAAAACCCACTGTCTGGGGAGAGATTCAAGCTGGCTGCAGAAATTTGGATAAGCAGCAAGGAGACTAATGTTAATCCCCAAGACCATGGGGAAAATGTCTCCAGGCCATGTCAGAGACTTTCACTGCAGGCCCTCCCATCACAGGCCCAGAGGCCCAGGAGGAAAAAATGCTCTCATGGGCCAGGCCCAGGGTTCCTGTGCTGTGTGCAGCCTAGGGACTTGGCACCCTGTGTTCCAGCTGCTCCAGCCATGGCTGAAAGGGGCCAATGTAGAGCTTGGGCCATGGCTTCAGAGGGTGGAAGCTCCAAGCCTTGGCAGCTTCCATGTAGTGTTGAGCCTGTGGGTGCATAGAAGTCAATAATTGAGGTTTGGGAACATCCGTCTAGATTTCAGAAGATGTATGGAAATGCCTGGATGTCTAGGCAAAAGTTTGCTGCAGGGGCAGTGCCCTCATGGAGAACCTCTGCTAGGGCAGTACAGAAGGAAAATATGGGTGGGATCCCCCACACAGAGTCCTTACTGGGGCACTGCCTAGTGTAGCTGTGAGAAGAGGGCCACCATTCTCCAGACCCCAGAATGGTAGATCGACTGACAGCTTGCAGCATGTGCCTAGAAAAGCCACAGACACTCAACGTCAGCCTGTGAAAGCAGCTGGGAGGGAGGCTGTACTCTGCAAAGCCACAGGGGTGGAGCTGCCCAAGACCATGGGAACCCACCTCTTGCATCAGAGTGACCTGGATGTGAGACCTGGAGTCAGAAAAGATCATTTTGGAGCTTTAAAATTTGACTGCCCCACTGGATTTTGGACTTGCATGGGTAACCCCTTAATTTTGGCCAATTTCTCCCATTTGGAATGACTGTATTTACCCAATACCTGTACCCCCATTGTATCTAGGAAGTCACTAGCTTGCTTTTGATTTTACAGGCTCATAGGCAGAAGGGACTTGCCTTGTCTCAGATGAGATGTTGGATTGTGGACTGTTGGGTTAATGCTGAAATAAGACTTTGGGGGACTGTCGGGAAGGAATGATTAGTTTCTTGAAATGTGAGGACATGAGATTTGAAGGGGCCAGGGGTGGAATGATATGGTTTGGCTGTGTCCCCATCAAAATCTCAACTTGAAATGTATCTCCCAGAATTCCCACGTGTTGTGGGAGGGACCCAGGGGGAGGTAATTGAATCATGGGGCCAGTCTTTCCCATGCTATTCTCATGATAGTGAATAAGTCTCACGAGATCTGATGGGTTTATCAGGGGTTTCTGCTTTTGCTTCTTCCTCATTCTCTCTTGCTGCCACCATGTAAGAAGCACATTTCACCTTCCACCATGATGCTGAGGCTTCCCTAGCCATGTGGAACTGTAAGTCCAATTAAACCTCTTTTTCTTCCCAGTCTTGGGTATGTCTTTATCAGCAGCATGAAAACAGACTAATACAGTCCCTCTCACCCAGGAAGGGGCTGGGCTGAGCCTGGAGAAAGACGAGGAGGTGCTAAGCATACAGGCATTTAGGCAAGTAGGCCTGGGGTCTTATGAATGCATCCATCCACCCACCCACCAATTCATCCACCTCCATCCATCCATCCATCCATCCACTGCCCCATCCATCCATCCATCTGTCCATCCACTTATCCATCCACCCACTGCTCCATCCATCCATCCATCCATCCATCCACTTATCCATCCATCCATCCATCCATCTACTTATCCATCCATCCATTTGCTGGAAATGGAACAAGTGCCCACATTCTGCTGCTCTGAAGCTGATTGACCTCTAGACTTCCTCCCTAAGACTGATGGTCATTTGAGAACTGGATATCAACAGGCTGTGACAAAGCTCTTCAAGCTCTGATGCATGTTACCTGTGAAAAGTTGTTTCTGCTTATACCTGCATTATAAAGCAGTAAGAGATTTCTGAGACTTCAAAGGGAATTCATTGTATAGAAAGCTCAGAGCTGCAACTGTAGCCCACATCTATGTAGCATGAATGAGCCCGTGGCACCCACTGCCTTAGGCAAAATCTGATTTCCCCATCCCTTTATTTTCCTCTTTATTCTGACTTCCTCATCCAAATATAGGTTATTATCTTTTGTTAACTTATATATTTTAAGCCTCCTCAAATCCTTTTTTGGAATCAAGTTGAAACATAAAAGAAAAAAAATGATTGAATTGAACTAATGCAGATGAAATAAGGAGGGGATTTATTTCAGGAACTGAGCTGAGCTCCCAAACTGAGAGTTCAACCATTCTCTGTCACCCCCACCCATGAGCCTGGGGATATGATTGCTGTCAAATGGCTCTTTCTAACATTCTTTCTGCTCGAGGAATGGCAGCCCTTCAATTAGCACCTATCAGTCCTGGTTTTGGGCATCTGATGGAGAGCCCCTAGCTTAGTGTTCTCATTGTAAAATTGGGATTATACTTGTTCCTAGCCTGCAAAACTGTTGAGAGGATTAGTTGACTTCTGCATATAGTAAGGGCTCAGTTATAGTTAGCTGTTATTACTGGTAGATTTCAGTGACGCATGACTTAAACAGAGGTCCAGTCTTGGCACTAGAGCCAATATGGACCCACTGAGCAACTCTTTCTACCTTCCTCTCAAGCTTTGAGTGTAGAGTAGAACCTTTGAGAACACAGAGGCTTGCATGGCCAATAATCATTTGTTCAATTGATTCTAGATATTTAATGGTAATAACCCCCTCCCTCCGCAGTTAAGGCTGGGTGAGGCATGCAGTGGTTAGTCTCTGCTTAGCCCTTGGGGTACACATGATTCCTGTCTTCAAGGCACTTAGTGTCTCCAGGAAAGACTAACCTACAAACCACCAACTGCAGCGCCAGGATGAATGAACTGGTGATGGCTCCATCTTGCCTTTAGACCTTTGCCCATGCTATTCCCTCACCTGTAATACTTTTCCTTACCTTCACCCTCCCTTCACCTGCTCTTCTTCCCTCTCTACCTCTCTCTCTCCCCTCTGCAGAAGGTGTTCATTGTGTTTCTACAGACTCATTCTTGATATATTTTGTATTCTCTTTTTCTCCCTCCCCTCTTTCCTCTCTTTCTCAATTTGCAACTCTCAATTTCAATTTTTGTTTCAATTTTTATATTTGGAATTGGTTACTGTCCTTTTAGTAGTAAGATAAATGGCTAAAATATGCCTGCAGCTTATCTTTAATTAACACAGCTCACAGTGTTATCTGCTTTCAAAAATGCCTGTACTGGTGTACTAGGCAGAATCGTGCCATCTAGAGATGTCTGCGACCCAATCCCCTCAACCTGTGAATAGGTACATTTATGACAAAAGTAATTTTGCAGATGTGATTAAATTAAGGATCTTAAAATAGGGAGATGATCTTGGATTATTCAGGTGGGCCCAGTGTAATCACAAGGGACCTTAAAGATGGGAGAAGAAGGCAGAAGAATGAGAGAAGGAAATGAGACCATGAAAGCAGAGGTCACAGTGATGCCAGTGATTGCAGCTGGGGGCCAGCCAAGCAGTGTGGGCAGCCTCTAGAAACTGGGGAAGACAAGGAAATTGATTCTCCCTCTAGAGCCTCCAGGAGGAATGCAGCCCTGCTGACACCTAGATTTTCAACTCGGACCTCCAGAAAGTCATTAATTTGCATTGTTTCAAGCCACAGAGTTAGTGGTAATTTGTTACAGTAGCAACAGGGAACCAATAGAGCTGGCTCCAAAAGAAAGGGAAGGAAATCCTGTTTCTTACAGGAGTATTTCCGTTTCCTAATGTCAGTACAACTAGGTTTTATGGGAGTACTTGTGTGTGAGTGTGTGGGACTTGCCCATATGGCATATGGCTATCTTTTCTCCTCCAGATCATGGTTGACACAGGACAAGTTTCCACAAAATAAATAAACACTGTCATTTCAATTGAAACTTTGTGTGGAGATAAGTTCACATCCCGAAGTGGACTTGGGCTGCAAGCCCCTTCCTCTGAAAAACATCACGGGTATCATTGTGTTCATGCACTAATAAGCACTGCAAGGCAGTGTATTTGCTTTTCTTGTGCTTTCTTTTCATAGTGGCATCTGCTGGGCTTCAGCTGGCATCTGGACATAGCATAAGAGAGGACATGATGGCAGATGAAGGGATCTGACATCCTAGGAAGGAGGCAGTGGTCTGAACAACATCTTACCACTTATGAACACACCTATGTTCGTGCAGTGAAAGCATGAGTTCTGTTTATTTGAACAACAGAGCTCTGAACAGTCCCCAAGCCTCTCATTTGCTCTGCTGGAATGCAGAGCGTGGTGGTGCAGAGAAGTCTTTGAGGCCAGAGATGAATTTGAAAACTGCCTGCTATTGATGGGTAACCAGGGTTGTTATTGTTTTTTCTTCAGCTGTAAAATGGGAGAATTGGGGGAGGTTCTGGTTTTGCACTGAGATAATGCATTGATGTGCACAGCACAGTCCCTGGATCAAAGTAAGCCATCAATACACAGTAGCTCTTGGGATTGCATTTAGCCTCCTGATCTAGCATAATAGTAAGAATAATAAAGAAGCAAGACTAGGGTTCTGTGGTCAGTTATCTTGTTTGAAGAATCTTTGCTGAAATGTTTCGAAAGGACATGATGTACCTTTTCTTCTTGGTTCCCTTTACACACGACGCTTCTCTTCCAAGCTGTGATTATGAAGTCTGTAATCTGAGTTCCCATCTCAAATCCTGCTCCATGAGTCTGTTTACTTCCCTGTCCCTCAAAAGTATTCTCAGTCCAGCCATACCCTTTCATTAGAGACTCCAAGACTGACAAGGAAAAGAGCTGAGCCATGAGTGGAGACAGTGTGCAAGAAGTAACTGCTTACTCCTTCCTTTGGGGCAAGGGGTACAATCAGCTGATGTGGCAGGAAGCCTGCAGTGTTGGGTTAAGTAGCAGTCAGACAACATTTAAGTAGAACTGGCCCATCTTCCAGCTGCAACCTCAGATGACAGCTATCCTAGCTCCACTTAGAAAGGCAGTGCCTCTTCTGCTCACCAGTGGGCTGCCTTCCCCAGAGCTCATGATGGCAAGGTGGAACAGAGCTGGTCCCCAGGCCTAGCAGAGCAAGAACAGGGCAGCTAGAGACCAATCATCCTGGCTTTCCTCTGGGCCAAGAGGGCTCCCCGTTTCAAAGGCAGACAGTGGAAGATCTGAGAAAGAAGTCAGGATTGAGGGTGATAGCCACCCCCATGGGCCTATGCAGAGTAAGAGCTGAAGATCCAACTGGAAAGGATGGTAGGAGCCATCTCCACTGCAACTTCTTCAAACTCTCCAGGGACACAAACTGAGAGCGGCCCTGTAACCAGTGTGGTTACCGGCCTGCTCTGCAAGTCCGATTAGAGCCCAGCTGTAAGCAGACCCTTCTTTTCCTTCCCTGGCCTGGGAGCTGGCCCATACGGTGTGGAAGGTGCATGCCAGCTGGAGCAATGCATCTCCAACTTCAAAGTGTTGGAGAATCACTTGGAGATCCTGTTAAAATGCAGATTGTGAGTCAATGGATCTGGGGTGGGGCCTGAGCCTCTGCATTTCTAAGATCTCAGGTAAGGCCATGCTGGTGGCCTGCCTTTGGGATTGCAATTAGCTTGATAACAGGCTAAAACAATAAAAAATAAAGGATAATACAGAAACAAGATGAGGGTCTTGTAGGAGACTCTTCTGTCTGCTTCCATGATGTTCTGGGTGTCATATCTCTTGGCAGAGGTAATTTAGAGTGCTTCCACTTCCAAGTGACCTTTGAGGTCCCCCTCTGTGGGCACTTTGAAGAATTAACAGGGAATAGGACAGGGCTTGGAGATTTGGATG
Source organism: Homo sapiens (assembly GCF_000001405.40). Classification (NCBI taxonomy): domain Eukaryota; kingdom Metazoa; phylum Chordata; class Mammalia; order Primates; family Hominidae; genus Homo; species Homo sapiens. The sequence goes on along the minus strand of NC_000011.10, from coordinate 19,606,605 downwards.
AGACTAACATTGAGTGCCTGCTTGGAACAACAGCAAGAGGAAAGGCAAGGAGCTGGGACTGGGCAGAGTTTAGCTGAAGCAGTTGGGAGGGGCAGGTGAGGAGAGGACGGTTAAGGGAGAAAAAAGTGGAAAATGGAGAAGTGAGGTCAGCGAGGAGCACTGGACACTGAGTCAAAGCTCTTACTCTCATCAGCTTTAACACCTGGGGCAAGCTGACACCTCTGAGCCTCAGTTTCTTTATCTATAAATGAGTAGTGTAACATTTAAGCCCCAGGATTAGGGTGAAGGTTAAATAAAGCAACATATGTGAAAGCATCCAGCAAATTACCTGGCATGTAATAGTATCCAATATCCAATACACTTTGAAATAACAAACCAGTAAGTAGGCTCAGGCTTTGCAGAGTCTTCACAGCCAAACAAAGGAGTTTGGCTTTTGCTGCCAAGAAGCCAGTCACAGATTATTCCTAACTGCAATAAAGCAAGCTCTCCCTAGGGATCTCTGCTTAACTGCCTCTGAGTAATTCTGAGCACTTAAGTGGAACTCAAACAGATAAAATTATATAGTTCAAAACCAGTCTTGAATGCAGACCCCTCACTAATCCCGATTAATCTTTGCCTCCGTCTGAAACGGTATGATTCCACAGGCCCCTGGATTTCTTGGAGTAATCCACTATCCCTCTCTCCTCATCTCCTCATCGATGAGCAGCGGGTTGCATTGGTTGCATATTAATAGGATGTCCCAGGGAAACAACACAACCCACGCCCAAATCCTGTCTGGGGCCTGGAATACCAGGACCTTCCAAATCCCAAATCTGATGAAAAGAAATGACCCATTTTGCAGGGAGCTTGCTAGAAGCCCTTAGAAAAAGTCTGCATTGAGAAAGAGTCCTTTCTAGGCAAACAAATGAGGTCCAGGAGGCAGTGCGGCTGCCTATGCCAGGAAGGCTTTGTGGAGGCCTGTGTCTACCCTCCTCCCCGCTAACCCTTCCATCCTCACATGCTCCCTTGCACAGGTCTCAGCTAAGTAGAGCTTATGCAGCTTTTCATGACTTTCTTTTTTTTTTTTTTTTAAATAATATTTAGAAATTGTTTGGGGCCCAGAAACTTAAACATTTCCACTAAGCCATTATTTTCCTGCAGTATATGTTTTTAAAATAGATAGAAATAAAGCTTGCATTTCACAGACAAGAGGAAACGGTAAATACACTTAGGATCAGTGCAGAGGAGTCCATCTTCCTTTACTCTCCTTGGGAGAGGATCTTAAGTGGTGCTGGGCCAGACAACTAAGTGCTTCTCCCCCAAAACCAAAAGATCTAGATGAGTTTGAGGGTTGAAGGGGCAGCTGGATGGAGGCACATCAGAACCAGCTGTGGGTATTTTTTCTTTCCTAAGTAAATATCCCTTGCCCCAACTCCTCCCCTGGACCTTTCAAAAAACAGGCAGCAGTCCAATGTAGTAGTTAGAACATGAGCCCTGGACAAAGGCTGTGTGGGCTCAATCCTAGCTCTGCAATTCACCAACTGGAGGCCTTGGGTAAGTTAACCAATGTATTAGTCCATTTTCATGCTGCTGATAAAGACACACCCAAGACAGGGAAGAAAAATGGGTTTAATGGACTTACAGTTCCACATGGCTGGGGAGGCCTTACAATCATGGCAGAAGGCAAGGAGGAGCAAGTCATGTCTTACATGGATGGCAGCAGGCAAAGAGAGAGCTTGTGCAGGGAAAGTCCCATTTTTAAAACCATTAGATCTCATGAGATTCATTCACTATCATAAGAAAGTGCAGGAAAGACCCGCCCCCATAATTCAATCCCAGACCAGGTTCCTCTCACGACACATGGGAATTGCAGGAGCTACAATTCAAGATGAGATTTGGATGGGGACATAGCCAAACCATATCAACCAACTTCAGTGCCTTAGTTTCTTCACCTGTAAAATAGAGGGATAAAAGTGCCCATCTCATGAGGCTGCTACAAGTGTCACAGGAGTTAATAGCCATGAGGTAGTTAGAGCATTGCCTGGCACAAAGCAAGATTCAACGATTTAATGCATCCCAAGCCACCAATATCTAATATGTCCCCAAACTCTCAATCCTAGCTGCTCCAGCCCAGTCCTCTTGCAGTTCCCCAACCCCATAAATGACAACTCCATCCTTCCTGTTGCTCGGACCCCAATGCTTGGAGTCATTTTTGACTCCTCTTTTTCACACTCTATACACCATCCATTAATAAATCCTATCAACTCTAATTTGAGCATATATTTAGCACCTGGCCACGTTTAAACACACCACCGATGCCCCCCCAGTCCAAGCCACTGTCAACTTTCATCCTAACTGTTGCAGTAGCCTCCTCCTACCCTCACCTCCAGCCCACAATCTCTTCTTCTCACAGCCTCTAGAGTAACTCTTTAAAAACGTTTAAGTCACACGATGTTTCTCCTCTGCTTAAAACCCTCCAAAGCCCCCTATCTCACTCACAGTAAAAGCCAAAGTTCTACTGGGCCCTAGAAAGTCCTATGTGATACAGCCCACTGCCTCTCTGATGCTACTGCCTACTTCTCTTCCCCTTGCTCCCTCTCCCCCAGCCACACGCTCTTCCTTGCTGTTCCTTGAACATGCCCAGCATGCTTCTGCCTCAGGGCCTTTGCACATGCCATTCCCTCTGCCCAGAACACTCTTCCCTCAGAACCCTTATAGCTCCCTCCCTCCCTTCCTTCAGGCTCTACTCAAATGTCACTTCATCAGAAAGGCCGTCTTGAACCTCCTATATAAAACCTTCCATCACTCACTATACCCCTTTCTTTGCTTGATTTTCCTTTTGAGTTCTTATTACCAGTTAATGTTATACATCTTTGTTCCTCTGCTTTTTTTCCTCTCTCCCTGCTTTAGATATGCTGCTCTAATATAGCAGCAGCCCAGTCCCTTTTCTCTTTTGCTCTGTTTCTTTTCTTTTTTCTTTTTTTTTTTTTTTTTTGAGATGGAGTCTGGCTCTGTTGCCCAGGCTGGAGTGCAGTGCAGTGGCGCAATCTTGGCTCACTGCAACCTCCGCCTCCCGGGTCCAAGCGATCCTCCTGCCTCTGCCTCCCAAGTAGCTGGGACTACAGGCGCATGCCACCATGCCAGGGTAATTTTTTGTAAGTTTAGTAGAGATGGCATTTCACTGTGTTAGCCAGGATTGTCTTAATCTCCTGACCTCGTGATCCACCTGCCTTGGCCTCCCAAAGTGCTGGGATTACAAACATAAGCCACTGTGCCTGGCCCTCTTTTGCTCTATTTCTAGTCTCTAGAAACATGCCTGGCACATAGTGGGTGTTTATAACTGTGAATATCTCCCTCCCTCCATTTCTGTCCCCCTCTAATACAGCTCCATGCTGCAGCCAGAAGGATCTGCTTACAATACAAATTTTAAATTCTATAATGCTCCTCTGTCACTCGAGAACCACCAGTGGACCTCCCTGCTGCCCACAAGGCAAAGCTACTACGTGACATGGAAGTCCTTTTGTGGTCTGGTCCTACGTAACCTCAGCCCTCTCTGTTGCCATCAGTGAACCCTCTGCCCACGGAGCAGAAATGTGTCATTGCTCCCTGAGTAATGATCCTTTGCTCATGCTGTTCCCTCAACTTAGAATGCCCTTCCTCCCTTTCTCCATCTTTCAGACTCTCACTGTAGTGGGTCGAATGGTGGTCCGCTAAATGATATGTCCACCTGGAATCCATAGAAACAACCACATTTGGAAAAAGGATCTTTGCAGGTATAAAGTTAATGGTATAGATGAGATTATCCTAGATTAGGGTGGCCCCTAAATCCAATAACAAATGTCCTCAGAAGAGAAGAGAAGGGGAGAAGATACAGAGGAGGGGGCCAGGCGAAAACAGAGGCAGAGATTGGAGTGATGCTGTCACAGCCACGAGACGCCTGGAGCCACCAGAGCTGGAAGAGGCAAGGAAGGACTTTCCTCTAGAGTCTGCCAAGAAAGCATGGCTCTGCCCACGCCTTGATTTTTATATTTCTGACCTCCAGAACTGTGAGAGAATAAATTTCTGTTGTCTTAAGTCACCAAGTTTGTGGTAACTTGTTATGGCAGCCCCAGGAAACTAATATACTCTCCCTTCAAGACTTGCAGAGAAGTGGCTGGGTGCGGTAGCTCATGCCTGTCATCCCAGCACTTTGGGAGGCCGAAGCAGGAAGATCATGAGGTCAGGAGCTCAAGACCAGCCTGGCCAACATAGTGAAACCCCATCTCTACTAAAAATACAAAAATTAGCCGGGCATGGTGGTGTGCACCTGCAGTCTCAGCTACTCGGGAGGCTGAGGCAGGAAAATAGCCTGAACTCGGGAGGCGGAGGTTGTGGTGAGCTGAGGTCACGCCGCTGCATTCCAGCCTGGGCAACAGAGCGAGACTCCATCTCAAAAAAAAAAAAAAAAAAAAAAGACTTGTAGAGATGCACTCCTTGCCTCCCACCCCTACTGGGGGATTGTGCATCCTTTTCATACTTGATGTCCCCGATTTCCTGGCCAAAGCTGATTGGACTGGGGATGAACACTTAGCCCAAGCTGGGCCAATCAGAGTGTCACAGGGACTCGAAACTGGGACAACAGGACCATGGGGCCCTGGTGGGGCAGGTCATCTAGGCTCAGAGCTGGGCAGTGTAGGATTGTGTGCAGAAAGGAAGCCATGCAGAGAGGAGCAGGACAGACATCATATGCCCTGATGATTTTCTAGTTCCTAGAGGAGAAGTTCCTGCTCTTTGTTTCTAAAAGATTCCCACTCCCACTTTTCCATAACCTGGCTTGAGCAAGTTTATTTTCCTTGCAACCAAATCATCCCTAAGCTAACAACTGAGCTTTAGTGTCACTTCATCTCTGACCCCATCGCATGGAGAGAGAAGATCCTAGTCTCTGGGCACCTCAGCTCTGTGTCCCCACCAAGATTCACTGTCACCGATAGCAATGTTTGCATGCCAGTTTTCCCCCAAACTGAGCTCTTCAACCAAGAATCAATCTTGTTCTGCCTGTTCCCATTTCCCCATTACCAGATGGGGTACCATGTCTGGGACCACAATGGATAAATAAATGAATAAAGGAAAAAATGCCACTCAGTTATGCCCACAAGAAACTTATGGTCAGGGTAGGAAGCCCAGACTGACACACATACCCAAGAGCACCATCCAAAAAGGACCAAGTAGAGGGCTGCTCTGAGTCCAGGAGGGGAGGCCGGAGGGCCACTGCGGAGGCAAGGGAAGGAGAAATTGTAGAAGTGGGGTGTGGGAGATGATCACTGGACCAGGCAGAAGGCAGGGTGGAAAAGGGAGGATGTTCCAAGTAGGGTGTAGGGGCAGTAGGGAGGAGGAAGCAGCAGCAATTGGGGTATGTGATAGAGATAGGGCCTGACTTTGAGCAGAAGTTTGCAGGCAGGAGCTCTGAAGGAAGGGATCACTGGGCCAGTCCTAGGCTTTGGGTAACTCATCCACCTAGCTGACACCCATCCAGACACTGTGCCCAGTGCCAGGTGTACAGAGATGACAGATAGCAGAATTCAAAGACCAGGCTGAAGCTCTTGAGAGAACAAGACTGTATCTGCTGTTCCAAGGAGGAGAAATAGTATATAAACAAAGCTTCTGTGGAGCACTTTACAGTTTAGAAAGTGCTTTCTCATGTATTAATGATTACAAAGTCACATGGTATAGTAGAAAAAGTGATGCTGCTGCAGAAAGCCTGAGTTAAGATCTTGCCTCTACCATTTGCTGGCTATAAAACCTTCAGCTAAGAACCTCCTTGAGCTTCAATTTCTTCATCTGTAGGATAACACCAGCTAGTGTTTATTGAACACCTAGTATATGCCTACTATTATAATTGCTTTTATGTGTATTAACTTATTTGATCTTCAAAAACAATACTACAAAGTAGTTACTATTGTTATCCCCATTTCGCAGCTATAGAAATTGAGGCTCAAGGAAGCTAAGAAACCCGCCCAAATCACACAACTACCCAGCAGAAGAGGTGAGATTTGAACCCAGTTATTCTGGCTCCAGAGTCCATGTTCTTAGCCACAATGCTGTACTGTAGATGATGACAGCAGCCCCTCCTCAAAAGTTTTGGGGGATCAGTAAGATTAATACACATGTAACTGGCTAGAGGTTATAGGTAAATATTGGCAACTGTTATAATTTTATCCAGTGCACACAATGTTAGAGCAGTTGGTTGCTTTAGCAGATGCTGTTGACAACCTGTCATGTTCCCTTGGCTTAGCCTGGAGGTCATTCACAGACAGTAGGCATGTCCCTCACCTAGGGACATCCTGTCTCTGAGAGATTCTTGTGCATCAAACAGGGCAGGCCAGAAGTGCTGGGGTTCTCATATCCCAGGAGAAAACCACACCCAATGAGGCAGATGAGTTGGTGCATAAACACCCCAGCTTCTTTGTTCCTCCATGGGACAATTCTGAGGTAGGTCCAACATAGTCCTTCAGAGGGCCCCTGTGGGATTGAGCCCAGCTGCCCATTATAGTAACCCACCCATTAGCACACCTTTTATTGGCTTTCTCCTCGCTGTCTCACTCCCCACTCCCTCACAGTGCTTCCTGGAATCACTTCCCAAATAAACTACTTGTACTGAAATACTTACTTCACAGTCTGTGTTGGAGGATCCAAACTAAGACACGGATGCAATTCAGTTTGGAGAGAGAGAAAAGGAAGAGATATACCCATTGAGGCTTGAGATTTTTCTGGGCAGATACTGCCAGGAGAAGAGCATCAGCCCTCGTAGTGAAGGGAAACGTTCCCAGTAACTAGAAAAATGGATCAGCCCTCCCTCATGCTGTTTCTCAAACAGAATAGCCCCTTCACCCACATTTCACCTGACACTTCAAAAAGATTGGCCATCAAGGGATTCTGGCAAGAGCCCTGATGCCTCTGGAGTAGATTACAGAAGCATTCCTTGAAACCTTAGGATGTGAGCATAAAATAAACACAAATAAGCTCCCCTTGTCTAAATAAACCAAGGTACAGTTTGATGAGGCAGTTTTCGTTTTCTCCCTACCCCTTCCACACTTCTCTCCTCAAAGGCCAGGCTTGTTTGCTTACTTATTTAATACTAAACCCTTTGTACCTTCAAAGAACGCCTTTGTGTCTGAGATGAAGTGGAGCATTTCTGCCTGCTGGACACAATTTTCCAAATGAACCTCCAAACACAGAGTAGCCCAGATTATTAACAATAAGACAACCTCGCAGGTTGGCCGGATGGATGAAATGAACAGGAGGTAAGAAGGAAAACATGAAAAAGGATGGATTTTCAGCAGGTTTTTCCAGCCAAACCATTTGCAATTCCACTGGAAAGGATTCTCAGGGGGAAAGAAACCAAAGAACATGGTGAGAAAAAAAGCAAATTACTGGCTCAGCAGTGTGACATCTTCCCTTGACAAGTTGGGCATGAGGAAAGAGAGAAAGACAAGTTGGGCATGAGGACACATTGAAAAGGACCAACGCTGGCCAGCATGATGGCACAGAGGGCTTTGTCACCTCCAAACGTGGGTGGCCTGGGCCACAGTCCTAGGCTGGGCTCAGAAGTGCCCCTGCCATTTCATCCATCATGGAAACTGCACAAACACTAAGAACAGAGGCATTTGACTGGACCCAGACATTTCAAATGGGGGGAAGCTTTCAGAGAACACAGTTGGAACCAAAAATCAACACAAGGATCACCAAATGCACACACACACACACAGGCCATAAAAGAACGTATTATGCAGAGCCAACTAAAGAAAAATCACGGGGGATATTTGCATTGTGAAGCATCCCATTCTCTAATGGGTCAAGTCCTTCCCATAAGAGGCCGGATAACCTACTGGTCAAAAGCTTGGTGGTGGAGTCAAACTCCCTGGGAGAGAATCTCCCTAGCTCTGCCACATATGGGCTGGGTGACCTCGGGCAAATTCCTTAATCTTTCTGTGTGCTTCCATTTCCTCATCTGCAAATGAGGGCTGATAGTAATAATTATATTAACCTCAGAGCATTGTCTGAGGTTAAATGAATAAATACATATACATCACCTAGAAGAGGGTCTGGCATGCCCAGCACATGTTAGCTCTGATCACTACATAACTTCAGCAGACAATAACTCATCAGCACTACAATAGCTTCCCAGGTACAATAGGATAAAAGTTAAAAAGACAAAGCAGCATAAAAGCAGGTCAGACTGAAAAAGAATTCCCTGAAGCTAGGAAACTACCTTACTTCAAACAAAGCACAGTGACCGTCTTACCTGTGTACAGTTTCCTCGGCTCACGGATGGCTACTCGCTGTGGGTGCCACAAGTGCAGTGTGAGCTCTGAGGACCCCCTGGCACCCCCAGGTTCTCTTTGGCATGCTAGAAAGGTCTGTTGGACTGCAGATCAGAAGTGTGGCTGAGGCTGGGGCACTGCCCTTGCAGAAGAGACGGCACACTCCCTCCCCTCTCCCTGCTCCCAAAAGCCGCTCTTCCATCTGGCTGTGCCTGTCACTGTCAGGGGGCGGCGGCATCTGCCTCTGAGCTGGTCAGTGGCTGGGGCCTGGCCCCCCAGGGCAGCAGAAGGGCATGCCATTGGCATGGGTCATAACTGGAGGCCAGCTGCCCCGTGGTCTCTCTGTGCAGAGAATGCTATGTCCCAGACCCACCTGCCCTTGAGAGCAGGGCCCCATCCCTGTCCTTAGCTCAAGACAGGGGCCCAGGATTTTCTTTACAGAGGTGAGAAATGGCCACGGCCATTCCTCCACTCATCTCAGACAAACACACGCACCCCAGTGAAACTCGCAGTTCTGTGCAGACATTCCTCACGCATCCCCGATCCTCCCCACCTCCTTCAGCTAAAAATGCCCACTTGTTTAGACTTCCGCAGCTTGGGCATGAAGCTGGAATTAAAACAGAGACAAAGGTCCACTATCAGTAATTATTTCTGAAGTAACAAGCAACTAATTGGGACTTACTGTTATTAAAAACCTATACGGCAGGCAGTAATTAAACTGCAGCTAATGAGAATTTCTGCACCAGGCTCTGCAGCCACCACATGGCTATTCTCCTCATCCTGGGTGGAAGGGACTGTTGTTGGAGGAAATAAATGGCTTCTTCATAGCCCTCCAAGAGATATTAGTCATATTGGAGATTTCTGCCCCAGGGAAGTCAGTAGTAAGATGGGGCAGCGAGGCAAGACAAGGCATAAATATGAGAAGCCCAGGAACACATGGAGGTTTCTAGATTGGCTGCTATTATCCTCTGGATGGTGACATCATGCCTCTGGGAAATGGCTGTGGGATACTGTCAAGTCAGTAGGAAAACAGCTGAATCAACTCTTTCATAAATAGATTTATTGAGCACTTCTTATGTGTTAGGAGCTCTGGGAGATGCATTTATATACATTATTTCATTTACTCTTCCTAACAGCCTGAGGAAGGAAGTACCACTAGGCCCTGTTTTACAGATAAGGAAACTTGGCTCAGAGAGACAAAGTCACCTATGGAAACTCACCTGGTTGCTGAGCAGAGTGAAGCCAGAGTTGGATCCAGAAGGAAGGAAAAACTTGGAGTCACATTCTTGCATGCAATACAGCAAAGGGAGGCAGTTGGTGGAGTCAGGGGGGCCAGCTAGGTGTGGCCACCTTCTAGCCTCCTGGTGAGCTTGTTTAGCTACCAAAACATTCTGTGCCTCCGTTTCTGCATCTGCAGAGTGGGGATAGTTATACCTACCTACTGGGTTTGCCGTAAAGACGAACAGCCTGCAGATGAAGTGTTTAGCCCAGGGCTTGGTGCATGGTAAACACTCAATAAAGTCCAGTTGTTATTCTAGGTGCTCTACAGATGCTCTCGGAAGTAGTGCCATCATTTGCTGAAACTCATTGTCTGAGCATGGCAGAGGTTTTGTAATAATGAAAGCTGTGGAAGTCTCAGCAAACAGTGTCTGTCTGCCTGTGTCCCTTGGGAAGGGGGCAGACAAACCCAGCGAGCTGGTTCTGCTCTGAGGCCACTGCCCTGGTGTCCGGGGCAGTGGGAGGCTGGCCAAGCTCCCAGACAGCCTGTCTCGGGCCTGGAGCACAGAGCCGTTGCCTCACCAGCTTGTAATGAACTGCGTCTCCATCCTGATTAGGGGAACAATCCTCACACAGAGAGACTCAGGGGAAGGAAATGACAACGTTGTGGGGACAGGGTATAACCTCACCTCCCAAGGAGGAGCTGGCTTCTGGGGAGCCGGTGAATTGAAGGTCACAGCCCAAGATGGTGCCCATCCCCAGGGAGGAGGCTGAGCAGATTCCACTAGGGCAAGTCTAGGATTTAAGAAATGTGCTAGGTTCAGCCAGGCCTCTGTATGCAAGCCTAGAAGGTAGCAGCTCATAGGCTCTGGTTTGCCAGAAAGGGCACACAAGGAAACCAGCCTTCCCTGGGCACCTACCCCATATCATTCCCCATGCCAGCCTTATGACATCAACATTGTCCTATAAAATAGAATTTTAGAGCACTGTCTTTTCCAAAACCGTGGGTTGCAGCCCATTACTGGGTTATGAAAACAATTTAGTGGGTGACTAATACCATTTTTAAAATAACGTGATTAATAAAAAAAACAGAAAATTTCAGAGTGCACTGCACGTGGTACAGATGAGTATTGTTTTAGGAATCTTTTATTTATTTAGTGTAAGTGTGTTTGGGAGCGGAATTGTGATATAAAATACATTTTTTACTGAGAATTATGGTCAAAACTTCTCGAAAGAATGCAGGCTCTGGCCAGGCATGGTGGCTTATGCCTGTAATCCCAGCACTTTGGGAGACCAAGGCAGGGGGACTGCTTAAGTCCAGATGTTTGAGACCAGCCTGGGCAACATAGTGAGACCCCATCACTAAAAAAAAAATTTTTTTTTTTTAATTAGCCTTCATGGTGGTGTGTCTGTGGTCCCAGCTACTCGGGAGGCTCTGAGGTGGGAGAATCACTTGAGCTTGGGTGGTTGAGGCTACAGTGAGTCATGATCGTGCCATTGCACTCCAGCCTGGGCAACAGAGTGAGATCCTGTCTCAAAAAATAAAAATAAAAAAAGAATGCAGGCTCTGAAATCAGACTGACTGGAGAACCTTGATCAAGTTGTAAAACCCCTCTGTGTCTCAGTTTCCTCATCTATAAAATGGGGATAATAATAGAACATTTCATAGTGTTGTTGCATGAAGTAAATGAGTTAATATTATAAAGTGCTTAAAGTGGTGTAGCAGACACTGCTAGCATTCATCAATTTCCCCTCAGCCAATCTCAAAGCCCCATACAGATAGTTCAGTTCCTTGTATGTGCCAATGCCTTCCTGAGTCTTTCTCCTGAGGATGCTCCCTGGTCATGGTTACATGCTTAGCCCAAGGACAGGGCAGGTCAAAGGTGTGGTGGAATGAATGCCCCAGGAGTGACCCTCCACCAATAAGGACTGGAAGATGGTGGATAAACACAGCAGTGGAGATTCTGAGGTGTGTTTCTCAGTCTCTAAGAGGATGTCCAGTGGGACTGAGCCCCCATTGCCCACCAAAATGACTCCTCCCCATCTCACTTCCCTGTTCTCTCACATCGCTTCCTGGGATCCCCTCCCATATAAACTTGCACCTAAGTCCTTGTCTTGGTGTCTAATCTTAATTTTGATGAACTTAAGCAGATTCTGACACAAAGTAAGTGCTTGATAGATGTTAGTTATTACTAATCACGTTCATCTTGAGAGAGGATCTTTGCAAGTGCTTTATGTGCAATATCTCATTTAATCCTCACACCAAGTCCACAAAGTAGGAACTGTGATTGTCCCCATTTTTCAGATAAGAAAACTGAGGCTTAGCAAAGTTAAGCACGCTGCTCAGGTTTACATAGCTAGAAAGGAAAGAGTTCCACTCTGAACCCATGAGTGTTACCAATGCCCCTGTTCTCCACCTCTCCTCTCTATTTAATCTATACAATCACTCTGCCAGCCAGCTACTGTGGTCACTCCCATTTTACAGATATGGAGATGGAAAGCCCAGGGAAATTATTTGCACTCAATTCCTGCACTATTCACTACCATGTTGGGACCGACAACTCATATCCTGACTCGTTACTGTGCTTTCCATGACAGCAGCAGCAGCAGCAGCCTGCTTCTATGTGCCCTGGATACAGAAGACACAGGAGAAATCCCTTCTTTAAAAAAAAAAAAAAAAGTCCCCGAAGTAGAAACCAGCCAGCTACCATCAAACCTTGCAGCACAGGAGAAAGGTAGGATGCGGTTGAAAAGAGACACAATTTTCAAAGACTTAGTGAAACTTACAGAAACTTAATGACACAGACAGATAGAAATCTGTTCTAGTGCTTGAGCCTCAACTCCTCAACCTGGTAAATGGGCCGATGACCTGGTACGAAGTCCCTCTACTCATTGCTGGCCTTCACTTTCAGCTCCTCTTCCTTATCTCCAACAGCCCCACCATGCAACCAAGGTACCTAGAGCTACTGTACCTTTGGTCTGAGCTCCATCTGCATGAAATTCACTGTGATGTTTCCCTGGAAACCTGCTGTGTGCCACACAGAGTGCTAACCTCTCAGTGCCCTAACTTCCTCATCTATTAAATTGGGATAATCCTAGTATCTTCTTCATGAGTTGTCGTGAGGATTAACTGAGCTAATTGTGCAAATCCCATAGCTGGCAAAGGACCCATATCTAGCATATATAAAGAATACTCAAAACTCCACATTAAAAAACAAACAATCCAACCAGAAGATGGGTAAATGACATGTAGAGACAGTTTACTGAAAAGAATATACAGATGGCAAATAAGCAGTGAAAAAATGTTCAACATCACCAGCTATTAGGGAGATGGAAAGTCAGACCATGAAAGGTGTCACTACATACCTTTTAGAGCAGATAAAATTAAAATAGTGGCAACACCAAATTCCAGCAAAGATGTAGAGACACTGAATCACTCACACATTGCTGGTGGGAATGTAAAATGGTACAGCCACTCTCGGAAAGAGTTTGACTTCCTTCCTAAAACACTAAACATATACTAACCATGTAACTCAACAATGGCACCCCCAAGCATTTATCCCTGTGAGATGAAGACTTATATTTGAAATAAAAATCTATACACAAATATTTATAGCTGCTTTATACGTCAAAGCCAAAAACTGGAAACAACCCAGATACTTTTCCTGGTTAAACCATGGTCTGTCAGTCAGTCATGTATCAGTGGTATATCGGTGTGTATCAGTGGTATATTGGTGGCATATCCATGGAACAGAACTCACCAGGAACAGAGGAATGAACTATAGACAGACAACCTGAATGGATCTCAAAGACATTATGCTGAGTGGGAAAAAAACAAAAGCCAAGCTTAAAAGGTCACATACTTTGCCATTCTACTTAGATAACATTGTTGAAATGACAACATTTTGCAGATAGAAAACATACTAATGGTTGGTTGCCAGGGGCTGGGGGTGGCGGAAGGGAGAGGGGTGGGTATGACTCTGAAGGGGCTGCACAAGGGAGATCTTTGTGGACAGGGGAGAGTTCTGTATCTTGATTGCGGTGGTGATTGTGTAAGATTCTCACAATTTTACACAAGTGAGAAAAGGACACAGAACAATACTCACACAGTCAATTGCCTGGTTCTGAAACTGTACTATAATTACATAATGTGTAAACATTGGAGAAAACCAGGTGAAAGGGACCTCTCAGTTCTATCTTTACATGGGATCTCTCAGTACCATCTTTGCAACTTCCTGCAAATCTATCATTATTTCAACATTTTTAAAAATGTTTTAAATGAACTACTTGTAAAAAGCTTAGAGCAGTGCCTAAATGAGCACTTAGTCAATATCAGCTCTCATTACTATTATTTTATTTTCATTGTTACTTCATACAAGTCATCTTAGTTAATGCTAACAATAAACTTGTTATCACAAGTTTTTAAAAATCCCTATTTTACAGGTGGGAATAGGGAAACTCAGACATATTAGATAACTTGTCTAAGTTTGCTTACCCAGAGAGACCTAGGAATTAAAAAGCCCAAGTTCATGGACTTCCCCCAAACATTCAACTATGAAGACCAGTAAGATAAAAATCTTTGCCCACATCAAGCTTTATAACATAGTGGGGGCAATGACAAAAATATAATTCAAATTCAAGTGGAATGTCACATACTGATCTATGGGAGGACAGGAAATGGAGGAATAAAAAATTCTGAGGTGATCTAGGAAGGCTTCCTAGAAGAGGTGGCATTTGGAATTGTTTTGAGGATTGAGTAGATTAGTAGGTGTGGAAAGAAGGCAGTGATGCAGGAAAGGGTATTCCAGGCAGAGAGAACCTGATCATTAAGCGGTGGGAGTGCTTAAACAACAGTAACAAGCCCAAGGTGGCTGAAGCAGCTGGTATGTGACCAGAGGAAGATGCAGATGAAGGACAAGCAGAGGATAGTCAATGAAGATAGGCGCTGAATGAGCAACAAATCAATATTGAATCAATCAAAGGGATGAATATGGGTGCCTCTATGTGGCCTGCTTCAAGCTAGATTCAATGATGATCCAAACGTACGTGGATGCTGGCCATGCAGATGTTATTCTGGGAGGGAAGATCAATAAGTGTGATAGGGGTCAGGACTTAACTGTAGATGGGGCTTGTCTCCTTAGCTTTTGCTCATTGTGGCCTCCATAGCCTGCCTTGGAAGCTGAATGGCCAATGTCTAAAGTGCATGTGCAATTATGACAGCGTCCACAACAAGCAGCCAGCCATCTGTATATGCTGAAAAGCCAGGCAGAACTCTGCTGTGGGTCTTGGGGTCCCAGGAAGCAAAGAGATCTTCCATTTCAGGACCTCAAGATAAAGTTTCTCAAGGTCCTCCCAAGGCTAAGCCCTAGCAGATACTGAAGGCAAACCCCTACTTTTTGTGGGTTATAGGGTCCCACAATGGTTGTTCTGGACCGTGGAATTTTATCTTTCAAGTCCTGATCCCTATCACACTTACACTAATTGATCTTTCCCCCTAGACAATAACATCCGCATGGTCAGGATCTACATCTGTTTGGGACATCACTGAATCCAGCTTGAAGCAGTTCACATAGAGGTGCCCATATTCAGATCCCTTTGATAGATCCAATATTGATTTGTTGGTCATCTGCTATTCTCAGGTTAGAGGTGAGGAAATAAGACTGTTCCTAAGTAGAGAAGAGACAACCATGGCACACTGCACAAAGGGCAATGACAGTGCCTGACCATCTAGACAAAAAAGAATGAGAAACTATCCTGGACCGTGACAAATGAAGGCAGTCACATATGCATAGCTTATCCTAAGAACTGTGAAGGTGATGCCCCATTCTCAAAGAGAATAGGCACTGTTGATCATGCGATCCAGAGATTGTTAATGGGGCTGCATTGAGAAACAAGCTATGTTTCCATTCACAGCAAACACATCGCAGTGGTGACAATGAGACCTGTAACATTTCTGCTAAGGTCACGAGTGAAAATGGGATGCAACACAACCTCAACATTAGAAAAATATTAAAGAATAATGCATTTTTGCTCATTAGCCAAAATAACAATATGCTTTCTACAATTCAACTGCTAGGGCCCTAAAGTGAATTATTTGAAGAATTAGACCCTAAAGATTCTGTATAGGAAGTTTTTAAAGTATTTCATCAGTATGTCTGTATTGAAGTGGAGACAAAAGAAGCCCAACTAAGATGGACAGAAGGACTGTGGATTCAGCATGAATCTCTAGAAAGGCCTATCTTGAAGATAAATCTTGACTCAAGATTTGGAGGAACTAAGATGACCCTGATGGGCAGTGGAACGAATGACAACATGTAAAATTCCTTAAATAAAAATGTATTGACTTAAAGAAAAAACCATAATGGTGGTATTTGGTTGTTTGTGAGCTTTTGCAGTCAGGATTGTTGCTCAAATACCTTCCTCACTTCTCCATATCTGCCCTGGTTTGCCTTTACCACACTGTCCCCCAGGGCCTGGCTCAGTTGATGCTTTTGGAAAATGGATTTTGAGCTGTAAAAGACAGCTTTTCCAGATATAAACTCAAGCTTCTGAAGCAAGAATTGGATTAAAAGGAGCAACCGAAAAGGACCTCAGAGATCCTCTGGGACAATTGCTTTTAATCTGGGTTTCCTGGAGCTTAAAGGTTCTGCAGAGGTGCCTGGGGTGCGGGGAGCTGGGAGGCAGTCCTGGGTAAGGGGGATGCTAAAGTGGCAAGGCTCAGGGTCTCCACCTTCCAGCCAGAAGAGCTCAATGTGACCTTTTTCACCCACTGAAGTTCCAAATCTGTTAGGAGAAAGATTCCAAGGTTTAAGGTTTAAAACCCCCTAAGCTAGTCCAACACCATCATCGTATCATAATTTTAAAAATAGCTGATTTTGAGTGTTTAGTGTGTGCCAGGAACCGTTATAAATGCTTTACATGCATTACCTCATCTAATCCTCGCAGCAGCTCTAAAAGCTAGGTACTATTATTATCTCAGTTTTACAGAGGAGAAAACGTCGGCACAGTGGTTAAGTAATTTGACCAATGCTCGCAGATCACAAGCGAGGAAGCCTAGCCTGGGACCCACACAGCTGGTTCCTGAGCCTACACAATTCACCACTACACAAGACTGAGGAAGTTGAGGCACAGAGAGAGGCAGGAACTTGCCCCAGGCCCCACGGTGAGCTCAGGGCTGAGCCTAGGCTGGAATCCCGCCTCCTGTGCCCTCTTGGATGCTTCTTCCTCCTGACATTCCCCTTCCCTCTCTCCTTCTCTACCCTACAGTGTGCCTTCTGGAACCAACTTACAGGTGGCTTTAAATAGACCATCCCTTGGTTACCAAGCATCTGTGCTCCCACGCTGGGAGCAGCTGAAGGAGATGGAGCTGTGATGGCTGATCGGCTTCTAGGCCCCCATTCTGAAAGGGGCTGTGGCTCTCTCTTGGCTGGAGCCTCACTTCCCACCTGCTGCTCTAGATACATAGAGGCCCTTCACCATTTGCATGCTGTCTATCCAGGCTCACCTACACATGCTCTTGCTATTGTGGATATGGATATGCCCTGTTCCTTTGACCATGCCATTCCCACTGCTGGGAATCCCTTTCCCGCTTTGTCAGCCTGGCGTACTCCTCCTCAAATGTCCTTTTTCCAGGGCCCTGACCTTCCTGACCTCCCTTCCAAGGCAGAATCAACCACACCTTCCCCAGCACTCTCCACATCACAGCACAGATCACTCCGAATTGTAACCACTGATTGAATTTATTTCCTTGATTAAAAATCATGCAGGTGGTCCCATTTTTCCTTTGGTAAAGTCAGGATAGCTCCTACAATCTGCCTCTGGTTAAGCTGGGAGGTTTTTTTTGTTTGTTCGTTTGATTGGTTGGTTGGTTTTTTGTTTGTTTTTTTGTCTTCCTGAAATTCTGTCATTAAATTGATAAACTGTTTTGTAACCATATCATCTTAGGATCCAAGAAATACAGGACTTCTCTGTCTCCCTCTAGACTGTGAGCTCACCTGGGTTGAGGGCCGTGATTCAATGTCTCTGGACACCCAGGAACCAGCACAGAGGAGGCACAGAGGAAGGACCAGGTATGGTGAGTCATGGTGCTCAGGGGCTGGACGGTGCCCTCTGTGCCCAGATCTCCATGGGAGGCATCCCAGAGGCCTAGGAGAACCCCAGCCATCTACCAATTGCCCATTGAGTTCATGAAACTACCTTATGATATGCAGAAAGAAACATGGGCAAGGACAGCAGGCTTCTTTTTCCCCCTCTAACCTGGCACAAATGAGGCTGACCAAGCCCAGCAAGATTCCAAACCACATCACACCCCATGCTCTGACTCCTTTCTTTTTTCTTAGAGATAGCTACCATTGTTGGCTTGTTCCTAGCAGTTAGCTCTCTTAAATTCTTTATTTCTAAGAGAATTTTCCAGCAGGTCTTCCACCATTTTCTATCCTTTTTCATTCTGCCTCCAGTGATCTTCTAGGCCCTCCAACCTATGTCTCCAATGGTAGTTGTGTACCACTTCTTCTGTTTGAACCTCAGCCCTATAAATATGAGGATCTTAGACTTGATAGGGTCTAGCAGGTTACACAGGACTTTGTTTATCATCTTCCTTTTCTCTGCCTATGGCAGACATTACTAATCAATCACAGCATGCTTGCCGTCAGAATTCATCTTCAGGAAGCCACTGTCAAGTGGGTTGGCTCACAAGCTGGGTCATTTTTGCAGCTATGGGCCTAGATGCCCTCTAAGGGAAACTCTAATCAGAGATCCTTGGGTAAAATATCCATACACCAGATTGTTTTGGATACTCCCAAATTTATATAATTTTAAATTTCTCTGTAATGAAATCAATTTGTAAAATGGATGAGTAACTAATTCAGGATTTTGTGGGAGCAGGAGGAGGAACATTTGACTAACCAGTGGACTCTGGGGTCAACAGATGTACCTTTGAACTGGCCCGAAATAGTTGACCAGGAATTTGGCTTTTCTGTCAGGTGACCCAAGTCAGGGAAGAAAGGAATAGAACTAGTAGGATAATCATTCATTCATTTCTTTCACAAACATTTACTGAGCACCTATTACATGCTAGACACTGATCTAAGGGCAAGAGATTTGCAGACAAAGATGGTGACAGCCCTCATGGTTGACCAGGTACTAGACCCAATGGCACTCTATTTGCATATCACATTTAATTTTTTATGGCCTCAAGGCTGGATTCCTGAATCATTGGGTGGAGAAGAGCTATCCACTGGCTAGAAATGTTAGCCTTGGACTAAAATGTGGATGAGAACTAAATTTCTATTGTGTTGGTGCCTTTATACATTGTGGTACCTTCTTGTTATAGAAGCTTGTGTTATCCTAATTAACATATTTTCTGTGTGCAGTCAGTCTCATTGTGACTTTGGTCTGGAAATGTCTTTGTAGCTCCATTGCTTACTTTCAGAAGAGCTCTTGGGATTGGGTACCCAAAGAAAATGTTCATCAGCCATGAATTAACCCTTGAAGTCAGATGCTTTCAACCCAGACCATAAGAGTTTTCTATGAGGACCAAAAAGCCCTGATAAAATGAACTCTCAATCTTTTAGAGAAAAATGTGGAGCTGGGAGCCAAGGTGGCTGAATAGGAACAGCTCCAGTCTACAGTTCCTAGCATGAGCGACGCAGAAGATGGGTGATTTCTGCGTTTCCAACTGAAGTACCAGGTTCATCTCACTGAGGAGTGTCAGACACTGGGTACAGGACAGTGGGGCAGCTCACTGAGCGTGAGCTGAAGCAGGGCAAGGCATCGCCTCACCCGGGATGTGCAAGGGGTCAGGGAATTCCCTTTCCTAGTCAAAGAAAGGGGTGACAGGCAGCACCTGGAAAACTGGGTCACTCCCACCCTAATACTGTGCTTTTCCAATGGTCTTAGCAAACGGCACACCAAGAAATTATATCCTGCACCTGGCTCGGAGGGTCCTATGCCCACAGAGCCTTGCTCATTGCTAGCACAGCAATCTGAGATCAAACTGCAAGGCGGCAGCAAGGCTGGGGGAGGGGTGTCCACCATTGCTGAGGCTTGAGTAGGTAAACAAAGCGGCCGTGAAGCTCGAACTGGGTGGAGCCCACCTCAGCTCAAGGAGGCCTGCCTGCCTCTGTAGACTCCACCTCTGGGGGCAGGGCATAGCCAAACAAAAGGCAGCAGAAACCTCTGCAGACTTAAATGTCCCCGACTGACAGCTTTGAAGAGAGTAGTGGTTCCCACAGCACGCAGCTGGAGATCTGAGAACAGACAGACTGCCTCCTCAAGTGGGTCCCTGACCCCCAAGTAGCCTAACTGGGAGGCACCCCCCAGTAGGGGCAGACTGACCCTTACACGGCTGCGTACTCCTCTGAGACAAAACTTCCAGAGGAACGATCAGGCAGCAACATTTGCTGTTCTGCAATATTCGCTGTTCTGCAGCCTCTGCTGCTGATACCCAGGCAAACAGGGTCTGGAGTGGACCTCCAGCAAACTCCAACAGACCTGCAGCTGAGGGTCCTGACTGTTAGAAGGAAAACTAACAAACAGAAAGGACATCCACAACAAAACCCCATATGTACGTCACCATCATCAAAGACCAAAGGTAGATAAAACCACAAAGATGGGGAAAAAACAGAGCAGAAAAACTGGAAACTCTAAAAATCAGAGCACCTCTCCTCCTACAAAGGAACGCAGCTCCTCACCAGCAACGGAACAAAGCTGGACGGAGAATGACTTTGATGAGTTGAGAAAAGAAGGCTTCAGACGATCAAACTACTCTGAGCTAAAGGAGGAAGTTCGAACCCATGGCAAAGAAGTTAAAAACCTTGAAAAAAAATTAGAAAAATGGCTAACTAGAATAACCAATGCAGAAAAGTCCTTAAAGGACCTCATGGAGCTGAAAACCATGGCACAAGAACTATGCGACGAATGCACAAGCCGCAGTAGCTGATTCAATCAACTGGAAGAAAGGGTATCAGTGATGGAAGATAAATGAATGAAATGAAGTGAGAAGAGAAGTTTAGAGAAAAAAGAATAAGAAGAAACGAATAAAGCCTCCAACAAATATGGGACTATGTGAAAACACCAAATCTACATCTGATTGGTGTACCTGAAACTGACGGAGAGAATGGAACAAAGTTGGAAAACACTCTGCAGGATATTATCCAGGAGAACTTCCCCAATCTAGCAAGGCAGGCCAATATTCAAATTCAGGAAATACAGAGAATGCCACAAACATACTCCTCGAGAAGAACAACCCCAAGACACATAATTGTCAGGTTCACCAAAGTTGAAATGAAAGAAAAAATGTTACGGGCAGCCAGAGAGAAAGGTTGGGTTACCCACAAAGGGAAGCCCATCAGACTAACAGCGGATCTCTTAGTAGAAACTCTACAAGCAAGAAGAAAGTGGGGGCCAATTATTCAACATTCTTAAAGAAAAGAATTTTCAACCCAGAATTTCATATCCAACCAAACTAAGCTTCATAAGTGAAGGAGAAATAAAATCCTTTACAGACAAGCAAATGTTGAGAGATTTTGTCACCACCAGGCCTGCCCTAAAAGAGCTCCTGAAGGAAGCACTAAACATGGAAAGGAACAACCGGTACCAGCCACTGCAAAAACACGCCAAATTGTAAAGACCATCAAGGCTAGGAAGAAACTGCATCCACTAAGGAGCAAAATAACCAGCTAATATCATAATGACAGGATCAAATTCACACACAACAATATTAACTTAAATGTAAATGGGCTAAATGCTCCAATTAAAAGACAGAGACTGGCAAATTGGATAAAGAGTCAAGACCCATCAGTGTGCTGTATTCAGGAAACCCATCTCACGGGTAGAGACACACATAGGCTCAAAACAAAGGGATGGAGGAAGATCTACCAAGCAAATGGAAAAGAAAAAAAGGCAGGGGTTGCAATCCTAGTCTCTGATAAAACAGACTTTAAACCAACAAAGATCAAAAGAGACAAAGAAGGCCATTACATAATGGTAAAGGGATCAATTCAACAAGAAGAGCTAACTATCCTAAATATATACGCACCCAATATAGGAGCACCCAGATTCATGAAGCAAGTCCTTAGAGACCTACAAAGAGACTTAGACTCCCACACAATAATAATGGGAGACTTTAACACCCCACTGTCAACATTAGACAGATCGATGAGACAGAAAGTTAAAAAGGATATCCAGGAATTGAACTCAGCTCTGCACCAAGCGGACCCAATAGACATCTACAGAACTCTCCACCCCAAATCAACAGAATATACATTCTTTTCAGCACCACATCACACCTATTCCAAAATTGACCACATAGTTGGAAGTAAAGCACTCCTCAGCAAATGTAAAAGAACAGAAATTATAACAAACTGTCTCTCAGACCACAGTGCAATCAAACTAGAACTCAAGATTAAGAAAATCACTCAAAACTGCTCAACTACATGGAAACTGAACAACCTGCTCCTGAACGACTACTGGGTACATAACGAAATGAAGGCAGAAATAAAGATGTTCTTTGAAACCAATGAGAACAAAGACACAACATACCAGAATCTCTGGGACACATTCAAAGCAGCATGTAGAGGGAAATTTATAGCACTAAATGCCCACAAGAGAAAACAGGAAAGATCTAAAATTGACAACCTAACATCAAAATGAAAAGAACTAGAGAAGCAAGAGCAAACACATTCAAAAGCTAGCAGAAGGCAAGAAATAACTAAAATCAAAGCAGAACTGAAGGAAATAGAGACACAAAAGACCCTTCAAAAAATCAATGAATCCAGGAGCTGGTTTTTTGCAAAGATCAATAAAATCGATAGACCGCTAGCAAGACTAATAAAGAAGAAAAGAGAGAAGAATCGAATAGACCCAATAAAAAATGATAAAGGGAATATCACCACCGATCCCACAGAAATACAAAAAACCATCAGAGAATATTATGAACACCTCTATGCAAATAAACTAGAAAATCTGGAAGAAATGGATAAATTCCTCAATACATACACTCTCCTAAGACTAAACCAGGAAGAAGTTGAATCTCTGAATAGACCAATAACAGGCTCTGAAATTGAGGCAATAATTACTAGCTTACCAACCAAAAAAAAGTCCAGGACCAGACGGATTCACAGCCGAATTCTACCAGAGGTACAAGGAGGAGCTGGTACCATTTCTTTTGAAACTATTCCAATCAACAGAAAAAGAGGGAATCCTCCCTAACTCATTTTGTGAGGCCAGCATCATCCTGATACCAAAGCCTGGCAGAGACACAACAAAAAAAGAGAATTTTAGACCAATATCCCTGATGAACATTGATGCAAAAATCCTCAGTAAAATACTGGCAAACCGAATCCAGCAGCACATCAAAAAGTTATCCACCACGATCAAGTGGGCTTCATCCCTGGGATGCAAGGCTGGTTCCACATACGCAAATCAATAAACGTAATCCAGCATATAAACAGAACCAACGACAAAAACCACATGATTATCTCAATAGATGCAGAAAAGGCCTTCAACAAAATTCAACAACTCTTCATGCTAAAAACTCTCAATAAATTAGGTATTGATGGGACATGTCTCAAAATAATAAGAGCTATCTATGACAAACCCACAGCCAATATCACACTGAATGGGCAAAAACTGGAAGCATTCCCTTTGAAAACTGGCACAAGACAGGGATGCCCTCTCTCACCACTCCTATTCAACATAGTGTTGGAAGTTCTGGCCAGGGCAATCAGGCAGGAGAAGGAAATAAAGGGTATTCAATTAGGAAAAGAGGAAGTCATATTGTCCCTGTTTGAAGATGACATGATTGTATATCTAGAAAACCCCATCGTCTCAGCCCAAAATCTCCTTAAGCTGATAAGCAACTTCAGCAAAGTCTCAGGATACAAAATCAATGTGCAAAAATCACAAGCATTCTTATACACCAATAACAG
This sequence comes from Homo sapiens, assembly GCF_000001405.40. Classification (NCBI taxonomy): domain Eukaryota; kingdom Metazoa; phylum Chordata; class Mammalia; order Primates; family Hominidae; genus Homo; species Homo sapiens. Next base: position 19,583,180 of record NC_000011.10, on the reverse strand, counting down.
AGAAACAGAGAGCAAAATCATGAGTGAACTCCTATTCACAATTGCTTCAAAGAGAACAAAATACCTAGGAATCTAACTTACAAGGGATGTGAAGGACCTCTTCAAGGAGAACTACAAACCACTGCTCAATGAAATAAAAGAGGATACACACAAATGGAAGAACATTTCATGCTCATGGTTAGGAAGAATCAATATCGTGAAAATGGCCATACTGCCTAAGGTAATTTATAGATTCAATGCCATCTCCATCAAGCTATCAATGACTTTCTTCACAGAATTGGAAAAAACTACTTTAAAGTTCATATGGAACCAAAAAAGAGCCCGCATTGCCAAGTCAATCCTAAGTCAATCCTAAGCCAAAAGAACAAAGCTGGAGACATCACACTACCTGACTTCAAACTATACTACAAGGCTACAGTAACCAAAACAGCATGGTACTGGTACCAAAACAGAGATATAGACCAATGGAACAGAACAGAGCCCTCAGAAATAATGCCACATATCTACAACTATCTGATCTTTGACAAACCTGAAAAAAACTAGAAATGGCAAAAGGATTCCCTATTTAATAAATGGTGCTGGGAAAACTGGCTAGCCATATGCAGAAAGCTGAAACTGGATCCCTTCCTTACACCTTATACAAAAATTAATTCAAGATGGATTAAAGACTTAAATGTTAGGCCTAAAACCATAAAAACCCTAGAAGAAAACCTAGGCAATACCATTCAGGACATAAGCATGGGCAAGGACTTCATGTCTAAAACACCAAAAGCAATGGCAACAAAAGACAAAATTGACAAATGGGATCTAATTAAACTAAAGAGCTTCTGCACAGCAAAAGAAACTACCATCAGAGTGAACAGGCAACCTACAGAATGGGAGAAAATTGTTGCGATCTACTCATCTGACCAAGGGCTAATATCCAGAATCTACAATGAACTCCAACAGATTTACAAGAAAAAAACAAACAACCCCATCAACAAGTGGGCGAAGGATATGAACAGACACTTCTCAAAAGAAGACATTTATGCAGCCAAAAAACACATGAAAAAATGCTCATCATAACTGGCCATCAGAGAAATGCAAATCAAAACCACAATGAGATACCATCTCATACCAGTTAGAATGGCAATCATTAAAAAGTCAGGAAACAACAGGAGCTGGAGAGGATGTGGAGAAATAGGAACAATTTTACACTGTTGGTGGGACTGTAAACTAGTTCAACCATTGTGGAAGTCAGTGTGGCAATTCCTCATGGATCTAGAACTAGAAATACCATTTGACCCAGCCATCCCATTACTGGGTATATACCCAAAGGATTATAAAACATGCTGCTATAAAGACACATGCACACCATGTTTATTGCAGCACTATTCACAATAGCAAAGACTTGGAACCAACCCAAATGTCCAACGATGATAGACTGGATTAAGAAAATGTGGCACATATACACCATGGAATACTATGCAGCCATAAAAAAGGATGAGTTCATGTCCTTTGTAGGGACATGGATGAAGCTGGAAACCATCATTCTCAGCAAACTATCACAAGGACAAAAAACCAAATACCGCATGTTCTCACTCATAGGTGGGAATTGAACAATGAGACACATGGACACAGGAAGGGGAACATCACACACTGGGGCCTGTTGTGGGGTGGGGGAGAGGGGAGGGATAGCATTAGATGTACCTAATGTTAAATGACGAGTTAACGGGTGCAGCACACCAACATGGCACATGTATACATATGTAACAAACCTGCACGTTGTGCTCATGTACCCTAAAACTTAAAGTATAATAATAAAAAAAACCTTAAATTTAAACTTTCAAAAGAAATTAAAGGAGATTCAGAGAAATTTGTTAAACAAGATACAAAGAGTGCTAATCGTTAAAGAGGAGATTGATAAGTCAACGCCATTAAAACCAAGAACTTATGCTAAGAATACTTTAAAGAAAGTAAAAAAACCAAGTCACATGCAGGAAGAAGATACTTGCAATTATATAACAACCTACAGATTAGTATACAAAATATAAGGAACTCCTACAAATCGACAAGATAAAGCAAACAATTCAATGGGAAACTGGGTAAAAGACATGAACAGACATCTCACAGAAAAGGAGACACATGTGGCCAATTAATATAAGAAGAGATTATCCACCTTGTTAGTAATCAGAGAAATACACATCCAGCCAAAATGCTATTTTGTATTCATCAGCTTAGGAAAAATAAGAACCAAATGTAGGATAGGATGAGTATCCTATAAGTAGGCTTACACATTCTTGTGGGAGGATAAATTATTACAGTCACTTTGAAAAATAATTTTGCATTGCTGGTAAAGTTGAACATTCACATACCTTCTACTCAGCAGTTTTACTCCTAAGTGTGTTCCCAAGAGAAAATCTTGTTCACATGCCCATGAAGACAATGTTCAAGAAGGTCTATGCGGTACTCCCCATAATAGCAAAAAAGTGGAAACAGCTGAAATGCTGACTGACAAGAAAATAAATCAAATTGCCTAAGATAGTGCCTGGTACACAATAAACACTCAATAAATGGTAGCTGCTATGGTTTGAATATTCATTCCCTGCAAAACTCATGTTGAAATTTAACCCCCAATGTGGCAGTATTGAGAGATTCATGGATTAATGGGTTATCATGGGAGTGGGACTGGTGCTTTGCAAGAAGAGGAAGAGAGACCTGAGCAAGCACACTCAGGCCCTCCCCATGTAATGCCTTGAGCTACCTTTGGACTTTTCATAGAGTCCAAATGGGGCCCCTTGATCTTGGACTTCTCAGCCCCCATAACTGTAAAATATAAATGTCTTCTTCATAAATTAAAAAAAAAAGAAAGAAAAATGTGATACTTCCCAGAGAAATTCCCAAGCACCATGTTCTTTTCCTGGGAAATCAATCTGGCTACAGGACAATCTTTTAGGCAGCCAGAAGCCCTTCATCTGGGTTTCGGTGACAACTGGCTGTGGCTCTCCGAGGGTACAGGCACAGTAACAGCCACCTGGCAAAGAGAAATTAGCGAGCCCTGGAAGCCCCACCCCCCGGTTGGGTCAACAGCACCAGTCAGAGTGCCACAGAAATAAATATATCCCATTCATAGAGCTTTCCGTTTAACAGCTTTCAAAGTCATAAAGTCTGCATAAGGCCAAAAGATACAATTGTCCAATTGGAGGTTTTATCTAGGAAAACACATATTTTCAAAGACTGTTTGGTCCCCATGCCAGGATCATAGCTGGGCTGGTTTAACGTGCTGGGCCTCTGGGTTTTATAGTACTTTCCACTTAAGTGAGACAGGACAGAGGCCTTCTCAGAGCCTCTTGTCTCCAAGGTGGTGTCCAAGAGGGGCCTAGAGATGCTCAAAGCCAATCATTCCCATGAGAATTCCAGAAAAGCTAGAATCTACCTAGACCAGGTCATGTAGGAGGGGAATAACAACTAACATTTATTGGGTGCTTACTATGTACACTTACTGAATTCCAGGTTCTGCTCTAAATACCTAACACATATCATTGCATTTACTCTTTCTTATTGCCTTACAACGAAGTGTCTATTTCCTTCCTATCTTCCAGAGGAGGAAAGCAAGGCTTGGAAAGGTAAATCAACATATTCAAGATGATCTGATTCAGTGAGTAGTAGGGTCAAGATTTGAACTTAGGTCTAGTGATTCTAAAACACTTCAACCTCTATAATCAGCTGCCACCCATGACTGTCAGGGCCCTTTCTCCGTCTCTGTCCAGCTGCTTGAGCTGTGTTATGAAGGGCAGATAGACGAAGACCAAGGAAGGGCTTGTCACTAGCAGTGGGAACCAATGAAGGGAACCAGGCCTGGGAGAGAATCCTTAATATTTGCCAGGAACCATGTTAAGCATTTACTTAAATTATCATGCTGAATTCTCATAATAGTCCTGCAAAATAAGTCTTATTATATCCATTTGACAATTGAGACAGCTGAGGCTTAGAGAGGTTAAAAACTTTCCCAAGGCCACACGGCTCAGAAGTGGTGGACAGTCTGCCTGAATAGACTCCTTGCTCAGAAACATTAAGTCAGGCACTGAGCTTACCCACCTACGTACACATCATATGGCTTTTATTCTTGGGAGAGATTTCTTTTTTTGTCAAATTCTGGCTCTACTTGTACACATTGCACTGATCACTTCCCTGATAGTCCTGGATGTTGAAACTTACACACACACACATTTACATCTAGGCCACTTACTAGCTGAGTAATCTTGGGTGTGTGAACATGTCCCTAAACCTCTCAGAGGGGTTTCTGCTCTCCTGGGACTCACCACTTAGACCAAAGGTAGCAAACCTTTCCTGTCGAGAGCCAGAGGGTAGATATTTTAGGCTTTAGGGTCATCCGCTCTGCATGACAACTGCTCAACCCTGCCCTGTAGTGCAAAAAACAACCATAGATAATGTATAATCAATGCTATGGCCAGATTTGGCACACAAGCCAAAATATGCAGACCCCTGACCTAGATGGTCAACATATTGCACAAATAAGTGTTAAATTCCCATTTTGTAAGTACTACAAATGGGAGGTATTAGTGTACTCAGAGTGTATACTAGGAGGAACTGACCTCCAGGGCATGGTGGCTGGACAATGTCACAATGTCACCACAGAGCAGGGCCAGAACTGGAGTCCAGGCATCCCATTCTCCCACTGGGACTCACCCCCTGCATGTGTGGCCTCCTTGGTCACCAGTGAATCTCCCAAGTCGATGTCCCTTCTAGAGGCTCAATGACATCAGGCTGCACTCAGAGAGCAGCCCAGGACATCTGCAACTGCCTGGCTTAACCTCTGACTGTGGCCAAGAGCCTTCTACTAGCAAATCACTGGCTCATTTCTCTCCAGCAGGGCCTGGCTCACAGCACCTTCTGGAAAGCCATTACAGCAGCTACAGCAGCACGCGCAGCGTTAATTTATGAAAATCTCAGCTTGTAAAAGCCCAGCTCGCAGGCAGAGCCGGAGGAGGCAGAGGCACTCTGCACTGGAGATGCATGAACTGCTATTTGCTTCTCTTACAGCCACAAAAGGAAATGCTGGCGAGGGCTTCAGAGAAGGGGTGGTGGGGAGGGGACGCTGCTGGATTTAATAGGAGGAATACGAGTCATTTGTCTTATTGTAAAATAGATGTGTGTTTGGAAGCAGAAAATGCTCTGGATCCTTTCTTTCCTCCCCTTGCAGGCATGAAAAGCCTTGAGCAAAACAAAATGCTGCTGATTTTGAGTCTATTTTGGGCGCCTGTCGCTGATTGTCTGCTTCCGAGGCCTGTGCACATGCTGCCTTCTCAAAGAATGGTTTTAACAAATTGAAATGGAATGAATGAGCATCTTGCTCCTGCTGCTGCTGCCACCATTGGAACAGAAAGCAGCCCCCAATAGTGGGGCCTGGTCCATGGCTCCTCAATTCTTCCCTCTCACCCCAGATGCCCACCCAACCCACACCCCCATCCACACAGTGCTTGCTGGCTCCCGAGTTAGGCTGCTCACCCCATGCCAGGAAGCTATTTACCAAAGGAAATAACTGTGATAAAAGGGCTAAAAATAGGCAGCAGTGATGGAAAACATTTTGTTGAGAGATCTGCTGACAAGAGGGGAAACAGAGCTGTGAAAAAGATAGGTGGTGAAGGACACAGAGGGAGAAGTGGCTACACTGAGCATCTAGGGGGCCCAGGAGGAGCCGGGGTCAGGGCCCAGAGGCCAGGTGGCTCACACAGATGGCTGCGCCCTCGTGGCAGATCTTCCCTGTCAGCGGCCCTACCCTTGTGGTATTTCACCCAGCCTTAGAAAAGTGAAGGGGCACGAGCCAACAGGTTCCTTCGCCAGGTGGGTATCTGAGGACAGGTATCTGAAAAGCAGCCCCATGAAGGAAGCAAATAGAACGCTGATGGAGGCTGACCACACATTTGGCTTTCGCCAGTTAGCAACACACGGACGTTGGACAAGCTGCTTAACTTCTCTGAGCCTCAGTTTCCTCATGTGATAAATAAAGATATGCTTAGACCCACGTCATAGGGCTGTGGTGATAATCCATGCACACTATTTACCAAACAGTGGCATTATTCCGGTCATTCAGGCTTTTACAAACATGGATTGAGGGCTTTCATTGTGCAAGGCACTTCCTGGAACCCAGGGATTCCTTGAAGTAAAAGACAAATTCCTGCTGTAAGATACTTTAATTCCTTAGTGAACAAGGAATTAGAGTAGAGAAGGGGGAGCTGTCCTTAGAAATATATAACCAGCACCACTCAGCCTAAGACAGCCAGATGGAAGGACCCCAGGACACCTTCCCAGGCCACAGACACATCCATTCCATCCAATGCTGTGTGTCTGCTATGCACTGTGTACTGAAGAGGGAATGATGAGAAAGGCTCAGGGTTCCCTTCTGAAGCCCACAGACTGGTAGAGAAGACAGGGAGGGAAACAGATATATGTTATTCACGTGAAAAGGACCATACAGAATTAGGTTTAAGAGCTCTCTTTGGGAGCAGCAGATCTTTGAAATTTCCAGGCACCGGAATGTGTAAGTTTTACAACAAGCTAAATATATACAAGTTAATCATATTCATGTATTTGCATAAATTAATAAACAGCAATTATATATTATAGCAATTTCTAAGTAATATCCCCAAATAACTATCTCAATATACCAAAATAGTAACAATGGTTATTTCTGGGTGGTGGAATTATGGGTGATTTGTATTTCTCCCCAAATTCTCTACAATTAGTATGCATTATTTTTGTAATAGAAAAACAAACAAATGAAACATGAGTAAGAAGCGAGTGGTTTCAAAATACCCTGCAGATGGGAAATCTGTTCGCTTGCCTTGGATTCAGCTGAAAGCCTCTCTATGACTTCAAGAACCATCAAAAGTTTGAAGTAGCTTGAAAACAGGTTTTTGCATCAGAATGCGGCAAGGCTGCCCAGTCTCTGGCCAAGTGGGTCTGATCCCTTACCTGTTTATTTTGTGGCTGAGGATCAGAAAGGAGTATGCTAGCTTGGAATGGAGAGTGTAGACAGAGGAGGACCCATTCCACAAATGGCTGTGTGCAAAGGGCACTTAGGCCTGGATTTGAGCACTTTTTCTGCCATACACTAGATGTGAGATCTTGGGCCAGTTATTTCACTCCTTTGAGCCTCAGATTCCTCACTCTGTATGACTTAAAAAAGCCATCCTGAACCACCCAGGCTCAACTGGGCATCTATTAGAGTCCACACCGTAATCTGCTCAGCCCTCTGTGTTACAATGGGCTACAACTTAAAACTAGGGAACACACCTTGTCCACAGCTGTGATTCCCTTACCTCTCATAGTGCCTGGTACAGTGACCTTCAATACACATTTGCTGAATGAATGAGATGCCAAAGCTCATGCTAGGTCCTGTAGCTGCAGAGATGAACGACATGGATCCCTGGCCATCGGGAGCTCCCACTTTAGTTGGAACTCAGTCTCCCCAACACAATATAGATGATGACCAATGCCTTAAAGGGCTTATGTGCAAAGAGAAACTAGAAGAATGGGGAAGAAAAGGTGAATTTCCCCAGGGGTGTCTGAGGAGGTACTTGCATAGGGGGGTAGAATCTGAGCACAGTCTGGAAAAATGAGTAGAGCTTCTCCTGCGGGTACAGAGACAAGGCAGGCAAAGGTGTGGAGTGGAGCAGGAATGTGCACAGCAAGGAAGAGGCAAGAGCAAGGCTAGGGCCAGGCGTGGAGCACCGTGGATGGGTCTGACTGGCATTCTGGCTGCTGTAGGAGCCCAGGCTTAGAAGGAGAGCTGATGGGCTCCTTTCTCATTGCAATGGCAAGAGCAAGCATCTACCGCCTGTGCTAGATGCCAGCCTCGCCCAGCATGCTTCCACCTGCCCATCAGGAGGGCAAGGCAATAGGACCAGTTTGGGGTTAATCACTGCTAAATCTAGTCTGCTGCTAAGAACCCCTCTAATTTAAACCAGCATCTGTGAGAAGGGCCAGCTTTGGCAGGGGCCTTGAGGAATGTGGACATGATTAACCTCTGCCAGTTGCAGCAAATTAACTGCAAAAAGAACATCCTGGCAGCACCCCGGATCTTAAGTGCAGCCAACCCTTGAAGATGCAGGCTGATTGCTTTGCCTGGGCTGGAAGTGCAAAGCTGTGTCTTTACTGGGCACTTCCCATTAGGAAGTATAGGGGCACCAGCTAAACTCCATCCCTCCTCAGGGCCTTCACCTGTGCTATTTCCTCGGCAGGAAACCCCTTCGCCCAATTGAGTATGGTTGGCCTGTTCTGATCTTTCAAGTCCTGCTTCAAATGTTGTTTCCTTTGTGATGTCTTCCCTGACTCCCCATCTAAGGTGGCTTTGCTATTCTCCCCACACTCATCACTTTCTGTTCCACCATTCTATTTTCTACTTTTCAAAGAGTTTATTTTCTTGCATGGTTGTTCATTTCCTTTCTCTCTACCTAATTCTAACTGGACCTATGCTCCACGGTAGCAGGAACCTTGTCTTGCTCACAGCTGTATTCACTATGTTTGGCACTTAATAGGTGATCAACAAAAATAAACGGGATGGAAGGAAGGAAGTAAAGAAGGAAAAAGAGGGGGTTTCTAATACAATGGCTCCAAAATGTCCACCAAAGCACTTAGCCCCACTGCCCTGGGAAGATGGCTCATTACCCATGAGCCCACGGAAAACCTATAGGCCAGGGCCAGGAGTGTTGGAGCCCCAGGGACAACACAGGCCAGGAATCTGATGCTAAAGGAAGAATAAGGGACTAGGAAGGGAATTAACATTTATTGAGCACCTACTGCTCAATAGTGCCAGGCCTGTGGTTACTGAATGAAACCTCTCATTTTACAGATGAGGGGGGCTGTAGCTAATAATAAATCATAATAAACATAAAATATCTAACATTTATTTTTGCACCTGGGCTAATCACATTGCATATATTTTCCCAACAAGTTTGGGAGGTAAGCATGATTACTGCTCCCATTTTGTAAGCAGTGGGAACCAGGAATGCTCAGTAACTTGCTCAGTTTTATACAACTAGCTAGTGGCAAAGCCAGGATCAGAACTCAAGTCTTTCCAACTCTTGTCCAACATCCTCTTTTGACAGAAAATGCCCTTCACACTATCATGATGGCTGGTTTGGCCCTGCCTTGCAGCCAGCTCTCCAGGGAAGTTGCTGGAAGGAGCCCTGCCCCAGGCCATGGTTCTAGGCAGACTTCAGACAATCCCCAGTCATCCACCAGCTGCTCAGCAGGCCAGTAAATTAGCCTGCCACCCCCAAGTGCTGAAAGCACTTGGGCCGCCTGACACAGCACCCTTGCCAAGAGCCTCCCACAGACACAGGCAGGTGAGGAGGGATGGGCCTTCTAGCCCTGCAAAGCAGCCAGCTCAGAAACCACCCAGGGAGGCCTCCCTGACAGGCTGGGTACAGGGGAGGGCTCAGGCAGCACTTTCTGTCCAGGAGAAGAAAGCACAGTCCTCAGGCTCTACCACCTACCTATAAGCTGGTGACCAGATAAGTTTCTTAATCTCTCTAAGACCTAGCTTTCCCATCCATAAGGCTTCTGTGAAGATGAAGTGAAATGGCAGATGTCAGGCACTGCCCGCGGCTGGCACAGGGTAGCAGCTCAGTGAAGCTCAGCTGTACCAGGTAAATTCTAAAATCAGAACCCGCCAGGAAATCCTCCTTCCCACCTATATACTCACGCATGCCACAGTCATTGAGTCCATACTATGTGCTTGGCTGTGTGCTGAGCGCTGGAGAAAACATCATTAACAAAATGGTCAAAATCCCTGACTTCAAAGACCTTCCAGTTCGGAGTGGGTAACCAACAAAACAAATATGATAGTATGTCAGACAAGGTGCCAAGAAGAAAAAGGCAAAGCTGAGAAGATAGGTATGAAGTGTAGGGGCAGGGTAGCTGAGATTCTGAACAGGGTGCCCAGGGATGGGCTCACTGAGAAGATGACTTCTGGGAAAAGAAGTGCAGGAAGTGATGAAGGTAGCCACACAGATGTCTGGGTGGAGGTGGGAGGTAAGAATGTTCTAGGCAAAGGAAACAGCAAGCTCATGCCTGAAAGCCAGAGGAGTGCCTGCCGAGCCAAGACGGAGTCCTCACATGATTTCAAAGACAAAGCATTTCCTAAACAAGAGGTTAATGAGAAAATTAGATTGTGTAAAAATGCAATTTGTGGCCAGTTTTTCAAAAGGCATGCTGTTGACCCTGTTGGTTCTGCGGTTTGTTGTTTCTGGAAAGCGGTCCTTGGCAAACTTCAGCATATTCATATAGGTTTCCCCAGGTAATTATACTAATTAATATCAGCAATAGGAATTATAATCCCTGTCATTTATCAAGTCCCTACCATGTGCTGGGCAAAATTCTGGAAGCTTTTATATACACCATTATGATTCCCATTTTACAGATGAAGAAAATGAGGCATAGAGAGATTAAGCCTTTTAATCAAAGTCATGCAGCTCATAAGTGGGAGAGTTGGAGTTCAAACTCAGACAGACTGGTTCTGGCATCTATGTGCTGACCACCATGTAACTACCTTAAAAACATGGAAGTCATTATTATTACTAACAAGACGGGGTTGCCCTGGGCTGTCCAAGCTTTCTTGCTCTTCCCCAAAAGCCATGCTGTTTCCCCAAAATGAACACTCCAGAGCTTCCTGTTTAATCTTTTGCCCCAGGTCAAGTCCTTTTGTCAAGATATAAAATATTGAAGCCGAAAGGTTGCAGATAGAGTACTACAGCAAAGGGATGACAAAATTCCAATCTCTATTGCAGAGAAGGGTGGCTGAGCAAGGAATATGGCAAGCTGATGCCATATCCCCAAGTCTCAGTTTCCCCGTCTGCCAAATAAGAAGGGACGGAGGGCTTTAAGGCCTCTTCCAGTCCCTGATCTTAGAGTTCAGCGACACGGACCCTGGACCCTGACCTAAGCCATGGAGCATATTGTCAGGAGTGTTCAACTGACATCCGGAAGGCAGCAGCCTGGGCAAGCTGACTGTGTTGCCAGGCAGTGGGAGGAGCAGGCCATACTACCTAAGTCCATGGCTTGGGCCAAAAGAGCATCTTCCCATCTGCACCCCTGTGTCTGCCAGTGTTGTCCTGTGGTCCTGCCCCAGGTAGCAGGGGGCAGATGGTTCTACCTGCCAGTCTACTCATCCACAGGATGTCCCTAACACAGTGAGTGCTTAGAGGGTTGGGAAAGACCAAACCTGCCACAGTCTCCCCTCTCCTTCTTCATCCTCCCATCTCTGCACTTCCTATTTTGGGACTTCCTAACATATCTTATCATTCAGCCTTTGGGAAAAGCTGATTTCCAGTGGGAAGGGGATATAGTCATAATAAGTAATAGTAAAGGCACCATTTACTGACTGCTTTTCTGAGCTACACGTTTCTTTTTAATGAAAGTAAAATCGACATAACATAAAATTAAACTTTTCTTTTTTTTTTTTCTTTTTTGAGATGGAGTCTCGCTCTTGTTGCCCAGGCTGGAGTGCAGTGGTGCAATCTCAGCTCACTGCAACCTCCACCTCCTGGGTTCAAGCAGTTCTCCTGCCTCAGCCTCCCGAGTAGCTGGGATTTCAGGCACATGCCAACACTCCTGGCTAATTCTTATATTTTTAGTACAGATGGGGTTTCACTATGTGGCCAGGCTGGTCTTGAACTCCTGACATCAGGTGATCCACCCACCTTGGCCTCCAAAGTGCTGGGATTACAGGCTGGCACTGTGCCTAGCCGAAAAGTTTTCTAAAGTGTACAATTCAGTGACACTTAGTACTTTCATAATGCTGCGTAGCCTTCACTTCTAAGTGGTTCCAAGACATTTTCATCATCCCAAAAGGAAGCCTGTGTCCATTAAGGAGTCAGTTGCCATTCCTGCCCTCTCCTTTGCCCCTGGCAACAACTAACCTACTTTTGTCTCTCATGGATTTGCCTATTCTGGATAGTTCATAGAAATGAAATCATATAATATATGACCTTATGCCTGGCTTCTTTCACTTAACATAATGTTTTCAGAGTTCATCCATGTTGTGGCATTTGTCAGTACTTCACTTCTTTTTATTGCTGAATAATATTCCATTGTATGGATATACCATACTTTGTTTATCTATTAATCTGTTGATAGACATTTGGGTTGTTTCCACTTTTTGGCTATAATGAACACTGCTGCTATGAACATTCATGACCACATTTTTTAAACACTTGTTCTCAATTCTTTTTTGGTGTACGCCTAGAAGTAAAATTCCTGGGTCATATGGTAATTCCATGTTTAACTTTTTGAAATACCATCAACTGTTTTCTGCAGTGGCTGCACCATTTTACATTCCCACCAGCACTATAGGAAGGTTCTAATTTCCCCATGTCCTCAGAAACACTTGTTATTTTCAATTTTTTAAAAATTGTAGCCATCCTAGCGTGTGTGAAGTGGTATTTCATGGCGGTTTTGACTTGTTTGTCCCTAATGACTAATGATGTTAGCATCTTTCCATGTGCTTCTGGGCTATTTGTATATCTTCTTTGGAGAAATGTCTATTCAAGTCCTTTGCTCACTTTTTAATTGGTTTATTTATTTTAATCAGGTCTTTTTTAACATTGAGCTTTTGATATATTCTGAATACTAGACTTACCAGATATATGATTTGCAAATATTTTCTCCAAGTCTGAAGCTGTCATTTGGTGTAGAAAAGTTTTTAATTTTGATAAAGTCCAACTTATCCATTTTACCTGCTGTTGCTGATGGTTTTGATGTTGTATCTAACAATCCATTGCCAAATCCAAGGTCATGAAAATTTACCTCTAGGTTTTATCCTACAAGTTTTGTGTTAAGTGTTTTACATCTAATCTTCTTGACATCCTCTGGGTGAATTCCATCATCATCACCATTCCCATCTTAGAGACTAAGGGTCAGGGCATTTAAGTTACCTGCCTAATGACACACAGCCATGCAGAGCAGAGGCAGGGTTTGAATCTGTGTCTTCAGCTCCGGAGCCCAAGATGCCTATCATTCAGCCTCTCCAGATCTGCCTCCTGTTGCCCATTATCCCCTCATCTCCAATAATGTAGGTAGTGATAGGTAGTGATTCCACAAACAAAATGCTGGCCCCAAAATTTGAAGGGAAGGATGGAAGAAATACAGATGTTCCCCCTGATAGCTACAAGGAGTAATTCTGCTGCCTGGGAGGAAGGCTCAGGTGAGACAGCCACCTGGTTGAATACAAGGGGAAAGTCATCTTTACCTTTCAAAATTTAGCGTTAGTAGACTTTGTTGTGCTTTTGTACTTTCCTTCCTTATAAAGCAGCAACTCTGGGGCAGTGGGACAACCTCCATGAGCCATTTCATCTCATAACTCCCCATCCAGGGTGGTTAGGGGCAGTTCTCCCTCCCCAGGGAGCATCACATTGTAATCAGTTCCTGACAACGCAGCTCATTCCCCAGAGAAGGGGGTGAGATGTAGCCCTTTGCATCCTGATTCCTTGCCTTGAAGTTGACAGCAAACGTTCATTTACTGAGGTCTATTATGTACCAAGCTCTGTGCTATGGGGGCCACAGAAATAAGTTTTTCAAGTAGGCCAGCAGAGAATAGAGAGAGAGAGAGAAACAGCTGCCATAGTTTGAGGCAGAAGGCAGGATGGGACAGACCGAGATGGATATTAGGAATCAAATGTGGGAATATTCATTTATTCACTAAAAAAATTTTATGGGTTTTTCTTACATGCTAGACACTCTTTTAGATATTGGGATAAAACAGTGAAAAGACAGACAAGGTCGTTTGCCCTCATGGGGTTTACATTCCAGTGAGAAAGAGAGACAATAGACAAGGAACCAGCTTGAGATGGGATCAAGAAGAGGCTGCATTTGAGCTGAGCCCTGCAAAATGAGTAAGACATTAATGCATTGACAAGGAAGGGAAGGACATTCCAGACTAAGAGAAATGCATGAACAAGGGCAGGGAGGGATACAGCTCCTTGACATCTTGCAGGTGTATTTGCTAATTTCTTTATTATTTAAAACTTTTTTCCATGACTATAAACACTTTATTTTTATAAATTTAAAAAGTACAGAACAAGAAGAAAAATCATTTACCATTCCCTCACCCAGGATAATAAGTTTCATGACCATGCAGAAGCTGGATCCATTTGACTTCTCTGAAGTGCTGGGCCCAAGCATTCTGTGCTCAGCACCTGAAAAGCATATGCTGGGTGAGATAGAGCCTTGCTTTCTTCCAATGCTGCCTGTCACATAGAAGATGCGTAGGAGACCCAGGGCAGTACATCTGAAATGTAAGTTAATGACTTTGGCCCAATAACTCCTAATCAGATCCACTTAGATTAGAATTAGAGAGACCTCACCTTTGCATTCTCAGAGTGTGGCCAACGTGAATGGGGAGGTGACGTTAGCAGCACAGACTTGGGTTCTGAGACCTGGCTCAGCCTTATGTAACTAAGACCTTGGGCAAGTGCTCACCATCTTTGCTCCCCTTCCTTCAATGGGGGACTAAAGAACCGGGACTAGACCTACCTGGGAGGTGCTTTCATAAGAAGTCAATGAGATCAAGTCTGTGAAGTGCTTAGCAGGGTCTGACACAAACAGTGCTCCAGGAGAGAGCCTCTTATGCTCTGGACTTCTGGGTCAAGTTGGCTTTTGCCACTGTAAAGATCCATCTGTACAGCTTGGACATCCAGAACTCACAATCACAATCCAGAACTGGGCTCCAGACACACCCTCACCTCTAACTCTGCCTGCTCCATGTCCTTCCTCGAGTGTGAATCCTCCCAGGCTTCACATTGATTCCACAGCCCAAGTCTCTCACGTCTAGAGCCTCTCTCAGGGTCTCAGTACTGGAGCTCATTTCTACAAAAACTATTTTTACTGGGCATCCTTGCCTGAGCCTAGAGATCTCTGAGCCCCCAAAGACAGCCCTGGTGGCCTCCTAAGCTTCACAGAGTGATACTCAAAGGAAGAATGTGAGCTGTGGCTTGTGCCAAAGCCTAGAGAAGAATGTGCCAGGCCAAGGGAACAACAGGGGCAAATGGGCACAGGCACTGGTTCTCTGACTTGCTCATTCATGTTTCATCCATTCAACATTTACCGAGCACCTACTGTGAGCCAGGCGCTGCATCAGCTGCAGGATCACAGCTGTGAACAAGCACCTGCCCTCAGAGAGTGCACAGCCAGGGGGAGACAGAATATGAAATATGAAGTTACACTATAGTGTGATCGGTGTTAGGATGCGAGGGTACACAGAGCCCCTGACTGGGCATGAGGCAGGGTGTATGCAGCCTGGGGAGAAGGTCAGTGATGGGAGACCCCTCGGAAGGAGGAACTTTAACCTGAGCATGACTGTGAGTAGGTTCCTGGAGGATTTTCTTTTTGAAAGAGAGGGTAAAGTGAGGAAATGAGTTCCAGATTGCAGAATAGCCTATGGAAAGACCTAAAGACAAGGAAGAATGTGGTCTATCAGAGGGACTGAATTAAGCTCCAGGGCTGGAGGTTAAAGGGCCATAGTGAGATGTCTGAGGGCCAAGGCTGGGGACAAAGGGGGGCCTGGCTCACCAAGAGTCTTAGAGCTACAGTGCAATGGTTAAGCTCACAAACCAGGGAGGCAGAAAGCCTAGAATTAATGCCCTGTTCAGCCACTTACTAGTTGTGTGACCTGGGGCAAATCACTCAACCTCTCTGGACAGTGCTGATGGGAAAAGAGAGAAGGGAATAAATGTGAGAACATTACAGAAATAAATCTGCAAGATGACTTCAGGGAACCATATACATTGGTCCAAAACATTGCATGGAAAGCCTCAGTTTTGCTCTCTAGTGGGTCGGTTGTCCCCTGGGATCACCACTTAGGATGCAAACTACACTTCCCTTCCACAGCCCTGGCCTCCAATCCTCACCCAGTGTGGATCACTGGCCAGCCTTTCTTTCTTTGGCTGCAAGAAGTCCACAGTCAAAAGTGAAAAGAACCAGTTGCACCCGGTCATCCTGTCCCCGGCAATAGCTGGATGTTCAAGAGAGGAGAAAAAGAAGTATCTGTGAAGCTGTCAGCAGGGAAATTCTGGAACATGGTGGAGACAGAAATATTTACTTTGCAGGGATAAATATTACAGAAACAGCCCTCCATCATCCAGTCTCTGGTCTAATGTAGATTTCTCGTTCCAGAAAGGTATCCTTATTGCCTGCAAAAGTGACAGCTGCAGAAAGTGTAGACCTTTTTCATAAAACAAATAAATGCAAACAAATAAACATAATATATGGAAGATTCTTTCTCACAGGCAATGGTGAAAATACATGGATTTGAGTTAGGCCTTTGTGGGTGTGTCTTTCAGATCCTTGGTGACCATGGGCCAGTTATCATGCCCCTCTAGACCTTAGTTTCCCTGGATGCTGGACAGAGCATATGTAAGTATCTTCACAACATGGCTGTGAGGATGGAGTGTGCCCAGGATAATGTCTGGTGTTTCATAAATATGGATTCTCTGTCTCATACTCATCTTCCTCTCTATAGCATGAACTTCCTACATAACCGGCAGTTCTGGAATATCTGAATCCACAAGCAGCTCCAACCAGCTGCCTGAGCTCCCTGTCTCAGGCACAGGGGTGGCTGCCAAAATGACACAAAGAATCTCAGTAACTGAGCCAAATGGCGTTTGCAAAACTCCTCAAGTTTATGGATCACCTTGAAGTTAAAGGTGGAATTTAGTCATGGTCTCCTTTTGACTCAGAGAGATCTTTACAAACTGGAGATCATTTGCTTGTCTGTAACAACTGCACATTAAAATGACCACCTTGGGCTGGGAGTGGTGGCTCATGCCTGTAATCCCAGCACTTTGGGAGGCCGAGGTGGGTGAATTGCTTGAGACCAGGAGTTTGAGACTAGCCTGGGCAACATGGTGAAACCCTGTTCTTACCAACAGCAACAACAAAAAAAATTAGCCAGGTGTGTTGGCGTGCACCTGTAGTCCCAGCTACTCAGAAGGCTTAAAGGTGGGAGGATTGCTTGAGCCCCAGAGGTTGAGGCTGCAGTGAGCTGTGATGGTGCCACTGCACTCCAGCTTGGGTGACAGAGCGAAGCCCTGTTTCACAAAAAAATAAAATAAAATAAAATAAAATAAAATAAAATAAAATAAAATAAAATCTCCTTGGATAGCTCTTCATGCTGCAGCCCAGTGTCCTGCGGTCTATCCATAGGTTGCTGACATTACAATTCACCAGTGCAAATGAGAGCAAGCCCAGAGCTCCAGAGGAGAAACACGAAGTCGCAAGTTCTTTTCCTCCAGCTGCCATTGGATGCCAGGCCACATCGAGCATTTCGTCTTTAGATGGCGAGACAGCCAGGAGGAAAATTGAAATGTCTGCACAGTGTTGTGTACATTGCATGACAGTGTCTTTGAAAAGCACATCTCATTGGGTGCACACATGTTTGCACACAGACATGGTTTATTTTAATGGTGTATTCAAAGCAGGGAGTGGGCTGTAGTAGTCATTTTACTGGCATTAATTTCTGTGGAAAAAAAAGGCGGGCTGTCAATTTATCACCATAGGAAAATCAATGAAATTTGAGCTTATTCCAGATACCTATGAAAGGGGTGGTTAAGGGAGAGATCAGTGATGCATGTAGCCCTTCCTCAGATGTCCTGACTCCTGGGTTCCTGGGAGCAGAGCCTAGCAAAGAACTGGTGTTTTCAAGACTGCTAATTACAAGCAAATCTCAAATTCAGAATGTGATCAAGCCACTACCGAAGCTCTCACCAAAGGACTCTTGGATGAAGAGGGAGGAGGGGACCTTTAATTGGAGAACAAATGGGAATTTGAATAATTTGAAAGATTAGGGAAATAGGAGAAGAGTACTTCCAAGGGTTTCGAGGCAGTGCGGAGTAGGAAGAAAAGCATGGGCTTTAACCTCAGCCACTGGGCTTTACAGATTTGATTGATGTAGGAGTAAACATATGTAAAAGGACAGCGATGGATCCCGGCAACATACTGGGCACACACTAGGCGGCCGGTGCCATTATTACCTTTTTCTGGAGAGGGGGCAGGCAGGGTCTCACTCTGTCATCCAGACTGAGTACAGTGGTGTGATCTCGGCTCACTGCAACATCTGCCTCTTGGGTTCAAGAGATTCTCCTGCCTCAGCCTCCCGAGTAGCTGGGATTACAGGCATCTGCCATCACTCCTGGCTATCTTTGTATTTTTTAGTAGAGGTAGGGTTTCACTATGTTGACCAGGCTGGTCTTGAACTCCTGACCTCAGGTGATCCGCCAGCCTCTGCTTCCCAAAGTGCTGGGATTACAGGCGTGAGCCACCACGCCCGGCCCAGTGTCATTATTACTTTTGCTGCTCATTGGCTGCGTGGCTCTGAGCAAGTCACCCGACCTCTTTGGGCCTCAGCCTTCCCCTCTGTGACATGCTCCTGGGGAGCCCGGTGGGAGGTACAGAATAGCACACGGTGGGCACTCAAGCGGCGGCGGACCTCCCGGCCCCCTGATTTCTAGGGGACGGCAGGAAGGGAACTAGAGGGCAGGTCTGGACACTCAGGCCCCGCCCCGCCCCTCAGCCCCTCTCGCTAAGTCTGGTGAGGCACCTCACGCAGTTGCTCCTCCAAATGGAAAAAGAACACGACGCCCAGATCAGAGCTCTGCCAAGAGTCTCCTTAGAAAGGCCCGGCAGCCAGCACTCTGCCGAGGGCCTGCCAGAGCCCGACTGGGTGGTGAAAATAAAATTAACAGCTAATGAGCCGCTTCCTGAGGCTTCAGGGAAGAGCCAGTGTCAGCCAGCGCAGGGTCTCACTTTTTGAGCAATTAGAGGAAAAGCAGGATTCTGTCTTGTGAGCATCACCAGATATTCCTGTCCACAGTGGGGGGAAAATTCGAGAAGAAACGCTGATCCCAGCCTCAGCCCATTCCCCCAGAGAGCGCCCCACCCTCAAGGATCACCAGCGCTATGCCCTGAAATGTGTTTATGCTTCCCCCTGCTGGTGGCTCTTGTCACTGCACTCCCCAAAGCCCCCGCCACAGAATGGGTAGGCCAGGCTTCTCACAGCCGCTCATCTTCCCTGGAGGGGTAGGGGTCGGGGGTTCAGGTGGGGACGGGCTCCTGATTGCAGAGGCTGCAGCTGGCCTCCATGTGAACAGGTGAAGACAGGGAATGTATCTAAAGAACGACATTACAGTAGCAGCTAATATTTATTTGTTCAATATTTAATTTATTAAATATATTTGCTTTGCTTTAATTGATTTGCTTAATATTTATTTGCAAGGTGCCAAGCCCAATGCTAAGCATTTTTCCTGCTTTACCTCCCTTAACTCTCTCAATAACCCTGTGAGGTAGTTATTACTATTCTCTTCATGTTACAGGAGGAGTCTGAAGCTCAGGCATGCTGAAGTTCATACATCTGGTAACTGGCAGAGCCCAGATTTGAACCCAGGCAAGCTTAACTCCAGATCTTCCATTGTAGTGGCGGTTCTCCAACTTTTGGGGGCATGTGAATCGCTTGGGATACATATTAAAATGCCCCATAGACCCGGGATTCAATGGGTCTTGGGTAAATAAAGCCCAGGACTCAGCATTTTAACAAGCACATTGGTGAATTCTGGTGTAGCTGATTAATGGATGCTACTTCAAGATTTACTGCAGCCCACCAGGTGCATCCCGATCCAAGGGCTCAAGTAGCAACCAAGGTGTTCATTTTACTTTACAGTTGTTACAGACAAAAATCGACTCTGGTCTATAAAGGTCCCTCTGTGTCAAAAGGAGACCATGACTAAATTCCACTCTTAGCCTCAATATTCACAAAGATCTAGCCTAAGTGTAATGGGGTTCCGACTCCTGAGTCCTGGCACCCAACTCTGTATTACTGGTAGAGCTGTGTTTGGGAAGAGAGACTGGGGAAGTGATGGAGAGCTGGTAGGGAAGGTGTTGTCCTGACTATTGGGCAGGCGTGGGAAATTCACTTCTTTTCCCTGGTCTTGGTTTGTCCATCTAAGCAATGAAAAGATTTCGGATCTTCTCTAAATTTTGAAAATTCTATCTGCCCACAATCCAAACTTTTGTATTTCTTTTGTTTTCCTGAGAGCTCTCATAGCAATCAAACTGAGCTATCCAGTGTCCCAGCTTCTGCTTTCTGATAGGTCCAGATGTTAATTGGGTCTCTGCTGGTAATGTATTTAATACCTTCTCTAGGTAGGTGAGGTGTCTTGGCAGGGCCTACTCCATGTTTTGAAGGTGACATTATTTTAGGACCCAGAGAAAACTCATGAGATTAGATGGATAGACAGAGATTCCTTGACATCTTACTGACCACACCATTAATACATATGATTGGCTCTGAATGGAACTTGGTTATGAAGCAACCCTGTCTTGTAGGTGCTACTGATGCAGATCTATAGACTAGGAGACATAAAACCTGGGCTCTGACCTGAGAACTATTGCTTTAGTGCTGCGTAAATCCACACCAGCACAGGGCCTTCATTTTTCTCTTCACAATGAGGCATTAGGCTTTGTGGTACATGGTCCCTTTCTTCCTGGATTCTGAGATGTATTAGATCAGCCAGCTCTGGGCAAGCCATGTGTCAGAGGTCTAATCCCTAATCAAACATCTTAGAATCCTATTCTGTTGCTGATTTAGTGCCTAAGCTCCAGGGCTGTCAAAACTTGAAACTGAAAAAAAAATATGAAGAGTCAAAAACATTAAGTGAAGACCCAATCCATGTCTCAAAGAGAGAGTTTATTGTAAGTATCTTATCCTGCCCTAAAGGATGCCCGGAGCCCCCAGAGATGCCCCAAAAGCTTGAGGCCCCAGGGGCTACTCTGCTTGTCAACAAGACTTTCCACCCTCTGAGAGCGGATTTGCCCCAAAGGGTTGGTGGTCAGGCATAATAACTTGATTCTGTCATGATCCACCTCACAGGCAGGTGCCGTCTTTCTATATATGGATGTTGCGAGACTAAATGAGAAAATATAGATAACACTTGGCACAGTCAGAGTTCTGTAACTGTGGATTGTTGTGATGGTTTTTGTTATTTTTACTAGTTAATCCTTATAAGGGTATCTGTAAAATGGGTATATTACCACTGCCAGGGAAATGGTTGGAAGATTAAATGAATGCAGTGTGGAGGCACGAGGCCCTCACCCCCAGAGGCTTAGTGCCTGCATCTCTGGATGGGGTGACACCCAGGCCCATCAATGGCAGGAGAGAAGAAAAGCCTGAAGTAGAAAAATGTTGGAGACCTCAGCCCTCATCTCCAGGAGCCCCCTTCATCATCCCCAGGGATGGTAGCCTGGGGCAGTGGGGCAGGATCTCTTCTTAGCCAAGGCCCAGTGGCAACCGTAACTGAGCCAGACTTGCAGGCTGTGGAGCCTTGGCCAAGTCACTTAACCTCCCTGAGCCTCAAGGGGGTTAAAACAGAGTGCAAGGCAGAGGTCCCATTCAAGGAATTCAATGCCAAGTGGTATAAGAAGCAGAAATCTTAGGAAGGGCTTCAGATAGCCACAGGCTATGGAATTTGGGATCCGTGGCAATTTAACTTAGATCTCAGGGAGTCCCCAAACACATATCTAAATTAAACAGAGTGATGAAGATAATTAACTTACTGATATCTAGTAATAATAGGTGCTTACACAATGTTCACTGATTAACAAGAGAAATTTACTGAATATATTGTACTAAATAGCTGATGAAAGCAAGGTCAAGTTCAAGTGGCCTTTGCTATAAGCCTTGGATTTCTGAATTTCATATATGTATGTGAAGGTTGAGGCTAGCAAACACAAGGGCCAGACAATTTCCTGATTTTCCCAAAATAACAGGTGGGCCCAGCAGTGTCCCCCTTCCCTGGTTTCCCGCCCGACTCTCCGTGACTGGTTAGGAGACGCTGCACCCAGATATCCGGCTTCACTCACAGCTGACCACACTGAGCAGTACCGTCATGTGAACAGAATTAGTCATCATTTTGATGAAAGTGAACAATCAAAGGAAGAAGACCCAACACACATTCTGTCTTTTATCTTCTATCAGAAATGCCTCTTTCTGACCTTAGAGACCCAAGCTGAAATTTAGAATCGGAAGGGATGGTTGAGGTCATCCATCCAGAATTTGCCAGGTGTATTCAGAAGAACACTGGTCTTAACGGAAAAAGAGGGTCTGAGGTCAGGGAAGTTTGGAAAACATTGCACATATATCCTTTCCTGCCCTTTGAAATTCACTATGCAGCCAGGCACTTAAAACTCTTGGAAGAGTCCTGAAGAAAGAAGCCTGTTCAATTTTGTTTAACCCAGAGTTTCTCAAACTTATTTATCTTTGGGACCTTGCTGTTGATGCACTTTCCTCTTGCCCACTTAGTGTGTACTGACATGAGCATTTCTTCTATCTGGTCTACTCTATTCATTCCCAGTATAGCTGTAGTTCCTGAAGTCACCTGAATGTGCAACCCATTATCTAGACCAGACACTCAGAAAGATGGAGTAGCTTACCTAAGGCCATATAGCTAATTATTCTTAATAGTCATAAACCAATATTTGTATAGCAATAAAGCTCATATTTGTACAGTGCTTTAGAGTTTTCTATAAACTTATATTCACAGCATGTTGTTTATCAAATGTGATAAGAGCTGCAATGTTGTTGAAGGCATACTCCACATCAGGGCTTTTACAGGTATGACCTCAGTGGCGCTTCACAGCAGACATCTGAGGCACATTGCTCGTTATAAAGGCGAAGACACTGAGGCTCAGAGACTCCAATTAAAGTGCCCAAGGTCACACAGCTGGCAAGTAGCAGAGCCAAGACTTGAATCCAGAAAGTTTGATTCCAAAGCCATCCCCAGTGCCCCGCACCCCAGTGAGAACTTGTTTTCTCGCAGGCAGGAAGCAGATGTCTCAATAGCTGATAACCTGGGAATCTCAGGGTTTGTCTAAAGCTTGTGATTAGTTATCAGATTTCTCAGGAAGCACATCCTTACTCTTTTTTTTCTCTTTTTAAGTGGAGAAATCACCAAAGGAGGCCACAACATCAAGAAAATAGTCTCTTTTACCACCGATTCTGAGCAAAGCAATGAAAAACAGCTTCAACAAAAAGCTAATTAGAAAGTCATAACTTGGAAAACCACCAAATGCAATTCTGATGAGGATCAAATTTAATAAAAGCACAGCTTCTGGTTCCTGCAGCTAGAGCGAAGCAGGCACGTGAGGGGAATGGCTAAGGCAGACTCAGCTAGAGAAATCGGGATTCCAGGTACACCAGGCAGCACTCCAGGCTGTCCATCTATCCGCCCCCAGGGGGAGAAGGGCTCAGGCAGCTTACTGAGAAGGGGGCTCTGGAGACACTCACCAGGGGCAGACCATGAAAACCAGACTGGCCCTGGGAAAGGGAGAGTGCCAGAAGCTTCCGAAGAAAGCACTTCCCATCCCCAGGCTCCTTTCCTGTAACAAGGTTCCTGGGAGTTTCCTTACTGCACAGATGAGAATGGCTTGTCATTAACATTCACATCAATAGACGCTTCTTGAAGACTTGAAAATGGCTATTGCCTGTGGGGATAAGCATGTGACCCCTCCTGCCATCCACCCTCAGCCACCCTAGTGCCAAGGAAAGGAAGCATGAATACAGATTCTACCAGCAGTAGACACATTCTGAACAAATGAAGTTCAAATTAAAATCTCAAAATAATTCATGCTCCCATAATGCTTTATAGGTGATAAGATGCTTTCTTGGGCATTTCCTTATTTAGTCTGTGCCATAATTCTATTTGGTGGTTGTCTTTACTATATCCACCTGACATCACACAAGGAAAACAAGGCTCGGGGGTTAAATGACTTGGCCAAGGGCACAGAGCTTACAACAATGGTGCCATAGGAGAATGGGCTTTTAATTCAGAAAGACCTGGGCTTCAATTCTAGCTCTGTCCTTACCTGACATGTGATCTTGGGAACAATCTCTGTAGCCGAGGCACCTCAGTCTCCTCAGCTGTGAAGGTGGCTTCCATGTATGGAGGACTTTCTGTGTGCCAGGCACTACTATAAGTACCTGTGGTAGGTGGTTTGCAAGATGGCCACTAATAATTCCTCCCATTCTTGCATGTGCAAGTCACTCATCTCATCAAGAGGAGAGGCCTGTGTCTCTCTTCCTTAAATCTGGGCTGGCTTTGTAACTTGCTTTGACTTATGGAATATGGTAGAAGTGACTGCTGTGCCAGCTCCCAGGCAAGGCGGTAAGAGGCTGGGAACGGCCTTTAGTTCTCTTGGAGTCCTGCGCCACCATGTATAGGGCAAACACACTTGACAGCAATAACATAAACATACCCTGAGAATGGCCCTGTATGGCACCTGTGTGGGACTTGAATGTGTGTTCCGAGACAGGGAATCCAGGGATGGCCAACACAGACATTCATTCCTTGTCTATGAGAAAACATCCGAGCCCCCAGCCTGTCCCATGGAACACAGGCTGTACAGGGGATTGAAGCCCCAGGTTTTGGGTTAAGTGAATGTTGCCAGGTTCAGGTCATTCAGGGAGGGTGTTAAGTGAAAATGCTCTATAAATTGCATGCTGTTCACAAGCAGCTGTGGCTTTTCTGCCTAGCCTGCTGCCATTGGGCCATAGGAAGGTGGTTTGACTGTCCAGTCCGCTGCCACTGGATTCTCTCCCCTGTACATAAGCCCCTAGTCAAAACCCATGTCTTGTTTGTTGGCTCTGGGTCTCTTTTTCAACCTCTTGAACCTGATGACTTCCCTATTGAGGTGAGTAGGGGTTTGGCACAATGCCATGTAAAACCATTCTGACTCTCGTGCTGGAGAGAGAGGCCCTGCCAGCCTTTAGCTGAGGTGCCATGCATTTGAGGAAGCCCTCTTGGCTCATCCAGCCCTACTGGAAGTGCCCAGCCAACATCACATGAGGAAGCGAGTTGCTGTCCCACTGAGCCCTGCCCTAATTGCAGAATCGTGAGCAAATACGTAGTTGTTTCGGCTTGGTTTGTTTCGCAGCAATAGATAACTGAAAAAGTGCCTAATGTGTATTCATTTAGTCCTCATATCAACCCCATGGAGAAACTGAGGCACAGAAAACTTAAGTAAGTTATCTAATAAATAACAGCAGGTTTTAAATACAAATAGGCTAACTATCCAGAGCCCACGTTTATAAGCACCACGTTATACTGCCCCTTCATAAAAAGAGCAGTACCTCTCAGAGTTATTAAAGAGATTGTCCCTCCCCAACGTTCATCCCACAAGAGCACCCCATCTTCCAAAGAGGAGGCTCCACATGGACTCACATGATATTCACCAGACGAAGTGCCCTCTGTCATTCTGGCTCGATGCTGCCCCCACGTGGCCACTGACTGTCCAAGCCTTCCGTTTGGACACATCCTGACTGCAGGAATGCAGCTTGAGAATCTGCCATCCCTTCAGCCACCTCTTGATCCCACCCTATGCTTCTCACCTGGAAGTGCAGCCCCAGTTCTGTTCTGTGTTCGGTGTGGATCCCATTTTAGCCAAGGCTTTTCGCGTTCACTGCTTATAGGGAAGCATCCCACCTGAAGCTCAAGTTGAAGTGTGTCTACGTGACCACATGAGCACTGATAGGGCCCCTGGGAGACAGAATGTCCCTGCCTAAGCCATCAGCAGACTTGTGGCAACCAGAAGTTCCAGTTTTCTCATTCAGAGCCTAGAGTACCATCGATTGTCCATGAATTGCATAGACAACATTTAATCAAGGGCAGATGTACTTCAGCAGGAGAAACATTCATGTGAAGAGATTACTTCACAGTGGCTAAAATAAATCAATTCTACAAACAAAACATTCAGTTTACTCATCGTAAGCCGTAGATTGCCAGGCTCAGTGGATCTAACAGGTAAGAGTCTGGGTTTGAATGATACACCTCGGTTCAAACTCTGGTTCCATCATTTGCTGACTGTGTGACCTTGGACAAGTCTCTTAACCTCCGCTGGCATCAATGTCTTCACTTGCCAAACGGCTACATTAATACCATGTCTCTTGTGGAATTTAACCTGCGGGTTAAATGATATGGCATCTGAGAGCACTTACTGCCTTATCATCCAGTGATCTAATAAGCCTGAATTATATTTTCTTTGTTCATTTGCTTATTTAATTTTAAAATTCCTTGGTTATTTTACATGATAGAAGCAATGCATGTCTATTATGTAAAATTTTGGAATTAGAGAGAATAAAGAGAAAGAAGTAAAAAACTCTGATACAGAGATTTTTAAAATCAAGGTCCATAAATCCCCTAGAAGACTAGTAAGAATTTCAGAGAGTACATGAACTTGGATAGGAAAAATGACGTTTTTATTTCATGATCTAACCAAAATACAGCATGGTCATTTATTATGAATTTTGGCTTCAAATAACAGTAGTTTTAGCTATATAGACAACTTTGTCACTGACAGAAACTTAGACATTTTTATACCACATTTTAGCTATTGCATGTAATTTAAAATATTACTTGAATTCATCACTACCTTATAGGTATAGTAATTATTTGATCTTCTGCTAGATCGTGTTACTTAAGGTATTAAAAAGAAGCACATATATTGAAAAATTATTTTAACATTTTGATATCTGTATTTCAATATTATTGGTTTTCTTTGAAATTCTATGGTTTATATTTCAGGCATTTAAAAACATGCTGGTAAGCCCATAGGCTCATCAAGCTGCCAAAGGTGTCTGTGGCACAAAAAGGGTTAAGAGATCCCTGCTGTGGTTCCTCCAGCCAAGCCCATGAGCAGTTCAGATTTTCCTGCCACTCTTTAACTGTTTACTTCGTTCATATTGTTGCAGTCAGGTTGCATAGTATAATTTTGTAGCCTGTGTTGCTAACCATAAACATGTTTTCACATTGCTTCTTACACACATAATTTTTAATGGTGGCATGATATTCCACTTTGTTGATGCACCATAATTCACATTCCCCTGTGGTTTACCATTTACAATGGCTTGAACCTGTCACTTTTACAAATGACATTAGGATGAGTGTCTTCTCTCATAAAGGATCTCCTGTATTTTAGATTATTTCCTTAGGCAAGATTCCCAGCAGTGGTAGAGTGAACATTTTCAAGTCGCTGACACCCTTCCTGGTCCCCGGGGAGCTGCAAGCACATGGAATCAGCACATGGAGGATTGAAGAAGAGTGAAGGCTTTGAAAGGAGGAGGGAAGGGAGGCTGAGGAGGAGAAAGATAAATGGGAGGGCAGGGTCTGTAGGGACAGGTGCACAGGCTGTGACCCACTCAAGGGTGTCCAGCCAGGTGATAAGCACAGGCTGAACTCTAGTCAGGCTCTGCTACCAAGCTGTGCACTCAGGCTGGGGCTGGGGCTGGGGCTGGGGCTGGGTGGGCTCGAGGAAGGTACATCTTCTTCCAGGCACCATGGGAGCAGAGGAATTCACTATTGCTGAGAAATTCACTATTGTTCCTTGGTGGTGGCATCTTCTTGGGGTCTTCAGGACATACAAACCCCACACCCTCAGAGAATGCTAGAAAGAAGGAGTCACATTTTCAACCTAGAGTCCCCGAACCTTTAGTACCTGGGAAGGCAAAAATCTGGGAAGGCAAAAATGTGAGCAATGTTTACTTCCAAAACAGCTAATAAAACTTGAACATTGACCTTCAATAAGGCCTCCCCATGTAAAACTCATACGGGTTGGAGTTCACTGCTGCTTGTTGTTTCTTATGAGTACACAGTGATTGGAGTGGATGCTGTGGTGAGCTGCCCAGAGCCCCCCCCAGGTCTGGGAGTGTTGGCTGCTGTTGGTTTATGGCTAGTTCGTCCCCAGGAATTGCACTGGATGAAAGAGCTGCCTTGCCCAAGGTGATAGACCTTGCCTGATTCATGTGGGAGTGCACAGACCTGGCCTGCTTTCCCCAGTGGGGATCACTCTGCAGCTCTTCCCAGCCCCAGACCTACCTGGGGACCAGCTGAGGCCTTTGTCGTGCATGTTTCATGGTTCCACCTCTCCCTCTGCCAGCTTCTGCTTCCCCACCTCATTGATGGCATTACCAGGACATGCCCCAATTTCCTGTACATTGATCCCTGTCTCAGAATCTGTTTATCGGGGAACCCAATCTAAGATAGTCACATATCTTGTTTACTCAAAACTGAAAAGGAATAAATTATTACAACATACATACATGGGTAGATAAGATTTTTTTTTTTTTTTTGCAAAACATGGTATGTATGAGATAGAAACCCCATTTTTAAAAAATTTATTTATCTTTAATTTTTTTTTTCGGAGTTTCGCTCTTGTTGCCCAGGCTGAAGTGCAATGACGCGATCTCAGCTCACTGCAACCTCCTCCTCCCGGGTTCAAGTGATTCTCCTGCCTCAGCCTCCCGAGTAGCCACCACGCCTGGCTAATTTTGTATTTTTAGTAGAGACGGGGTTTCTCCATGTTGGTCAGGCTGGTCTCGAACTCCCGACCTCAGGTGATCTGCCCGCCTCGGCCTCCCAAAGTGGATAGAAAACCATTTTTAAGAAATGTCCTTGCTGGCAAAAACACCACCACCATAAACAACCATCTAATTCATCCTTACCTACTCCCTCATTTTATAGACGAGAAACAGAACCCTGGAGGACAAGTGGCCTGAAAGTCACAAAGCCCACAAACAGCAGAGCTAGAACACAAAGCCAGACCAGCAGTGTTTCCATTCCTTGAGGCGCCTCTACTAGCTTTGGGTTCAGGGCAACGCATTTTCTAACAAAAGCCTACCCCATGAGTGGGGAGGAGCTGGGCAATGGAGCCTGGTGTCTCCCCCAGAGGGTTAGACACTTCCTGCTCTCTAACATCCAGAGACAAATCACAAACTGTAAGGTTGGCCTAGTGTGGGCATTGGCATCAGACAGCCCAAACTCAATCCTGGCTCTGCTATTGGCTAGCTGTGTGGCCTTAGCACAGTTGATTTACCTCTCTGAGCCACACTCTCCTCATTTCTCAAATTAAAATTCTAAATTCTAATTATCAGAGTTGCTTTCTGAATAAAGTAAATGCCTGCACGTAGATGTCATAGCACGATTTCAGGCCCTTAGAAGACTCTAACCCAGCATTAGTTCCCTCTGGCCACCTTTATTTTGTGTTGCCTCCTGGCTTAGAGCGCAGAATTTCAAAAACAAAAAAGGAGAGAGAGCTCCCACAACTTTTCAGTATGAAATGCTCTGTCCCCTTCTCTGATTGCTAGGGGAACAGAAAGCAGCCTCTTTTTCTACTGGGCGTGAAGCCCTTTGAGTCCACCCAAACTCGCCAGCAGAGGGCAGCACAATTCTGCTAAAAGCCCACGAGGGGTTTGCCACCCATTCTGGGCCTCCACCATCTGATGACTACCCGGCTGGCACAGAGAGGCTGGTGCTGCCTCTGTACCTCTCCTCAGTCTGGGTCCCTGGAGCCCTGGCAGCTGTGGTGTGTCTCCCCAGAAAGGGAATGGCCAGACCTGCTCTGCAGCAGCAAAGGCTGGATTCAATCTCGGCAATGCCAAGGCATATTTGCATGTGCTCTTCTGTTAAATACATCAGTTTGTTACAAACAATCCTTCCCAGAGGTGAAGATGCAAACCAGCCTGAGGCCACCCGCAGCCCAAGCTCCCATTTCCTAGGCATTGAAAATCAGCTGGTCAGTGCCTTCCCTGGCTCATCCTGGGGTGATGGGGAGGGGAGAGAGGTGTGTGTGTGTGGTCTGCATTACTGTATATTGGTGCTCAGATGAAGGCTCTGAGGCCTGGGTGGGTATCCCCAAGAGGGAGGATGAACTAAAGCAGGGGTAGGCCCCCATATCTCTCTTACTCCTTCCAAAATGAGCTGGGAAGAACCCCAGGAACAGAATCCGCACATTTCCCCTGACTTCAGAGAGCCCTGCTCAAGACGATGAAATTAACAAGTGAGAAGCCCAAGATTAGGGGTGGGGCTGTTGACCTCCTGTATCTCTGTCTCTAGATTTCCAGGAATTTTGGGGCTTTCTAGACAAAGGTTCTGGCTTGAAGGTCCATCTGGGCTGGAGATGGGGCTATGCATTGAAAGAATGCTGCCCTCCCAAGAGTCCTTCTGAGCCCGGCTCTTGCAAGGGAACAGGAATGCCTCTCCTCACCAAGGGACATTTTCCTGCACAAATGTATCCATGGAGAGCATGTTACACAGCCATGCTGAGACTGGAGGCAAGGCTGCAAAACCTGCCTTCCTTTTCACTCCGCAATTGCAGAGGACAAGAAAAAGAATTTCAGCTTACGCGTTCCTTTCCCTGCCTTGAGAAGGATGGTCTCAGCACTCCCATCCAGCTCCCCCCCTTCCCCCCCACACACACTCACACACACTCTCTCACAATGCAATGTTAACGCTAAAGAAGTAAGCAAATTCCTTGGTGGGTGGAACTGCTGCCCAGGAAACAGCCCCTCGGAGAGAGCTACTTTAAGGCAGAAAATCCTCACAGCACGCTGGCCAATGAATGCTGTTCAGCTCTTTTACACTACAGCGCTGAAATAATCTTTTTTTCACTTTCTCTCCAAAATGCCTATAATGTCTGTGAGGCTGAATAATTTATGGTCCTACCGTCCTTCATGTCACAGAGTGGTTCCGCTTAATGTTGTTCCATGGCCTTGTGACAAATGGAGTTTTTCTTGTGTTCTTTGACCCAAATGGGATTCAGGCTGGGGAGCTTCTGCTCGGTCTGGGTGGGATGGGAGAAAAGTGAGGAGGAGGGGAGAGGGTGGCTCCTGTGCCCGTGGCCACAGGGCCCAGCAGGACAGGCCCTGGGCTCCATGCCCCTGAGCCCCGATGGAACAACCCCTGGGTTTCTGGGAATTGATTCAGAGAAGTGTAGAGAGGCAGAGTGGGGAGGCTGAACACTCAATGACTGTAAACTGTGAATTCCCTGCAGACGCCTCACACGCCTCCCCTCTGGTGTCTCCATCTGTCCACGGATTCCCAGTGACTCCAGCTCTTGCTCTTCCCAGCCCCAGGCACCGCAAAGAGGCAAATGAAAGCCAAAAGGCAATGAGCCCTTTCCCCCGCCCCTCCCTGCCACCTACACCCCAAGAGGCTCTGTCCTGTCTCCCAAACTGACCAGTCTTGCTGCCTTCTCCAGGGGCCCAGGCCACCCCAGTCTCAGCCCTGGGCATCCATAGAGCACAGGCCTCATCAATAATTCACTGCCTCCCCCGTCCTCCTCAGACAAAGGGAAGGGAGCCTGCAGGCCTCAGAAGCCCCAAGACCCCAGGGTTGCAGTCAGGGAGCTAATGTCCTCTTGAAAGGAGAGGAGATGTGGAGAAAGAGAGAGAGAGAGAGAGAGAGAGAAGAGGAGAGGAGAGGAGAAGGAGGGGAAGGAGCAGAGTAAAGAGGAAAGAAAGGCTAGGAAAAGGAAGGCAAATAAATCCCATCCAGGATAACCATTCTGGAAGTTGGTATGCTCCACACGTGAAATGCACTATTCTGAAAGAACTAACCATTTTTTCCCCCACCACTATTTTACTGTAGAAATGAGAGGAAGCAGGACGTGGCTGGGTTTCACAGACTATTTCTTCACAGTTTCTTATTCTGTTTTGACAAGACATCTGCTTAAGCTACTATTCTGAACCACGCGGTGTATAACCTCCATCAGCTTTGCCAGTTCCAATGTTCTGCAACATAACAGGGAGGGAGCTGACAGGGCACACACCTGGTGGGCTGTGAGGCCAGGAGGGAGGGGTGCAAGTGGATCAGGGACAGGCACACTGGCAGGCTCAGGCTGGGGAGCAGCCGTCTGGGTCCACAACTCAGCAATGAGGACTTGCCGTGGAACCCAGGGGATGTCCCTTGACCTCTCTGAGGCTCAGCCTGATCTGCAGATCCCCTCCTCACAGAGATGACTGGGGGGACTTTAAGAAGAAAATACGTGGTCCTGACCCCTCTGTACTTATGGTCTTGTTTGCGTAGACATGGAACTTGATCTCAATGACAAGTGAGCCTGCCAACCTGCACATGTTCTTGCATAAATTGTAGTAAAGAAAGTGATGGTGCTGCAGGGCAGGCAAACCCCAAAGTGGGGCTTAGCTTGCAAGGGTTCTTGGCTTCCCCCAGGACAGCATGCAAGGGCGAGCCAGTGCTGGGGTAGAAGAAGACAGCTCATTTGAAGTGGCAGTGCCACAGCTCCAGCAGTCAGCGCCAGCTCCTGCAGAGCAGGGCTACTGCATAGGCAGTGTGCTGAGAGTAGCCCATCAGAGCAGTTTTGCAGTCATCTTTATACCTACTTCTCATTATATGTAGATTACGGGGTGGTTTATGCAGAAATTTCTAGGGAAGGGGTGGTAACTTTTGGGTTGTTGGGACATTGCCATGGAAAGGGGCAGTAACTCTTGAGTGTTGCCATAGCAATGGTAAACTGACATGGCACACTGGTGGGCGTGTTTTATGGAAAGCTGCTTCCACCCCATCTCTGTTTTAGCTAGTCCTCAATTTGGTCCAGTGTCCGAGCCCCATCTCAGGAGTTGAGTCCTGCCTCCTACCTCAAGGGGAGTGGGCAATATCACAGGGCCCACGTAGGAAGCCACAGCATTGTGGGCATCTATTAGCAAACATTCATTGAGCATCTGAAGAGGTGGCAGTGAGTGCACGTACACAGTCCCTTTCCTTGTACAATGCTGCTTGCAATGCTGCTTGCAGACTATTGAGCTCCAATCTCTGCTCCAGAATCCACCCTGTATCGATCTGCCTTTAAGCAAGCCCCTTGACCTCTGTGGGCCTCAGTTGCCTCATCTACGAAATGGAAATTGTCAATCCCAGACTTATGGAATTATTGGGGAGATTTCGTGAAGTTTCAAGTATTCGGGTTCTAACAGAGTCCTGTACACAGTATGTGCTTAATAAACGTGCATTCCCTTTAACTTCTTATTCCTTAGAAGATGGGGCATTGGGGAGCTCTGGAAGGAAATGTGGAGTTTCTCAGCTGATTTTCTTCATATGGCCATTTTATTAAATGAGCTTCAGAAATAGCTTTATTCTCCTCCTTTAGATATTGTTTTGTCAAATTTCCCTTTTTCGTTTCTAGACAATATCTCAAACAGGTCCCAGAGTTTTTCTGGCTGCCTCCGGGTATTAGAACAATCTCATTTTCAGGCAATAAAAAGTCCAGGGCAATCTAAATCAAAACTTGAATTTCCCATCCACCTCCACATATGTCCTCCCTCCCTGGCTGAGGCGCAAACTGCAGGACTCTAGGCCAGCAGAAGCCGGGGGAGGCTGGCCCCCCTATTTTGCTTTCCCTGCTCCATCTCCCCTTCTTTTGCTCTCCTGTTAATGGGCCCCTCCAGAGCCGAGGGCAGGGCATGGGAAGTGGCTATCAGGAAAAAGCAGATTCTTACCAGACTAACGTTCTTGTCATCTGGTCTATGGTGCCCTTGGTGGGGCAGATGACCTAATGCTCATGGTGCAGCTTGGTTTCTTGGGTGATGTCCACTGGGGCCTCTACGCTGTATCACGATTGAGACCTCTCAGACACCTCCTGTGAGCTGCCCTGCAGCACACCACTCCCGTGGAATTCTGCTGCAGGAGCCCCCTCACCCTGGCAGGCAGGCAGCCTTCTGAGCTGGGGTCCTTTTGAGATGGCTTAGCCTGGCTCCCATTAGCTGTCCATTTGCCATACGATTGGTAGGAGGGGGGTTGTGCTCTCTCACGGTACCTGCCCTCCTTCCTCTGTAGTCAGGGGCATCTACTATCTCCTTCCGGCCAGTGTCTCTCTGCATCGGGTGAACCCTCAAGCTCCTGAGGATACTTGTCCTTCCATCCCCCAAGAGAAAGCACAAGGTGGGGGAGGGGCACTCTGAGTTCCCACAGGGACAATTAAGCCACCAGTTGGGAATAGGACGCCAACCTCTCTTCGTGAAGGCAGCCTCCCGAGTGGCTCCAGGAGGATCACCTTTTTTAACCATCCCAGGTTTCCTTTCTTCACTCTAGAGGTAGGAGCCCCAGGGCTGCTCTTGGTCACCTCTTAGCCAGTCTGATGAGAATGGCCTAGCCCCTATTTTTAGAATGTGTGGACACTTGGCTTCAGCTTTGGAACCTCAGCCACATTCCAAGACAATAAGAAATGTCCTTCTTAACATCATGTTACAGTCCCCAAAGCTGAGACATTCACCTGTTTAGGGTCTAGATGATCTTCAAGCCCCTCTCCCTCTGAGAAGCAATAATCTGGAAGACATTCACTCTTACCTTTCTTATCTGTAACCCCAGGTCAGACAAAAAGAAGGGAATGAAGAGAATCCATCACCTCTACTTAATAGCTTTGAAAAGTTTACAAGTTTAAACACTCACCTTGAGGGTGTTTTTTTTTTTTTTTTTTTTGAGACGGAGCCTGATGTGTCACCCAGGCTGGAGTGCTGTGGCATGATCTTGGCTCACTGCAAGCTCCGCCTTCCGGGTTCACGCCATTCTCCTGCCTCAACCTCCCGAGTAGCTGGGACTACAGGCACCTGCCACCAAGCCTGGCTAATTTTTTTTTTTTTTTTGTATCTTTAGTAGAGACGGGGTTTCACCATGTTAGCCAGGATGGTCTCGATCTCCTGACCTCATGATCCGCCCACCTCGGCCTCCCAAAGTGCTGGGATTACAGGTGTGAGCCACCGCTGCTGGCCAAGAGTGTTTTTAAATTTACTATTACTCGTGGATGGCAGGACATTGGTCAAGGGCACACGCTTTGGTTGTGGGCTGGATCACATGGTTCATAAACTCCCCCCTTTCCAGTAACCATCAGTGAGACCTTGGGCAAATGACTTGACATCTTTCTGCCTCAGCTACTGCATCTGCGAAATGGAGGTAAGCACAGGCTCGCCCTCCTAGGGTATATAGGCACAGGTCTCTTAGAATAAGGCCTGACACACTGTAAGGGCTGTGGAAATGTTTGCCAAGTGAAGGGTAATAACCGAATTCTCTCTTCGTCTGATTTTCCTTTGACTACTCACATCTTTGCTGTTTCAGGGTTTTGCTTTCATTGTTATGCCCTTTCTTTAAGTTTCTTTCTTTTATGTTTGTCTGTGAACTGCTCTTTGGAGATACCCATTACCGACAGCCATGAAATTGTCATGCAGGAGACATCATTGCTAAACCTATCCTACGAACTAAGATATTTAAGGAGGAAAGATGGCAGCTGCAGAGTCAGGCCCCCTGAGTCTGAATTCAACCCTGTTACTCACCAGCTAGGTGATGTGTGGCTGGTTATTTAACCTCTTGCAGGCTGGGATTCCCCATCTGTAAATCACCTTTACCCATCCTTCAAACATTTCTGTGGGTCCGCCAAGTTCCAGACATTGAAACATTTACTATCCAGACTGCAATTGCTTTGTTTTAATTAGTATGGAATTGGAACCCAGAAACATCTTAAAAATCCAGCCCATTTCTTATAGTAAAAGTGAGTTCTCAGATCCTTTATTATTATTATTACCACTATTCTACCACTATCATTGTCATTATTATGACTTCCCTGAAAGTACAAGTCTTAGAGCTCAGGAGAATGGAAGAGAGGGGGTCCTACTTGTCCCCCGGGCTCTCAGCCCCCACTCCCTTCCATTAGTAAGGGGTCCCAAGAAAAAAGAAAATGAAAGAAAAACTAGAGAGACCAAAACAAGAGGTAGAGAAGATCAAACCTGCAGTTGGAAGCCAGCAGCTCCCTCTCTGCCTGATTACACAGTGTGCAGCGTGAGGATGTACTTCAGGCTCCTGCAGCCAAGGGGGGATGGAAAAGAGCAGTGGTGGGAAAGGGAAGAAAGGGAAAAAATCAGCTTCAATGAGGTGATCCAGAGTTTGCAATTAGAAAAACCAGAAGAAAGCTATTTTGGTGTCAGCAGTTTTGTGTTTCATAGTTAAATCCTGCTTTGATTTGGCATTACATTTGGGGGTGGGTAAGAGGAACCCAAGTGTTTCCAGCATCTTTAAAGCTGTCATCTGCTGGGTGTGCTCCTGGCCCTCCGCTGGGCTCTGCAGATTGCTTCACAGCAGCCCTGGCTACTTCAACGAACAACTGCTTTCCATCGCCTGGAGAGCTGGCCTCCAGAGTTCCAGTGGGGCCATCAATGTCTGGGGCAGCAGTGTTGCCATGTGCAGGGCAGGAGAGGCTGCTGTTGGATGTGGGTAGGCAGGGACCACCCCCATGTCAATATTCAAAGGCAGCAGGACACAGTTCCGGTGCACCCACTCTGATTCTATGCCTGCCATTCTGAAGAGCAGTAAAGAGGCTACATCTGAGCTTCCAGAATCCAGGTATCAATAGTGACCTAAACTCCAACTGATCATCTCCCAGACCCTGATGTAAAAAATGAGACAGAAGTTGTCTTGCTGGAAGAATCCTAGAGCTTCCTTATTTTGTATGTGAGAAAATGTTTGCAGCTGGGGTTAGAAAGTGCTGTGTATTAGGAATGAAGCTTCACATCTCAAGAGGAGAGAGATGGAGAAAAAGGAGAAAAGTGGAAAGTAAAAACACTAAAACGGTTACATTTACTTTTAGGGAAAGTTAAGAGATAGTGTACTCAAAACCTGGGAAATAAAATCTCTTCTTACATTCCCCAAGGCAGTTTAAATAATAGAAAACACCCCCAAAAAGCCTAGGGTGATTCACAGTGGAGTTTGGACATCAGAGGGTGGTTGCCGTGGTGACCAGTCCTTCCTTCTGTACACAGCCCTCCATTCTTCATGAAGCCGCCCCACCCTGCAGGTGGCTTTGGAAAGCTGAGGATTCTGCAAAGGGGCAGTGGAGGTGGCCGCACTGCCCAGCTGCCAGGCTGTTTCCTACCTTCCCGCAGCAGCTCAGCCTCTGCCATCTGGGCCCCACACCCAGGGCCCCAGCATGGGGCCTCCATTGGTCACAGCCACCACTGAACCCCCACCAGTCTGTCTCGCCCTCAGCAAGATCTCAGTTACAAGGCAGCCAGGGTTGAGAGAGGGAATCTCTGAGCTGGGGTTCAAGTCTCCTCTGCCATCTGCTCTTCAGAAATCCATCAGGCCTTGCTCGAGACCCCACATCAAGCCCTCATGGGGAGGAGATGTCTTTTCAAGAAAATATCTACATACTTGTCTCCTATGCCTGTTTGAGCACAGTTTGGTGTGGTTTCCTGGAGAATGACTCTGCTTGGTTTTAAAATTGAGCTCCATGAAATTCTAGGGTTCCCTGGAAGCATCTGAGGGAAATTTCATCAGTGGAGGAAGAGACCCCCTACCCCAACCTACTTGGAACAGTTCTGCTTTCATTTAGATTAGATTATAGACTCTGCAATTATAACTGCATATAATACAAACTACAATACAATACAAATACCAAAAAGTTCTGCTTAAAAGGCTGAAGATTCTTAGGTCAGGGTTGTCCAATCTTTTGGCTTCCCTGGGCCACATTGGAAGAAGAAGCATTGTCTTGGGCCACACATAAAATACACTAACACTAACAATAGCTGATGAGCTAAAAAAAAACCTGCAAAAAAAATCCCAAAGTGTTTTCAGAAAGTTTAAGAATTTGTGTTGGGCTGCATTTAAAGCCACCCTGGGCCGCGGGTTGGACAAGCTCGTCTTAGGAGATTTCCCTAGTGCTTAGTTTTCTTACTATTTCACCAAGTGTTTAGTACCCTCTAGGAAATAAAATGCACTACCACTTTCCTGATTCAGTCTACTCACTCCAAGCTACATTGTCTGATGAGAAACTGACTCCCATTTGCGCCATGCCAGCCCTTTAAGTGAATGAGGCTTCCAGGCAAGCTTTCCACCTCAAAGGGACACCACTGCCCCATACCTTCTTCCTTTCACCATCCACCTGGCAGTCTTCCCACAGGAAGGGAGCCGTCCTTAGAGGCCACATGCAGACAAATATCAGTCTCTAAACCAAAGAGGCTTGGAGGAAAAAAGACAGAGAGCACACATGTCATGAATAATTCAGTTGGCTGCCCGGCCCAAACCAAGCTCCCCTGGAGGCAGTATGGAGACACAAATCTGCCCACCTTATGAAGCTTACAGCAGTTGCCAGTTAGGTCTGGGTAGCAGCTTGACCCTCCTGTGAGCGCCCAATAATAAATGCCCACACTGGCGTGGAGGGCTGTGGTGTGCAGCAGGTACACAAGAAATGAATGAGAACTGCAAGGCCAGAACGACTTCATGGGAGGGAAAGGGTCTTTGATTAAGGCAACTGCTCAACTCCAATGTACATTTGCTTTGCTGTCTCTGGGGCTGAAAGCAGGGTAGAGAGGTGGAGAGTGGGACATTTACTTTGGCCCAACCATCTGCTAGGTGTTCCACATGTGTGGAGCCAAGACACAGACACCCTAGCAACATTTTGGTGAGGCAGGTACTACGATTCTCATTCCTTTGCTTTACTCTCTCTCAAGGAAATTAGGCTGACAGACAGTTTGGAAGATTTGCCAGCAATCTTAACAGCTAGGAAGTGGCAGGGGCAGGCTCACCTCCAGCCCTAGCTGGCTCCAAAGCTGGGGCTCGTTCTTTTATGTCCCTAATTCCCTTCTTACTTTCCATGCTTTCTGTGCACTGTGTCTAGCAGGATAAGGTGGCCAGGTAAGCAGCCAGGGGGTGAGGAACTGGGAAGAGGCTGCACAGTACACCCTGTTTCTTCCAGAGGATGAATTCTGTACCCCACTCCAAGCTGTCAACATAGACAGGTGTTCAAGGGTGGAATGTGGCCCAGCTAATCCCTGCCTGACTTTAATTTCCCATGTGTGGAATATGGACTCCAGGGAGGCAGAATCCAGGAGGCAGAAGCTCAGGCCTTGATGCCTACTCAGATCTCTAGATGCCAAACTCTACTAACTGGGGTACTGACCAGTAAGCCTTGGGGATGTGAGATCTGAACCTGATCTTTATGGTGGCCTCAGTCTACACTGTCACCCTTGAAACCTGTGTCTGTCTTACAGCACGGATCCCATTCTGCTGGTATTGGAAAGACTGATAGTGAAAAGAACTCGAGATTAGAGTCAAGAGAGTCTAGGACCAAAGTCCATCTCGTTCTCATTCTCCTTCAATCACTCGGTTTTGATGGAAATCAACTCTGCCAACATAATTGCTATTTCAAAGAAATATTCATTCATACACTCAATAATTTTTTAGCAATCCAAGATGTATTGAGCACTTACTATGTGCCAGGCACAGTATTGAGAACCACAAACCCATAAGATGCTCAATAATATTATTTGAATGAATACAGTGCAAATCATGTTGTAGTAAGTATATATTCACAAGCTTTGGCCAGGAAGAGCAAAATAAGTAGTTTACATTTGAACAATACTTTTCACAAGGCTACAGAGTACACTCACATTCATTGTAATAATTGATGGATTATCCTCAGCTCAAACCGAGAGCATGGCCACTCTAGAAATACTTGGGGAGCTATAAGAGGAAGAGGAGGAGGTGACAAATAGTATTTGATGCAGTTGAGAGGTCAGCCTCAGAGTTAGCCAAGTGAGACAAGAGAGGACAAGGAAGAGAAAGAGAAGTAACTTTTGAACACCTGCTATGAGTATCTCATTTAACGCTGAATGATCCTATGAAGGGAGGTAGGTATTTTCACTCCTTTTTTATAGACAAAGGAAGGCAAGCTCATAGAGGGTAGCTATCTTGGATAAAGTTACACAGTCAAAAATGGCAAAATATCTGACTCCAAATTGAACGTTTTTTAATCCCTATGCCATTCTGAACCTTTCCCAAAAGAGGAAGATGAGGAGGAGAGGCTGTGTCAGTGAGATAAGGTGAGATTTGGTGCGATAAAAGAAAAAGAATAGATACAGGACCACGCAAACAAACACAAAAAGCCCAGTGACATTTCACTGATGATAGCAATGATTACTGTTACGTTGGTTGACAGCATGCATCATCGGCAGTTCAAGCCCTAGTTCCTGGAACTTCATAGATATATTTTGAAAGGACTTTCAGCAGGAAGCCCAAACTTCCAAAAGAGGAAGACTGACTACCATACCAGGCAGTCATTTTTATCTCTACTTTATAGACAAGGAAACTGAGCTTCTACGAGGTTAATCAATTTGCTTTAAGTCACCCATATCGGAAATGGCAGAGCAGGGATTTGAACCCAGGGCTTTCTGACCTTCAAATTTATATTGCTTTTTATGGCCCTATCTTAAAGATGACCAAGGATGGGTGAAGGAACTCTTAGAATCTCAGAATTTGGAAAAGATAATAAACTTTCTCTAATCAGGCAGTTCTCACACTTAGGTGATTGGACCCATGCTCAACCAGTGACATGGAAACCTTATTAAAGGGAAACGGGCTTCATCCCTGATCAGGGAACCTGCCTTCTCCTCTGTGGTCCTGGTGGCAGGAGAGGTACCCAGGAAGGGGAGGGTTTCAGGTGAAGGGGAGAGCAAGGTGGTGCTCACAGTCTGAGTCAGGCGGACCTCCTGGCTCTTGCCTTCTAGCTCAAGACCTTTGACAAACTTCCATGTTTCCTGAATCTCAGTTTTCTCACCTGTAGAATATTTTATAGGCAGCACTTAGAGATATTAATTGAGTATGTGTTTAGGGTCAAAATGACCTGGATTAGAGTAACAGCTCTGCTTATGACCTTCGATGAATTAAAACCTCTGGACATTTGGGGTCCTCATCTCTAAAATGAGCATAATAAAATCTACTTCATGACTTGTTACAATGAAGTGAGACAGTATATATGGAACCCCTCAGTATAGAACCTGACCCCTAGTAAATACTCCACAAATGTTAGCTATTCTTACTCTGGGCAGCGGAGCAAAGTGCTTAAGAGCTCGGGCTCTGGAGTGATCCTTCCTCAATTCACTGACTCCATCATTTACTGCCTTGGGGCCATGAACAAATTCCTTAAACCCTCTATGACTTGTTTCACTCATTCTGAGAAATGGGGATAATCGTATTATAGTATCTACCCTAGAGGGTTATTATGAAGATTAAATAAGATAGGCATGGAAGATGCCTAGCATAGTGTCTGGCAGGTGGTGAGTGTTCCTTAAAGGGTACCCATTATTAGCTCCATATGGGATCAAACTTGCCAAGAATTGGACAACAGCAGTCAGGTCTGCACAGTGAGAGAGTGAGCTCCCCGTCTGTGGCTGTGCTGGGCCAGAGGCTAAAAGACCATCTGTTAAGGGTGGGTGGAAGGGATTCCCATATGAGGTCAATGGTGGGCTTTGCCGACCTCTAAGACTCTAACTGTCTTTTCCGTGCTGTGACTCTCAGTGTGAATTAGTAGAGAAGACACTGACTCATCAGTGCAGCAAATCAAAAGTGGAAAAATTACTTTCTAGCTTAGTTTTAAAAATCAAAGCCCCTTTCCAGCCAAAGGCAATTACAGACTGATCCACAGTAAGGCAAGGCATATTTCAATTGAAAAATGGCATCTTCCTAGTCATTGCCATATGGAGCCAGGACACCAGGTGGCCCAGGGCTGAGACCAATCACAGGGTCCAATTGGAACTAAATAAAATGACCCCCTGGAGGAAATGGCTCCAGCGAGGCCCACAAATCCCCATGACATGTCATTTTGGCATGTGGCATGTCCCACATCAGCCTGGGCCTATGCTCTGCCTGATGCCCGAGGCCCTGTCCCTTCTCTCAAGTGGGTCAAAAAGATAAGGGGCCTCAGCTGTGAGTACATCCCCTGTGTGGGAGGAGGAGACCACAGGCACAGTGGAGGAGTCCTGGCCTCAGCCTGCTCCTGTAGAAGGCCCCAGAGACAGCCAGAGTCACATGGGTTGTCATTTGCCAACCATCGGCTGGCAGTTCCCAAAGATGGGCCACATGGCCCAACGCCTTCATCTATATTAAAACTCTCACTTCCTAAATTTCGCTCCATCCCAGGACAATCATTTCAACACAGCCATTCTGTCTCTCCTTTCCTGTCTTCTAGAACAATTTGTCTTCTCCCTGCCATGGGAAAGCAGGTCACATTTTTGGTAGAAAGGGTGGGATAGTAGATGCCGGAAGATGGAGCCATGTGCTGTTGCTATGATTCCCTTGCCACCACCCCAAATCCAGAGCAATGGTCAACTCATCTGCCTCCACTTCTGGTTCCAGTAGCAGTGAATGCAAGAACCAATTACATGTATAACTTCCTCTAGGTAGCATCTCTCCTCCTCATAATAATATAGTTTAGCATTTAACAAAGTCTAATGTGTTTTATGCAAACATTTAAAAAGACAAATACTTGAGAAGTACCAAGTTAAGCAACATTAACAGGATTCTTTCCTGCAGGATTTCTCAGAATTGTTTTCTTTTCTTTTCTCTTGTATTCTCTTCTCTTGTCTTGTCTTCTCTTCCCTTCCCTCCTTTTCCCTTCTCTTCTTTTCTTGTCTTTCTTTTAAGAAACAGGGTTTTGCTCTGCAACCCTGGCTGGAGTGCAGAGGCACAATCACAGCTCATTTCAACCTTGCCTCCCACCTTGTGATCCTTCCACCTTGGCCTCCCAAAGAGCTGTAATTACAGTCATGAACCACCACGCCTGGCCAGAGCTTTTAAAAAATAAACTAAAGTGCATTGGGAATCTCCAAGAAAGGGATTGGGTCAGGGGGAGCAGCTACAGCATTTTCCAAGCTTTGTCTCAGAGTGTCTTGAAGGAAACACACTTTGGGAAAATAGCAGAACTTGGAGCATGGACTTTGGAGCTAATAGCCCCTGCAGGGGATGGGGAGGGTTGGAGGGTTAAATCTGGGTTCTGCAACTTACCAGGTGTGTGACTTACTTTAGGCTGCATTTTGCTGCATTTAATGGGAATGGGAATGATTATAGTTACCTTGCAGAATCACCATGAGTACTTGTAGTTACATGCACAAATGTATATAAAATGTTTAGTGCCTAGGAAATAGTAAGTGGAGAATAAATGGATGCAATTATTCTTGCTGATGTTGTGATAATTTTGTTGTGAAGAATGAAATAGAGAAGGGCCCTTGGGCTTGTCTTTAGAAAGAGTGAGGAGCAAGGAGGAGAGGAGCTAGAAGACCTTGACGGCAACCAGTCTTGGTGGGACATTAGGAGCAGCTCAGGGACAAGTTGCCACTGAAGGTGGGTGGTGGCAGCCACTGCAGGAGATGAAGGCAGGCGGGGCCCCCTGGCTCTGCAAGCTAACAAAGAAAGGGCTTTTGGGGCTCAGTCTGGCCCTTCAGGGATGGTGGCTAGGAATATTCAATCGTGTTTACCCCCTCAGTTGCTGGGAACAATTGTCCCTCTCAGTCAGCCTATTGTCTCCAGTAAAGCAGGCACATAACTCCCATTGGCACTGATGGGATTATGTGCTCCTATCGGGACAGAAACAGAGCCCAAGCTTGAATAAGAGATGGGGAAGCAGTGGGTCCCCCTCCACGACCTATCTCAATGCAGCCATTCGTTTGATTATCAGCTGAACACAGTGAGGCCTCTTTCAAGAGAACTATTCAACCCTGAGCATTTGTAGCCTGCCTGCTTCTTGATAACTTTTCAGAGAGTAGGACTGATTGCATCAAATTCAGTATGCAATGAAAAGGCTTCAAAATGTCCATGACATTCGATCTTGAATCAAAATGGCAGCTGATAATGGCTTTCCAAATGGCTGTGTTGTCTCAGTGGCCTTCAATCTTTTTGCTCCCATCCCCTAAGAAAAAGAATGTTGAAAAACATTTGGACTCTTTTGCACATTGTTAAACGACTCTCTAAAACTTACCATGATGTATGTACCTAAGTTTACTTTGTGTTAACAGGGAGTGAAAAATTGTATACATTCTTACAATGAAATAAGATTAATATTAAATATAATTAGAATAAGTATTTCACAATGTGATTAGAAAAAAACACAAGCCTGAGCTACCCTAATTGGATAAAGCACACCACAAGGTTTGGGATGGAGGAGGGATCTACTTTTTATCAAGTGGGAGAAGGGCCTCTGTGAAACCTTCTTGGACAGATCTTCTTCTTGGATAGATCAATTTTGAAAACGAGTAGACAAACAAGTTGAGATCTGGAAATAGATTCCCTTCAACTATTCATGCCTGCACACCCCTTGGAAAATCTTCATCTACCCCCAGTTTGAAGACCATTGATCTAACTGATCGTAATGAGGCTCAGTACGTAGAATTAGAGAAAACTGTGACGTTGCAGAGGCAAGGCTGCCTGGGCATCACAGAACCATTTACAGTTCAGGGGAAGGGGAGAGGGATGAGAAATGACAGAGGGCTCTTGCATTACATTTTTAGCCATACTGTTAGCAAACATTTACCAAGTACCTATTATATGCCAGGCTCTGTTCTAAGTATTGGAAATATTGTATTGAACAAGACAAAGTCCATGATTTGTGGCCTTTAAATTATAGTGGAAAGATATATATATATATATAAAATGTCATTATCCTGGTTGTGATATTGCACTAAAGTTTTGCAAGATGTTACCCATTGGAGCAAACTGGGTAAAGGGTACACAAAATCTCTCCATATTATTTCTTACAATAGTATGTGAATCCACAATTATTTCAAGATTTAAAAAGTTCAATTTAAAAAGATACATAAATAAAACACAAACACATAGACTATGACACTAAAGCATAAAAAAAAAAGAAAGTTATAATTGAAAAATAAGTCTGGGCCTGGCAGCTAACGCCTGTAATCTCAGCACTTTGGGAGCCTGAGGTGGGAGGATTGCTTGAGCCCAGGAATTCAAGATCAGCCAGGAAAACACAGTGAGACTCCCATCTTAGCAGAAAAAAAAAAAACAAAAACAAAAGTTAGCCAGGTGTGGTGGTGTGCACCTGTAGTCCCAGCTACACGGGAGGCTGAGGTAGAAGGATTGCGTGAACCTACGAGGTCCAG
Organism: Homo sapiens; assembly: GCF_000001405.40. Taxonomy (NCBI): domain Eukaryota; kingdom Metazoa; phylum Chordata; class Mammalia; order Primates; family Hominidae; genus Homo; species Homo sapiens. Next base: position 19,538,422 of record NC_000011.10, on the reverse strand, counting down.
GCTGCAGTGAGTCATGACTGCCCCACTGTACTCCAGCATGGGTGAAAGAGCAAGACCCTGTCTCAAAAAAAGAAAAGAAAAAGGAAACAGAGGAGTGTGCTAGAATAGAACAGTGAGCTTCCACAGATTCACAGCTCAGGGAAGAGGCAAAGGTCAAGCTCAATGATGACAATAGCCACCTGGGCCAGGCCACTCTAGAGATGTGTCACAGCTTGGCTGCGTTATTGGACCTCACCAGGATCCTTCCAATATCAATGACATTTGAAGATATAGGAACCAGAAAAAACAAACCAAGAGAGTCTATTGGACTGAGCTGCTTTCTGTCTGGCATTTTCTTATCAGACATGCTGCAGAGCATAGGTGCTGCAGAAGAAACTGTGAGTAAGGAACCCAGGTCTGAGTTCTGGACTCTCCTTCTCATAACAGTCATGTGACCTTGGTAAGTTACTCATTTCTTTGGGACTCAGGTGCTTTCCCTGCAAAATGCATCACCTAGGCCAGTCCTTCACAAATATTTCACCTCTTAATCCTCATGATATCCTATGAGGCAGGTGCTATTATTATTTCCATTTTACTGATAAACAAACTGAGACTTAAAAACATTAAATAACTTGCCCAAGTCACAATAAAGTAGCAGAGCAGGGACTGGAATCCAGTTCTATTTTATTTAAAAAGCACTTAGACTAGATCAGATATACCTGTGAGATTGTGTCTAGAACTAAGGAAAGCCAGTCTGGAAGTGGATAGTAAAGGCGACCATATCTAGAATACACTTAAGAGCAGAAGCAAAAGAACACAGTCCACTTGGTGGCTGCTGAGCCAATTCTAAAGCCTGTCACTGAAATAATAAACTGAAACTGACTGTCAGCTTCCACTGCACAGCAAATCAAATCCATGCAGCAGGAAGGGCTTGGTACTGAGAAAAGAAAGGGGTCTTGGTAGACTTGGGTTTGAATCCAGGCTTCATCATTTATTTTGTAGTACGCTTTGGGAAAGTTACTTGATTTCTCTGAGTCCCAGTTTCCTCAGCTGTAAAATGGAGATAATAATATTAGACTTTCCTCGTGAGGTTGTTGTGAGGTTGGCTTAGAACACTACCTAGCACACTGGGCAGTTTATTCATGGTGGGTGTTGTTATTATTATTATTGTTATTAGTTGTTGTTATTGACCTAGAGCTGGATAGCTCTAGAAAAGTTATTATTATTATACAATTAAATAAAATATCACATATAGTAGTGCCTACATCAACATTCTCTTGCAGTTCTCCTCGATTTCTTTTTCAACACAAGTGAAGAATTGTTAGATCCCCAGGGACCCTTTTTATAATTTCCTTCCCACCATAGACCTCACAAGGACATTGTCTCTTAAACAAGTTGAATTTTTGAAAGGCAACTAATTAATGTCTCTATTTTTTATTAATCAAAAGCATATATAATTGCCAATCTGAACTCCTGCTCTTCAGTAAATAACCAGTTACCATGCTGGTCTACTATAATTCTTGTCAATGGAAAAGATGTTTGTGCCCAAGTTCATGTCCCTCTAGTCTGACTATGATCAAGTAGAATATACCAGCTGGGCTTTTGGGAATGGTAAGAATGGCTCCCAGCCCCCATTATCATTTCCTGAAGGTTGTGAAGGACACAAACCTGGAACTAGTGGATAATCTTAGACTTCGGCTTCTAGAACTCCAGGTCAGGGAGGAGAGATACCACATTTGGAGTCTGCCCACCAGTTGGGTATATGACCTGGGACAAGTCACTTAACTTCTCCTTATCAATTCAATAGGAATAACATTGATCTTGGAAGGCTTGTAAGCATTAGTAGTAAGTGCTGAACAAATATCAAAGCTCCAGTTTGTTTTCCAAACTTTAATGGGTATTGGCACATGGTGGGGAGTCTTGTCAAAGTGCAGATTGTGATTCACGGTGTGGGGTGGGGCCTGAGATTCTGCATTTTTAACATGTACTTCAGTGAGCTGGTACAGCTGGTCCCTGGACCACAATCAGTAGCAAGGATCTAATGCACCTTCCATACGGGGCTTAGAAAAAAGTACAGTGGTGTTCAAGTGGGGACACTTCAGTCCTAATCCAGCCAGCATAGTGCAGTCGACAGAGAGAGATCTTTGAAATCAACAGAGCTTGACCAAAATGTCAGCTGGGCCTCTGACTAGCTGGATAGCTCTAGGAAAGTTGATTTACTTCACTAAGGCTTGGCTTTCTCTTCTGGAAACTGGAGACAAAACTGCTTACACCTCATTAGATGGCTTGGAAGATTAACAGGGACCATGTACGTAAAGCATTCAACATAAGACTTGGCACGTAACATTGCCAAGTAAATTGTAGCTTTCTAATCTTCCACTACCTGGCTTTGTGACTCTAATCAAGTAACTTAACCCCCTCTGAGCCTGGGTTGAAGCCTATGAGCTGACCCATTGGCTCTTCTGCTTCTGTTTTCCTAGTTATGATACTGGGTCCTAATGTATCTGTGGCCACTGCCTTGGCCCAGTCTGCTCTGTTCTAGAAGCTTCAGCAAAAGATCTACACCCAGAAGGTCCCCATACTCAACCCTGGGAGGCACATTTATTGTGTGCTTTCCTGGGGCTCATTTGGACCACAAGAAGATGGATCCCCACGCTGTTGGGCGTTAATTGAGAACTTTAATTCTCAAACCCCTGAATCAGGCTTGATTGGGCCCACTGAACCCATAAGGCCAACAGGGAATGGAGTTCAGCTCAGGAATGATGAGACCCTGTGATCAAAGGAGGTGGAAGAAACCGCTGAGAGATAATTTATTAATAAGGGATAAATAGAATACTAATTAAGGCAGAGCTTTCAAGACGGCAAATTCCCAAAGTAAACCTTTAAGGAATGCTCAAATAATTACCATTTTAATTAAAAGTATATCACCCGGTACAAATGGCAAGCCACCCCTTCTCACCATGAGGATGGCCTGAAATGCAAAGCTGGCTGCATCTTCCCAGGTGCAAAGGCTGTGAGCTGGTGAGTGAACCCAGGTCAGGCTGAGCTGTAGTTCCCCACCTGGGCCTCCTCTAGGCTATTACTTGTTGGGCCTGGGGACTCCTCTTCTACTCCCCTGCAGCCTTACTCAGAGGGCAAAGTATGAGTGCATCTCCTGCTACCAAGGTTCCCACAGTAGCTGCTCCAAGTCCCAGGATTCAAACCCCCTTCTCTGCCTCTCTTTCCATTCCAGCAGCTTCCTGTTTTCCCTGGTTCCTGTCTCACCTGATCTCCTCAGAGCCACTGCCAAGCCACTCTCCACAGCCCTGCCTGCACAATCTTGCTAAAATGCAAATCTATCATGTCCTTCATTTGCTTGGAAAATCTCTACTGGCTCCTTGTTAACCACATCAACAGGAATAGCAATGATTTATTAAGCACTTATTATGTCCCAGGCACTGTGCTAAGGACTTATTTTGCACTCAAAACAGCCCTACAATGGAAATATTAACCACATTTCCAAAATGATAAAACTGAAGTTAAGAGATGTGAAATTGCTGGCCAGTCATGCAGTGCACAAGTGGCAGAGTGAAGATTTGAACCAAGGTCTGAAATTAACTTCAAAGCTTACATCTTAACTACTAGTCTACATTGCCTCTTGGGTCCTGTTTGCTATAGGTTAGGGTCTGTTTCCTGGCATGGAATGCAAGGTCTCTCAGTTTTCCTCCTCTACTCCACCTCCCTCATTTTCTGCTGCTTCAAACATTGCACAGGGAGCCCTGCTGCTCCAAGTTCCATGCCATTGCTCCTTCCCTGCTCCCTGGGAGCCATCCATGATCCCCTGTATCTTCTTGCATCTGCAGATACTGTGTGATCCTCCTTTCCTCAAACTGAAGATCTTTCCTCATCTGCAAGACAGGTTCACTTGTTCCTTTCTCTGTGCTCCTTCACTTCTCTCTCTCTCACCTCTTTTATTGCTCTCCTTCCATGAGACACTGAGCTCGTAGGAAGCAGAGACTGTGCTATTCAACTCAGCTCCTAGCACAGAGCCTGGTGCTGTTGAGTAGGTGCTCAACATGTGTTCACCAAAGCTGTTGGACCCATGATTACAACCATGCACTGAAGTCTGCACTGTGGGTACAGCAGGGGACAAACTGGATCAGGTCCCACTAGATCAGGTCCGTGCCCTCTGAGATCCCACAGTCTAATGGGGGAGACAAGCAATAAACAAATAAGCAAATAAACACGATGCTACCAGGGGTTGGCCAACACTCTGCAGGCACTAAGCAGAGAGATGCAGTAAGGAGTAACTGGAATGATAAGCAAGGTGGCCTATGACATGGGGCTGTAAAAATGGAGACCCAAATGAAGAGGAGCCACAAGGGTGGCATGGGGTGACAAGTGCAAATGTCCTGAGATAAAACAATTCAGTGTGTCTGTGGATAAGATAGTTCCCAGAGGCCGGGCGCGGTGGCTCACGCCTGTAATCCCAGCACTTTGGGAGGCCGAGGCGGGCGGATCACGAGGTCAGGAGATCGAGACCATCCCGGCTAAAACGGTGAAACCCCGTCTCTACTAAAAATACAAAAAATTAGCCGGGCGTAGTGGCGGGCGCCTGTAGTCCCAGCTACTTGGGAGGCTGAGGCAGGAGAATGGCGTGAACCCGGGAGGCGGAGCTTGCAGTGAGCCGAGATCCCGCCACTGCACTCCAGCCTGGGCGACAGAGCGAGACTCCGTCTCAAAAAAAAAAAAAAAAAAGATAGTTCCCAGAGGGGAGAGAGAGAGAGACAGACAGACAGAAACAGAGGGGGTGGGGGTAGAGAAAGTGCACGTCTCAGAGAAGGTTTCAGTATGTGATATTTCCAGGAGGACAATGACTGAAAAGACAGGGAGAACCTGGTTTCATTGGGGTTTCACCCAGCCCTGCAGGAGGATGCCAGAGGGAGGAAAATGCCCAGGAACACACATGCCCAGGACATGTGTGGACATGGTCAGCTGATGGCCTTTGTAGGAGGGAGAGAGAATTGTTTACACCAATGTTTGTCAGCCTTGAAGAAGGGGGTGGATATAATTTTGACCCCAAGAACATTTCACAATGACTGCAGATATTTTTGGTCATCTCAGCTGGGGATGGGGAGTTGTCGCTAATGGCATCTAGTAGGTAGAGGCCGAGGATGCTGCTAAATAGCCCACAATACCCAGGACAGTCCTCCATCACAAAGATATATCTAGCTCCAAACGTCAATTGTGCTGAGGTTAAGAAACCCCGGTCTACACTATATTCCTGGTTGAAATGTTGATGCATCTGACTCTACTCAGCTCCTTGATTAGTCCTAGACTGACAACAAGCTTTCTCCCATCACTGAAACTCACTCCAACCCACTTTTCCCCTTCTTCCACCTCTAGCTCAGGAAACGTTCTCACAACAACCTGACCAAAGGAATCCCATTCAGTACCACTATGTGTGGACACTGGTCCTTGACTAGCAAATAATATGGTCAAAGAGCACTAAACCGAGAGTCCACAGGATTGGGGATGAGTTACCTCTACACTCCAACATCAGTTGCCTTCCTTTCTGTTGACCTTTTTGCAGGAACACTCCATTCCCATGAAAGTAGAGGGTCCCCAGAGACAAACTATCTTCCCCTTGTATGTGGGACAACCCTTTGAAGTTGCCTCGTGTCATAAGAAGGGGTTGCCCTTGGGCTCCAGCCACATGCTACTAAGTTTAGCTCAAGAATTATGCATCAATCCCAGCAGGGAGGCAGGGGGCTTTAAGCCAATGGCCTGAAATACTCTAGTCTGCAGCCTGGCTCCACCACCGTGAGTAGCCTGCTCCCTTTTTGGCCTCAGTTGCCTCATTAGTGAAATGGGAATCATAATACATGGCCGTTTATGATGATTAGTGATTATATTAATATAAATCACCTAGTAGATGTTCAAAGTACTGCAGCTAGTAGTATTGTTATGCCTGAGCTGGAAGAGGAATTAGAAATCACCCTGTCCAGACTCTTCATTTTATAGGGGCAGATGTTGAGGCCCAGAGAAAGAAACAGATGGACTTTTTTTCTGGGTTTTGAGATGATAGAGTAGACATTATACTTGCATATTACTGATGAGAAAACAGTCCAGCAGTGAACCAGGCGAGCTGAAAAGCTTGGCCTTTCTGGGCAATGCCACACAGCTAGTGCTGGGTGATGCCCTGTGTTACAATTCTGGCCATCTGTGAGTCCTGAGTCCCCAGACCAAAGCCCTGCAGAGCAGCTCCACAGTGGCTCCTATTCCAGAAAAGATCTTTCACTGCCCAACTTTCCACTGGGCTCGAAATGGGCCATGAATCTCCCTGCTCAAAAATTTGCCATGCTAGTGCTCAGTCCTTTATACTTCTATTAGTTTCCATTGCTTTTAATGGCAAACACCACAATTACTTTTGCACCAACCTAATTTTTTTTCTTTCTCTTTATCCTCTATCACTCCCTTGGTGATTTCCTCAACTCTCACAGCTGTTAATACCATCCATATACTGGAAACTCCCAAACTTACTAAATCCCATTGACTCTAAACCACACATTTTTTCCACATTTTAATATCTCTGAAGTTGCAGTGTATCCTAGCTTAATGGACAGTGCTTTTTCTTGGTAGTAAATAAAATAATGGTCTTATAGTCAGTGGCCTCTTTGGTTTGATTAAATATTGGACATATTTACCCCTAGAACACACCCTTGAATTCCAAACTCAAAAATCACAATGGCTTTTCAACATGTCCCTTGGACTAGTAATAGACATCTCAAACACAAATGAGTCCATTTGAATTCCCAACCTTTCATTCTCCCCTGTCTCAGCAACTGGCAATCCCATCCCTCCAGTTGTTCAGGCCAAAATCTTGGAGTTACCATAGACTCCTTTCTTTCTCTTGTAATCTGCATCCAATCTGTCAACAAATTTTGCTGGCTCACTTAAAAATAAATTCTGAGTCCAATCATTTCCTACCAATCTGCTACCATTATCTGGAGACAAGAACTTCTTGTTTCTTACCTAGATTATCTCCATTGCCTCCTAACTGGCCCCCTGCTTCTTTGACTACCTACGGTCTTGGCTCAGAGCAGCAGCCAGAGTGAGCCTGTGATTAAAACAGCCTTAGCTCCCTGCCCAAATCACTCCCTGCCTCCTTACTCTGGTTCATTTTTAAAGTAACTTATAATTAGGTGCTATTACATATATTTCTTTCTTTCCATGTCTATCTTCTGTTTCCCCTACCAGAATGTGAGCCCCATGAAGGCAAAGATTTTATCTGTCATGTTTAGTGCCTAATCCCTACTCTCTAGCATAGTCTATATATTTCTTCAATACCTACTCTATGCCAGGCAATAAATACATAAATACATAGAAATAGTAGTAATCTTTGTTGGATGAATATTATAAATATTTGTTGAAATACATACCGATATTTAATAAATAAATACTAGTTGGTAAATGAAGTATATATAAATATTTGTTGAGTGAATCAGTTTTCACAGGATAATGCTTTCAAGGGAGCAATGACTTTGAAGTCAAACTAACCTGAGTTCAAATTCTGAATATACTACTTCGTGGCTGTGGGACTTGGCAGATTCATTTAAACTCTCAGCCTGTTTCTAATCTGTATAATTGGAAGAATTAGGCCGACCTTTCAGGGCTGTTTTGAGTTAATGTGCATACAGTGCCTGCACAGTCCATGACACATAGCAGGTGCTTGGTTTTTTATCGTTTATTACTTTATTACTGTTGTTCCAACCTCTACATTTAGCCACGGAGCTCTGGAGCTTGTCACAAAACCACAGCACATTTCCGTGGCAGGTGAACTCAGACAGAAGCACAGCGGTGTCCATGCTTTGGGGGTGGGAAGACTTGGATTCAAGTCCACGTGATACCATCCATCAGCAGGGTGACCCTGGGCATGCCATTTAACCCCTCTGAGCTTCAGTGTTCTCAGGCATGAAGAGGAAATAATGACCACATCTATTTCATACAATTGCTGTGAGCCCTTCTGGTGTGCATGATATGCGTGTAAAGCACATAGGGCATAGCCAATTCTAAGCAAATGCTACCTTGCATTATTACCATCTAACCTGACAGAGCTCAGTCCCTGCCTCGTGATGCCCAGGGTGCTGCTTTGAGCTTCATGCCACCCTGCCTGCCTGTGGATACACACAGTGGTAGGAGCTTGCAAAGGCTGTCCTGTAACTACAGCTACCTCCTAAGAAACAATCACACCCCACCCCACACAGAGGCAGTCCCCACACCGCCTCTTTGCTGGGGTCACCAGAATGCTAATGCCAGGCTATGGTCCTGCCTGCAAGTGATCTTCCTCACCACTTCCAGTGGTGACAATGGTGACTTGCTCAGGGGACTTCTGACCCTCCAGCTGCCACCAGTGTGCTTTGTTGGGCCGATGGTTTCCACTGGGGGAAGGGAGACAGACAAATGCTGATTTTTCCATTCGAAATATCCCATGACCTTCCAGCAACCTCCCACACCCCTAGAGGAGGAGGTCAATGGTAGTAAAAAAGATGTTTTGTTTTCCTTCTGTAAAGAAAAATGACGCTTTGTGTTCCACTCTAAATTATCTTTCTGACTGGAACCCAACTAATTCAGAAGTTAGAACACCTATGTAGGGCAGGAGGCCCGCTGGTCTCTTCACCGGTCACTGAGTGATTTGAAGAGGTTACTGTGTGAGGGGCTCAGGACAAGGGGGTGCCCTGTCCTATTCCCTCAGCAACTTCCACCCCACATCAGCCACCAAGGGGAACCCTGGACCTCTGTGCTGGTGCTCCAGTGGTCCCTAGGGCAGAAAAGTTCCCGTACCCCTGGGACTTATATCCCAGGTGGGGAGACAGGCCCCAAAGGACATAAAGACATAAACAAGGTAACTTCCATTCGGGTAAGGGCTCCAAAGAAAAAGAAAAAGGCGACATGTTAGAGAATTACTGGGGATGGGGTGGGGCGGGTCTCAACTGACACTGTAATTGGGATGGTATTGGGGGGCCTCCCAGAGGAGGTGTCACTTCCATGTCCTTTCACACAAGTACACACTCTCTCAGGGAGCAGCTGTACCCCCAGCACTAAATCTACTGCCCAGCAAGAACTAGACAACCATGCGTATGTGTTAAATGTTAATCAATGCAATGAGATGTAGCTGTTTGTGGATCTAAATGCTTCTTAACTTTATGACTAACTCAGTAACTTCAGCTCCTGCTTTCCAAGAGCTAATCCAAGGAACAGACTACAGTGAAGTTTTCATGGGGCACCAATAACATGAGAAAAATAAAGACAATATTGGGAGTTTTTATACAAAAATCTAATTTTTTTAGTGTTTATTCTGAGATTAAGTTCTTTCCGACCTGGAGTGTGTGTGTGTGTGTGCACGCACGTGCCAAAACGCCCTTTCTTCTATAAAATAATGGTGCTGGATGTTCACTTTTTAGGTTTCTTTTTCTTTAATGTTTTTTCTTGGCAAAATAAGTTTCTACTCACTCTTTTTTTTTTTTTTTTTTTTTGAGATGGAGTCTCACTCTGTCACCGGGCTGGAGTGCAGTGGCATGATCTCAGCTAACTGCAAACTCCACCTCCCGAGTTCAAGTGATTCTCCTTCCTCAGCCTCCCGAGTAGCTGGGACTACAAGTGTGCATCATCACACCAGGCTAATTTCTGTATTTTTAGTAGAGACAGGGTTTCACCATATTGGCCAGGATGGTTTCGATCTCTTGACCTCGTGATCTGCCCATCTCAGCCTCCCAAAGCGCTGGGATTACAGGCATAAGCCACCGTGCCCGGCCTTCCCATTCTTAAAAAATGGGAACCACTGTTTTATAGACTTTTTACTTGGCAGCCTGAAGGCTAAAGGAAAGCTAGCTTCATTTTGGAAGGGAGCTGGCAAATGCCTTCCAGCCGCCTCTGCCCACCTGCCGGAGTCCATCCCTGTTTTGGCAGTGAGGTGATGGGGTTTCAGGTCTTTGGAAGTCAGACAGTGTGTATGAGAAATGGACTCACCTGCAGTTTCAGTAAAGGATGAAAAATAAGAGACATGGCGCACTGTTCTCTCAGCAGTGTCCCTAAACTGCAAAATGCTCCTTCTCACTAAAAATTACTGGGGATGAGGGAAGGCAAAGACCAGAAGGTCATGAAAAGAACTGCCCAGGGTCCATGATGGCTGATTTACAGCAGATTTATGCAAAAGATCTTCCTCAAACCACCTCCTTTTCTGCTACCATTTTTCTTTTCCCTTTGTCCCTCCATGGTCCCCTCCCAGATTAAAAACATGAAACTGGGGTGGGAGAAGAAGCACTGGGAGTGTGCTATGTTTCCTCGATACAAAAATTATTAATCCTTCATGCCTGCCATGTACCACACAGCAGGGAACGTGGCTTGATTTCACAAAGCTCTGGGAAAACTTCCCCACTGCCATGTCCCTACCATTTGTTAAGAGAAACAATTGCAGCCTGATTCCCAGGATTGTGTGTGTGTGTGTGTGTGTGTGTGTGTGTGTGTCAGGGCAGGGAGCTATCTCCTTGTGACTTGGCTGCACCCTCAACCCCACAGGGAAGTGGCAGGGAGGTCTGTAGAATTCCCCTCTGTAGGAGTGCTGGTGGGAGGTGGGCTTGACCAGTCAGAAGGGACCACCCCAGATGCAAATCAAGAGCCTAAGTCAGAGTGCATTCCAAGTGTGTGGACCCTAAGACAGACAAAAAGACATCATATACTTTGCAAAATACTGTGAGAGATCAAGCTGCAGAAGTTCATGATTGGCATCTGATAAATTCAAGAGAGTGCTGGATGCGGAGAGAGTTGCTGAGTGGACGGGGTGGGGGTGGGGCTGGTGCTACCATGTCCAGGCTAGGAAAAGCAGTTTCAATGGGCTGGAGAGCCTGATGTCTGTCCACTGGAAAGTTGAAGCTCATTGGACTGGTGCCTGATACAGACTTGGGAAAGTTAAAGGCAAGGGAGTGTGGCTATCGGCTGGGAGATAATGAAAGATGGAGAGAGAGAAAGAGCAATGAATTAGTCAATTTTCATGCTGCTGACAAAGACACACCTGAGACTGGGTAATTTATAAAGAAAAAGGGGTTTAATGGACTCACATTTCCACATGGCTGGGGAGGCCTCATAATCGTGACAGAAGGCAAAAGGTACATCTTACATGGCAGCAGACTACAGAGAATGAGAGTCACGCAAAAGGGGAAACCCTTTATAAAACCATCAGATCTCGTGAGACTTATTCATTACCATGAGAACAGTATGGGGGAAACTGCCCTCATGATTCAGTTATCTCCCACAAGGTCCCTCCCACAACACGTGGGAATTATGAGAGCTACAATTCAAGACGAGATTTGGATGGGGACACAGCCAAACCATATCAAGAGAGATAAACAATAGAGATGGTGGGGGTGGGAGGGTTGGAGAAAGATGCCATAGCATGGAGAAATAAACCAACTCTCCCTCCCCAGCAGCAGCCAAGGAGCCATGAACCCCAGGGACCTAGGATGTCCTCAGGAATGTTGGCCTGAGAAGGAAAGCTGGGATGAAGAAGAATTACCACTACCTTACTCCCAAGGTCTGTGGGTACAAAAATGGTATTTTCCAGATATGGACTTTGTGTAACAGAAAGTTGGCCCAGGGAAGTAATGGACCTCAGCAGAAAGCTGGAATGAACTTCAGATTTCCTAAGGGGTTGCCAAGCCAGTGGTGGCCTCATGATCAAGTGCAATCAGCCAGGTCAGGGGACTGTAGGAGAGCTTCCCCAGCCATCCTGGGGACTCTGAGAAAGTGGGAAAGACCTCTACTGCAGAGTGGGTTTTAAATGTCTGCCAATAAGCACAAGCACACCAGGCAAGTAAGAACTGTCTTTCCCTCTTTTCCCCTTCTTCTTCATCCAATCCTGGAGTGTGCAGTGAGTAAACAATGGGTGAAAAAAGAACAGAGAAAGAGATAAGAGGCCAATCATATTCATTCCCCCGAGACAAGGCTGACTCTGAAGCTGACTTTAGAAAGAGAAGGGGAGAAGATTGATCTCCAATTCAAATGCAGAGTTGGAATTAGCACACAGGACTGGGAATTCCAATTACAGAACTGAGGCTGTGTTTTGTGACTTCAAGTTATGCAAGATATTACCTAACAGAGGACGAAAACATTGTGGGGCCTCTTTGAGTTTTCACTGCAGGGGAGAAGAAAACACTGAGAGACAAAAATGAAGTCATGTTCTGCTCATTCTAAGAGTTATGCTTGATTAAAACACAGTGAATCAGGAACCAGGAGGAGCTGTAATGGCCCTGGGGTGATTTTTTTAAAAAGACAAGGCAGAAAGGACAGGTCTGCCTTCGTGACACTGTGGCAGTAGGGCCATGTGTGGACCTCTCAGCATGATGCTGAAAGAGAAGGAAACCTTCTTCTGGGGCAACATTTCACAATGCCCACCCAAACCTTTGCACCTCCTGACAGGGAGGCGGGGAACATTATCAGGAGAGGTGGGACCTGTCCCCGAGACCTGGGCCTCCACCCTAGGATACACGTCCAGCTTCCCCTAAGCCTGAAGACTGGTTTTTCTGAACTACCAATCTCAGCAGGTCATCAGATAAATACCTGGGATTCCATATCAATGAGGGAGAAAGGTTAAACTTCCTCAAAGGAAGGGAGGGCAGGTAGGTTATCTCCAGGAGGCATTTTTTGTCTCCTAGATAAGAAAATGCAGAATGAGGGCACTGTTCCACGATGTGATAGGTATTTCTCCAACCACTTCTTCTGTGGGAACAAGACTATCCCCGCAGTTTTGCCTGCAACCCCCTCACTGAGAGAAGTGCCCACTTTGCAAAGATGGGCAGGTTCTCGCTGAAGTTGCTTCCTACCTCAGGGACTACCCAGCCTTCTAACCTTCTTCCCCTGCGTGGCTCCCTGGGCACACAGACTTGTCAACACCTTCGTAAAGAAGATGCGTGGTTTCCACATCACTAACGACAGACCGCAGTCCTCACTTCCTCTGCCTGCACCCCCTCTTCTATTTCACTCAGACCAAGTTTGGTGGCAGGCTCAAGGAAGCATATCCAACACCACTTAAGAAATTCATTCTAGAGTGGTTTGGGATTGGCACACAGCAAAGCCTGAGCATTTCTGATGATCTGAAACATGGTGTAGGAAAGGGGCCACTGGAGACCAACACGTGGCTTCAGCTCTGCCACCTACTTGCCATGTGTCCTTGGGCAAATCAGTGCACCTCTCTGGGGCCCAGTTTCCCCATCTGTCAATGACACAGGTTGGACAGTAAGATCCTTTCTAGCTCTAATGAACTCCAGTTCTGTGAAATCTGCTATGGCTTAGGACACACTGCACTTTAGCTTGAATTTATGACCCAGACAACTATTTGAACACAAATTTGATATTTCTTTTATGGAGAAATGAATGACATTCACAGGGTAATAACTAGGAAGCCATTTCAAACCCGGGATTAACAGGAAGAAAAAAACCCCACATCTCCAAACTTGCTAAATATAATTGTGTTTACACAACACTGATCTTATATGCCACTCTAAACACGAAGCTGTGTCTGTTAGCTGAAGTCAAAGGGCCTGGATATCACAATCCTAAATAACAATTGTAGAAAGCCTAGAAGCTTGTAAAGAATTAGCAGGAAAGAGACACCATCTCCTAGGGAAGTCCTTAGAGCTTAGGAAAATTTGAGAGTGGGGTGCTGGGACTTCCCAATGTGAAATTAATATCTTAAAAAAAGATAAAAACAATAAAGTCCCCAAACTTCTGCAAGCTTTCCAAGAGTCTGTTACAAGCCTGGCCCTTTTAGGCCCAGCCCCCCACCAAAGCCAGTACTGACGTCAGCTCACTGTCTCCATAGCCGGCAGCCCTGGGAGCTGAACTCACTAGATCAATGAAAACATCAACCATGCCAGACGTGCCTGCCCTGCTCCAAGCCTGCCAAGGAGCCAGGGGTTCAGGTGCAGAGCCGGGCCATCTGTCATTAGGCTCTGCTGTTAATTGCTGTGCTAATGAACAAGGTTTGAACTGGAGGCACGAAACGCACATGCAGATTTACACACAGCTCTGTAGTACTGTGTCCCATTCCCTGACAAGCTAGCACAGTCTCTTGGATGCAAAGGTAAAGGTGGCCAAGTGACATCACACACACAGACGTTGCATAACCCAACCAGCAGATACTCCAAGTGGCAGATGTGCAGAATTTTTCAGCTAGGTGCTCATTCCTCCAGTCATCCATCTACTCAACAAATACTGGCTTGGTCGTGGCCACCATGTCAAATGCCAGGGCTCCAGAGATGACAACAACAGGGTCCCTACCCTCAGGGGATCATATCCTACCAGGGGAGATAGAGAGGTGAACAAACAGGACAAATACAGGTTGACAAGTGCTAAGAGAGAAGTCAGAGGCTGTGGGAACAGAGAGGAGGAGTATCTAACCAGCCTGGAGTATCTGGAAGACTTCCTGAAGGAGGAGAAAACACCTGGGCTAAATCTTAAAGGAAGACCAGAAGCTACCCAGGGAAAGAAGTGAAGGAAGGCATTATAAACAGAGAGGCCAGGAGGTAAGAGAGAACTTCAGTGTCTGGGGACACAGGGAGTCAGATACAGGAGGCTCAGAGTGGGCGATGGGAGGTGAAGAGTGAAGACACTGGGGTATAGAGAGTGAGGATGCTGGAGAAGAAGGTGGGGTGCAGATGGTGACGAGTCCTGAAGAGCAATTGCTTTGCAAACCTTGATCAAGCTCTTGCAATGTGCAAACGATGGCATTAAGTCAATGTGGGGGCCCTTGCCCTCATGGCACATGGACTTCCTAGAGGAGAAAGAAGAAGAGTGGCTCGGAAGAAGAAGAAATGTCACCAGACTGAGTTAGTCAGAGAAGGCCTCGCTCTAGAGGAAGCAGAACTGGGCCTCCAGCTTCAGGCAGAACTTCAACAGGTGAGCCAGTGCCACCACCCAGATGTTTTGTGTATGTTGCCTCACCAAATCAATGATGACATGACATCTTCCCATTTTCCAGGTAGGGAAACTGAGGCCCAGAAAGCTTAAATAGTTTGGGAGCTGGGAAGTGGAACAGGAGGGATGCACTGTTCCTGACTCCAGAGCCTGTGCCCCATCCATTTCACCTTGCTGCTCCCCAAGGCTTTCCTGGTCAAGGGAACAGCCTGACAAGCATGGGGAAGGCATGTGAAAGGCACACAGGAGGACCGGGCAGGAGGCGGTTTTCACTGGAGAAGGGAGTTCGTGTGGAGGAGATGGGGGCCTTGGGTGTGGAGTGATGGTCAACAGAGCAGCACAAGCTTCAGCTTTGAAGTCTAGGAGCCCAGGGACAAGTGAGGTACCCTCTCCTGGCTGCAGACTTCTCACTGCAAAATGGGACCTAACACCTGCTTCCTCTGGATGAATTCTCCAATGAGAACCCAGTGAGATAATGAGTCGAGTGCTTAGGAGATGGCCTCATGCCTTGTGAGTCCTCAACTGTGGATGATATGATCATTTTAATCAACAGCCATCATTATTCCCAATAATAATAACTGCAAGTAAGACCCCGGAGGTAGGTTGGGGCTGGTATATGGAGGACGCTGAGCTCTAGGCAGCCATGCCATCAGGATTCTGTTGACATTGGGGAATTAAAGTGACAATTCTTAAGAACAGACGTGAAATAACAGCTTGGACAGAGCATGTTCTCTTCTACAGAATAACACAGCAACTCCCTTATTCAGAAGTGTCATGATTTTTCTCCTATGCAGAAAAATTGTATCACAGTGAAGAAAGGCATGCCCAACACTTCAAATGCTGGCCACAAGGTGCCAGTGGGGGTGACAGTGACCATCTGAAGGCTGGACACACACCAGTGGCACTCCAGTGGTGAGGAGGCTCAGGAGGGCCTCATGGGTTCCAGCAGGGGCCAGGGGCACTCTGGATACCCCCGGCTGGTGAGGAGGGAAGAAGGCGGGGTCACTGTTGCTGGCCCCTTACTGCTGACACTATGAGCCTCTTGAAGGTGTGGGGCCTCATCCTCTAAGCTGTTTATCGCTGAAAATCAGAAACCTCTGGAGGCCACACTCCTGTAAACACAGAAGCAGATGCTCCCTGGACCACTCCTCTCTCTATCAAAAAGAATAAGGCAGTGGGCTCCTCCTCCAGTGGTGGGCTTGGAGACGATGGAGGGAGGCGAATGCCTTGTGAGGGGTGCAATGTGGCTTCATTTTGAGCCTGTCTCCCACCTTCTTGCTGTTCTGCAGAAGAGGGAGGCTGTGTGGTGGCTTCCAAGCGGCACAGCCATCCTTGAGGAAGGCAAGTGGGATCTGGCGTATGTCGGGCACCAACAAGTCCTTGAGCTCATTTACTGTCTTGTGACCTCTCTATGTAGCAGGCCTTATCCTCACTTTACAAACAAAAATGTGGCCCCAAAAGGGCAAATGACTGTCCAAGCCATGCAGCTAGTAGGCCACTGAGCTGGATCCAAACCCATCTGCCTAAACTCTAAAACCCCAGTTTTAGCCCCTGCCAAATTCTGCCTCTCAGAGCAGAGGGTGGGAGAGAGAGTAGTTGGCTACAGTTCTTCACAAAAGTGATTGAATGATAGTGGCCAAAGAGAAAGGAAGGGTCCAGAGCCATGCAGAGGGACAGTCCTGGGTTTGCATTTCTGCTGGAGCGACCGTTGGCACGTTACTTATTCCCTCTGATTCCTGCTTCCTCATCTGGAAAATGGATCTCAGAAGGCCTATGTGCAGGGTGGTTGTGAAGACCAGACACAAAAGACTGAAGCCCTTGGACTTCAATAAGTGCTCACTGATATCAGATATAATTATTGGTTATTATTACAGAGTGGCAGATAGGGTAAGGAGCTCCTCAAATATCCCCACTAACGCATAAGATAGGTCAAGAATGAAACTGTGAGCTGCACAGGGCGTGAGAATTTTCTTCTGCCTCCCCGATAACTGGATCCTTTATTGCTGAGCACTTATGTACATTATCTAATTTCATCTTACCCAAAACTCAGAAACTAAATGTCCCATCACTTAGAGAGCCAGCTCCGATTTGGCCGTGGATTCTAAAGCCTGTGCTCCTCAAAGCTTGGCTCTCTGCTGCTGTGGATCACAGCTACCTAGGACTTGGGGACTGGCCTCTGGGTCCATGGTCTCCAAGAGGAAGCCTGGTGTCTCCTCACAGCCCCCTCACCCTCCTCTCAGAGGGTCTGCCCAGCAGTAGCACGTGACTCAATCACTCTTCTAAACCCAGTGGCAACCACTGGCCACCCACTATGAATGACCCAAGTGGAAGAGTTCTCTCCAGATGGGGAGACGCAGGGTTCAGCTTGGAGTGTTTGGGTTCCAAGGCCCATCACCACGCCCCGCCTCATGGCCAAATGGCTGTTGGACCCAAATGCAGGCTTGCAGGGTCCAAATAAACCAGATAGGCAGGCGCATGGGCCTTCTTAAAAGATTCCAAGGCTGTTCTTCCATTCCCTTTCCATCAAACCGCTGCCTCAGCCCACAGCGAGGGCCAGGGGAGCTGTAAAATCCCCATTTGCCACAATTAGCAGATGAGTAATGAAATGGTAATGGCAGCCAGCAGTGGCCTCTGCTCTCCCAAGGCCCACGCCCCTGCCTCCTGTGAGTGCCAGCTTGGGACTGAGACCAGCAGAGCACCTGGTACCCAGAGGTACCTGGAGACACACCACTGGGCCCTCGCTTGGCAAAGTGCATCTTCCTGTTCCCCCTTCCTGAAATCTGAGCTGTCTTTGATATTCCTGGGGAGCTCATGTCCTCTATGAGAGGCCTTAGCTTAGGGTCTCCAAAGATAGGGTAAAATAGGGGAGGGGGCCCTAGAGGATGGGAAAGGAGGAAGGAGGGAAAGGGGGAACAGCATTTGCATAGAGCTTGGGGCAGGAAGGAGCTGTCACTGAATGGAAAGCAGGCAGCGTGGCTGAAACACACAGTGAGGTACAGGATTGGGAGGCAAAGACAGTCAGGTACACTGAGGTATGGGACAGGGAGGCAGAGACAATCAGGTGGGCCCCACAGGCCACGGGGCGGATTTTGCCTCAGGGTTGGCAGGGCATCCCATGGCTTCTTCCCTTCTGCCCTGGCAAGTCATTTAATACTTTTCTAGTTTTCAGCAGCATTTTAAAATTCATCTGTAGCTGGCCGTGCGTGCCTGAAAATGAGCTGGTGTCAGCTCCTGGGCTGTTGTCTAGTAAAATGCCCATGAGTGTTTGTTTATGAGTGCATCGCAATAAAAGGATTAGAGGCAGCCATATCCTTCCAGGGGTCCCTGTGGTCAGTGGCTGCCTGAGCGTGGAGGAGAGTGGAGCTCTGGGCACCCTGCCAGGAAACACTCTGTCTCCTTTGGTCCAGCAAAGAAAGGACCTCAGTGCCCTCAGGCCCTAAGAGTAAAGTTAAAGAAAGCCTGGGCCAGAGAGAAAGAGTTATCCCTCCAAATGCTTCCGTCTTGCTTAGTTAATCTAATCTGCTTTATGTAGCACAAAATAAACACAACCCCTAATTAGCAGGTTCATGCTGCAGCTGAATTCTCAAACGCGCTTCACAGATTCCAGCCTCAGCATTCCCAGAGAAGGCCCAGGATCTCCCTGAGAGGCCCAGTTGGTGTTTGTGGAATCATCACTCCTCTGGTGATCACGCAGTTTGCCTCACTTTCTCCATGGAGCTCTTTGCTAAAGGACATTCTCCTCCAGGTCAGTGCTCCAGCCAGCCAGCCCCAGCCTGGAGGGTCTGCTTAAATGAGATGGGAGGGGTAACATGGTGCATTGACATGCTGGGCTGAATCTCAAACCAAGGCAGGGGCAGCCTTCCTGAATGTCAAACCTGGAAAAGGGGGATTCTGTCATTCCTTCTTTCATTCAGCAACTAGTTACAGAGCACGCACTCTCTGTTAGGTGGCAGAGGGAGCTAGAGCTACATCATCAGGGTTCAAACCCTGGCTCTACCGTCTCCGAGCTCTGTGGCCTTGAGCAAGGGACTTACTGCTTTGTGCCTCAGTTGCTCCACCCATAAAATGGTGATAATGAAAGCACACATGTTAAAAGGAAACGTGAAGATTAAATAAGGCATAAAGAGTTAGGACAGCCCCTAGCACACAATAAGCACCTTACGAGAGCCCATGCTGCATGAAGGCAGAACTGTGCACCTGCCTTGTTCATCATTTTATCCAGGCACCTGGGAAGCCTGCCCTGAGAGGCCCAGTTGGTATTTGGTGGTAGAAGGCAGGTGTTCCACAAAGATTTTGGGAACGAATTATGAATTAATGAAGTTGAGTGGTTGTTCTTGTTATTATTATTATTGTTGTTAATATTGCTTACTTCAGGCTGCTATAACAAAATACCATAGACTGGGTGGCTTATAAACAACAGATATTTATTTTTCACAGTTCTAGAAGCTGGAAGTCTCAGATCAGGGTGCCAGCATGGCCAGGTTCTGGTGAGGGCCCTCTTCTGGGTGGCAGACTCTCATCTCATTGTTTCGTTTCCTTACACAGCAGAAAAGGTGAGGGAGCTCTATGGGGTCCCTTTTATAAGGATGTGGATCCCATTCATGAGGGTTCCACCCTTATGATCTAATTACCTCTCAAAGGCCCCGCCTCCTAATCCCATCACACTGAGGGTTAAGATTTCAGCATAGGAATTTTGAGTAGGGGCGCAAACACCCCGTCCAGGGCAATTATTACCGTTATACTCTGTAAGCTCTTACACGTCATGCCAGGAACACAGGAATGAATAAGTCAGATGTGATCTCTGCTTTCATTTATCAGATGAGAGGAATGTTAAACAACTAATAAATGTTTGCTGAATGATCAAGCGAATGAACTAATTACATGATTATTTAATTACAGCTGTGAAGGAAAAGCCCAACAAAAGGCAGGGTACTTTGTTCTAACTGAGGATGTCTACTGACACAGCCAAGCTGTAAAGCAGACCACGGACGGCAGTGCAGCGGGGAGAACAACTCTACATCTGGTTGGAGGTGGAGTAATGTCCAGTCTGGGCACAGAGAGATGGCAGGTGTGCAGCTGCACTCAGCATGGGATAGAGGTACCTGATCTAACCACAGAGAAGGGGTGGGTCAGGAGAGCTTCCTGGGCTGAATGTTAAATAACAGAATTGAAGTCAATTGAGCCAAGGCAAGGGTAGGCTGTTTCCCCTTTACTTCCTGTGAATCTCAACATTTAGCATGGGTCTGGAACATCACAGATGCATAACAAAATGTGTTGAATGAATGGATGGCTGAATGACTGAATGAATGAAGCTTTGATGAAATTCCCCTAGGAGTCTGTTATCCAGGAAAGTTGAACATCCATTAATCTTTCCAAGCCCAAATGAAGAAATTGAAGCCCAGAAGGAAGAAGTCAATAGCCCACTCTATTCACCCTACTTCTCTGTCCCTCTTTAGCTCTGTGCTGCTGTTTGAGAGGAATTGTTTGCTGTCCCAGCTATGCCCTCTTGTATTTTTACAAAGCACAGTTTTGTTGTTCCCAGCAAACATAGTATCTTTCTATGGCACAGGCTGGACGCCATTCTACACCTCCATCTTAATGCAAAGTTGTTCCCCAATGCTAGGGCTCAGTCCATGCTTGGTTTTGCAGCCATGTCTCTATCAGTAGAAATCCTCAGCTATAACAAGATTATTTTTACCCATTGATCCTAGTGGGCTTTCTTACCTGCAAAGGGTCTTAGGGGACACCAGGGTGGGAACCACAGAACCCTGACTGAGAACCACTCCTTTAGGAGCCTCCTCTGGCTGTTTGGTGTACCACTGGTGCATGGTGCAATATCTGGATAAGCCTGGCCAAGAGCCTAGTCTGCTTCTGGGGGCTTATCCTGAAATTCTGGAATGACTTCTGAACCTTTGATGCTCAACCACCTCCTCTTTGCAGGGCTGAAAATAACTTGGCCACTTCCTGACAGGCATGACTGGTGTCAGTTTGGGGTGCATGATACTGAATTAAGTGCCAGGTACAGATGGGCAATTTGGGGGCAGTTTTACTTAATCCGCCCAAAAGTTCTGCAAGGAGGTGTCATTATTCTCATTTAAAAGTGGAAGAAATCAAAACTCTAGAGGTTTGGTGATTCCACTCAAGGATGTGTGAGAGTTCAGAATCAGAAGCAGAAAGACTTAAACCAGGGAGATAAATGCCCCAAAGGAGGAACACCATGCCAGGGCACGCTCACATGCAGAACCTCCAGGCTTTCACTAGGGTGGCTGTGAGTTTTTGCAAACTTTGGCTCTAAAGGGATCATGTAACAGGCATGAGAAACCAAGAAAGTGGACTGCGCAGGCCAGGAGAAGGGAGTTAGCAGTGATTCCTTCTACTACTTTCTCACCAATCCACATCCTTTCTCTTCTGCAAAACCCATTTCATCGTATTATTATTTTTTTTTTTTGGAGAGAGAGGGTCTTGCTATGTTGCCTGGTCTGGTCATGAACTCCTGGGTTCAGTTGCTCCTCCCACCTCAGCCTCCCAAAGTGCTGGGATAATAGGTGTGAGCCACCATGCCCAGGTGAAATTTCATCTTTTTAATTCTGTTAATAACTTCATCTACCATTGTGTCTTTCTTGTTTGTTCACTGAAATTTCATAAAACCCCACTGCTGACATGAATACTTGGGTATGTTGTATATGGTGACCTTGGTCTGTTGCCCAGCCTCTGGAAACTCAGGTCCTCATCCAGGTGGAAACACCAGCCCAGCAGGAAGTCCCTTGGCTTTATTGCCGTCCTCATTTCTCCTACTCTCTGTCTGCAGAGATTGTTGAACAGTCAGAGGGACCAAAATAGAGCTAGCCAAAATTGCAAGTGCATTCTATCATCTCCCCCGAACCCTCATGCTCCTGTCCCACAACATCAGCCAAAGGAAAACAAAACAGGGAAAGTAGACATGGCTCATTTTGCTTGTAACAAAGAGATGAGTTGTGGTGAAGAATTAACCAAGGTGCATAAATTAGCACAATCCTATAGGTTGTAAATAAATCAGCCTTAAAAGTGTTCACAACTTAAGCCTCTTTTATCCTCAGCTGAGAAAGCCTTCTGTGATTTCCCGCCCACGGTGTTGTTAGTAAGGGTGGCAGTTCTGGACTTTGGGGGTGGGAGTTGTTAGGAAAGGTGGCAGTTCATTCGGTATTGTGGGGCTCAAACTTCAATACTACACCATTGGCTTAGGAGAAAGAGGGGCCTATGTCACCTTTTACTTGCAGCAAAAAGACAAAAGATCCCCATCATGTGGTAGAAGCTGTTCTGAGTTCTGCAGCTCTTGGAGTCCCTTAGAGATCTCATTTGATCTCAAGTCTTTAAGTCCATCTCTACACATTGATGACATCCTAATTTATATCTCCAGCCAGGACATCTTCCTGAATTACATGCTCATAACTCCAGCTGCCTATTTGACTTCTCCACTTGCACATATAAAGAAATCTCCACAGTAACACTTTAAAACCAAATTCCTGCTATTCTCTCCCAAACCTGCTGCACATGCAGCCTTTCCCATCTCAGTCAATGGCAAGCCCATTCTTCTAGTTGCTCAGGCTGAAACACTTGGAATCAACCTTGATTCCTTTCTGTCACTCACATGCCTCATCCCATCAACCAACAAATCCTCCCAGCTCTACCTTCAAAGCAACCACAGTCCTAGCACTTCCCACCCCACCCTGCTTCCACCTGGTCCAAGCCTCCAGCATCACTTCCTGAATCGCAGTAACTGCCTTACAGAGTTATTTGTATCAAGGGAAAACTGGAAACTATTCTAGTATCCATAATATATATTTTATCTCTTAATTTTCAAGGCTTTTGTACTCTGGGTTGTCAAACTATTTAAGATGCTGCTGAAGAGCAATTAGCATCTGGGAAGATGTTCACATGAAATTACAAAGTGAAAAAAGGATATGTAGAAACTGGAAAGTTATATTGGAAAATGCTCTCTGGTTCTGAAATTGTAGAATTTTAAATTTCTTTTTACACTTAAAAAATTGTGTTCATGATTTGGAAAAAATACAATTAAAAATAAAATGATGGAAAAGTAAAAGACAGAAGTAGAGAAAATACATGGTTGATGTAGAGGACAGAGAGGCTGCAAGTTCCCTCTCAGGCATGGAATATAATATTTGAGCTGTAAGTGCTGTGAACCCCCATTTTATAGATGGAAAAAGAGAGGTCCAGAGATACACAGTGAGTTGCCCAGAAAAATAATGCCTGCTTTCATTTACTCCTGTGTACCAGACATTGTGCTATGTGCTTTATAAATATGAAAATTTGTATTCTCCACACTGGCTATATGAGGTTAAGAATATCTCCCTCTACCACTCCATCCATTCTACAGATGAGGAGACTGATGCTTATACAAGTTATATAATTTGCCCAAAATCACATGGCTAGTCATATTCAGAGCCGGTACCCAAACCCCAAAGGTCATGCTCTTAACTATCACTGTTTTCCTACTTTCCAAAGTCAGACATTCAGCTGGGAAGGAGAACCTAGATTTCCAAACTCCCAGTCACCTTGCACCATTTTGAAACGAAGGGTGGATGATTAGAATTAAACAGCTCAGAGGCCCCAAAAACTCCTCCTCATGCCCCTGCTTCAGCCCAGAGCACAGCCTGGGCCTGCCTGGGCTGCAGCCATCTCTTCTGGTTCAACTCATGAGTCCAAAGCTTTTCCCTCTTTGAAGGAGCAGCTGCTGCGGGCAGGAGACTTCCAGAGAACATGAAGTAAATCAGTGTTGGAGACTGGCCTGGCGTTGGAAGTTTCTCCCAGAGCCTGGCCTTCCACCCAGAATTCTCTCCTTTGTGAGCCCCACCGAGGCAGTAAATGCATAATGGATTTAGGGACCATCCCCTAAGGTTAAATGTCAAACACACCTTCAAATAAAATGTCAGGGATAAAAACAGTTAGTGAGTTGGTCTCTCTGAGATGCGGAGAAAGTGTACTCTGGTCATTTCCGCAGCTTCCAGGCTGTGTGGAGAATCCTGTGGCCTAAAGGGGAGAATTGGGTTGAGGAGTTGATAAATATTTTCACCTAAAATGTCGGTAAAAATAAGGTCAGAAAAACCGCAATGTTAAAGAGCTGCAGAATGTGTGTTGAGAGGATCTGGTGAGAGAATGTTACATAAACCCTGGGTGAACAGAATTGTTGTTCTAGTACTGAGGACAACAGTCTCCCTCCAAGCTTGAAAATGAGTACATTAAGATTTTCCTGCTAGAGGCACCCTCCAAGACAAACACAAAACACCCTAGAGAAGAGCTGCACAAAAGCATCATGATGAGGCAGAATAGCCCCCAGCCTGCAGACCTAGGTGCCAACTTTGGTGCAAATCTTAGCATTGTAAAAGAAAATATACAGATTAGGCTGAAATGGTGGGGCAGGGTAGAGACTGGCATATTAGTCTCCTGGGGCTGCCACAAACTGGGTGGCTTAAAGGAACAGACATTTATTGTCTCACATTTCTGGAGGCTAGAAGTCCAGAATCAAGGTGTGAGCAGCGCCATGCTCCCTCTGGAGCTCAGGGTAGAATTCTTCCTTGCATCTTCCTAGCTTCTGGTAGTGGCCATCAAGCCTTGGCATCCTTTGTGTACAGCTGCATCACTCCCATCTCTGCCTCTTCATTGCACAGAGTTGCCCATCCCATGTGTGTCTCTCTCCTATTCTCAAACCAGTCATATTGGATTAAGGGCTCACGCCACTCCAATAACCTCATTTTAACTAATTACATCTGTGATGACTTTATTTCCAAATAAGGTCACATTCTGAGGAATTAGGGGTTAGGACTTCAACATAGGTTTTTGGAGGATCCAAGTCAACCCATAATAGTTGGCCCACAAAAGAAACGAAAATAATGGGAGCATCAAAAGGGAGAGATTTACATAGTGTGCCAAGCATGCCTGTGCTTCATGGGGACAGGGCCCATGACTGTCTACACCACTAGATCCCCTTAGGCCACACCCTGGCCCAGGACACCACTCTGTCCCCTCCACAGAGATGCCCTGCTGCTGATGCACAATGAAAGGAGTGTGGCAGCCACATCAGGGTGCCATCACCCTGGGATCTGACTGTGTAACCAGCAGGGCTTCCCAAAGTAGCCCTACTCTACAGTTTTCCATGCAAATAACCACTGCAAAGATTGGGGTCATTCGACATTCTACTTGCTTTTCAACACCTGTGGGTCTCAACTTTTTCTGGTTGAGAATAACACCCCTTTGAATGCAAAAACTGTGGATGACACACTGGAAGAGATAAAGAAACGTGAAACACCACCAAACAAGTCAGCAAGAATAACATCACCATTGCTGCAGCAGAAGCAAGTCTCACCCTTTCTATAAAAATGCCCGGTCATCACACTTGTCACACATGGTCTAGAAATGCAACTGCAGAAATCACAAGCTTCTAGTCAGCCCTCCACACCGCCCCTGCCCCAGCCTGGGTCTCTGTGCAGGTAGAGTTACGTATCGTCCTTCTTGGGCTCCCCTACATATTTCCAAAGCAAAGTTCTCACATATCTCAAGAAAATCAAAGGGATTCACTATTTTACTTCTTTACAGGTTGTATCCCTCTCTTTGCAGCATCATCCAAGCCAGTGTCACAGCACAAATATTCAGTTATTGCAAAATGCAATATCGTGCTGATCTGCATAGTCTGGTGGCATGCCTGTGAAGGGCTGTGTGGCATGTCAGTATGAAAACACACTGCTGGGAAACCCTCTCCAGCACTGACAAGGAGAAGGAGACCAAGTTATTTTCAAACATTTTCTTTTCTCCTGGCAAAGGGTGAAACAGGAAAGTGGCTTCCACCTGGTCCCGAGTTATTCAGCAATTCCAATTAGTCATTTTGCCCCATTCTAGTTAATTGAGCTTTCACTCTAAGATCCTAAAATAAAATGTGAATGCAGAACAGTTACCTTGTGGTTTTAGCCTACCAGCAGGGGATGGGACCCTTCCTTTTTAATTTTTTCCCTGCCTCCCTCCCCGTCATCTAGCCTCCCTCTCTGGTTCTCCCCAGACACATGGGCCATTGGTAGTTGGCACCTCGGAGGCATTTACCATTACTGCCCACCTTGCTCAGTCTCCTCTCATGGAGGCCAGTTTTAGTCTCTGTCTCTAATTAAGCCCTAGCCTCTGTACCCAGAATCTTCCCAAGAAAGCAAACTGCCAGCTATGAGTTTCACTTTACAGCCCATGCAAGGCTGTTGTCCCTCAAGACAAACTGCCACCCTTCCTACAGCCCCCAGCTCTCAGAGTTGATCAGACCCTCCCCTCTTTCCACCCCTCAGAGTCCCAACAGAGCCTCCTAGGTAGAGAGCTCTCCAGGGAATGAAGTGGTTTCCTGATGGGAAGGGAAACAGAGAGTTTATCTGTTTCCTTTGGAACCTGTCCATGCAAAGCAATGTCAAAGACTGGGCTGGGGTACAAAAGGCATTAGGCAGGGACCCAGAGGGCAATGTGCAGAATTCTGGCCACAGCCCCCAGAATGTGTTGTTACTGGCTATGTCCATTCTTATTTGGCAAGCAGTCTTTGGACAGGCGTTTGGTTTTCAGGCTGGGCTTGATGTGTCCTGGGTCAGGAGGGAAAGGCTGGTGGCCATGCTGGATCACAGGGCTTGAGGCTGGGGGGAGGCTGCAGAGCTTGGCAGGGTTCCAGCAGTGGTGCGGGCTGAAGGGAGTCACCACCGGGAACCCAGGCCCGGGCAACAAGAGGTTCTCTCATTCTGGCTTCTCCCTCCAGCACCACCTGCCAGGCCAGAACAGAAAGAAGGGCGACGGAGACTGGCAGAGAAACAGCAATTACTGCTCAGTGAGAAGTAAACAGCGTCTGCTTCCAGAGGCTTTACGGACCAGAAAGCCCACAGGAAATAGCTCCTGCTTCCCAGCCTGGAGGTCCTCATGCACTAGCCCTCCCTGCTACAATTTTGATGGTTTTTCGCATATTTACAGAATTGTGCAACCATCACCATGATCAGTCTTAGAAGAGTTAATCACCCCTGACCCCAGAAAACTCTGTATTCATTAGCAGTCACTCCCTTTCCCCTTTCCACCCCTCTCCAACATTAGGCAACCACTAATCTACTCTCTGTCTCCATAAACTGGTCTATTTTGGACATTTCACATAAGCCTCCCTGGATCCCAGTTTAAGCATCCTGGGGTTTGTCTGCCTGCCAGAGCCATGGTGCCACTGGGGCTACCTGTCCTGTGGGATGACAAGGCAGGTCCAAACCTTTGCCTGCTCTCCCATCCATTCCTTTTGTGTTAGTCCATGTGTCTCCCGACTGTTCTCTCCAACAACAACACAGACTGACAAAACCTACTGACTTGGAGTCAGGAACAGACTTTGCTATTTTCTGGCTGTGTGATCCTGATGAGTCCCTTGAACCTCCTGGACTTGTTCCTCAGCCTAAAAACCAAGACTAATAAATCAAGTCTATCTCACAGCCTTACGTGGGGATCAAAAAACATGGAGCATGTGAACACACATTGTACATCACGAAGCTGTATGCAAATAAATATCGTGTAACTCCAGCCCTTTTTGAGTTTATAAATAAAAGTGAAAACCTCATAACCCTAAGTCCTCCCCTTCCTTGCCTCTATTCCTCTGTGCTCGTTGGTCTGTGTGCCTACTACACAGCTGCCAAGGATAACTCAAGAGACCCAGCCATGAGAAGCAAGAAGAGAAGAGCTGACTACTTTCCAGTCCAGTGTCCCTAGATGAAAAAAACAAAATGATCAGCCCTGGGCTGGGTAACCTGTTGCCCGAAAAGTGCTGGCCCTGCCACAATACACAGGCACCATGCAATGACCAACGGACTTCGGGCTGGGGCAGTCCTGGGTAAAGCGCTGGCTCTGTTATGCCATCTCTGCCAACGTAATTAACCTCCTCTCACCTGTTTCCTCACCTGTACAATTTGGAATAAAAATATTTACACCCTTGTGAGGCATCTGCTAGGATCGCCCGACATAAGGGCTCAGCACAGAGCCTGGCTAATGATAAACAATGAATTGCAGCCACTGTGATTAATGCTGTCATGGTTGTAATGATTACTGCTGTTATCAGAGAAGGAGACAAGAAATCAGTATGGAGAACTGGCTCTCATGTAGGTTTCAGGACAGCATCCACAACCTCTCTGGACCCCAGTTTCCTCATGTTTAAAATAGACATAAAAATAGTAGCAAACTCATAGTGTAACTGTGAGGGTTAATGACTTCACACACTTAATGTGCTTAGAACAGAGAGCTATGGATTTATCACTGGATCTCCTAAGACAGTTTCCCTCATCCCCTCACAGATCCACAACCACTCCTGTGTTTCTTCCTCTCACGTTCTCCTCTATACAATCTCTCTTGGTCCCTGTTTTCCATTTAAAAGGTTCTTCTGGTATTTCTCCAACTTGCATAATAGCTTCTAGTTTTCCAATCTCATCGAACAGTCTGTTTGCACCTGCAAAAGTCAAAGAACTGAAATATTTGATAGATCCTCCTGGAAAAATGCTAATGCCCAGTAAAAGAATGACCCCAGGAATGAGAAAAGACCTCAGACCCATCCTTGAAGGTGGGTCCCTGCCTGCTAAACCCAGCTCATAACATTTTTTTTTTCCTATTTCTTTCCAGTTGGATGTTTTGGGTGAGATTAAAGCAATTCTAGCAAATGTCAGGGGCTCAACTGCCCAGTGCATTAGAATAAAATTTCATTTTCTCCTTAGAGTTTTAGGGGCAGTGATTCTAAGGCTTTAGGGGGGAAACATTGATGAAATCTAAAGAACCAGCAAAGAGAAGGTGGGGCAAACAATTATCTTCTCATCTTGCCTGCTGCTGCTGATTGCATTATCATTTATCGCAGTGCCTGCTCTCACCTAGGAAAAGCATCTTGCAATATCGGGTTGAATAAATATCCCAACCATCGGTGCGGGAATACAAGCCCAAATCAGCCAAATCTTCAGTGCATTTGCATCTAATCCCTTTATAATCCTTTCTATGGAATGCAGTAAAAGCTGAGCAAGACATTCCAGCCTTCCCTGGGTGCACAGGACACACACACCCTTGCTCAAACTCCATAATGTAATTATCCAAGGTGCCTCCTTTGAGGGTTTGGGGCCCCAGCACTCATGCTAATGACGTAGTTCCTGTCCAAGATGATTTTGTGCACTTGCATGCGCATGCACACACAGACACACACACCCACACACACAAACACACTAATAAACAATAGGGGACGAAACCTCCAAAGGAAAGTGAATGAGTTGGCACAGACCTTAAGGGTTGCCTCGCTCACTCATCCCCAACCCCATTTTACAGAAGAGGACACTGAAGTCCAGAGTAAGGGACTGACAAGTCCTAATGCTCTGTCCTTTTTCTGTTTCCTCATTTGTCACATGCAAATAATTTCTTCTATATTGCAGGGTATTTGAGGATACAATGAGAAACACAAGCCCTGAAATGTAGTAGATGCTTAATAATTTTACTTTCTGCTCTTCCTTCTCAAACTACCCAGTTATGTAATAATTTTGTTTTGTTTGCTTTCTCCTGAACACTTAGTAGGACCACAATATTAAGGAAGCTAGGAAATTTATGAAGGGCTCACCTTGCAAAGCATAAGCTTTTCCCCCAGGGCAGATGTTGAGATTTCGGAGGTTTTACTTGCTAGTTCATTTATTTAACAAATTCAGAGTCAGCCACTGTTACAGGCATTTGGGGATTCAATAGTGAATAAAACATTTATTGAGAGAGATAAATCTTAAATCATTATACTCATAATCATTTAATTAAAATTCTGATTAAGTGATACAAAAGGCAGACAGGTGGCTGTTGGAGTACAGGACGGGGAACTTAGAGACTGGAGTGGAGGATAATCAGGGAAGGCTTCCCTGAAGAGGTAACATTTACATGCAGGTATGAAAGGTGATTAGGAACTCGCCCAACAGTAAATGGGACTGAGAATGAGAACTGCGAAGAGAAGCCCAGGAGGAAGGAGTAGAAACATATGCAAAGGCCCTGAGGAGAGAAGGTACCTGCCACACTTAAATAACCAAATAGGATTAGCAGGAAGTCCAAGGGGCTGGTTTTGTGCTTGTATGCTTATTTGTTTTTCTTTAGTTTGGAAGAGGACAAAGGTCAGCATCCATAGAGCCCTGGGGAGGAAGGGCCATTAGAGTGGATAGTCAATGAGTCAGCCTTGACTCATCCTGACCCTGATTCTGACCCATGGATCAGGTCAGGGTAGGAGTTGCTGCAACTCCAGAGGAATCAGTAGGACAGCCTCAGGAAGAGAAGGCTGAACCCCTGAGACAGAGCAAGGCTGGTCCACAGAGCAGCCCCCATCAGCATGTGCTTATTAAAACAATCTCCCTCCTTCATCCCACCCCACCACTGCCCTTGCTATAAAAGGAAACATACTTTCCATTTCATCAAGGACCAACCTTTCAGAGCCAACTGAAATCCAGAAATGCATGTCTCTTAGGCTTCACGTATTTATTAATCCTCATCCCAGGGGCACTGTGTATAAGGGTTAAAAGCCTGGGCTCTGGAGTTAGACTGCCTGAATTTGAATCCTGACATTGTCATTTACTAGCTGTGTGACCTCAGGCAAATCTCTGAACCTCCGTGTCCTGATCTATAACTTGAGGATAACAATGGACTCACTGATAGGGTTGTTATAAAGATTAAATGAGATAATGTACACAACATAGGGACATATAGGTGGAAGCCTTCAATAAATGGAAGCTTTATGATGATTATAATGATGATGATTTCATTAATATCATCGGCATCATAGAAACCATGTAGTATCTGTCTATAATGCTCCAGAAACTGAGCTAAGCATTTCACATCCTTTATTTTCAATGTTCCTCCAACTTTGGTTTAATGATCCCCATTTTCTAAATAAGGAGACAGGCTCAGAGAAATTAAGTGATGCAGCTATTTAGTGACACAGTGCAGATTCAAACCCAGGCTCCAAAAGTAGTCTACCCTCCACATTTCTATACCAAATTAGCCACTTCTCATCAAAATCCTGTAAAATCCTGTTAATTACAACAAATGAGGATGAAGTCAGTTTATACTACCTGTTCATTAATTGGCAGATTTTTAACATCATTCCTTGTCCCAGGAGGACTCTCCAGGGGTCTATTATTACCATACAATTCTTTGGGGGAAATGAAACAACAGCTGGCCCTGCCAGTCACCATGGCAACACTCCTGTAACTACTAGAACCATGTCAACAGCAACTTTATACATACATACAGATTCCAAATTTGCACTTAACTGCTATATTATGTATGTACTTGTTCATGACACCACTTGGAATTCAGGTAGAGGTATTTTCAATCAGCTCCAACATCCCTTTCCTTCCTTGGATGTTTCCAAGACACCATCAAGCCAGGCACATTTAGGCAGAGAGGTTGCTGGGGAGAATAGAACATTGCCAAGCTCTGGCGCCAAATACTGCACTCTGGCAACGTGTAAGTGTAAGGCAGGCATTGTGGGTGTGTGACCTCTGCAATCACACAGGGCCTCATGCTCAGGAGGGCCCTGTGCTTGATTCAATACTCTGCTGGCCCCATCTTGAAATTCTTAATGATTTTTGAACAAGGGGCTCCACATGTCCATTTATCAGTGAGCCCCTCAAATTATATAGCCAGTTTTGTGTGAGGACAAAGCAATGGACAGATACTATGAAGCTCCTTTCTGGGTGGCATTTTCTCTTTCTTTTCTCCTTCCTTTCAGAGCTACCAAGTCACCCCACACTCTAGCTCAAGAGCTCTACCTGACCAAAACTCAATGGCCTTTCCTCAGGAAATCCAGCTATGCTAATGCCACCAGAACTGAGTCAGAACTCCTAACTCTACAAATATGGCTCCTCTGTATTGAGTGCCTGCTAGGTGCCAGGCACAACACTCAACTGGGACCAATATTATTTCTGATCTGGGAGATAGATAGGTATGATCAGCCCCATTTCACAGTTGAGGACATTGAGGCTCAGAGAGATTCAGTGACTTGTCCAAGGTCACACAGTGCATCAAACACAAATCTGATGAGCCTTCTCAAAGGCTCTTGATGCCACCTGCTTCCAGAACATTCTGCCACTCACTCTGCCTAGGCTGCTGCCCTGCCTGACTTGAGCTCAGGCAGTTCTGCCACTTGGGTCAGATCGGCTACAAGTCCTGGAGTATGGGCCCTTCCTAGCCCCATGCCTATAGTTTCTGGCTCCTCTTACCTCTTCCAGATTTGGATGAAAACACTCTCCAGCATGGGGTGGGAACTGGTCTCCTGAGAGGCTGCCATTAGGACTGGGTGATACAATCCTGAAGTGCAGAAGAGTTAACCCCCACTAGGAAAACTTTGACCAGTGGAAAATAGGAGTTGAGAGGGAGCAGGACACATACATTCCTTCTTCCTCTCTCCATGGACTGCTTCATGACAGTCTGCCTTGCCGCTCATCCAGCTGAATCCCACGTGTCATGCTGAAAGGTCTTGTGCAGTGACCTTCTGGGTGTCTCCATGGCTGTTTGTGACATAATAGCCATCAAGGAAACACACCACTTAGTGTGGCTTTGCATCCTTCTTTGCCTCGCTTCCTTGTGTCTCACCTTTGCTGCCATGGATTTGCATCTTCCAAATGAAACATCTCACTTTCAATTTTTGCCCCAGGCTCTATCTTCTAGAGAAGCTAGCCTAACATACATATAGGAAGGGCAGCCTTCCCACTCAGCCCAGGGTGTGGTGGAACTTCATTTAGGCTGCATGTGAAAATTGGCCACCTGCTTTGCTGTAAATGTGATTTGTGGTTCTCTACTGTCCAACTGCTGTAGGAATGGCCCCCACCTGAGAGATGCAATGGCCATTCCAGCTTGCTGGCCAGTACAGGCCTTCCTTCTTCTCTCTCTCCCCACTCCATCTGCATGACCCGACCCACCCCACCTCAAGGCATGGTTAATTGTTCATTAGTGACACCTGGCCCAAGTTGACCCAATGAATCTCTCCCTCTGTTGGGATTTTTAAACTCAGGACTAAGTGATTCCATCTCCGCTTCTTTCTACATACTCTCTCCAAAACCACATATGCAGTGTCTACAGCTCTAAGTAAGAAATCCTGGGAGTGGTCAGTGGACATCCTTTCTGTTATGTGGGTAATGTCAATCTGCAGCATGAGAGAAGAATTCCACCAATATGCAGAGAGAAACAGAGGCAGGAGCTACAGAGAATGTCCTAATGGCAGTCTCAGGTATGTGGCTTTCTGCATTCCAAAGCTCAACTGCTCTTCCACCCTCCCCAAGGTTCAGTTGCTCTGTGTGCTCACGCAGTAACCTCCATTAAATGTCCCTTGTGGCCTAATCCTATTCTAATTATGCTTTTGCCATTTGTGACAGACGGAAGTACAGCTAGCACAGTGTATTCCCCCAAGGGGTGAGAGAATGGGAAGATGGGAAGAGGCTAAGTTTTGGACTCCAACAGGCCTGGGTTTCAGTCTCGAACTCCATCACTTTCTATCTGTGGACCATGGACAAGTCATTTAACCTCTCTGTGCCTGAGGTTCCTCATCTGAAAATTAGAGGAATAACACTATGTTTCAAGGCAGATGTGAGGATCGAATTGGGACCAGTTTTACAAATAACATTCTTAGCACAGGGCCCCCACACAGAAACTGCTCAAAAATGTGAATTACTTTTTCCTACCTTACATGCCAGGGGGAGGGGCTATCTCTAAAGGCAGGCTTTGCTTCAGCCCCAGACCCCATTTTGTTGGGTCAGAAAGCACTGTTGGTTACTATAAACTGTCCTCATTCCCAGCACTTTGGAAGGGGAAAACAAGACCTAGAGGCCTTCCCCAGAAATCAGAGATTCATAAACTTTCATCCCTGAAGCGTATCTCTCAGATAGGATAGCTCCACCTTTCACATTGGGCTGCTCTGAAAATCCTAAAGAGTGGTCACTCAGTTTGGACTTGAATATGTCTCCTAACAGGAACCTCCCTCCCTCCCCAAAGCAGCGCATTACATTTTTACATAACTCTGACATGAATAAAGGTTTAAGTTTCCCTCTTCCATCAGGCTTGGAGTCCTTGACAGATTGGAAACTCCAGATTTCTATGACAGTAGGATTGAAGCCTTGAAAGATCTTAATGTCACCATCATGAGCCTAAAAGAGATCTTTGAAAAAGATACTACATGGATCATATGGTAGGAGTATGTTTAGTTTTGTACCAAACTGCCAAACTGTCTTCCCGAGTGGATATTTCATTTTGCATTTCCACCAGCAATGAATGAGAGTTCCTGTTTCTCCACATCCTCACCAGCATTTCGTGTTCTCAGCGTTCTGGATTTTGGCCATTATAATAGATGTATGGTGCTGTCCCATTGTCATTTTAATTTGCATTTGCTTGATGACATATGATGTGGAACATCTTTTTATATGTGTTTTTGCCATCCGTATATCTTGGTGAGGTGTCTGTTAAGGTCTTTGGCCCACTTTTAATCAGGTTGTTTGTTTCCTTATTGCTGAGTTTTAAGAGTTATTTGTATATTTTGGATAACAATCCTCGATCAGATTGTCTTTTGCAATTATTTTCCCCGCTTCTGTAGCTTGTCTTTTCATTCTCTTGACAGTGTCTTTCACAGAGCAGAAATTTTTAATTTCCAGCCATTATATTCCTTGACATTCACCTCAAAGACTTGAAAATTATGTCCATACAAAAACCTGTACATGGATATTTATTGCAGCTTTATCCACAATTGCCAGAACTTGTAAGCAACCAAGACATCCTTCAGTAGGTGACTGTATCCATTGTGGTACGTTCAGGCTATGGAATATTGTTCAGCACTAAAAGGAAATGAGCTATCAAGCCATGAAAAACATGGAGGAAACTCAACACATATTACTAAGTGAAGGAAGACAATCTGAAAAAGCTACAAATTGTATGATTCCAGCCACATGACGCTCTGGAGAAGGCCAAACTATGGAGACCGTAAAAAGATCAGTGTTTCCTGGGAGTAGGAAGGCGGGAGAGATGAATAAGCAGAGCACAGAGGACTTTTAGGGCAGTGAAACTACTGTGTATGATACCATAATGGTGGATACTTATCATTACACATTTGCCCAAACCCATACAAGGAACAACAGCAAGAGTGAACCTAATGTAAACTATGGACTTTGAGTGATTATGATGTGCCAGTGTAGGTTAATCAATTATAACAAATGTGCTACTTTGGTGACAGATATCGATAATGGAGGAGGCTGTGTATGTGTGGGGGGCAAGGGGTATATAGGAAATCTCTGTTAACTTCTGCTCCATTTTACTGTAAATCCAAAATTGCTCTAAAAAGAGGTCTATTCAAAAAGGCATTATATAACTCAATTTAATCAATTTAATCAAGACCATGTTTACACAGTACTTTGTGTCCACACATCATGATCATAAGACCAAAATCATGTTGGAAACTGAAGAAAGAAAATTACCTGACAGTCTTCCAATCCAGAGGCGAAGTCCAGGTCCCATCTCCTGGAATTCTGATAGGTTCCATGCCTACTTCAACTAACACAATGTGGACACTGCCAGTTTCCAGAGCCAGGACTTATGAAGCTGGCAGTTTGTATTCTCCGCTATTTGAAATACTGTCTCTGGGAGCAATGGACTTCAAACTCTGAAGCCACCATGCTAATGTGGCTGCATGTAGGTGTTCTAGCCAATAGTTACAACTCATATGTAAGTTGCTTTGCTGGAGGGATGGCTTGAAAGCCTGCCTGAATTTCTGACCCACAAAGTTATATCATAATAAAATGATGTTATCTTAAACTACTAAATTTTGGGGTGATTTGTTATGCAGTAAGAGATAACTGAAACAACCTTTGCCCCATCCAACAAATGGGAAAACAGAGGTATAACGAGGTAAATGACTTGCCTAGATAGCTGGGCAACAAGTGAGGCTGGACTCCAAGACTTCTTATTCTTAGCCCCATTTTTCTGCTTCATCTTAATTGCACTATGAAAACCTATAGCTGTCATCAGCAAAGCGTACCTGCCTTTAATTTTAACTAAGGTAACATTATCTGGCACTTCTGTAGCCTGGTGTCAGTAGAG
The DNA here is from genome assembly GCF_000001405.40 of Homo sapiens. Lineage (NCBI taxonomy): Eukaryota > Metazoa > Chordata > Mammalia > Primates > Hominidae > Homo > Homo sapiens. The sequence goes on along the minus strand of NC_000011.10, from coordinate 19,502,386 downwards.
TTCTTTGGCTCTATTCTAAGTGCTTTATGTCGATTTACTTATTTAATCCTCAGAACAAGCCTATGAGGTAAGTGCAATTATAATCTCTAAATTATAAATAGGGAAACTGAGGCACAGAATGATTAAGTAATTTGCCAAAGGTCATATAGTTGGAGGGGAGCAGAGCAGGGATTTGAACCCAGATATTTTTGTTCCTGAGACCATGTGCTTAACTACTGAGGCATATTCTCAATAAAAAAACCTAGAGTATCTTAGATCTCTTCCATTTATTAGATAGATCTCTTCTAATAGAGATGATCTGAATTCATGGCCACTATGTGTGGCTCAGTGCCTCGTATGGCTTCCACCATGAGTAATTTCTAAAAGGTCTCAAGACGCTTTTAGGAGACTTGAGACCCATCGACTGTTCACTTACAATGCGGAGCAAAGCTAAAAAGGATATAACTGCTTTATATCCAGTTGGGTGCAGCATCTTTTTGTCTGCCTGAAACTCCAACAGAGAAGCCAGGGCCACCCAACGAATGCCACAATTAATTTCCCAGAGCGCAATATTGCCTGTGGAAAGAAGAGACGCCGGCTCATTTCTTATTCATGAAGTCACACTGCCAAGCTTCATTTGCATGAAGTAATTTCTGCTGCTGCTACCCTACCATAAAATAAATCCATTTCTCCTACAGTATCTAGTATCTTTACACTAAGAGAAATGAGTAAGCAATATGTGCTATAAGAACACACCCTTTGGACCATTTTAATCAGAAACATGTCTGTAGCTAGCAATAAGTGATTTTATAAGAATATAAAATGTTTTGGGCTCAACATACTCAAAGGCGACTCTGCCTCAAGATCTGTTTTTGGGAATGTGTTTAGCATTTCTTCCTGCTTGGCCAAACACTGAGGTTTTACAACCAGTGGAGTTGTGGAATTATAGCTACTGTACCATCAACCAGAAAGAAAAAGAAGAAGAAAGGTAGGCAGGTCGGTAGCCAACAGAATCCTAATTAGATGAGGTACTGGAAATGTAGATGACTCCATGTATATAGAGAGAATAGTGGTCCTGCAAAGATAACCACACCCTAGTTGCTGGAATCTGTGAATATATTACACGCAAAAGGGACTGTGCAAATGTAATTAAAATTAAGGACCTTGAGATGGGGGAGAATATTGTGTATTATCCAGGTGAGCATAATCTATTCATGCGAATCCATAAAAGTGGAGAAACTTTCCCCACTGTAGACAGTCAGAGAGAGATGTGATTACAGATGAATGTTCAGAGAGAGGCAAGGTTGCTGACTTTGAAGATGGAAGGAGGAGCCATGAACAAAGGAATGTGGGCACCCCCTAGGAGCTGGAAATGTCAAGGAAACAGATTTTGCCCCCAGAGCACCCAGAAAGAAACACAGCCCTTCCGATGCCTTGATTTTAGCCCAGTGAGACGCTGTCAGACTTCTAACCTATGAAAGTGTAAAATAACAAGTTTGTGTTGATTTAAGCCACTATGTTTGTAGTAATTTATTACAGCAGCCATTGAAAATTAGTATACTTTGTATCAAAAGATCTTTGCCACTCACTAGCTGTGTGACCCAGCCTGAGCAACCTTACCCATCAGAACTAGCATTCCTCAGGGAATCAGAGCAAATTAGATAAAGCATCTGAAAGTTTTATAAGTCTTAAAGTGCATTGCAGAGATAAGATTTTAATATCATTAGTATTGTTATTCCAGTCAATTATACTCTGTTCAAGGGATAGCCCACGAGGGATGGCTGGAATTTTCTAGTTCATAATGCTTAAAAGTAATTTAAGCAACTAATACTATCTTCCTCCTGACCAAATATTTTTCAGATGTGATAAAAGTAAATTTAAAAAAAGACAAGAGGTGCTTAATCATTTCTTCAGGACACTTTTCAAGCTCTATCCTGGATAGTAATTGGGGATAGGAATGGGTGTATCAGCTTTTTATTGCCACACTAACAGTATGTAACAAACTACCCTAAAAGTCTGTATCTAAAAACAAGAAGTATTTATTTCACTTATGAGTCTAGCTCTGTGATCTTGGGTGAGTGTGGCTGGACACTGCTGGCTGTGGCTCAGCTCACTCTTATGACATGGTCAAATGGCTGTTGGGTGACTGGTTCCTTCTTCACATGCCTCTCACCCTCCATCAGACCAGCCTGAGGAGCTTCTCATGGCCACGGAATAGGAGCAACAGTGGAAATGTGCCAAGGTCTTTGTAAGCCTCTGCATATGACATATCTCCGAAAATACCATTGGCTAAGACATATCACTTGGCCAGACTCAGAACCAAGTGGTTCTTTAGTGAAAGAAAATGCAAAGTGATGTGGCAAAAGGGCATGGAGAGGGTGTGTGTGTGCGTGTGTGTGGATGTGTGTGTGTGTGGTTGTGTGTGTGTGTATATATATATAGAATCAGGGCCACTGATAGAGTCAATTTACTACAGAGAAAAGCAAAGGAAATTTGCTTTATTTAAAATTTATTAAGGGCCTACTGTATGCTAGAACTCATCTAAGGGATAGGAGATAAACATAATCTACCCTATGCAGGGAATTTATATTCTAATAGTGTCTGAGATGAGTGCCTAAGGGGCAAAAGAACAACATTTGATGTGCTCTTATAACCTGCCAGGCCTGGGCCAGGCACTGAGGATATAGCTGTGAACCTTATATTATCACATTTACTCTACACAATAACCCTGAAAGATGGGTGTTATGCTTATCCCTATTTAATAGACAGGGAAACCAAGGCTGAGCAAGGTTAAGCTGTCTACATGCCCAAGTTCAAGATACAGAGATACAACTATCTCATTCCAAACCCCAGATTCATTCTGCTACACTCTGGAAGGCATTCCTTCACTGACTCAACACATACTTAAGTGCCTGTGCCAGGCACTGCTCACCTCTCCTTAGAAACGACTCACAACATTTCTCCCTTTGACTATCTGTCAGATTTCACCAACTGCAAACAGAATACCTGCCCTTTCCCACCTTGACCCCTGTGTGGGGTCAGCATGGTTAAGAGATGCTAAGTAACTCCTTTAAAAACAACAACAACAACCCTCTAGCAGGAACAATTTATCATCATTACTGTAACCCCTGGTTCACTTCAATCTTAGGTTCCTGGCCTTTTATTTATAGTACCTTCAAAGAGGTTCCACGTCATTAATTGCTCGCCATTTAGGCCAATTAGATGAGGTTAGAATTTCAGGGTAAATCAGCCCACACAGGTGGCAAAGGCAGCTGTGCCTGCCTGGTGTACTGGCTCTGCCTTTTAAGAAATATAACAGCCCAGAGGTCGTATGAACAGGTTGGCTAGGCTGTATGGCTTGCATGAAATGAATGAGCTATAGACAGATGTTGACCGTGGACTTAATTTCAACAACACAGACTGGAACATGGTGAGAAGTTTAAACTAATGATTTAACCATAGTACTTTGCTACTCAGTGAGGACAAACCTTGGGAGAAAAGCTTATAACAGAGCTGTCAACCTAGTGAATTAAACCTGGCTGAACAAAGCTTTGTACATCTGATTATGATGTGACATCCAACAGCACATGCGGAACCCAGATTCTTGAGAAGAATCTACTTCAGAGCAAGGACCTAAGCTTTCCATCTTTGGAACACAGCAGACAATAGTAGCTCAATAAATATTTGAGTAAGTAAATATGTGGATGAGTGAACAGATGGATCGATGGGCAGGCAGATGGATAGACGAAAGAATGTAACAGAATAAAATATGGGAATGAACAGGTAGGAATAAATGTTTGTTCAATAAACAAATGGATTTGTGAGTTTTAAAAAATGAAGTTACAAGATAGTTATGGGGGTGGATGGGAAAAGGAAGAAAACATTTCTTGAATACCTTCTGTATGTCAACACTTCATTTATATATTTTCTCACTGAGTTCTAACTGCACCTTTCCAGAGATGCCTTCATCATCTTCTGTTCAAGAAAAGCATACTGAGGCTCAGAGAGATTCCTCAGGGGACCTGGCCAAAAAAGCCACAGTTCAAACCTAAGTCTGCCAATTTTCTAAAGACTGTGCCCTCCCCCTTTTGGGGACCAACCTCCTGGTGTGGTAGATGAGGAAACCAAGGCAGGGAGAAATAGAATGATTTGACCACATCAGTGGCCCACGTGTAATAAGATCAGGGGGTGCTGCCTAGATCTGTTGTCCTCTTCTCTGGAGGAGCCACATGGTGAATAGGGATAGCCCAGAGAGACTGGAGCCATCAGGGCAGCACGCAGAGTGCTCAGAGCCTGGAGTCTGGAGCCAGGCTGCTGTGTCTGAATCCTGACTCTATCACTTCCTAAGTGCATGTCCTCGTGCAAGTCACTTAACTTCTCAGTGCATCAGTTTCCTTATGTGTGAAATTACGACGATGACAAAACGACCTCAGAATTACTGTGAGCACAAAATGAGCTCTGATAGTGTCTGGCTCAGAATCTGCAAGTAATAAGCATTAGCCCCTTCTTCCTAGAGTCTGCTGTTCCAAGCCACTTTTAATATTTTGCATTCCCAAATCTGGCAATCCCTGACTTAACACAGTGATGGAGCAGAAGACTTTCTGCTGGTTGATGTGTGCTTGGAAGCACAGAGCTGGGCTAACCGAGACACTCCAAAAGGGAATTCCATTTTCTGTCTGTGGCTTTAGGGTCACAAATTCAGGTGGCGGGCTCACCTGTAGGTTAGCAAAATTTATTCACTCCCACCTCATGATTAATGATTCCTGAAAGCTCAGAACCATGTGGACCCTGAGGCCAAGGCCTGCAGCTGTTTGTCTAACCATGGATGAGTAGGGACAATATACTGAAAATAGGAAGAGAGCCTGGGTAATGCGAGGCCATGAAAAGCCAAGGAATAGCAAACACACTAGACCACTCTAAGGAGGCTCCCACACTCACATTCTAAAGACTCCCACTCACCAGGGGAATTAACCATTTCTTCCATCATGTTCTGGCATCTTCTATCTCTGTCAAGGGGCCAAATCCCAGATGAAGGGGAGAGAGAGCTACCCGTTACTGAGCACCTACTATACACCAGACTATGTTTTACTTCACAAATTCTTATACGGCACTTACAATGTTCTGGGCACAGTCTAAGCACTTTCCAAACATTAACTCATTCAATCCTCATAACAACCTGTGAGGCAGAGACTGTCATTATTGCCATTTTACAGAAGTAGAAGGAGATGCACAGAGAGGTGAAGAAACTTGCTCAAAGTAAAACAGCCAATATGTGATAACACCAGGATTTAACCCCTTAACTTCTGCACTTTGGAATGGGTACCTGCTGGGATGGGTACTATCTTTAATTCTAAGAGCAAATGCAATGGCGGCTATTATACTCTCCACTTGACAGATGAGGGATCCAAGGCATAGAAAGATTAGGTAACGTATCCACACACAAATGGTAAAAGTCCAGGGTAACCCCAGGTCTCGATGAACTCAATGCCATTCCCTTGTCATTGAGAGCCAAGCTGGCCTTAAGCAAAAATAGTCAAGAAAACTGTTTTTGTTTGTTTTGTTTTGTTTCTGTTTTTGTTTTTTGTTTTTTAGTGATCACATTGTAAACTTTTTGGAATAATGCTAATTTCATGTCATTTTAAAATAGCTTGTTCATTCGATAGCATTATGGCAGCCAGCCTCTAAGACAGTCCTCAATGATCCTTGCCACCTAACATTCAGGCCCTTGTGTAGCACTGTTCACCCTGAACAGGACTAACCTGTGTAACAAACAGGATGCTGCTGACCTGATGTGTAGTGTGACTTTGGAGGCTAGATCATAAAATACACTGGGGCATCTGCCTTGTTCTTTCTTGAAGCACATGCTTTGGAGGAAGTCAGCTACCATGTTGTTAGCACACTCAAGCAGCCCTGACAAGGAACTGAGGCCTTCTCTTGCAATCAGCACTAACTTGCCAGGCATGTGGGTAAATCATCTCAGAAACAGGTCCTCCAGCCCCAGTCAAGCCTCCAGATGAATGCAGCCCCAGAAAACATCTTGAATGCAACCTCATGAGAGACCTTGAGCTGGAACCACGCAGCTAAGCTGCTCCTGGATTCCTGACCCAAAGAAATGGTGAGATAATAAATGTTTATTGTTTTAAGCCATGAAGTTTTGAGGGTAATTTATTACAAAGCAACATATAACAAATCATTACATATAAATTTTTCAATCTTTGGGGAGGCTTTTTAATCAGAGAAAAATATCTTGAGAAAAATAGTCACTTTGTGACTCTGAATCTCACCCAATGCTAGAGCCCCCATTTTCACTCTCTTTACCCCTAGTTTATAGAGAGATGCCTACTTTTCTGCTTCTTCGTTTCTGGAAGCCTCCTGCACTCTTTGGGTCTCAGCTGTATCCACTGTGTCAGAAGGGAGGTGGGATGATGTGATCCCCAAATCCAACATTAGCCTCCCTTAGACCTGCTCCCGCATCCTCTGTCCTTTTTCCCCATCTCCTCTCCCGCTGTCACTGACCCCCACATCTGCTTATACATCACCTTATCAGAGAAGTGGACAGCAACATCTGCCACTTGTTCTCCCTTAGCAATCTATTCTTCTCTGATTTATTTTTTTCTACAAGTTTTATTACTATATATAATATATAAAATTACACATAAAAATATGTATATTTACATGCAATATAAAGTTAGATATATGTAATTTTTTTGTTTATATTCCCTCTCTCATCCATGCATTTAGGCTTTATAAGAGCAGATATACCTGTGCCTAGAATAAATCCTGGAACACAGGAGATGCTCAATAAATGCTTGCTGAATGAATGGATGGATAACAGAATAAATGAATGACAGCTCATTTCTAAGTATTTTCTGTAAGTTCTGCAACCTAGAGGTGTTAGGCAATGTATTAAGTAAGCTGTATGTCACCAGCCAGTGTCACCACCTCTGGGCAGCTTTCCCTTTACCAGGCTTAATTGAGGGCTCTCTCTGCTCACAGCCAGGTTTGCTTCCCTCTCTTATTGCAGGAAACACACCACACTACAGTGGTCTGTTTATAGCCTGTCACTCCCTTTAGAGTCTGTGCATCTGGATGGCAGGGGCAGGGACTACTTCATTTCTGGATGTCCCATTCCTAATGGAGAGCCTGGTGCTTGCTTGCTGAATTGAATGAAGGAAACCACCAATGTGAGATAAGGAAAGAACAAATACATAAATGAAAAGAGCTTTTCCAAGGGAACTCAGCTGTCACAGGCTGAGCTGACAGCTGAGTTCATGCTGTGACCTAAGGGGCTGATAAGTGTCCCCTCCAAACTGTCCAGTCCACAAGTTATCCATGGGTCCTCTGGAGACCCAGGCCCTAAGGCCTGCCTGCTTCAAGCAGCAATGAGTTTTCCTGTCAGGGGGTTCCTGACCTGTGCCCACCAGGATTCTCCTCTGAGGACAGAGGTCAGTCCCACCAGGGGCAGAGAAAAGAATGAGTTGCCCTAGTCCTAATCAGAAGCCTGCAGCACCACAACAGCCCGGGGGGTCAGCTGCTGGAGGCTAACCCAGAATGGGGAGAGGAGGGTAGTGGAGCCCCAAAGACCAGCCATGCAGGCTCTCATTCTACACTCAGCAGCCTTCCTCCTGTAGGGCAGGCTATGCAGGGCAAGTGTTCAGGAATCTAGGTCATCCAGTGGTTTTCCACCAGGTTTCACATCAGTATTACATCTTCCAGAGACTCAGGAAACCCGGGGTGGGGTCTTTGTATCCTTATAATTAATAAGCTCCACAGATGACTCTGATGCATGACCTGCGTTGAGAACGTCTACATTTAGATCACAAGTTTTGCACCACACACATATAGGTTTCACCCCTGGCTCAGCTACAATGATATGTGTGGCATTAATTCTGTGTCTTAGTTTCTTTATCTGTAAAATGGGGACAACTTTACTGGGAAGTGGGAGGATTAAATGGCATATCAGCCTTTCCTAACAAAGAGCACATATTCATTAGTGTGTAGTAAATACTAGTAAGTGGCAGCTCAAAGAAGAATGATTTGGGGCCTAGGGGGAAAGAAAAATTTATGGGCCAAAGTGTTGTCACTTGTGAGCCAAGAGTTCAGAGGACCCAAGAGATCCTGAGTCCCTAGACAATTAAATGCATACCTATTTATGACAGGAAGCCCCCAGCCAGTGTTTTCTCCACCCACAGTGACCTAACTGGCTCAATCCATGGCCCTCTTGCCACTTCTTTCAGCTGCCTTGTCTTCTGTTCCAAGAAGGTCTGTTCCTTCTCCAGGAGAGTCACACACCACAGCACCTGGGTCAGTCACTTGTGCATCTGTTGGGGTCCTGTGTCCCAGGGGCCACTGCTCTGCAGAGCTCAGTCTGGTCTGCAGGGATCAGGCCAGTGTCAGTCATCTCCACAGCTACAGATCCAGCCAGAGGGAGATCAAACAGTTCTCCTGCTAAGAGGATTTGTAAAATACACAGCACATTAAGCATAGGCAGCTATTGGTCTGATACATTGCTTTCTTTCGGGCCTTTCTTTTTAAGGAGGGAAAATAATTTTTCTTACTGCAAATAGAGAATTGAACTCCACTCTCTGGGTGGCATTCATTAAGTTCAGAGCACTTCCTCCAGGTCAGAGAAGATGCTAGAAGGGAATGGTCAGGAGGGATGGCAGAGAATGCAGCAACTGTCCCAGGCAGCTCTAAAGGGATATCTGTCTCTCCAATCCCACCTGCCACATGCCTCACCCTTAAGGCTCCATCCGGTGGCAGTCCCAGGGGACTTCGTCAGCCAGCTGGCAGGGGAGGTGCTTTCTGTTCACAAATGCCCTGCAGAACTGGCCTCTCCAGGGATTGGTATAGCTCAGGGATGCCGAGCTTTTTTATAATAGAGGAATGACAAATCATGTTTAATCATAAATTTTAACAATATTTCATGCTCATGGACATACCATAGACATTACAGAGAGGCTTTAAGAAGAAGGGAAAATTACTAAAATTCACCTCTTAGAGATAAAAGCTATTGGCGTGTCTCTCTCCTAAGTTTTTCAATAGATTCCTACATAGTTATGAGATCATGCTGTATAAATATGTATGTGATATGATTTTAAATTTCCGCTAATGTGCCTTTAATCACCTTCATTGTGGTGGTAGTGGTGCAGATACCTTTAATTCCAGTATAGTATTCTATTGGAGGAGAAGGATAATGGGGGGAGGGAAGAACCAATTAGGAGGAGGAGAGAGGGGAGGGGGCAGGGGAGTAGAGAAGGATTGCTAGCCTCCACCCAGTGATTAACCTGAGCTGGGCACTGTGTGAAGTGCCTTATGTACATTCTTTAATTTTACCCATATAGCAACATTATCGACCTGGACGATTATTATCAGCCTACTTTGTACATAAGAAAACTGTGGCTCAGAGAGGTAAAGTAGAAGGTGCTCCAGTGATAGAGACATTAAGGAGCTGAGGTGAGACTTAGAATCTGGTCCAGCCCCAGGCTTCACCTCCGGAACTCTAAGCCACTGACTTAGGATGTACCGTGTCACATCTAACCTCTCCTCCCTCGGTGAAAATATAGGCATCCATTTGCTTTTGTAATAATACGAGTATTGAATATCTTTGTCCATGTGACTTTAAGCATTTGTCTTATTATAGCCTTTGGATAAAATCCTGAAAGACAAAATTTTTAAGTTTTTATAAAGGAGAGCCTTTATATCTATTGGGATTTGCTTTTGCTAAATAGGACAGAGGAAGTCAAAATAGCAATTGTTTAAATAGACAAATGTTTATTTTTATATAAGAAGTTGGGAGGTGGGCAGAGCTGATACTGTGCCCCATGAAGTGGAAGCTGGCCCCTTCCAGCTTACCCTCTGATTTCCCTAGAATACGGTTTTTATCCTCATAGTACAAGATGGCTGCTAGAACTACAGCCATCACATCCAAATTTCAAGCAGCCAGATGGATGAGGAGACGAAGAAAGTGTGCTCCCTCTCTTTCAGACACATGCTGATATTTAACACAGTAAATTTAGGGACATATCCACATTTGGCTACGAGGGAAGCTGAGAAATAGTGGCATACCTTGTTTCATTGTGGGTTGTTTTAATTTGCCTCACAGGTATTGAGTTTTTTTTTTTTTAAACAAATTGAAAGGTTGTGGCAACCCTATGTCTAGCAAATCCACTGGTGCCATTTTTCCAATAGCATGTGCTCACTTCATGCCTCTGTGTCACAGTTTGGTAATTCTCATAATATTTCAAACATTTTCATTATTATTGTATCTGTTATGGTGACCAATGATCAGTGATCTGTGATGTTACTATTGTTTTGGGTACCACAAACTGTGCCCAAGATTAGATGGCAAACTTAATCAATCAATAAATGTTATATATGTTTTGACTTCTCCATTGAATGGCTCTTTCCCCATCTCTCTTTCTCTCTCTCTCTCTCTCTCTCTCTCTCTCTTTGAGTCTCCCTATTCCCTGAGACACAACAATACTAAAATTAGGCCAATTAATAACCCTACAATGGCTTCTAAGTGTTCAAGTGAAAGGAAGAGTCGCACATCTCTCACTTTAAATCAAAAGCTAGAAACTATTAAGCTTAGTGAGGAAGGCATGTTGAAAGCCCAGATAAGCTAAAAGATAGGCTTTTTGCACAAAACAGCCAAATTGTGAATGCAAAGAAAAAGCTTTTGAAGGAAGTTAAAAGTGTTATTCCAGTGAACACACAAGTGATAAGAAAGCAAAACAGCCTTATTGCTGATATGGAGAAAGTTCTAATTGTCTGGACAGAAGATCAAATCATCCACAACATTCCCTTAAGCCAAAGTCTAATTTAGAGACACGACCTAAATCTCTTCAATTCCACGAAGCCTGAGAGAGATGAGGAAGCTGCAGAGGAAAAGTCTGAAGCTAGTAGAGGTTGGTTCATGAAGTTTAAGGAAAACAGCCACCTCCATAACATAAAAATACAAGGTGAAGCAGCAAGTACTGATGGGGAAGCTGCAATAAGTTATCCAGAAGTTCTAGCTAACATCATTGATGAAGGTGGGTACACTAAACAACTGATTTTCCGTGAATATGAAACAGCATTCTATTGGAAGAAGATGCCATGTAGGACTTTCATAGCTAGAGAGGAGACTCAATGGCTGGCTTCAAATCTTCAAAGGACGAGCTGACTCTCTTGTGAAGAGTTCATATAGCTGGTAACTTGAAGTTGATGCCAATGCCCATTTACTACCCTGAAAATCCTAGGGCCCTTAAGGATTACACTACATCTACTGCTTGTGCTCAGTAAATGGAATGACAAAGCCTGGATGAGACCCCATTCATTTACAGCATGGTTTACTAAATATTTTAAGCCCACTCTTGAGACCTACTCCTCAGAAAAAAATATTCTTTTCGAGATATTATTGCTCATTGACAATGCACCTGGCAAAAGCTCTGATGGAGGTGTACAAGGATATTAATGCTATTTTTCTGCCTGTTAACATAGCATCCATTCTGCTACCCAGGGATCAAGGAATAATTACAACTTTGAAGCCTTATTATTTCAAAAATACATTTCAAAAGGCTATAACTGCCATGGATTATGATTTCTCATATGGAGCTGAGCAAAGTAAATTGAAAACCTTCTGGAAAATTTCACTATTCTAGATGCCATTAAGAACATTCATGATTCATGGGAGAAGGCCGAAGTATCAACATTAATGGAAATTCGGAAGAAGTTGATTCCAATCTTCATGGATGGCTTTGAGAGGTTCAAGACCTCAGTGGAAGAAGTAACTATAGATGTGGTGTAAATAGCAAGAGAACTAGAATTAGAAGTGGATCCTGAAGATGTGACTGAATTGCTGCAATCTCACAATAAACTTAAATGAATGAGAAGTTGCTTCTTATGGATGTGCAAAGAAAATGGTTTCTTAAGATAGAATCTATTCCTGGTGAAGATGCTGAGAACGTTACTGAAATTCCAACAAAGGATTTAGAATATTATATAAGCTTATTTAATAAAGCAGCAGCAGGGTTTGAGAGAACTGAGTCCAATGTGAAATAATTTCTACTGTGGGTAAAATGCTATCAAATAGCATCACATGCTACAGAGAAATCTTTTGTGAAAGGAAGAGTCCATTGATGTGGCAAACTTCATTGTTGACTTATTTTAAGAAATTGCCACAGCCATGCCAACTTTCAGTTACTGCCACCCTAATCAGTCAGCAGCCATCAACATTGAGGCAAGACCGTCCACTAGCAAAAAGATTGTGACTCACTGAAGGCTCAGATGGTCATTAGCACTTTTTGGCAATAAAGTATTTGACAATTAAGGTATATACATTATTTCGAGAAATAATGCTATTGCATCTTAATAGACTATAATATAGCATAAATATAACTTCTATATGTACTGGAAAAATAAAAAATTCATGTGACTCACTTTATTGCGCTGGTCTGGAACTGAACCCGCGATATCTCCAATGTATGCCTGTATAGTGTTTAACTGGGTGGGAATATGTGTCCAGCTAAATATTGGGGTTCTGGGACTGTGGAATAAAGAAGAATGTATATCCCAGCCTCCTGTGGATCCCGTGACAGTGTTCCTCTCATGGAGCAGTGGAAGTCAGGAAACAGTTTGGGGGAGAAGCATCTATCTTTGTTAGAAATATTATAACAATAGCCAGATGGACTCAGTACGTAGTATATCCCAATACTCCACAAGACAATTCTCATATGTCATCTCTGATCTTACAGTGAGAGAGCTGAGAATCAGGCACAGGTGATTCTCTAGCATGTGCTGAGCACCAACTCCGTGTAATTTATTTTAACTTCTGACATCCAAGCTGTTGTTTTGCCTCACAAGATGTGCTCCTGTAAGTCAGAGACTGTGACCCTCATTTAATGGATGAAGAACTGAGATGTAGGAAGTGATAAAAGTTACTCAAATCTGCCTGTGAGTAGTAAAACTGGAATTAAGCACTACTCTGTATGAAACTATAGTCTCTGCCTTCCCACATCATAGTACACAGTGTTCCTTTATTTTCTAAGAAATGTATCATTAGAAGTGACAGCAGAGGTAGAAAGACATCACAATTTTCACATTGCCCTTCTTCTTCCCCTCTCTCTCCCATAGAAGCTTAAGACAACAATGTTGGGTCTCAGGGTTTGAATTATTTGCAGATGCGGCTTCAATTAAGGTGTAGACCCTTGGGAAAGGGACACTGGGACCTTGTATCTTCACAGTATCAGAGACCCCCCCTCAGCTGAGACAGTCTCATCACCTCTTCTGTGGGGTAAAGGGAACCTTCTGGATACTTCTTTCTCTGTCCATGGAGAAACAGACCCTCAGACAGTAGAAGAGATGCTGAGTTCTGGGCCCAGGCCAGGATTGACTGAATGGTAGACTCCTGAGAGCAGATTCCCAATGTCCTTTGAGTCACTGTCTGTCCAAGTGACTCAAAGCATCCTGGGGGAGAAAACTGTCTGCTTTACCCCAAAGAAAGCAGGACAGACAGGGTCACCCTCTAGACTGGAAGACCTGTCAGTAGGCATGTGAAATACTGCATGAAGAGTTTGGACTCATGCCTTGCCCATAGTAAGTACTCAATAAATGGCCACACCTGGTCATTCATTTGTACATTATTTGTATTTGTACAGGTATTTGTATATAATTATGTCAATAATAATGCAAAGGTGGAATTTATTATTTGTTATTATTAGGTGTCACTATTGAGCAATAACTAGCTGCTAATTTTCTATGCATTATTGAATTTAATATTTCTAACAATGCTGTGGAATAAGTATTACGATCCCCAATTTAGAGGTAAAGCAACTGATGATTTATGAAATCACTCCCTGTAGGGTACACATCTGGGAAGGACAAAAGTGAGATGCTAACCCAAGGCCATCTGACCCCAGCTTTCCCTCCCTCACCTTTATCTTGCCATCTATACATTTGTGCCACGTGATTAAGCATAATTCATAATGCGCTGCTTTAGTTGTTCTCAATGAGAATACTCTCTATCCATAGCCATTCCTGTTTAGCAATGCCTGCACATTGAGTGAGTATAAAGGATGACAGTCTCAAATGCACTGAAGTGTTATTGCGACTAATAAAGCTAGTTATAACATCACTGTATTTAGAGTAGCTTCTTTTCATTTTGCATCTTTTCAATCAACGGATACAAAAAGCAAAATTACTAAGGTGGAGGAGGGCAGTGGTCCCAGAAACCTTGCAGTTCTGATTCACCAACCCAACCCCTTTATTTTACACATGGAGAAATTGTGGGAGAAAGAGGGGCACTGCCATGTCTGGGATCACTTAGTGACAGCATGTGATATTTATCTTGCTTTCCTGAAGCTGGAGGAGGTGGGGAACGTACTTCCTAATTTTTAGGATGTCTCTGGCTTTTTACATCCATGACTCCCCTAAACTCTAGAAGCATGCATTAGCTATCTCTTGATGTGCAACAAATTATCCCTAAACTTTGTGGCTTGGAGCAACAACAGTTTGTGTCTGTCAGTAAATCCAAAGACAGTTCAACTGGGTCCTCTACTTTGTACTTTGGGGTCTCTTACAGGCTGAAATCAAGGTACTGGCTGGGGCTACAGTCATGGCTTCTGAGGTACAGGGTCCCAGAGGGAGATTATAAGTGGATGCATCTAAACCCTGTCAAAGTTTAATGGGAAAAATTCACTTCCCAGCTCACTTGCATGGTTGTTGGCATGAATCAGTTCCTTGCAGGCTGTTGCACTAAGGGTCTTAGTTTCTCACTGGCTGTTGGCCAGAGGTTGCTCTCAGTTCTTGCCACATGGACCTATGTAACATGGCTTCTGACTTCACCAAAGCAAGCAGTCCAAGAAGGCTATAGAAAGAGTTCCGCAGGATGCAAGTCACAGCCTTTTGAAACCTAATATGGAAGTGACATCCCATCTCTGTCACCATGTTCTTCATCATTTTTTCAATCCTTCCTCATATGGAAGCAAGTTAGAAGCAAGTCAATAGGGGAGAGGATTACCCGAGGGGTGAATACTGGAGGCAGGGATCATTGGAAACGTGTCAAATGTTGCTTATTACAGAGTATCAGCTCCTTTTCCCATTTTGAGAAGCTGTTACTTTACCTTATGAGGAACATTTTTAACAGGAATGCCTTTCAGCACTGAATCAACAGATCCACTTCAAGGTGACCTTGCAAGTGATGAGTCTTTACATTCTAAAATTGTTAAGTCAGTTCTACTGGCTGCATCCTCTCTCTGCTTCAGACCCAGGCTCAGAGAGCAGGACAGCTGGAAGGGACCTCAATGCCCTCTAGGTATTTTCTAGATAAAGAGGCCCAGTGAGGGAAAGCCACTTACCCAGGTAATGTGCCTGAGCCCTATTCTTTGGTCTTTAGCCCCAGAGCCTCTAATGGTAGAGGCAGTCCACTCCTATCCTTATCATCCTCTTAAGTCCAGGAGAAAACACTTGGTTGCAACTTTCCCTAGGCATCCTGTGGGGCTTGCAGGAGCTCTTTTCTTGCTGACTCAACGATCCCAGAAGGTGTTCCAATGGATAGAAGATTGTTTCACATCTGAAGAACTACCCATTCATTCCTTCATTCACTAATTCATGGGTGGCTTCAGAGAGAAGATGATGCCTGAGCTGAGTCTTGAAGGATGAAAGATAGAGAGAGTGACGGTATTAGTCCATTCTCACACTGCTATAAAGAACTACCCAAGACTAGGTAATTTATAAAGGAAAGAGGTTTAATTGACTCACAGTTCCACATGTTTGGGGAGGCCTCAGGAAATTTACAATCATGGTGGAAAGAGAAGCAAACACGTACTTCTTTACATGGTGGCAGGAGAGAGAAGTGCCGAGCAAAAGGGATAAAAGCCCCTTATAAAACCATCAGTTCTCGTGAGAACTTACTTACTATCACGAGAACAGCATGAGAGTAACCGCCCCCGTGATTACCTCCCAATGGGTCCCTCCATGACATTTGGGGATTATGGAAACTACAGTTCAATATGTTCAAGATGAGATTTGGGTGGGGACATAGCCAAACCATATCATTGGCTAAGGCAGAAGTACCAGAAAGACCAAAGGCCTGAAGGATTGAAAAAATGACGAGGAAGGCCATCACCTAGTGGCTTCAGAGGCACAGGGTCCCAGGAAGAGACTATAAATGGATGCACCTAAGACCTTCCTGTTTCCGGGCAGCCAGCCTCAATTCCACCCACAGCTACTCTGCTACCACCCACCTTTGCTTGGTTGGCTTTGTAGTCCAGAGGCTATACTGGGCAAACATCAGAGGAAGGGTGTTTTGCACCTGTTTTCAGGGCTACTGTGGGGTGATGCTTTTGCTGTATCTCATTCCTGAAGGGCTGCCTCACCCTATTGAGAGGAACAAACCTCAAGGGCAGTGCCAAGCTTGTCTGCTGGCATCAGGTGGAGGGTGCATGGTGGAGGAGGCTCTTGCATTCATTTCTGCCCAGCCTCTTTTCTCCTGCCCTGCAATCAGGTTCAAGCTTTCCCTGTATACTGTAATAACACAAGCCTGGCAATGGCACAATTGGGAAACAAGTCATGTTTGTTCCATGGCATCTTTATTCCATAGTATCCCACCCCTGGACACTCTACCCTGTAACTCGGATCCATCCCCTGGTCTCCCCACACTAGCTCTTGGTCTCTTTCTTTCCTTTTAAAAAAAAAAATCCTTAATAGATCCTCCCATATAAAAACTCATCCTACCTCTTACTGTCCTTTCAAGAATCTTTTCCATGGGAAGAAAATTTAACCTAATGGGCATTAATGGGTGGGAATGAGTTTGTTGAATTGCCTTCCCTGGTGCCATATTTAAATATTCACAGTTGATTTCTGGAGACTATGTCTCCCCAAAGGAGTGATTGCAGTTTTTGAATTAATAAGGTCAGTGAAGATATTTGGGAGTGGATGGGCCTTTAAATGTCCCTCAGTCAAGCCCTGTGTGTTGGTAACTTCCTGCTAGTCTGGTCCCAGGCTAGAAGAGAGGGTAGAGATGAAGCAACTTGCTCTTTCTGATTCTCTATTCTCTCACCTCCCACTTGGACCTGAAACCCAGTTGGATATCTCAAGTCAAAGGTCCTGGGAATGAAAAGTCAGGGCTAGACAGAGCCTTGGATAACACCACATCTTGACCCCTCCACATATCCACATTTACACTTTGTGAATAAGGAGACATCACCAAGCAGGGAAAGCAACTTGCCTAAGGACACAGTTATGGCAAAGTAAAGCTCTTAGGCCCCTAGATAAGGACCTTTGCACTATGATAGTTCCAGGGGTCCACAGGAGTTGCCTGTGATATGTTCTAGGGCAAGGCCAAGGTGGGGAATGGAATAACTGAGTCTGTAGCCTGGGCCTCTGGGCCTCTAGTGCACAGGAAGGACTGAAGGTATCCCAAGACACAGGAATTTCTCCTGGTCTTGGGGCCACAGCTGTCCCATGGATAGAGGATTGTTCTACATCTGAGGAACTGCACATTCATTCACCACACAGGGTCCTCCCTCAGATCTGTCTGGATGGGTGCTGGCTGGGGCAGGAAAGCAGGCAGGTTAAAGCCAGACCCCATGCCAGGTGCCAGAGCCAGCATTGCAACTAAGAGTTTTCCCTTACACCTGTGGGTCCATCCATCAACACTTTCTCTGCCTGACCCCAGCAGCCTGTTGCTGTGGGGCTGGAGAGGATGTCGGGTGGAGAGCTGGGGGCTCAGGGGCTGGCCAGGCTGATGAGGAAGGGGTCTGGGTCAAGATGGACAAAGCCTATTTCTGCCTCCTCCTGAGAAAGAAAGAATACCAGAAGTTGGAACTTTCTCCAAGAGGGATCCAACCCTGAGAATAGGATGCTGTCATCCCAAGGTCTAGGAGAATGGACCTCAAGGTCTAGGCAAAGGCCTCTCAGTGTCAAGAGCCAAAGTGTCCCTGCCTCTAGGCACAGGAAGTGTCAGTTGGCTAAGCTGCTCTTTTGGGGACTGTTTTCCAGGGAATATATGATTCCTAAGAAGAGATGCTTTCTAACAGCCAGAGCTTTGGAATAGTGGAACAAGCTCCCTTGGAGGAGGTGACCTCCCTGTCATCAGAGATGTATAAGAAACAATTGAACCAGTATCTGAGGATGCTGCAGAGGTCACCGACCCCAAAGTACCTTCCAACCTCTCAAGATAGGAAGCAGCACAGTGCAGAAGAAAGAGCCAGGCTTTAATTAACATACTCATTCCTTAGGGGTCTTGGAAAGCTCTGAGACTTGGGGTGTGTGTGTGTGTGTGTGTGTGTGTGTGTGTTTGTGATCAGTCACAAATCCAAGGTCATGCAGGGCGTGGAGGAGATGGAGATCAGTGTAGCAGAACCCAAGACGCAGAAGAGGCAGTACTTTAATTAGCAAGAAGGCACGCGGAGCACACCTCCCAGTGGTCTGTGACACTCCAGAGGGGTGGGGCCCTATGGATAAGGCCCGTTGAGTTAAAATTTGGGTTCTAGAATCAAGAAACTTTGTTTTCATTCTGGCTCTGCTGCTTCCTGGGGCATGTCATTTTACCTCTGTGTGCCCCAGTCTTGTCTTCTGAAAGACAAGAACAGTGGTCCCCCCTTAACCTTGCGGGATGCATTTCTAGACCCCCAGTGGTTGCCTGAAACTGTGGATAGTACAGAACCTGATGGCTGTTCATCAGAACACGTTTCTGTTTATGTCATCTGCCAAAAAACTTAATACCTTTTCCATCTTAGTGAAGCACTTATCACGCACCGTGGCCATTACTTTTACAGTATAAGGTGGGACAGCAAAACTAGTATGCATTTTTTTCCTTCTTCACAATTTCCTCCTTCTTAGCAACCTCAGCATATCACTTTTTTTCTTTTCTTATTAAGTTGAGAACTTTCACCTTTTCACTTAAAGGTAGCACAGCATTTCAAGCCTTCTCTTTGGCACAACGAAATTTCCAGCATCACTACCCTTGTGCTTTGGGGTCACTATTAAGTGCAATAATGGTTACTTGAACAGAAGCACAACAATACCATGACAGTTAACGTGATAACTAAGATAGCTACCAAGTGACCAATGGGTGGGTGGCATCTACAGAAAAAATACACTGGGAAAATGGAGGATTCATGTTCTGGGCAGAATTTCATCACACTACTCAGAATGACATGCAATTGAAAACTTAAGGATTGTTCATTTCTGGAACTTTTCATTTAATATTTTCAGACTGTGGTTGACCACAGGTAACTGAAACCATGGATAAGTGGGGGGCTACTATATACTAATAGTACTTACTTGCCTACAACAAATTGTTTTGAGGATCTTGTTTAATTAGAGAGCAGACTAAAGGACTTAACACTGTGTCTGGCAAGTGGCAAGCTTGGCTCAATAAATGGAAATTGGTATTCATTTTAAGACATGGGATGTGGGAAAGGCAATGGTGCACAACAGCCAAGAGAGACATGGTGGGAATGTAAGCTGCTGCCTTGCCTCATCTCTCCCTATGAACAACTCCCTACAATCCATACATGCATGCACATATACACATATGCAAGTGTGTATCTGTGGAGTCCCCATACCTCTCCAGCACACTGGCACTTAGGGAAAGGCTGAAATTGATCCCAACTGCCTTAAAGAGAATACCCATTTACCCATGTCTTAAACAGTACTAAGGTATGTTGGGCGTTGCTCAGGTGGTCCTGATATGCATTCTCCTCCATGCCACTGCCCATCCGACCAGCTCCAGATGACTTCTCAGCCTCTCTGGACCTTGCTCAGCCTATGACAACAGCCTTGACTTGCAAAGACTATTGGGGAGGGCGGTGCTGGTGTGGTCAGAGTAGCTCACACTAACTCCCCTAAGACTCTATCTTCCCCAGTCATCAACAGCAACATGCCCTCTCCATTTACAGTGAATTCACATATGTCTTCAAGCATTGAGTCAGCCCCGGCTTGACTCGTGGAAAACTGCCTTTTTCCAGTTCCACAGGCAACAATAACCCCGGGGTCCTATAGAACATTCATTATGGTCCAGGACAGTTGAGTTTCACTGTAGAGAGCTCAGGTAACAGGAGACTAATTCAGCAGCATATTCTCATTACTAGAGGCTCAACACAGGAGCAGCAAGGGTCCATGGAGGAAATTCATCTTGCAGTTGATCCTGGAGCTGATGTCTTCCTTTTTGTAGGGAACGTAGATGGGCTTCAGTTTCACTATCTATAAAATGGCAATAATCATGGTACTTGCCTTCTTGGGTTGTTGTGAAAATGTAATTTAGTTAGATTATATTAAATGTAAAGTTCTGGGCATAATGCTTACCCACAGCAGACTTTCAATAAATGGATTATAAATTTAAAATTACAAACACATAAAGTTATTATCCTTCTTTGTTAAAAGCAGTAAGAATCTTCCACCTGAGTCAGACCTCCTATTTATTTGCCTGGGATTCTGTCTTTGAAAGTAACATGAAGGGGCATGCTGTGGATGACAGTATGAAAGTCATCTTAACTGACCTTTTACTATTAAAGTGCCTGAGGTCCAACAAGCGTTCAGTAAGGGATAGATTCCATCTTGTCCCTCCCCACCTTTGTGGGCCAACTGTGAGACATTGTAGATATTTAGTGGCCTTTAAGCACCTTGGTATGCATGAAATATCAATACACTCAACTACAGAGTATATTTTTTGTGTATCTCAAGGCACAGCCAGCATGGAATGTTTAACAATCTGAAGAGCAGCCTCTACATACAGACTGTTTACTATGTGCTGGGCACTGCCCCAGATGCATTACATGGATTATTTCATTTAATCTTCCAAACAACCTCATGGACATAGCTATTACTATTTATCCTGTTTTACAGATGGAAGAGCAGAGGTTTAGAGGGCTTAAGTATTTTGCCCTGCAACACCCAATTAATAAGTGGAAGAGTCAGTACTTGAACCCAAGTCTTTCTGCCTTCAGCATGTCATCTCTTAACCACTGCTTGGATATTTAGCAGAAAATAGTTGCAAGACAAAAATGAGGCTCAGGGGCTTTTACAGAGCATTGGTATAGATGTCCTCACCTGGGGTGTCACTGAGTGACTGAAAGCTCTTCCAAGAACTTTCTTTCTGCAGAGTCCTTGGGGCTGGTTTCCAGGCCACAGTTCATAAGCCCAGGCCTGGGGCCAGGTGCTCCTCAGGCCCTTGGCTTTTCTACCAACCAGAAGCCACCATTGTCCCTATCCATCCAGTACAGGTACCAGGAGGTAGAGATTCTCCAGGGTCCTGTGGGGAGTATTTGAATGTATGTCACTCTTGTAGACACTGGTGATTTGATTCAGTAGTGGACATGAGTTACAAATGGCCCTAAGATCTGTCCCCTAAAACCTACCAAGCAGTCACCTGTCCGGGCTGCAGGTGCTACGGATCCTTATGGCTGATGTCTCACGAAGGCCATCTGCTCAGCCCCACAACATCATCCCTCTATTCCTCCCCTTCAGGCTCTATCTGCAGAAGGCATGATTAGCCAGTAAGCAGTCCCAAAAGAGAAAGTTCAGAGAGGGAACACGTGAGTGGGAAAAGAAAGACAGACAGACAAAGCGCTCAGCAGCAGCTGGTCTGGGAGCCTGGACCCTCACCTCTAATCTTGGTTTCTGCAGTCAATGGGGAAGAAATGCCACAATTTACATGACAAGGGCCAAAGGAGAGAATTATGGCAAATCAATTCTGCATGAGGAGATAAAGCCCCATATTTAATGTATGCTGTGAAAGGTGGAAATTCAATTCTCATAATGTCAGATGATGCTGATTAAAACTGACATTCATGATTAGTATGATGATTTTCCCTTCTCTTCTTGGATTTGAAGAACAAACAGGCCCCATAAAGACAGAATTGCTGAACACCATTGTAAACAGGCAACTGAATAAAGAAAAGGCTGCACCGGCTCCCACCACCGCCACCGCTCAGGAGAAGGGGCATCCATCCCTCTGACTGAAGTTGGCAAATGGCAAACAGAGTCCAGCACCACCTTGAGAAGCTTCTGGAATCCAAATCCAGTCCTGGTCAGCCACACAAGCTACATGCCCTAGGGCCACTTTTCCTCTCTAAGCCTGTTTCCTCCTTGAACAAATAAATGGGTAGTGTCCCCCAAAGCTTGCCTCAAAGATGCTTCAAGAAAAAGGGGTGCCTGGTAAAGTATATCAGGATACACTACATCCTCTGGGACTCTCAGAGTACATATTAGCAGGTTAAGGGCTCTGAGAAGTCATGCAGCAAATAAACCTGCTTAATTTTGTTTAACTCTGGGTTTCCTTAAGTGAGAATTGACAATGCTTTTTTTCTGTCCAGGGCCAGATAGTAAATATTTTAGGCTTGGCAGGCTACACAGTCTCTTGTAACTACTCAGTTCTACTGTCCTAGCATAAAAGCAATCATAGACAATATGTATATGAAAGGGAGTGACTATGTTTTCCCCCCAATTATTTTTACAACAAGTTTGCCAATCTGCAGATGGACCACAGTTTGCCAATCTGCCCTACAGCATGAGCCCTCTAGCCTCGGCCTTCTTTTTCAACTGGAGGTGGGGCTGAGAAGTGTGTGTGCGCACATGCACAGTGTAGGGGTTAGCGTAGCAGGCAAAATCAAGGCTTTTGTCTTGGTTGGTCAAGGCTTAGATTGGGCACTATCTCCTTGTTGCACTTCATATTTGCAGAAGCAAGAACTCACAAACACATTGTAGGTGCTCAACAAATTTTAATGGGCTGATTACAGT
The DNA here is from genome assembly GCF_000001405.40 of Homo sapiens. Classification (NCBI taxonomy): domain Eukaryota; kingdom Metazoa; phylum Chordata; class Mammalia; order Primates; family Hominidae; genus Homo; species Homo sapiens. Next base: position 19,479,682 of record NC_000011.10, on the reverse strand, counting down.
ATTTGATGAATTAATTAATTAGCTAATATATTTTCTATGAAAGACCTACAAACAGGCCAACTAACATAGAGGCAGGAGCTTAGTTCCGAATCCCAGTTCTGCCATTTAGTGATTCTGAATCTTTGGGTAAATGACTTAAGCTCTGTCACAGCTCCTGGCATATAGCACTTGCCCTCCTGAGTGGTGGGAATTAACAGGACGGTTTATGGAAAGGATATACATAAAGCACTTAGCACGGCATCTGGCACATGGTACTCAATAACTGCTCATGGTTGCCGATGACAGCTTATTATTAACATTACTATCCAGCAGTGGAGCATTATTTAAACACCCAAAAGAAGCAATCTCCGAAAAGGTCCCTTTTGGTGCTTGAATTCTGTTACGAGTTGAGGAGGGGGAAAACTAGCTCCTAATATGCCACCAGAGAGAGCCACGGTGGCAAAGCCCCTTGTGGAGCTTCCAGACTCTCATCATTAATTTCCCATCAGAGTTCATCTTCCCTGACCTCCCTGTCAGAGAAGTTTCTTTAGATTCCTTTCAGCTTGGTTAATTATACCCGACACAGTGACTGGGCCACCAAATGAACTGCAGCTCAACTCACAGCGACCCTCCAGACTCAACCCCACCCAGCTGGCTGGGGCAACCCCATGAAAATATCTACCCCACCTCTGTAGAATCTGCCCAGACCGCCGACATCAGGGGAGACCTCTGGAAGCTAGGAACTATGCTAAAAATGTGCACCTGTCTCGTGTAATGAAAAATAATTCCTCGGATGCCTGGCAAAGCCTCCTTTTAATTAACTCATTAGGGGGAAAGCCTCGTTTCTAAAATAGACATTGTATTTGCATCAGAGTTTTTCACCTGACAAGTGAAGGGGACTTGCCTTGGGACAGCAGAGAGATGCTGGGTAAAGTTTATGGAAGCCAGGAGAAAGTGGAGATGGGGCTGAGAAGCGTGCGTGCACACATGCACAGCATAGGGGTTAGCATAGCAGGCAAGATGAAGGCTTTTGTCTTGGTTGGTCAAGGCTTAGATTGGGCACTATCTCCTTGTTGCACTTATCTTTGTATTTGCAGAAGCAAGAACTCACAAACACATTGTAGGTGCTCTACAAATTTTAATGGGCTGATTACAATATTTGATGAATTAATTAATTAGCTAATATCCTCCCCATTTCTTGTTTTTCCTTCTGCTTTAGTCTGCAAGGTCCTTGCTGTTTTTCTTTTCAGTGAACTCCAAACTGGCCTGCTCTGTCCGTTGCTTTGATATCGTCTCCTGCCAACTCCCCTCACCTCATCCTCTCACATTTAAAACCTTCCATCAGCAATTTTTGCAGGCACCGGGCTCCGGGTCTCCCTGTCCAGTCACCCTCAGTGACTGGGACTCCCCTTCACTTTGCTGATGTAGAGCTTTGCTTGTGCAATTTTCTCCGCCCTTCTCTTCTGCTGCCCATATTTGAATCTCACCTCCACCATGCCTGCCAAAAGGAGGTCTTGTTCCTGTGACCTACTATCTCTCCCCTGGCACCTGCCCACTTTCTCTAATTGACCCTGACCATTTTCTGCCCAATGAAACATTTTTTTAACATATATAGCTTATTACCCGTATAAGGGCTCTTTGAGCATTTTGAAGGCTATAGGATAGCTTTCTAGGGAAGATCCTTGCTTATAGCAATACCTGCTGAATTTGCCATGATAGCAGCAAGTTAGCCTTTGTATTGAATGACATTGCATTTGGCAAAGCATTGTATTTTGGGATCTAGTGCTATATTCTGAAGGCCACCCAGGGTATAGAATTTAATTCCTGCTCAAACTTTAAGTTCTGGCTCCCCACTTTTTGGCTGAGAAACTTCAGGCAATGCCCTAATCTCTCTAAACTCCTGTTTCCTCATCTGTAAAAGATGTTCATAATCCTAGCCTCACTGAGCTCAAGGAGAGGCCATGAAGATAAAATGAGATTATGTACATGAAAGGAAGTCTCAGGTAAACCTTCAGCCATCACAATAACAGTAAATTCCCATGGACTGCTTGCCGTATGTCAGGCTCTATGCTGGGGACCCTCATGAAGGTTGTAAATTTCCCAATATGGTCTCCATTTTAGAGATGAGAAAACTGAGACCCAGAAAGAAGTAATGTGACCAAGACCATATAGACCACATAGACCCAGTTCCGTCTGAATGCAAAATTCACAATTCTCCACTCTGTCACACTGGGGATTTTGTTACTTGTAGGACTGTAAGGTAGGAACTTATACCTCAGAGGGCAGTAATCCCACTCAATAAATCCTTGCTGATAAACTGTTTCAATGCACAAAATATAATAAATAATGCAAACAAAATCAGTGCAGCTCCCTGCCTTCTAGGAGGTTTTGGTGTAATGTAAGTGGCAAAAATTGCAGAAAACAGAGAACAGCAGAGTTGGACATAAAAGGCCCATAAATATGACAGGTTTTATAGGGTTTGCATTTTTTTCTTAGCAATACCCTCATCAATGCTTATCTGTCAGCTTTGCTAGAGAGCTGCCTGAGAACCTGACTTTACCTTGGGAAGGGTTTGGATAGTCTTATCCAAAAAAATCATTTCGCTTGACCCAAGACTGGCCATATTTATCTCCTTGTGACCAGGTGTGGGGGCAAAGGACCCCTTGGGAATGCAATATGATGGAGGGTGGGGCTGTGATAACCCCTCTCCTTTAAGCCTCCCACCTGACACCTGAGGGGGCCATGAAGAGGAGAGGGAGAGTGGAGGGTGGGAGAAGGAAACCACATAGGAAGGTGGTAGAAACTGGGGCTGCTGGTCCAGGGCAAGATGCCCTGACCCAGGGCTAAGTACCGGGAGGACCATCCTGGGCACTGAGCTTTCATGCTGGCAGGAATTTGGACATCACCTTTTGATTCCCCAAGTCTAAGCAAGAGAACACTAGTGTCCCAAGAGGCTCCATGAAATAGGCTTTCCTAGTAAATTCATTTGGGAAACAGATGCACATCAGCTTGGAAAGTCCTGCACACAGCGATTGACTTGTTCTGTCTAACATGTGCTTCCCGGTGTATTGGATCATGGATCCTATCATGTTCCACAGAGCTAATGTTACTCAGAACATAGTTCAGGGGGAAAAACTGCCCCCCACCTTTTTTTACATGTGAGGGTAGTGGCATCAAAGTGGAAGAGAGTGCAGGAATGGCTGCTTAGGATCAGATCAGTTGGTAAAAAACTGAAATCAGGATCCAGGCCTAGAGGTTCTAGCAGTAGCCCAGTGGTTGGCAATACAAATACCCATAGGAGTAAGGCAGGCTGGCTATAGGGGAAAAAAAAAAGTCTCTTGATGGTCTAGCTTGCATTATCTTACATCTTAATAATGTTGGGGGTTTAGAGAACTATTTTTGACTGTAAGAGAAACAATAGTGTAAGAATGGGCCGGGTGCAGTGGCTCACGCCTGTAATCCCAGCACTTTGGGAGGCCGAGGCAGGTGGATCACAAGGTCAAGAGATCGAGACCATCCTGGCCAACATGGTGAAACCCCGTCTCTACTAAAAATACAAAAATTAGCTGGACATGGTGGCGCGTGCCTGTAGTCCCAGCTACTCGGGAGGCTGAGGCAGGAGAACTGCTTGAACCCAGGAGGCGGAGGTTACAGTGAGCCAAGATCCCGCCGCTGCACTCCAGCCTAGTGAGTAGAGTAAGACTCTGTCTCAAAAAAAAAGAATGGCATGCTCTTAAGGGCAACTGACACTCGACTTCAGGCAGAAAGGTCATGGTGAAGACTGAGGCTAACAGGAATGCCTGGAGCCAAGGGGCAGCCACTTCGTGGCTCTTACCATATGAACATGCACGACAAAAGTTGTTGGTTCTTCTGATTTCTCAAGAAAGGCAGGACAGACCGATTTTTATGGCACATCTCCTGAACAACTATTTTTTTCAGGCTGACTTTTATCTGCACGTCCTCATTTTCTCTGTGGGACATTTTCCTCTCCATGGATGGCCAAGCACTAGGCACTCTCTGGCAGTGGTAGGCAGAACCAGGCAGGTCAGCAGGAGGTGGAGATTCCCTTCCTAGTTTGCTTTGCCTCCAGGGATTCCCCAGAGAGATAAATTGGGACAGCAGCGGCTCCACAAACAGCAGTGTTCAACATAAATATTGCCAGGTTTGAGCTAATGTGATACCAGCCTGTAATCCAAACAAAATAGACCATTGTCCTGTGATTATTTCTCCCCTGGACAAAAGCCTCTGAACACTTGGCCTCCCATTTTTTTAAACTCTCTATTTATGGGCCATGTTAATTTAATTCAGCAGCTCCGCCTTCCATGTGGCTCAAAGGCAGCAGTATTTGCATTTCATGATTTCAAAGCCTTTCTGGTCTGCTGGGCTTCACTGAAAAGAAAGGCTTTGTCCTCTTCATTCTGAGAAACAAGAGGACAGAAAAACCACCCAAATCCTTTGACGTAACACAAAACATGCCCAGCAGCTACACACGCCGTTGCTCATATATCAGAAAGAGAGACTCAATCCCAGAACACCTGGAATGGTCCGGAATCATCTGTCCTTAGCCTTCCGGCTTTCCCCAGATGCAGGCTGTGACCAGGGAGTGGAGAGACCTCCCCTTCTCTGTGGCTGCTGACCCAAGGCCCAGTGGAAAGTTGTCTAAGCAGCTGGCTGGGCATCCTGAATGAGACAGTTGTTCATTTGACCAACTCATTCCCCACCACCCACCACCACTAATGGAGTACTGGGCACCAGGCTGGCAGCTTTGTAAAGCTTACCGCGTCTCAGCCTTGCAGCAGATGAGACGGGGCTTGTGACTGCCACTTCACAGATGGGGAAACTGAGGTGTAGAGAGGCAGAGTGATTTGCCTGAGGTCTCAAGACCTCCTGGAAATAAAAATAAAGGATTCTCTTTGGACAGCAAAGCTGGCTTTTTTCATCGGTTCTCTGGAGATGACTTTGATTTTTAGTCCTGTGAGCAATAATGGATTTCTATTTTTCTTTTTTAATATAGATTTTTTAACTGTGCAAATAATCCATGAATATATTGTTTTTATACAGCATTACAGATAAGGCTTGCAGCTCTATAGATCACCCTCATCCACTCCTTCACTCCATTGCTACACTTAAAAGCCTCACATGCTCTCCTGTCCTCTCCAAAGGCAGCTGCTAGCATCAGCGCCCACAGTAGCCTTCTTTTGTTTCCTGTTTATAAACCATACATTTTCTATGGCTACACATACGTGTATTGTTTGATGCTTTCTAATAAAATTGTATCATAGTGTACACATCTTTCACACTTTCCTTATTACAGTCAACATTTGGAGAATACAGAATGCAGCAGATCAAGAACTTTCTCAGTCTTTCTAACATGCCCCAAAATACAGCCTCACTATGGTTCATTTAGCGTCTCATTGTTTTCACTCTCACAAACGATGCCACTGGGCTGGCCTTGCATTGCTTCTTTGGACACATTTACAAGTATTTCTTCAGAGCTGACATGAGAAGTGGGATGGCTGCAGGCAAAAAGGACTGCTGGTTCTCATACCCTTCTACTTCTTCCATAGGCTAGAACCCCAATTTCTTAGTTTGGGTTCCCTGAAATTATTTCTGGCACAGAGCAATGAAGACCAGTTTATGGGACAGTGCTCTAGAGAGGGCTATGTGTAAGGAAATGTCCAGGACTAAAAAGAAGGAATAGTGGGCCTGCAGGCCCCAGCGGACCTGATGAGGACCCCTGGAGCTAGAACGACCCTTCAGAGTTGTCTCAAATTCAGCCAAGGAGGTCATAACCTTTTATGTCAGCATAAGGCAATTCTTGGCAAAAATGGTCTCCTCCGGGAAGCTTGAAACTTCGGGCAAGTATAATCTTGGGTGAGACAATTCTTTGTGGCTCTGAGGAATAATCAGAAAGGGACAGAGTTATGTACTATCAGTCATCAGTGCTCTCAGCAGCTGGGGGATAGGCCTATCAGTCCTTAAGAGGGGACCTGGGTGAGGCACCACAGCATCCCATGCACCCACTTCCAGTGTGACAGCCAGAAGAGCAACTCCATTTCCAAGCCTCCCTCACAGCTATATGCATGACACTGGGTTCTGATTGACAGAACATGGGCAGAAAGGTGAAAAACTTCCAGGTTGTACCTTAAAGGGAAGGGGTGTGATCCCAAATCATTTCGCTTTTGCAGGAAAGGAAAGTGAACTTCAGTGTCATTTAAACCAATTTTACTTGGAGTTTCTCTGGAAAAGAAAACCTGAAAGTATATGCTGACTTACGAATTATGAGGTCATTGGATATGCACTTTTAAATAAATTTAATAATTATGATACTACCAAGCCTCTCCCCCCACCCCCTCCTGCAGAGTATGAGCATGGAAATGACTTTGTACTCATCCATCTGTACCATCTAAAGCCTGAGCCTATGTCTGACCTATCTTCAAGAGTTCTAGCAGCAGATAAGGGTTTGATCAGACTCATAGAAAGAAGCAAGCTTAACTTGGCAGGAAAAAGACCCAAGTACACCTGACTAAGCCACATAGCTTCTGGCTTCAGTTGGCTCTGGCCACCAGAAAACATGGCTGGGAAAATCAGCAAGGACTAAAGAAGCTGTATGGGTCTGAGGCAGAGCTCTGAACTCTGGAACCTGGGCTCCATCCATTCCTGGCATGGCTGCTCTCTCAGGAGCCTTGGGAAGTTCCCATGGATCCTCTGTCTTCTCATCTGGAAAATGGTGCTTGCTGGCCTGCAGCACAAAGGATGGGATCTTCACCCAGACCTGGCAGACCTCCAGTTAATTGTGGTTCTTTAATGCACTGCACAGCCAAGCTGCTGGGGAATCCTATTTGTGAGTAGACAGCACCAGGCTTGGCTGCCTCTGCTGAGTAAATGATGGTTTTACCACTGAAACTTCAGGCAGTGCTTCATCTTCCCGGCAACTACCGCTCAGTTTAGTAGCACCGCCTAAATCAACCAGGAAACAAGCCTTGGGGAAACAGCATCAAGGGAGGAAGGTAACAACACTTCCTGAGGCCTGCTAGGGGCCAGGAGTTTACAAGTATCATCCCATTTAATCTTCTTGACAATCAGTGAGATCTAACTCTGACTACACAAGAGGAAATGAGGACCCAAAGTGATTAAGGAATTTGCCCAGCCTGACAGCGTGAGGCTACTACACCCGCCCTGTATTACTCCAGGCTCAATAATAACAGCATTATTACTCATAATAATATTAATGACTTATATTTACATGATACATCTATTATTGGTATCGTTCTAGGCACTTTACATGTATCAATTACTGAATTCTCGGGACAACTCTATAAGGTAAATACTCTATCCCCACTTTACAGATGAGGAACCTGAGGCACAGAGTGGTGAAATAATTGTCCAACATCACAGAGCAGGTAGAAGTTGAAGCCAGGACCTAAACCAAGAACCTTACTTTGGAATCTATGTGCTTATCCTCTATACCGTAGGACCTCTCTGCCCCATGTTCCTGTCTATACCTCCAGCTTACTATAAGAGAATTTGAACTGAAAGGGATTGCAGAAAACACAGTCTAATCTCCCATTCTACAGATGAACAAACTGAGACCCAGAGAAGAAAGAATACCTGCCCAACAACACAGACAGGAGTAATGAAGCTAAGAGCAGGACTAAGGAATTAAGATATACATAATTAAGTTTAAAAGCAACCCGTTAGTTGGGATAAGTACACGTTATCCCTTGATCTGTTTCTTATTTCAACAGATCTGAAGTTTTGGGGACTCTGGCAGGCCTAACTGTGATATTCAGTGAAGGCCCAGGTAGGAGGGAGGATCTGAGAGCAGCATCTGTGGGAATAGCAGTGGGGTGAAGTCAATTGGAGCAGCCAAGGCTCTGGTGGCTCTGGCAGCCACGCGGGTGCCAGGGGAGGTGCAGTAGGGCCCGCAGCTCCACTAGATTTACTTAGCGGTTTAAGCACTGCCTTCTTCATACTTACTGTTTGCTGGTTGAAAATCAAAAATGAACACCTAATAAGGATGAGGATGGCGATGTAATCAGTATTGAGAGGTAATGGAAGGTAATGGTTGCAAGCATAGAGCCTGAGTCAGCTCTATCATTACTCTCTGCATGATTATGGACAGCTGCCTAACCCCACTTACCCTCAGGTCCTGCACTGGTAAGATTGTGATGGTAATAGCACCTCCTTCACCAGTGAGAAGGAAATCTTACTGAAGAGATTTCAGGTAGTCCTGAAGTACACACCACATGGCCGGCACAGAGGAAGCACTCAAGAAATAGTTATTGCTGTCGCTTCTTATTAATACTGCTATATGTTGGGCACTGAGTATGTGCTGGACACTGGCTAAGGGCATTATAAGCGTGTTCTCACCTCAACCACCTGCTGATGTGAGTATTACTGTTTCCAACTCACAGATGAATAAATGGAGACTTGGGAAGTTTAAGTGACCTGCACAAAGGAACCAACTGCCTCCTTGGTGTGTATGGTTGACATGGATCCCCATCCCTACCTTAGTGCAGTATTCAAAAGGCCACTGGTAACACGAGGATGTGGCCAGGAGTGCTAGGGGTCATTTGTGGAAAGGCACAGAAGGCAGACTTCAATGAAAGTGCTGGAATACTGCTGTAAGTCTGGGGGACACCAAATGGTCCTTCATTAGAAAGAGAGAATTTAGAGGTGGTTGATTTTATCTCTTTGCCCCACCAGATCCCTTCCAGACACTTTGCTATGCTCTGTGGCTTGGGAGGCTGACTCTACAGACTACATTATCTGGGCTCCCTTGCTGTCTTGGTCAATGAGGGACACTGACAAGAGAAGGAAGAGAAGGGAGATTGAGTGGTTATCCCCTATGTCCCTCAGGCTTGTCTCATTGCTCTCCCCAAAGCCAAGGGAGCCCCTTATCCAAGTCTGTAGTTCTTCCACTTTGATCTTTGGATCGAAGAATTGAAACAATTATTGCTTTTGCCAGTCCCCATTGGTTCCTCTAACCCTGCTGCAATGATTTGAATATGTCCCTCAAGTTTCATGTGTTGAAAACTTAATCCCCTATGTAACAGTGTTGGGAAATGGGACCTTTAAGAGGTGATTAGGTCATTATGGTCACGATAGATTATTGTCATTGTCATGGGAATAGGTCTATTATCACAAGAACAGATTTGTTATAAAAGTGAGTTTGGCTCACAGTCTCTCTCTCCTTTGCCATGGGATAATTCAGCAAGAAGGCCCTCACAAGATGCCGTCTTCTTGATATCAGACTTCTGAGCTTCCACAACTGTAAGAAATAAATCTCTATTCTTTATAAATTACCCAGTCTCAGGTATTCTTTTACAGCAGTATAACATTGATTGAGACACCTGCACATGGCTTGGTAAATTGTCCCTTGATTAAGTCCTCTCCAATCACCCTTTCCAGTGTTCCACCTGCTTCCTACTGGAACCCTGATCTAGGCTTATAAGATTCCAAGGAGCTTATAGTACAGGAATGTTACTGGAGTCATGAAAAATCATCTGGAGTCTGTCTAGGGAATGGTCTAAACACCTACATGAGTGATCAGGGAAGCCAACAGGTCCTTGAAGCCCCATAGCTCCACTAGCACTAATTCACTGGCTCTTCCAGGTCTTCCACCCCTACCTCAGCCCCAGTGGAGCAGGGAGTCTTTGCAGAAGCAAGCTCACAGAAACCACCACAAGGGCTGCCTGACATGGCCTGTGGCCACAGTCAAGCTATCTCCAGGTCATCTGGCACCTTCCTCTCTTAGTGTTAATGAAAAGGCACAGGTGGCTGCCTTATTTTGCATTCTTTCCTCCTTCTAAGAAGACAGAGGAGCAAAGTGAGGGGTTCTTGTGGGGCTTTGCTTGCCAGCCGAAGCTGCCTAGGTGAGAAAATTCAATACAGTAAACACAATAACTGAAAGGAGTCCAGTAAAAAGATGTAGAACAGACAGAACATACAGAATAGCCAGAAAATATCATAGCCCAGTTAAACAATGATGCTTGGACTTCAGTGGTTTTTTTCCTTCTTTTTGCCTGCGCTTTCAAATTCCTGCCAGGTTTTCCAGGGAAAAGGCTGCCGGGATCCTGCAAGTGAGAGTGTACCTGGGAAAGCGAGGTGAGAGACCACAGTGGAATGCTAGAGCCAGAATATTCAGGAGGGTGAAGGCTGAAACCAATGCCACTAACCACATGGGGAAAATGGTTCTGGTGGATCAGATGTTTTAATTAGTAGGACCAGTGGAAATGGGCTCTAGGAATGGTAGATTTTCCCACCCAGTTGTGCAGGAAAGGCAGAGTGTACGAAATCCTCTGGAACATAGAGGCCAAACTTATAAGCCCCTTGCTATTCTCCACCTCTTCCCATAGAGTTAATGGGGAAGTGTGAAGATCACAGCCTAAAGAGATGGCTTCTCTACCACTCTGCTTCACCCTGGGGCTCTGACTCAGCTCATTCATGACTTTCATTCACACATGGATGTTCTTGGTGCTAGAACTGGAGCAAGAGGAACAGCCACTGATCTTTAGGAGGCAGTGGGTTCCTTGGAAAGAAACTTTGACATCACTCTTGTATAATAGGGTTTGCTTCCAGCTCTGCCACTTGGGCAATGCCAGAGGACTGCAGTTTCTGAATACTTTCCACATGCCAGGTACTATGCTAGGTGCATTCCACGAATTATCTCATTTAATCATGAGATTAATCATGAGAACCTAAGAACTCATGATAATCCTATGAGTTAAGTTTGGTTATCTCAATTTTACAGCTCCACAGGGACTCAAACCTCAGTTCTTTGTCTCCAGAATATCTTCACTTAAACCATTATTTGATCTATATTTCATGTAACCCCTTTGTACCTCAATTTTCCCTTCTAAAAAATGAGAAATAAAAAGCTACCTCAAAATACAGTAACATCAGAGAAGGACCTCACTATGCAGTAATAATAATAATAGCTTCCAAATTTTGAGATTTACTACATGCTGACACTAGACAATGAATTTTATTTCAATTTAATCCTCCTGTTATGAGTTGAATTTTGTTATCCCAAAAGATATATTGAAGTCCTAATCCCCAGAAAGTGACCTTATTTGGAAATAAGGTTATTACAAATGTAATTAGTTAAGATGAGGTCACATTAGAGTAGAGAGGACTCTTAATGAGTGATGTCCTTATAAGAAGAGGAGAGAGACACAGAAAGGAGAATGCCACAAGAAGACACAGAGACACCCAGGGAGAAGATGGAGGCAGAGATCAGAGTGATGTTGTCACAAGCCAAAGAATGCCTTCCAGGAACTGGAAGAGGCAAGGAAAGACCCTCCCCTAGAGCCTTCAGGGTGGCGTAGCCCTCCCAACACCTAGATTTTGGACTTCTAGCACCAGAACTGTGAGACCATAAATTTCTGTTGCTTTAAATCTCCCAGTTTGTGGCACTTTGTTACAGCAGCTCTCAGAAACTAATATACAACTCTAGGCATTTAAAAAATATTTTTACAGATGAGAAAACTGAAGTTCAAGTGCATTGACTAACTTGCCCAAGATCACGCAGCAAGTGAGTAGTGGAGTTGGGGATGGAAGCCAAGTTTGTCTGACTCAAGAACCTCCATGCTCTACCACTAAGACCACAGCCTCTCCCTAGGACAGTCTCAGCCATGCTAATTGCCTTCCATGTACCATTACCCTCATCAGCTCCTTCTGCCCACCCAAGCCTCCCTTCCTTATGCCCACCTCCCACTGGAAGACTCGCTGTTGATTCTCACCCATGTGGCCTCTCCCTTCTCTGAGCCTCATGCTTCCATGGCTATGAAGCACATTTCTTCATGCCTTTCTCTGCAGCCCACTTCTTCAGTTCAGATTAAGCCCAGCCTCCACTGCCAGACTGAAAGCTCTTTCTGGCCAGGACCAGGCCAGATCTTCTGCAGCTCTTGTCAGAACTAAGGACAGGGAGTTCATCTCTCACCCAGTATTTTCTCACCTGCCCTTAGACAACCTGCTCCAAAGACAGGACGCTGATTCTGGCAGCAAGATGCCATTCTGATTCGCCCCAGATCTGAGAGGTCCACAGATCCTCACAAGGATCAAAACACTTCCCGGATGTTTTTGGCAACACTGGGCATCAGTTACCTTTAACTTACTCTAAATTCAATGTTCGGCCTCTCATGGAAAAACATCTGTCCATCCAGGATGTGATAAAACAAGTTATTTCACCTCCAATGGAAAGGTACCCAGAAAGCAAGTCAGTTGCGAACACCACGAGTGATTTTCTTGTCTTAAGTTCATGGTTTTTAACTTACTTCTAAAAATCTTCTCTATGGAAATAATCAGAAATTACCACCAAGATTTGTGTTCAAAGATGTACATTAAAATAATATTATTTTGAAGAAACTAAAAACAGCCTAAATATCTGACAGTAGTCAATAGATTTGTTAAATTACGGTATACTCACAGAAGAAATATGCCTTATTGACTAGACAAGTTATGGCTTTTCTAAAAATTTAAATATCATATCTGACATATTAAAAATGTTAATTCTGAAGAAAATGTAACATCATAGGGGAAAGTGGATGCTCTACTGTTAAGAGGAAAAATTGAGCTAGAGAATTATACATGTACATGTAATGTGATCCCAATTTGGATTACAGATAGATATCCATCTCTCTCTCTCTATCTATCTCTCTCTCTCTCTCTCTCTCTCTCTGTGTGTGTGTGTGTGTGTGTGTGTGTGTGTGTGTAGAGAGAGAGAGAAGAGAGAACAAGATAGAAAGAGTGAATCATGGCTGATAAAGAGAGAGAGAGTTCTCAGAATTAGAGAAATACATTTAAAAATCCCATTTTTGTAGCAAGACTCGTAGTGAATTTATTTTCTTCTTTACAACTTTCTGTGTTTTCTAAGATCTCTGTAACAATTAGTGCCAACACTTGCATAACTGAAGCAGGGGACAGGGAGCATCTGCCCAGTGACCTGTCCCTGCACACCACCCTTGCCGCTCCTTGCATGTGTCCATGACCTGTCCCAACTGACAGACTCCTCTGGGTTCATCCCGTGGCTTCTTCAGAGCCCTCGTGTGTGGCTCCTTCCTTAGCTATGTAGAGCTGTAGAATAAGCAAGTGTCAGTGCATTCAAGAGTCGAAGAGCGGTCTCAGTGAATGGACAATTTTCTAGAGCATCTCTCTGCATCATGCAAGCAATTCATCGTCTGGGACAATTTCCAAGAAAGGCTCATCTGCTCTGAGCAGCAGCTGGCTTTGGCACCTGCACACCTCCTACCTTGTTCACAGACTTTCAGAAACAAAAGCAAAGAGAAACTGCAGGCTTCACCCCCAAACTAGAAATGATCTCTCCCAAGAGTGTAGCTGCCAGCCACGTCTCAGGGACAGGCACGATTGGGGCATTTGGTAGAGAAAATAAGGGATTGTGGACAGGTGCAAATGGATTTTCCGCATCGAGGTCACAGGAGGGGAAATCCCACCAATACAGACAAATGAAATATCCAACCCATTCCCTTGGCCTGTCACCCAACACAGAGACAAGGCTTTTATAAATGCTGCCTGTCTTCCCATCTGGCACATCGCTATAAAAATTTAAATAAAATATCAAACACACACAGCACCAACATTATCATCGTCATCACTCTTCTCGTGGAAACAAGAAATTCAACTAAATGAACTCTGTGCTGTGAACCGCATTTTAATGAAACACATTCATGTATATTTCTAGACCCCTACATCTCTAGAAAGTGTCACACTTTGTGGGAAACAGTTGGTGCTCTCTGATCCACCACTTTAACTGGTTAATTCCTCTCTACTGATTCCCTTCTGAGCTCATGCCTTAGGACATAGATCATTTCTAATCCTAAAATATTAGAAAGAGCAAAGGAATCAGACAGCTGAATTTGAACTGTGCCTCCGCTACTGGTTAGCTAAACCTCAGTTTCCCCAACTGTAAAAAGGATATTAAAAATGCCTACATTACGGGATAGTTTTGAGGATCAAGTGGGATAATAAGAATAAACTGTGGCCCATAGTGGATCCTCAAATGACTATGCCTTATGCTATATCATCTTTCATCCTTACAGTTCAGCTATAAATTTGGTCTGGTCACTTTCTCAAAAGCCCTAATCAGGGGACTTTCTCTCGAGTTCCTGTTTCTATAACTTTCCAACACACAAAAAGGTCAGATATTTTTACTTAGGCTTTCATCATGAATTGGAAATTACAGAAGTTTTCTCTGAACTAATTAAATTTGATTTATTTAATAACAATTAAAATAATTAAAATCTGTTGGGATGATAATGGTTATTTAATACAAAGAAGCTATTTTATAAAAGAAAAAGTTAAGATCTGTGATTCGACTCTACCTGTAGATATGGGAAAATCTTGGAATGGAAATGATAACATCTCCATGGCCACCATGGCCGGGTAGTCCTCTCCTCTAGCAGGGGGCTGTCTTTTCTTTGGCGGATCAGGAGCACCCTGAACCCTTCCCATCCACGCCGACACAACCTCAGGAGCAATGACACTCCCAGTGCCCTCTTACCTAAGGAAAGTGGAAAGTGACCCTTCACAGATGGTTTCCCAGGCTCCCCTGTAAAATAGCTCCATTTTAAGTTAGCTTGTCAATAATCAACACTATCTCAGACCAATCCATAGAAACAGAACTACTGCATAGGAGCCCCTTCAAAACAGTGCTATTCCAGGCTAGCTCACAAAAGAGCCCAACTCCAGGCTAGCCCGTAAAAATAGTAATATTATAAGCTTGGTTCTATAAAGCTAATATTATTTTAATTCCATTAAAGACTAAACAGGGTTTCTGTGCATTGGCCATGAAAGTTATCTTCAAATTAAATGCTCCCTGAAAAGTGCATTCTGAGTCTAACACAAAAGTCCTAAATGCAAACTGTAGGGATGCAGTCCATTTTCAAGTGTGGGCCTGCCAGGAAGGCCTAACCTTTTTGCACGAGTTTGTCTCCAATCACAGCAGCAAATTTGAACAAGGCATGTTAACAAGGCACATCCCTCTGACAGATGAGAACAGACAGAGCCTGACAAATTTGCTGATTGAAATCCCTATGAACCACATCTCCTGGGCAACCACTGTCTAAACAAGGAATATTATAGATGAAAGGAAATTTGGATAGTGTGATTCCCACTTCTCCATTCTGCAGATGAGAAAACTGAGGCCTAAAGAGGAGAAGGGACTTGCCCAAGGTTGCCCAGGAGTAGGACAAGTCTGAATGCCAGGCCCTCTCTTAGAGGGATATTGCCTGTTTGCTTCATTCTGCTCTCATCAGCAGGATCTATCCTGTATCCCCTCTCACTTCTTTCATATTCCTGAAACTCTAAAGCTTATTAACGAGAAACTTCTGCAGCTAAAATTCAAAGCCAATGACCCCCAAGAGTGTGGCCTTAGCTATTTTTCCGGGCCCCAGCCCCTCACAATAGCAACAGAGCTCTGGCTCAGGGAGAAAGACAGGTTTTTAAAGCAGGGATGGCATTTTTTTAAACAAACAGTCCCACTAGAGTGTAGCCTGCAGTCAGCTCGTGATGGAAACGGGTGCTCTGGGCTGCTCTGGCCCAGCACTAATCAGGTTCTGCGCTTGATCCTGAGGGACCTGGATTACTACCGTATGAAATAGAGAAATGCCTCCATTATCCCTTAAATATTTTCACTGAATTCGAGGATTTTCACACAGAGGAGAAACATTTCTTGCCTATTGGCTTCTTTTCTCCAGGTTAATCTGTATCAGTTCAACCTTCTTTCCGGGTGCAGCATGGCAGACACTCACCTGCCTGCTCCCTGGGGCATGGTGAGGGTCCCCTGACTTCAGCATGGCCAGGAAGGACCCCCAGCCCAGCCCTTCCCTACTGCCACTGTGTCAGCTCTCCCCAGCCCCTGCCCCCACACTCTGTCCTTCCAGTTCCCCCAAGTGCTCCCTGTTCCCTCTTGCCTCCAAAACCTTGTATTCCCTGCCTGGATTGCCCTTCTCCCTCATCACCAGCTCGCCTCTGAACATAATTAACTACTATTTGTCCTTCCAGACTCAGCTTTTTCTGGTTAGACACCACACCCTCTCCAGAAAATTTAGCAGCCCTCACACAGCTCCTGGGGACCTCTGCTTTCCCTTATCGTGGCATTGGCCACTCACCAAAGTAATTGTCCATTTCTGGGTTTCTCTCACCAAACTAAGGTAAGCAAAGAAGTTAGGAGTCTGTGCTCACTCCATCTGCCTGGCAGTGCTGTCTGAATGGCTGTATGGAGAAGGAGGCTAAAGTTGCACATTGAGCTCAGTGTGAAATGATACCACAATTGATTAACCATGTCTGACACAGGCATGGGATTAGAGTGGAGACGGGTAGGCCAGTTTAGCAATAGATTGTGAGCTGCTCGAAGGCAACTTTGTATTTTTCTTAGACACGGCACAATGCCTGAAACATAGTAGGTGCTTGATAAATATTTGTGAGTGGATGAAGAACATGATCTCTATTACTTATTTAGGACCCATTAAATACCAAGCTAACACCATGCTGCTTTATTTGCATTATTAATCCTCAAAATATTTCTATGAAGTTATAGATATTTGGAGTCTTATATAAAAGACAACAAATCCAGACCTGGAAAATAATTTGGTAAATGGCTCAGAATCACATAGTAATGGACACAGGATTTGACCCAGCTCTGTCTAAGCCCATAGCTATTGCTCTTTCAGCTCAGTTACTATCGAAGAAAAGAAGTATCCTCTGAATACTATACTGAATACCTCAGCCCAGAAAGTGCCAAATTTTGGACTCTGTAGAGGCCCACCTGGAAACAGAGCTGATATAGGGAAAATTTCTGGGCAGTGAGGCTTTCTCTTGGCTTCAGGATCTTTCTGAACCCTAGCACGCACGTATCAAGACTCCAACTAAGACTCAGGTGTCTATAGAGAGGAGAACAAAAGAAGGAGTAGACAGAGTGAGGTTGGGAGTCTCTCAAAGACTGATGGAGGCTAAGGATGCTCTTCCTCAAACCTGTGCTACTCAAACCTGGTCATCACTACCCCATTCTGGGTGTTAGGTCCTCATCCAAATATTATGAGCTTTGGCCTTGTAAGCTCCAGTGCTTCTTCTATCTCAGGCAGTTTATATATGACTTGGAGATGAAATACAAAAGCATACATGAAACATAGAGAGAGGAATTATTGCTGATTCACTCATTGAAGATAGCTTATCTCTAAAACCAAAGTGGGCATAGCATAGTTTACTCTTTTGGTGGCACGTTGTGTCTGAATCCTAGCTCTTAATTACACCAGCTGTGAACCCTGGGTGACTTTCATTCTCTCTCTGAATCTCAGCTTCCCCACCTATAAGATAGGAATAATTCGGCCAGTGGTTTTCCAATGTGGTATGGAATTAGGAGTAGTTGTACCTCCTGGAAGCTTGTTAGACATGCAAAATTTTAGGCCCTACCCAGACCTATTGAATCAGAAACTCTGGGGATAGAGTCTAGTATTCTGTGTTTTAATAGGCCCTTCAGGTGATTATGATACATGATGAAGTTTGAGAACCACTCAGTTAAGCCAGTGGCTTTCAAACCTTTCAGCACAACTCATATTAAGAAATTTATTTTTCGGCTGGGTGCGGTGGCTCACATCTATGATCCCAGCACTATAGGAGGTCATGGCGGGTGGATGACGTGAGGTCAGGAGCTCGAGACCAGCCTGGCCAACATGGTGAAACTGCGTCTCTACTAAAAACACACAAAAAATTAGCCAGGTGTGATGGCGGGTGCCTGTAATCTCAGCTACTCAGGAGGCTGAGGCAGGAGAATTGCTGGAATCCGGGAGGCGGAGGGTGCAGTGAGGCGAGATCGCGCCACTGCACTCCAGCACAGTCTAGTTTCCACACACACACATCTGTTCATAACCGAGATATAAGGTTCATAAAACATTCTTCTTTATTCTCAAAATACTCTCTGATACTCGCTACTCCATTTTGTTCCATGTAATTTTGTCCTATTTCATTTTTAAAATGCTAGTTTTGACCCATTAAGTTGATTTCATGACTCACTAATGGATTTCAAGCTATGATTTGAAAAGAAACATGATCTAAACGGTCCCTTCCAAGTTGGACTGACCAGAAGAGATGCTTGTAAAATACCTGGCCTACTGGCTGTTGCATACCAGGTTCTCAATTAACAGCAGCTATCATCATCATCATCCTTATTAACAAATTACACAGTGGGTAGAAACTTATTAAGTATTTTAAGTGAAATGAAACTCACGTTAATGCCTAAAACCACATAAAACGCACAAGTCCCAAACCTCTTCTTTCACATGTGCTTATGCATAAACCCAAGTTCATTTTTTCCTAGGAAATCCCTCCGAAAGTTATAATTACTCTGATTCTTGGCAATAAAATAATCGTAGCACTATAAAAATCCCTGTGGAGGAGTGTTGGCAATGGACCAGGGAGAGGGGAGGCGGGGTCTGAGATGATCATTCTGTGCAGGCTGAGAAGGGAATCTCCATGGTGCACTGAGCTCTGGTGAGTAAATTTCAACTTTCCCGTGGCATTTACTCAGCACTGTAGTTGCCAACAAAACAGATCTCCACTAAGGGGACCAGATGGCCACAAAGGAGCCAAATGGGAAAGTGCTGGTTACAAATTACAACTGCAGCACCTGAACTCTGTAGACGGAAGCTGCTGCAGTGCTAATAGTCCCCTCCTGGAAAATCAGACCTGAGTTTAATTCTAAGGACCTGGAAGTATGAATCCCACCAGAAGCATGCTCTATGTCTCAACTCTGTCTATTGCATGTAGAAGGGGATGAGTGTACAGGACCCCACCTAGCAGGCAAAGGAAAACATCTACCCCAGGGCTGCCAGATGAGATCTTTACTTATCTAGGAAGTTCATCTTGGATTCCCTCCAACCCAAGGGAATTTTTTTTTATTATACTTTAAGTTCTAAGATACATGTGCGCAACATGCAGGTTTGTTACATATGTATACATGTGCCATGTTGGTGTGCTGCACCCATTTACATTAGGTATATCTCCTAATGCTATCCCTCCCCCCTCCCCCCACCCCACGACAGGCCCCAGTGTGTGATGTTCCCCACCCTGTGTCCAAGTGTTCTCATTGTTCAATTCCCACCTATGAGTGAGAACATGCGGTGTTTGGTTTTTTGTCCTTGCGATAGTTTGCTCACCTGGGAAGCGCAAGGGAAGAAGCTACCAAAGGAATTTTTTAAATGATGAAATCTAATAACTACTATTTGGGGGTCACCCACCATGTGCCAGGTGGGCAACATGCTGAGTACTTTATTTGTTAGGTAAAGTGGGATTATAAAGGAAAATTTTCAAATGTGAAAAGAGGCTCAGGGAGGTTAATTAAGTTGTCCAAAATCACAGAACTGGTAAATAAGAAAGCTGGATTTGACCCAGATCTCTGACTTCAAAGCCCAACCCCACATTCTTTCTAAGTCAGCAGCTACTTCCTCAAACTCTTCAGTGGAATCAGGTCCCTGGATCACAAGAAGAGAAAGGAAAAAGGAAAGAAACTAGTATTTGTTGTGTATTGACTATGTGTGAAACACCATGCTGAGTGCTCTAAAGACATTTTCTAAATCACACTATTCCTTTCAGGTTATTATCCCATTTTCCAGATGAGAAAACTGAGGCAAAGAAAGGTTAAGTATCTTGCCCAGAGATACACAAAAAGTAGCAGAACAAGGATTTTAATCCTAATCTCTCCAAGTCTAAACTTCTTGCTTTATCCACTACACCATGCTGATAAGTCTTGGAAGGGCATCTTCTCCCCACTTGCAATCCACCCTAACTGCTCCTGCAGTATTAATCATCCTAAGACACAACTCAGGCTATAGCATTTTCTTGCTCAAAAACATTCTGTGGCTCCCAAGACCTAGAGAAAAGCCTAAATTCCTTACCCTGGCTCCTCAATCTGATTCCAAAAGGCTTTTCCAGTATTTATACCCAATGCATCTTTTCTAGCACAAGTAGACACCCCCTATATCCTCTGTCTCAAACTCACCTCCACACAACCATCATAGCATTCTCTCTAGAATACTGGTTGATTATCCCACTCCATTCCTTGAACATCTTAGATGGCTCTATGGAAACATCTGTCCTACTTGCTGCCACCCTTTAGCTCTTCTCCTGGTAATAGAGATGACTGTCCTCCACTCATTCTACCTTAGAGGGAGTTCATGACCAGGCCTGGCTGATCAGATGATCACCTCCCCCAGGCCACAGTGATTGGGTTAGGTATAAGGAAATCACCTGAGTGAAGTCTGTTCAATCCACTCAGAGCTAATCCCAGGACTCTGGCTAAGGCAGAAACTTTCTCTGTTCTGGGAGACTGAGGATTTTGACCATAAGGCTGTTGGCAGCCACTTTGCCACCAGTATCTAAGAACATAGCTCACAGAGAGGAAAGATGCAAAAAGACAAGGTCTTAAAAGCATAGTGTGTTGCCCCTGGACCTAGCCTGGCCTGCAAAGACAGCTACCCCCGGTCAATTCAATGACACAAGCTAATGCATTTCTTTATGCATAAGCCTGTATAGATTGGGCTTTCTATGACTTACAACTGGAAATTTCCTTATAACCAGAAGTTACAATTGATGTAGCTCTTCCCTGCCTTTAGCATTTTCTAGGCCTGAGCAACAAGGACCCCAGCCCGCCTTCCCACGCTCATCTCCTTTTATTCTCCCCAGCCCCAAGCACCACATCACCACCTGTGCTCACGCACACTCAAGACTCCCTGCTGTGGCTCATGCTGTCTCTGCAACAGTGGCCTGCACAGTCTCACAGGTAGTTGGTGGCAGATTGGGATTTGAATCCACACTCATCCATCTCAGCATTTGACCTCAACAGCCATGAAGGACTGCCTCAGAGAGGTAGGAGGTATGACTAGAAAGGTGGTATGAGGGGCCAAGGGGCACCCCATGCTAGCACAGGAGTCTGAGCATTATTCTTCACATGTGTAGAGAACTGGTTAAAAGCATGGGCTCAGGAGTAAGGCTTTTTGGGTTCAAATCCTGACTCTACCTCTCACTAGCTCTGGGACTTGGAGTCTTCACCTCTCTGTGCCTCGGTTTCCTTTTCTATAAAAGGTGGTCATCATGAGGACTAAATAAGTTAACAAAGATGAAGCACTTAGACAAGTGCCTGACACATAGTAGGTACAATCTAAATCTTAGCTATTATCACAATTCATTTGTAGGAGACAGAGAGCCATGGAATGGTCCTGGGCAATTTCCCAAGGCATATGCATGGCTAGACTTTATCATATTTCACATGAATGTGTGGCTTAGGCACAGGAAGGCTTTGGTGAATCATTCCGTGTGCAAGTAAAGGATCCCCCACCTAATGCTTCCTCTACATTTGACCAGACATCTGTGGGAAGGGGCTCTGGGAGCAGCCACAGCTGGCTGGTCACCCAGCACAAGCACTGCCTACTCCCTGCTACAGTGTGGCTGTCACTGGGCTGACCTCTCATCCACATGCTTCAGGAGGATGGCAGCTATGGGCACCAGGCCCAAAGAACTCCTCAGGACCTCCTCCGCCAGTGAGACTGCCATTTCCCAGATGCAGTCGTCTGGCTGGGCTTGCAGACTGGTGAAAGCAGGATGCCTGTCATATAGGGAACTTGCCTGCTGCCAAACCATCATAGGAGGGGGACCAGATGGGGGTTTTGAGGCCATAAGAAAGGCAAGGAGTGGCAACTGGGCTTGGAAGGGAGGACCCCCTGCCATCTTTCTTCTCTAACTCCTTGTGCCCTATTCCGTGCATGTCCCAGCAACCCACTTCTGTGCCTCATTCTCTTCAATTCTTTGTAATTATTTCTTGGGGGCAAAACATGAGTTTGCAACTCATCTGCAAGACCCTTCAGGGTGGGGGCTTTGTCACGTGCATCTCTGTTCTCCCCTCTGCCCAGGACGGTGGTGCCCCAAAACTTGTTACAAAATCTGTCTCCTTTTCTCCACTTTGCTGGTGACACCCCAGGCTGGCATCTCCTGCAGGGATGACTGGCCTTCCTGTTCTCCTCTCTCCCACTCCCTACAATTCACCCTTCACTTCATGTGGCAGCCCTAGTGACCTTTTAAAAAATGCAAATCAGAGGGTGTCATTCCTGCTTAACTCTCTCAAATGGCTTCTCATCCTAATTAAAATTCAACCTAAACTCCTTACCATGGTCAATAAGGCCCTCCACAATCTGGCTTTGCCCCTCCTCCATCCCTCTTCCCAGCCCTGACCATTGTTCTCTTTCTCGTCCTCACTAGGTCAGATCCTGCCTCAGAGCATCTGCACTTGCTGTCCCCTCTGCGTTACATTCAGGTCCCGAGGTCTTCACACAACTGGCTCCTTCTTGCCTACAAGCTACCTTGTTAGAGATGTGTTCCCTGACCACCCAATGTGAATTAGCCAAGTATGTCAACCCTGCATTTCCTCTCACATTACTCTATTTTGATTTCTTCACAGTATTTATCATTACTTCCTTAAAATGACATTGCTGCTGTTGTTTTCTTCCTTTTAAATTTTGCTATTGTTTTTCTTCTCCATTTAGAGTATAAACTCTATGAGAGTAGAGATGTTGTCTGTCTCACTTATCCCTGTATCCCTGAGCCTTGAGCAGGGTCTAGTAAATAATGAAAACTCACTAAGTATTTAAAAATAAATGAAAAGATCTAATAGGTTAACTACTCCCACCCTGCCTTGACCGTACTTTACAGAAGAGCCGAGTCCTAAGAGGTGGGAAGCAAAAGGCATGTCCAAGTATGGCACCACAGGACCTCTAGTCTGAAGGGATTTGGGTTCATCTCCTGTTTGCCTCCCTCACATCAGCCTGTTAAGCAGATGACAGCATCTGTCCAGGAGAGTCTAGTCCTGGGAAGGAGCAGTCCAGCCATAACAGGAAACTGCACCAAAGGGAGAGCGAGAATGGGGTAGAGAGCATGAGCTCTGGGGTCAGACGACCTGGGTTCAAATCCCACCTCTAACAATTTTACCTGGGAGGTCAGACATGTTATTTATTTGTTCTCCAAGCCTCCAAAAAGTTAAGCTTCAGTGACTTGGGGTTGACTTGATGATGCTGGGGTCAGTAGCATCTGCAAAGGGAAAGGAGTCCACCTGGCCTTGTAGGGTTGGGGGCCAAAGCCAGCTGTAAACAGCTGCCTCTATGCTGGCCAAGAAAGAAAGTAGGTATTGGGAGGAGCTGTGAGAACACAGCCTCTCTGTGGCTCCTATTTAGGGAGGATGGACATTTTCTCTAGGCCCATCACCCTTTATCTGTGAAGTAGGGATAATAATAGCTACTCTGCAAGGTTGTTCCACACAATAGACACTACTTATTAATAGTCATTATTTCATGAAGGACTTCGAGGAGTCAATGAAACAGTGACTGTGCATCTATCATGGCACCTGCCCACAGTCAGTGCCCTTTAGATGGCTGCTTCAAGATCACATGAAGGAATATCCCAGGAACACTGGGTATATCACAGGTATCCTTTAAATGCACGCTCTTTTACTTTCCTCTTTCCATTGGTAAATCAGGGGCTTCCGGTTATGTTTTTCAGAGTTGGGTCCTCAACTGTCTTGGAGGAGCTGGTGGGAGCAATCCAGGTTGCTTGGATGACATTGTTATACCTCCTTGGTGCTCAAACCCTGAATAGCAGAAGAAGCTAGTGCTGCCTGGCTTGGCCTCCTTCCCTCCCCCTCTGCAGGGCTGGCCCCACCATGAATATGCACGGTCAGGCTTTAGCCACAGCTGGGGAGGAAGGATGCCTCTGCCTTCTA
This sequence comes from Homo sapiens, assembly GCF_000001405.40. Lineage (NCBI taxonomy): Eukaryota > Metazoa > Chordata > Mammalia > Primates > Hominidae > Homo > Homo sapiens. Next base: position 19,455,921 of record NC_000011.10, on the reverse strand, counting down.
TAGGTCAAACACCATGGCAACCGGGCAGGCCCCCAAATATCCACAGCCTTTTGATGCAGTAGGTTCTGGTGCGTTGCTCAAGAGCAATTTCTGGGACTGTTTCGCCAGCACAGACATTACCCTGGAATTCTACTGATGGTTTTCCTTAAATAGCACAGAGGTAAATGCACAAAGGAGGGAGGAATTATCATAGTTTTGAAGAGCATGAGTTCTGATTCTAGCTCCTCCACTTCCTAGCTCTGGGATCCTGAGACAATTTACTTACCTCTTGTCATGTAAAATGGCATAATAATAGTGCCCATTCATAGAGATGCTGTGGTTATATTCAGTTATTCATTCAACAAATATTCACTGAGGCCCTAAGTGCCAGGCATTATATCTAGTAGCTATTCTTGCCTTGTAGAAATTACAGCAGAATGGGAGAGAGATTATGTACAATTCATTCAATTTCATATGTAGCAAATACTATGAATGGAATTTACAGGGTGCTATGAGAGCATATAGTGGCCTAAAATGTGATGATTCTGTCAGTAAACAGCTACTGAGCACCTACTATATACTACTTGTGGTTCTAGGTGCTAGGGATATGGTAAACAGACTCCAAGCTGGTCTCCAACCTTCCAACCCATCACTTTTCCACATAGCAGCCATAAACATTTTTGTAAATAAATATTACATTATATCACCCAAGTGCTGAAACTCTTTTGGTGTCTTCCAATTGCACTTAGAATCTAATCTCGCTATGGCAGTTACCTGACCCAACCTGGCCCTACCAAGACCTACCAGTTCTCTGAGTCTTCTAAAGTCACTCTGCCTCTTGCTTAAGTCCAGTGGTTCTCCAGCTCTCAGGTACATCTGAATTACCTGGAAGGCTTGCTGCCTACCCCTGACCCCCAGAGTCTGTGATTCAGTAAATCTGGGCTGGGGCCTGAGAATTTGCATTTCTAACCTGTTCGCAGGTGATGCTGCTGCTGCTGGCCCAGAGACCCACAGTAAGAACCACTGTTTTAGCCACAGGACCTTCTTTTTGCTCCCTGAAGACACAAAGTTTTGTCTTATCTTAGGACCTTTGTACATGCTGTTCTCTCTTTCTGGAAGGTGCTCCCACCTCCCAACACTCCCCTTGCTAGCTCCTTCTCAAATCAATTGCCCTTTCCTTAGAAATATTATCTTTAGCCATTGACCTCCTTTACTTTCAGTTACGTGTCCCATTAATTCACGGTTACAGTCTCTGGTCTGTTCCATCATCAGCCTGGCCCACCTTCCTGGAGGCTCCATGACAGAAGGACTGGGTCTGTCTTGCCTCCCAGCTCAGCACAGTGCTGGCAAACAGTGAGCAGTCAATAAGAATGCTCAGAATGAACAAACTTGCAAACAAACAGGATCCCTGTCCTCAGGGATCTTCCAGTCCAGGACACTTCGTCTAAAGCCCCAGGCCCAGCACACAGTAAATGTCAATTAACATTAACCTCCAATGCTCAGGGTGATGGGCCTGAAGAAAACATCCATTCTCCTTCAATAGAAGCCACAGACAGGCTGTGTCCTCTTAGCTCCCCTTGGGGACCTACTTTTTCAGCCAGCATTGAGGCAGCTATTTGCAGCTGACTGTGGCCCCCAACCCTATGAGGTCAGGCGGACTGCTTTCCCTCTGCAGACACCACAGGCCCCAGTATCATCAAAACAACCCTGAGCTGCTGAAACCTAACCATTTAGAGACACAGCCCTTCTTCCAGCTTCCCTGTGCTCCAACTTGGGACTTGCAGTCTGACCCAGCCTTCACCTCTCAGTGCTCTGAATCACAATGCCTCCAGGGACGGGGAGTGTTCACTTTAAGTTGCAGACTCAGAGCCCGGTAACCATTGTTTCATTGGAGCCAGCACATCTCCGTGAGCAGAATCTACGTCCAAGGCGGTGGCAGCGGATGGTGTCCAAAATTGCCCAAGAAGGCTATTCAGAGGCAAAAATGGATGGGCAATTAATAAGGAAAAATGATCGTAATGGCCTCCCCCAACATAAAGGCATTCAATTAAGGCACAATAGTGACAGGAAGGCCAATGGATGGCTCTGGATGGCCTCTTTCCTTTTTCTAAAGGGCTGACTCTGGCCTTGAGCAGGAGACAAAACCTAACAGAGTCATTTAAAAGGATAAAGGATTTATCAGCGAAGGGTTTAGATTCATGGCTGGAAGGATTTCAGGAGGAGGAGAGAGCTGTGGGGGCCCTGAGGATTGTGCAGAGAGACATGGCCTCCGCTCCAAGGCCAGGTTAGACTGCTCTCCAAGCCCCTGCAGGTTCAGGAGCAGATGGGGCAGTTTGGGCAAGGCCACATAGATGACATACATTTCAGGCTGATCCAGGCAGCCCATGGGGGCTCCAGAAGGTGTCTAGGGAAGAAATTCACATTCCAAAAACTGTTAGCATAGTCAGGGATCCCTTAAACACATTTCTAACATCAGTTTAAGGTTAAAGATTAATTTTCCTGAATTGATCTAAATCTTGCTGCCCGGTAGCACTTTGTCAGAGTCCCAAGAATAGCCCTTCTTAAGGACACGCATCCTTTCTTGGTGCCTCCAATCCTGAAAGGCTTTCTCCTTCCTTGGGCCCCATATCTTGCCCAGTATTTTGCTTTGCCTCATTTGTACTCAGCTGGGATCCACCTGTTTATTTTGAACACCTATGATGAGCCAGCCACAGTGCTGAGCACTGGGGATCTACAGGGCACAAAAAACACGAGGTGTCTGCTGTCTAAATTGAGAGGGGAACTCAGAGCAGTGGACAGTTGAATATGAGCAATGTCATGTAGCAATCCCAGTTATGATCCCAGTCTCTGGAGTCAGATTGCCTGGGTTCAAACCCTAACTCGCACTTACCAGCCATGTGATTTTGGGTTCATGTGATCTTGATGGAATTACTTAACTTCTCTGAGCCTCAATTTCAACATCTGTGAAATGGGGATATAGCAAAGGTTTGTTGTGGATTGGATTAATACATGTAAAAAGCTTTTACATATAGTAACCACTATTTAAGTGTTAGCTATCTTATTGTTATTATGAAAGTCGAAATACAGAGGGTCCCTGACTTACAATGGTTTGATTATATGATCGTACAAAAGCAATACACATTCACTAGAAACAGTACTTTGAGTACCCATACATTGTTTTTCACTTTGAATACAGTATTCAAAAAAATTGCATGAGATATTCACACCTTATTATAAAATAGGCTTTGTGTTAGATACTTTTGCCCAAATGTAGGCTAATGTAAGTGTTCTAAGCACATTTAAAGTAGGCAAGGCTAAGCTATGATATTCAGCAGCATAGGTGTATTAACATATTTTTGACTTAGGATGTTTTCAACTCACAATGGGTTTATTGGGATGTAACCCAACGGTAAATCAAGGAGCATCAGTACAGGACTGTGGAAGAGAGAGGAGGATTTCTCACCCAGACAGTGGGCTATGGAAGAGGATGGTGGCTAGACAAGGAACCTGTCCTAGAGGTCTTTTTGGAAGACAGAGAGGGCATGGTCAATATGGTCATTTGTTTATGGTCATCTTCCCAACCTGTCAGCTGTGTCTTTATCTTCCTCATTCGTCTCCATATGTCAGGGCCCAACATGATACCTGGCACATGGCAGTTCTTCCATAACTATTTGATTCTTAATTTTTTAAAAGCAATCTCTTAAATTTGCCTTTAGTTCAACTGATCTCTGGAGGGTTATCCACTTAGGTGAAAAGACTGGAAAGGAAATGAAGAAGAAATATTAATCTTTACACACACACACACACACACACACACACACACACACACACACACTTTTGTAACCTAATAGAACTGACCAGGTGTTGCATAGTTACAGGATAATGACGTGAACCACGTAGTGAGGATGAAACAGCTGATACCGTAGTTATGAGGATACTTCATGGTAAAGACACATTTCTTGTTGATCCTCTTCAATGCCTCCTCTCCCACTTAGGATAAAGACACCCACCTTTGGTCTGGCCTACAAGACCCTGCTGATCTGTCCTTGCCCACCTCAGCAGCTGCTGTTGCTCTGTCACTCTCTAGACTCCAGCCAGCTTCTATTTCCATGTCCTTACATTTGCTTAACACCTTTCTGCCTCAGGGCCTTTGCACAAGCTGTGAGGCTGTTCCTTCCTCTAGAACTCTCCCTCTTCCCTTCTTTCCTGCTAGGAAACTCAGACTTATGTTCAGTCCCAGCTAAAACATCCTCAGGACAGGCAGGCCTTTCAATTCTCCAGACCAGGTCTCACTGTGACTTGTCCTCCTAGCATCCTACACTTCTCATGTGCAATACCCAAGTCACCTGTAATTATTTTAGTATTTGCGAACTTGGTTTTTAAAATCTCTGTCTCCAGCTTTAGACAGTAAGCCCCACTGCTGTTTGTTTAGAGCCCAGCACAGAGCTGAATAATAGTAGGTCCTCAATAAATATCTGTTGGAAAGAAGGAAAGGATGCAGGGAAGGAAGGAGAGAGAATGTGTACCATTTGGGGAGAGGTATAGACGGACAATGAATCTATTAGGGTGAGATCTGCTTCCTTTTCTGTGATGTGACGAACTCTGTGCTGCTTGGGGGATACAAGTAAATCTCTAGGAATATCTTGGAGTCATGAAAGAAGAGAATGAGGGAGGGGCAGAGAAATGAGAGGAGGTGGAGACAATAGGCAGCAGGCTTGGGACTCGGTTTTGGAACAACGGGGAGATGGAGGGATGCAGATACAAACAAGGGGCAGACAGAGCTATGTCCCTCTGTCCCGTCAGCTTCTTTCATACTATGTGACCCAGGGTGGAGTTAACCTGGGGACAGCTAAAGCTCTCTATGCCAGTATATTATGGGAAGGTAATCAGAGAAGTCCCTACTGGGTGGTGATTTACTAAGTGGCCACTCTGATCAGAAGCTTCCAAGTTGTTTCATCCTCCCTAAAAGTAACTCTGTACCTCATTCAGAAGCTGCTACACACCTCCACCTCACCCAGCAGACCCACAGGATCACCCACCAGTTGGCACCATAATGCACAGGTGGCTTCAATGAGGAGGCTTCAGAAACACCAAGCACAAGCCTGTCACACGCACAACCCTGTTCTGTAGGGAAGAAAATCCATGCCATTTGGTGAAAACTCTACACAAACGCGTCCCTGCCAAACCAAACTGATTAAGCCAACCCAGCTGCTTGATTTAGTTGTGAATGACGAAGTTGTATAGGTTATGCAGGGAAATCTTGTTAATTTAAAACTCAGGAGATCAGACATTAATTCAAAAGTCAAAGTGAAACTATACATGTGTGGTTTCTGATATTTTTATTAATAGGACATTTTTGTCAGCTGGGAAATGGCAAAGGTTCTGAATTATGTGCTGTTTTGAATAAGCCATTAATGGATTTGGAAAGTTTTTTGCCATTCATGCTACAGGATGTAACAAATGACTTCAGGGCTTAGCACCAGTGATTTGCCTAGGCTGGTTCCGGTGAGAAAAGGATAGACCTAGCCATTTTCCTGCTACCAAATGGTTTTCATCCAGCACTCCATGGCTCAAGGAGCTGGTCTTTAGACACTGACAAAGAGAAAAATGAGAGGGGAAGGGAATAGGTGGCCCTGCAGGTCTGAATACTGCTGATTTTAAGTGACCTGTCACCACTGAGGAGTCAAATCATACGCTGTGCAGGGAAATTAGGTGTTGAGCCACTCCCCAGGTGCTCAGAAGAGGGGTTTTAAAAATCCATGTGTACCATGCGGCTGCTCACCCCTGCAGCTCCACTGTACAGTGGTACATGGATTTCCAAATTCCTTGTTCAGGCTGTCACTGTTGTCCCAGAAGGTCTTTTCCCCCATTCCAAACACTCAGGCAGTTCATTTTTTAAAATGAGGTCCCAGTGGTGAATTGAAAATAACACAGTTTTCAGATCGGCATCCCTTCCTGTCATGTCTTTCCCTAGAAAAGTGAATAAAGGCTCTTTGCTGCCCTTTGCTATGGATGTCTGGTTAGTTCTCACCATAACCGAATGAAGCCACGAATCTTCAGGTGGAGGGCAGAGCACCAGAAAGATTTGCAGAAGGAAGGGCCAGGGGGTGGGAGGGGGGTCACCGGAGTCCACAGTTGTTGTTTTTAGCACAGCCATTGACTTGCTCTGGGCCAGGCACTGCGGACATAGAAGGTGCTCTCATGGCCCAGCCCTGCCCTCAAGGGGCACACAACCTGGTGAGGGAGGCAGACATGGAAACAGACTATAATAACTAGGAAGTCACAAAAGCACCCCACCCCGTGCCCCTACCCCCCCACCCCCACAACACACACACACACCCTGAATTCTTCCCTTGCTCTCAGTCAGGTGCAAGGTGGGGGCCAGCCCTGGGAGGTGGCGGTCCCTGCCTGAGGAGGTATGGGCAGGCTTAGTATAGAAGTGCTTTCCCTGAGCACAGCAGCCCTCCCTGTGGGGTTGGTACCAATGCATTCTGCCTGTGGGCCTGTGGCTGTTCCTTCTCGGCTCCCACATTTTTTTTTTTTTTTGAGATGGAGTCTCGCTCTGTCGCTCAGGCTGGAGTGCAGTGGCAGGATCTCAGCTCACTGCAAACTCCGCCTTCCGGGCTTGGCTCCCACATTTCAAATCAGGCCTCCACATTCGTCAGAATCTTCTCTTGGGGAGTGTTTCAAGAGCCCTCTACATCACTTATATCACTGTGGACCAGGCCACACTTGTCTTTCCTCAGCTCAGAGCCCAGCTGGGTCATGCTCCCCAAACTGGAGGCCAGGTTCATGATGGCTTAACAGAACCAGGAGCTGGGGCTGGAAGGGAGGGAGTGTGGAGAACCAAAAATAATCGCTCAATTTCAGGCCTTGCTCAAGGCTAAGTGAATTTAATAATCCATAGATCATGCTATACAAATTGCATTTCACAGTTTAAAAAAAAAATAGTCTCACACTGTGTAGAATACTGGGTGGTTTATTTTACAAATAAATAACTGCACTCTAAACAGCTCTATTTCCTTAGCAATCACTCTTAGAGAGCACATTGACTTTCTGGCTCTCCTCTCTCCCTCCTTCACAGACCATAACTTCATTGCCAAAGAGTCTTTATTTATCAAACTAATCACTACGTGAACAAAAGAGAAAACGGATGGCATTTATTAAGTGCTAACTATATGTTAGGCAATATCCAGCATGCCCTACATATATCATTGCATTCAATGCTCATAATATGAAGTAAGGAATGTAATCCCATTTTACAGATGAGGAAACTCAGAATCAGAGAGGTTAGGGAACTTAACTCAAGTTCACATAATGAATACTTACAGCCCAGACCTCGTAAAACAAAATGTCCGACTAAATAGCAAATGGTCTCCCCATGAAGAACCACGTGCCAGGATCCCAGTATAAGATGAACTTGGGATTGGGAGGAGCCAGACTTCCCAGGATGTCCTGGCCATCTGCATTTCTGATGTTGCTTCTGAGGATAATGCTTATATTCCAATCCACGCAATGAGAGAGCCAAGCCTGCTGAGAGCGCTAAGGTAACACTCAGGTTTGAAACCTGGTCTAGTTTGAAAGGTGGGAGCTGAGAAGTAACAGCCACAGGCAGAATACATTGGTACCAACCCCACGGGGAGGGTTGCTGTGCTCAGGGAAAGCACTTCTATGCTGAGCCTGCCTGCCCACACCTCCTCAGGCAGGGACCGCCACCTCCCAGGGCTGGCCCCCACCTTGCGCCTGACTGAGGGCAAAGGAAGAATTCAGGGGGAGTGTGATGGGGGGTGGGGTAGGGGCACAGGGTGGGGTGCTTTTATAGCTCCCTAATTATTATAGTCTGTTTCCATGTCTGCCTCCCTTACCAGATTGTGTGTCCCTTGAGGGCAGGGCTGGGCCATGACAGCACCCTTCTTCCTTTAACCACTTGTGGTGGGCAACAGCTCAAGCTAAACCAGGGTGCGTGTTTGGTCAGAGGAGAGAGAGGAAGGTGGGAGGGTCTGGATTTGTGTGTTCTGAGCTGCTCATTGGGAGCTGGGGGTGAGCATGGAGGCGGGGGTCCCTGTGCCTCATCTCTCATATCTCACTGCAAGAATCCAGCAGAAGGACCTGCTGATGGAACGTCAAGGCTAAGGAAGACAGAAGCAGCACTTCTCCAGAAGCAGCACGTCTTACAAGTCAACCCAGTTCTACCCGGTCCAGAAAGGGACCTTCTGTGACTTATTCTGTGGGTAAGTGAAAGAGATACGGTCTCTGCCCATGAGGCAGGCTTACATTCTAAGTCAGGAGTGCTTGATATTTACCCCACCTATGTCATAGTGTTGTAAGAATTCAGGGTAATAACAATAGCAGCTCACTGAATGCTAGACCGTGAGCTAAGGGCTTTAAATGCATCGTCTCGCCTTCCCCCAAACCTCTGTGAGGTGGGAATTACTATCCTCACTTTCCACAGCAGGAAGCTGAGGTTAAGCACGTTTGTCCTGGTGTCTCAGCCAGGAAGTGGTGGAGCTGGAATCAAACCAACTCTACCAAACCCCAGAGCCCAGGCTCTGAACCTTCACCCCACACAACCGGTTCAGATGAGGGTGAGTGGAAATGCTTTGGAAACCACGAAGCAAGGTGCAAATGCCAATGATTATTTGGGTTCATAGGACAGACTGATGGAGAATCTATCTTGAAAAGAACCAGCCCACTCAATTTCAGAGATGACTCAAGTAATCTGGAAGAGATTGGCAGTATCATGTTTCCAACTAGTTTTGTTCATTTGGAAAAGGATTCAGGTTAGGATTAGAAAGCAGATAAACCTCTTTTACCGCAGGCCTCTGAGCAACAGTGGCTCTCAGTATCCCAAGTTGTGAGTGGGGCAAAATCTTCTTGATTCCGGGGAGGGGATACATAGAACTCCCTTCTGGTCCAGCAGGCAGCATAGTAACCTCACTTCCTCATGCAATGTTCTTTTCCTCACTATTGTCTCCCCTCCTTGGAGAGAAGTAGAATCACAGGTGCCTGGAGGACTTTCATGGCACTAGAGAGACCAGGCTGACGCTTGGCTCCCCTTTCCCTGGTCCCAGGCTACATCAACATCTGTTCCACACTGTTGTTTGGGGGTCATGAGACCTCCAGTCTGTAATGGGATGGTCATATTCAAAAGGACAATGGCCTTTACAATGACCTGGTTCTCCCTCCCCACCAGGCTCTGGCTCCCACATTTGAGGTGCTCCAAGCAGTTCAGCGGTTCAGCTGTTTGCATTAATGATGACTCTGGCGGCAGGCAGGCAGGCAGGCAGGCACACCGTCTGAGATGCAGTCCTCATTCTTGTTATCGAATCCCCTAAAGCAATTGCTAACCCCCTGCTATCACCTGGCAGGCTAGAAGGAGCTCATTAAGAGGCAGAAAACTCCCCAACATGTCCAAAAACTCCATTCTCTGGAGAGCTGCCCACTGAGGCAGATAAACCTTGAGTTGTGTCAACTTTCATTTAAACCCAAACAACCTCTGGCCTTGTTCTCTGTGTCGGCTGAGCCTTGGTTAATGTCACAGAACATATACTAAAAGGAACTGGGAGGGAAGGAAGAAAGGATGCAAAATTTGTATTTAAATTGCTCCTCCCCAATCCTTAAAAACATGGAGGCATCTAGGAACCCATAGCTATGATTCTCTGGTGGTGGGAGGGAGGGGTTTTCTAGCCAAGAGAACTAAGATCCCTGATCCTGTGCTTCAAACGAGGCTACTTGGTTCCACTTTCATTACCTTAGTCTGGGAAAGTGAGGATAGGTGAATGTAGAGCTAGATAATCAAATCGTTGTTTTTCTTGTGTTGTTTCCTGAAGAAATTCTATAGATGAGACTGAGCAAACTAAGATCTGGAAAAAGTCTTGAAGATGCACAGCATGGTAAAGCAAAATGACTTGGGCTTTGCACCACAAAGACATTGTTGACACAAGGACATATGACAGGATGACATAGCTAAGAAGTTGAGTCTACAACAGAGAATGGGCAAGTGACTTAATCTCGCTTTCTGCCTCAGTATTTCTCACCTGTACTATGGGGATAATAACATCACCTACCTTGTAAACTATTGGAAAGATTAAATGATATGGTTGCTCTGTTTAGAGCCTAATATGGTACCTGGCACATGTAACTTCCCTCCATCTCCCTTTCTCTCTTATTTAAAAAAAAAAAAAAAAAAAATCAGAGGCCCAGAGACAATAAAGAGGGCTGCCAAAAGCCACAGAGCTAGATCCAGCTAGTGGAAATGGGCAAGTATCAGTCTCCTAACACTTTCTGCTTTTTCCTAGCTACATCTTGACATTCTGCTGAATTACCCTTGGCAAATGGATGTGGCTCGAGAGACCAGAGTCCCTACCCAGTTAAAATTCAAATCTTAGCTCCAAAATTTACTATGTGAATATGGCATAATTCCATCAAGTACCTTGTATCAGCTTCCTTATCTATAAAGTGGGGATCATAGCAACTTCATAAGGTTTGTGATGAGGATTAAACAAGTTAACATGAATAAAGTGCCTAGTCCCATGCCTGGTGCCTCCCAGGAGTTCAGAGTCCCCTCCCTCAGCTCCTTCTTCACTGTATCTCCCACAGTGTCCAGCACAGTGCTCTACCTGCAGGATGTATTCTGATCTTTGTTGGCCAGTAGGACTAAAAAAAAACCACCTGCCAGAAAAATGTAGCCTTCTGGTCACCAAATTCAAAGGGGGCCCTGTCTATCTTCAGGACCACATTCCTTATTTCCTCTTCCCGTGTTTGACTGTCTGTTTTGCACCTGTGCACCATGTTCTCAATCTTCTGCATGCCTCTCTTCAACCCCAGGACCAGACCACAGTCCACCTCCCATTCACCCAGTGCCTGATTCTCCATTGATAAATAATGATGGTGGTGATGATGAAGATGGAGATGATGATGGCAGTGATAGCAGAGATGGTGGTTGTGGTAGTTAACTTTTATTGAACTTTTACTCTGGGCCAGACATTTTCCTATTCTTCATATAGATTTCTTTCTCCAAGTCCCATAATATCCATATGCCTATTTATAAAAAAGTTTAAGTAATTCACAGGGCTAAGTGATGGAGTTGGAATTCACATCTAGGCATTCTAACTCCAGAGTCTACACAGTTAACCACTAGAAAAGCCTGAAAACGACCTCTCAGGGGAGATCTTATTCTATATTTTATAATAATTAGTAATAATATAATAATTAGTAATAATAATAATAAAGGAACAACAGCAATAACAATGTAATTATTAAGGTAGTATTAGCTGCTTTAACAGGTAAGATCCAAACTCTTGGTGGTTCAACACAAAGGGAACTCATTCCTTGTTCATACAGAGTTCAATGATAGAGTGAGGGGAGGAGCAGGTGGGCAGTGGGGGGCCGGTTCTACAGCCATTCAGGGATCCAGGCTGATGGTTGCTGCACCATCTTCAGCACATGGTTAAACCACAGCAAGAACATTTTATGAGCCCATCTGGAAGAGGCATTACATCACTTCTATCCACGCTGTATTTGCCAGAACTTAGCCACATGACTTTCCCTAGATGCAAGAAAGGTTGAGGAATGGAGTTCCTGGCTGGGCAGGGCTTCTGAGCAATAACTCTTCACTGTGGAGGGGGAGCCCAAATCTTTGGAGACAGCTAGCCATTTCTACCACAAACAACAATAGCAGCAACCATAAAGATAATAATAAGGGCCAGGCACAGTGGCTCATGCCTGTAATCCCAGCACTTTGGGAAGCCCAGGCAGGCGGATCACAAGGTCAAGAGATGGAGACCATCCTGCCCAAGATGGTGAAACCTCGTCTCTACTAAAAATACAAAAATTAGCCAGTCGTGGTGTCATGGTGGCTGGTGCCTATAGTCCCAGCTACTCAGAAGGCTGAGGCAGGAGAATCACTTGAACCTGGGAAGCAGAGGTTGCAGTGAGCCGAGATTGCGCCACTGCACTCCACTCCAGCTTGGCAACAGAACAAGACTCCGTCTCAAAAAAATAATAATAACGATAATAATAATAATAAGAGGAGTTGTCCCTTATTGAACACTCACTACGCATCTATACTAGGCTCTGTGCTAAGTACTTGATACAATTATATCTACTTTTCTGAACTCTAAAACATAGATGTTATTATGCCTATTTTACAGAGAAGAAAACTGACATTTTAGAAGATGTGAAGAATTTGCTCAATCTCACACACCTATCAAGGGGCAGATCCAAATTCCAAGCCAGATGTCTTAGTCTGGGTCTTGTAGAAAGCAGAGCTTGAGCAGTGTAAACACTCTTTGGGAAGTGCAAGCCCAGGACAGTGAGAAAGAGGAGAGAAGAAAACCCATGTGAAGAAAGGAGCAAAAGGATGCAAAGAGATGCCTTAGTGTGCTGGCCACTGCTTTACCACAAGCTGCTGGCAGATGCAGCAGGTCACCTGACAGGTGTCCTTGCTCAGCATGTGGGACTTTCTGCAAAAGATTTGCAAGGACAAACTGTATCTCAGAGTGGTCCATGGCAGGGAGAGAGAGTGGGGATGCACTGCCCATCTCTTTCAAGTTTCTTCCTTCTCATTGGTCCAACTCCATGGAGAGCTGACTGTATACTTCTCCGTCATTGCAGACCATTGGTGGCCACTGAGAAGGTCAGAAACCATATCCTGCAGTGTAGCATTTCATCCAAGTGTCGCAGTGGAGGAGCAACTCAGCAAGGATAAGGCCTGGCATAGAGGGCATGAAGGCCATGCTGTCCCAGGGCTTCAGCTCAGAGATTCTAGCAAGGATGCTGCCATAGGTGGCAGCAGGACAAGGTAACTGTGACTTCAGGAAGAAGGAAGTGGTATGAGGAATATGATGCCCAAGATTCATGTCTCATTCCCAAAGCTCAAGCTCTTTTTACTACGTTACCTGGCCTCCCTCTCCAGTTAGATCTAAATGTGGGTGTTTCAGACACCTTGATGGGTAGGTAGGGGGACCTCTTTGGGCGGGACTGCATCTCAGATCTTATCCTAAAAGGGACCACATTTCTCCCGATGGTGGAAGGGGCAGCTGAAATTAAAACACCAAAAACACAGGACAATCCACTTCTAAGCTGCTTTAGTCAAGGGAAACAAGCACATTCTTGAAGCTACTGGAAGAGAGAGAATGATACTTTTTATATAGCCTATTGTCACACTTGCTGTAAAGGTTGGGACTCTAGGGCCAAGGCAGCCACAGGGGGACTTGTTTAAGTTTACACAGCCAGTTGGTGGCAGGGTGGAACCAGAGCCCTGGGCCCTTGCTATGATGCCACCATCTCCCAACATCACTGCAGGCTTCTGCAGGCCACCTGAGCCCTGCCCTCTGATCCTGGCCAGCTCTCCCACACCTGGGCTCTCCCAGCAACAGCAGAGAAAGGTCAACTTCTCACATTTGAGAAATGCACCTCCTTTCTAGCCATATCCACCACCAGCGCATGAGTCACCTCTCTGGGGAAAGCCCTCCTCTGTGTTGAGTCATTTCACCTTTGGTTTTGAGTGATTCCAAACCCACAGACGTAATTATCCTTATGTATCAGCCAGCCTTATCACAAGAACTCAGCAACTTGCCTGTGCCGCCAGCAAAAACCAGATAGGAGCGGGAACTGTTTGAAAGCCTCAGGCAATGAGCAGGGGAAATAGGAATGGAGGCCCAGCCTCTTGCCAGGCCAGCCCCCTTTCCTCAACCATTAGGATTTCTGAGAGGGCCTCTGGGATGATGGGGAGGAGGGAGAGTGCAGGTGTGAGTGCACACAGTCTCCCCTCCCCAGGGCCCTCACATTCGGAGCTCCACTCCACTTCCGCCACAGCAGTCCCTGTTTCTAAAACTGGAGATTGCTAGACCAGGAAATGGCAGGCCTGAGCCAGTGGTTCCCAAGCAGCCCTGCCCCGCCTGCCAAGCCATTAGGAGGAGGATTGAGATGATGGGGGAACAGAGCAGGCACAATTAAACCACACGTTGCTATCTTGCAAATGGCATGAGCAATGTGATTTAACAGCTCATTATTAATGGGAAAAATAGATAAGGACCAGGTTCGGTGTCCAGAGGAGAGCTCCCAGACCAAATTGAATACGTGCTAATGCTTGCTTTCAAGCCAGCGGCTGACAGAAGGGTGGATTCCACTCCTGCCCAACTTAGCACCCCCAGCCCCTGGCTCCCTGCTGAAGCCAAGGGAGAAAATGGGCTCCGATAAATTGTCTGCTGCAACCAACATCCTCTCTTTGAGAATAACAACCACAAGAGAAGCACCACATCTGTTGTTTCACAAAATTGGTTAAAAAATAAATAAGAAGTAGCAGCCCACTTACAAGTGCCCACCATAAGACAGAATGAAGGAGTGGGTTGTTTCTAAAAGATTAGGAAGAAATGACGTGCAATGACTTCAGTCTTCTCTGAATCAGATCTCAGTTTCATGCTCTTACTGCTATCTGTACACAGGGCATTGTCAGCCTGTTGAAGGGTGTGTGTGTGTGTGTGTGTGTGTGCGTGTGTGTGTGTGTGTGTCCCAGTGTCCTTTCTTGTACCTCTCCGATCTGTTCTCCTCACAGCAGCCAATGTGATTTGATCACATATCTCTCATGTTTAAAACATTTCAATATCTCACTAGGACTCTTAAGTCAAAAACCAAAATCTCCAACATGGCTGAGAGACCTTGTAGGGGAATCTCCTCCAGGCTCTAGACCCATCCATCTCCAGCCATTCTCCTAGATGATCCCCAGGGTCCAGCCACACTGGCCTTTTGTCCTGCCAAGGCCTTTGCATCGTATTCCTCCCCCGGCATGAGACATTCTTCCCACCTCCTTTTGCCCCTTCTAAACCTAGTTAAACATCAATATCTCAATAAAGGCTTCCTGGGCTTTCTCCTTTATGTGCCCTTCCATCATCCTGTACATCTTCTTTGTATCATGTGCCACAGTTTTAATTACACAATTATTTGTATGGTTAGTTATTTAATGCCTGTTTTCCTCATTACACTGCAAACAATGACAGCAAGGTCAAACTGCATTTTTTCTGTACTGGTTTCTAGACGCTGTGGAAGATTGGCCTACTTAGCGATGGGGCAGAGGTGTTTCAAGATGTTTATCCTGCACAAAGAAAATAATGGGAATAGTTGTTGAGGGAGGGTGAAGGTTAAACCAAGCCTCCATTCATTCATTGAGTTAGTCAATCACCTAGAGTTCACTGAATGCCTAGTCGATGCCAGGAGGTGTGTAGACTGGGCAGTCAGGTTCAACAGTTAACAAGACAGCCATGGCTTGGTATTCTGTGCCCATCTCTCACCCCCTTACCATACTTGACTGCACTTAACCTAACACAGTCAGTACTTTCAGCATCCTCAGTACCAAATAAATGTTCAATGCAAGAATGAATGACTAGAGTTATATAAGACTCCCATGAGACAATCAGCCAGGAGCATAACCTAGCCCCTCTCCTTACCCCGTTCTCAACTTCCCAGACCCACCCTCTATTCCAACCATACCGACCCCAGCAGCTTGGACAATACTAGTTACACCCTTGTACAGGTTACAACCTTTCCCTTTGCCTAACTCCAACTCATCCTGAAGCACTTGGTTTAACCATCACTTCCTTCAGGATGCCTTCCCTGTCCTGACCATCACCACCACCACCACCCTCACTAGACCCAAGACTGACAACTTAAGACTGAGTTGGGATTCTTGCCATGGCTTCCCATAGCACCCACTATCTCCCCTGCTAATTGTCTGTCCTCCCCACTAGACAGTAGCTTCATGCAGACAGCAACCACGTCCATCTGGTATACCAGCCATTTGCCTGACACATAGTAGGCCCTGAAAGATTATTTTTTACGTGTGTGATCGACTAAACATTTGAGTGGCAATTGAACATAAAGAAAGAATGCTTCTATTATCTAGCTTTTAATTATATAACTTCAAATACATGGGCGTTTTGCTGAAGGTCTGGTCAAAAGGGTAAGTTACTTTTAAAAATTGTACTTGTAATTAATTTTTTTAAACCAATTTGTATGTTACTCTCAATATCCCACATTATCCTTGGCTATACCTGCAGCCCTGGGTAATGAGGACTGATGTTCAGAATGAATGGAAGATTAAATCACGCTCAGCGCATGTAAGAAAAATGAATTCTGACATGTTCTAAGGATTTTTAACAAGGGTTGAAACAAAAGAGGATTTCTAATTAACCCTCAGTTACCTAGGAAATTGCATCAGTCACAGTGTTCATTCATAAAAATGTATTTCTTGATCATGTCATGTATGAATGATTAAGGAGCCAAATATGTGAATGAGCACATTGGGACATAGAAAATAAACACAGGTATCATGTTGGGCCTATTACATAGGTTATCCCATCCACAGCTCGCAACCTCTCTGTGAGGTCAATATTATCACTGCCACTTTTTTTTAACTTTTAAATTCAGGGGTACATGTGCAGGTTTGTTACATAAGTAAAATGAATGACTCTTCCTATATCCTTTTTCTAAGGACCGGTGTGATTATGTGGTGCCCATCTGGATGATCCAGGGTAATCTCATTTCAGGAGGTTTGTTGTACAAAATTTCATCACCCAGGTATTAAGCCTAGTACCTATTAGTTATTTTTTTCTGATCCTCTCTCTCCTCCTACCCTCCACCCTCTTATAGACCCCAGTGTGTATCACTGCCACTTAGCTGGTATGATATTGTGATACAATAAGAAATATATATTTGGTCTTTGTCTTGGGTTCCTGGCAGAGAGTTTCTAAAACGCTTGGAACTTCCCGAGCCATAGGAGTGAAAGGAGCATCTTTTGCTATTCATACAAGCCCCTTCCAACCACACCTGAGTTTATGATAATGAGGTGACCCTTTGTGGGCCCCTAGAAAACTTCAAGATGGGGGCTGGCTGCCAGAGGAACCAACCATGCAATTAGAGGATTGGAGCAATCAGCCCTCTCCACTCCCCAATTCCAGGGAGGAGGGAGGGGCTGGCGATTGAGCTAATCACTAATGGCCAATGATTTAATCAATTATGCCACTTAATGAAACCTCTACAAAAAAAAAAATCTCTAAACTTCTAAGTTTAGACAGCCTTTGGGTTTAGAGAGCCTTTGGGTTGGAATGCATCCACATGCCAGGAGGGTGGCACACTCTAATTTTACAGAATGGAGACTCCTGCAATCAGGATC
The DNA here is from genome assembly GCF_000001405.40 of Homo sapiens. Lineage (NCBI taxonomy): Eukaryota > Metazoa > Chordata > Mammalia > Primates > Hominidae > Homo > Homo sapiens. Next base: position 19,438,772 of record NC_000011.10, on the reverse strand, counting down.
TTTCCAGACCTCATCTTATGCAACTCTCCTTTGGACTACTAATCTGTACCGTTTATAATAAACCAGTCAATGTAAATAAAATGCTTTCCTGAGTTCTGTGAGCCATTCTAGCAAATTATCAAACCCAAGGAAGGAGGTGTGGAAAATCCTAATTTATAGCTGATTGGTCAATGTCACTGGGTAGTTAGAGTCAGAATTGAATGGAATTGTTGGAATGGTTGGTGTCTGGAGAGTATGAAAATTGGTTGTTGGTGTGGAAAACCCTCACATTTGGTGTTAGAAGTGTTATGAGTTAAAAACAGATCATAGTAGCTGGTAAAACAGACTCTGAGATACAGAATAAGTTCCCCAGGATTGCACAGGTGACAAGGGCTAAAGACAAGATTTGAGAATAGGGCTGCTTGCATCCAAACCTGTGCTTCCCCTGCTCCCTGTCTTGCCACACACAGTGGTTGATGACTGCTACTTAATCTTCGGAAGCCTCAGCTTCTTCACCTGTAGACTGGGATAACAATAGTACCCATGAGGTTGCTGTTAAGGATTGACAAGACAGTCCATGGAGAGTACCTTGGTGCACATTAAAGCACAACGATGAGGCCACAGGGAACTCCTCTTTTAACCCTGAGAATGAAATGACTATAGAACAAGGGATGGGTGATAGTGGATCAGAAGTCAGGTGAGGCCAGAGTCAAAAGTAGAAGCACTTTATGTCATTGCCAAGGAGGCGGCTTGGAACCTAGCCCCAGTGAAGGCTTTTCATTCTTTTAAGAATTCATTCCAGAGACATTAAATCACCAGTGATTATGTTGGCACAGAGGGTGATATTATGGAGAAAAATACACATATCAATGACTCAGAAGTGATTCTGAAAACTCAGCCTCTAATTGGAGATGTTTGAGGAATACTTATTCAATGTATTTTGCCTGTCTTTTTTATGCTTGCACAATAGTTATATGATAGAAAGTTATGTCTAGTTAAGTATAAGAAAACTTTATAATGGGTAGAAACATTTGAAGTGATGAGAATGCATCGTTTCATAGTTTAATTGGCAGTAACTTTTTTTTCTGAGTGGCACATAAATCATAGTGAATGTTATAACCAATGGTTTTTGAGATTTGATGAAATGCAACAACCTTTTTACAAATAGACATTTGGATATTTGACCCATTTGTGAGCTTTAACTGCCTAAAGAAGGAATTCAGCCAAAGGTATAAAAGACTATTGTCCCCAGTATTTTCCAGAGTTAATTTTGCTGGAAAATAATGGTGCAAAGAAAGACAAGAGGACAGAAGGAAGGGGATGGAAAAGAGAAAAGGGAAGCAGAGTGTGGGGTGGGGTTGGAAACAGATTGTATATATTAACACTTGGATACAGGTTTAATCTGATTGATAGGAATAAATATTTAAAGGATGACACCAAGACACTGTGAAATCCTCAGTCATCAAGCAGAGATTACCATGTACATTTGGGAAGATAGTGGGTTTTGAGTTGAAAGTTTTCCAAGGATTGGAAAAAAGTATTTGTCTGGTTAGCCTTAAGTAATCAGAAACTAATGAACCTGGGACCTTCCAGTTAAATGAGTTGATAGTAGTAGCTTTATCTCATGAGTGGTCAGTTTCCTTTGTGATAGATCACATTATCTAGAAATGCACTGCTGCTTTCACAGTCTTGCCTACCTCATTTTAGTAATTAGGCAAGAAAAAGAAAGAAAAGGCATCCAAATAGTAAAGGAAGAAGTGAAACTGTCTCTGCTGACTACATGATCTTATGTATAGAAAATCCTTTAGACTCCACCAAAAATGTGTTATAACTTATAAAAGAACTTAGTAAAGTTACAGGATATAAAATCAATATACAGACACCAGTAGCATTTCTATACACTAACAATGAACTATTTGAAAAAAGAAATTATGAAAACAATCCTATTTATAAAAGCATCAAAGAAAATAAGATTTAACCCAGGAAATGAAAGCTCTGTATACTGAAAAGCATAAAATATTGATAAAAAATTGAAGATGACACAAATAAACGGAAAGGTGTTTCCATGTCTTCTAACCTATGTTCATGAAGTAGAACAATTAGTATTGTTAAAATGTCCATACTACCCAAAGCAATCTATAGATTCAATGAAATCCCTATCAAAATTCCAATGTCATTTTTCACAGAAATAGGAAAAACAATCCTAAAATTCAATGGAACCATGAGAGACCCCAAATAGCCAAAGCAATATTGACCAAAGGAAAAAAAACAAAGCTTGGTGGCATCACACTACAAGATTTCAAAATGTATTACAAAGCTATAGTAATCAAAACAGCATGTTACTGGCATAAAAACACACATAGACCAATGGAATAGGCTACAGAGCCCAGAAATAAATTCACATATCTATGATCAACTGCTTTTCAACAAAGATGCCAAGAACACACAATGGGGGAAAGAACAGTCTCTTAAATAAACAATTTTCGGATAACTGGACATCTACATGCAGAATAATGAAATTAAATTCTTGACTTATGCCATATATAAGAATCAAGTCAAAATGGATTAAAGACTTAAACACTTAAATATCAGACCTGGAACTGAAAAATTACTAGAGGCAAACATAGGAGAAAAGCTCTATGATGCTTGTCTGGGCAATGATTTCTTGGATGTGACCCCAAAATCATAGGCAACGAAAGCAAAAATAAACAAATGGGACTGCATCACACTAAAAAGCTCCACAACAAAGGAAGCAATTAATAGAATGAAGAGACGACACAGAGACTGGGGGGAAATATTTGCAAATCATACATTGGATAAGGAGCTGATATCCAAAATAGATGAAGAACTCAAATTTCTCAATAACAAGAACACAAATAACCGTATTAAAAAATAGGCAAAGGACTTGAATACTTTCTGAAATGAAGACATACAAATGGCCAACAGATATAGGAAAAATGCTCAACATCTCAATCATCAGCAAAATGAAACTTAAAACCACAATGAGCTATCATCTCACACCTGTTAGGCTGGCTATTATCAAAAAGGCAAAGATGACAAGTGTTGGTGAGACTATGGAAGAAAGAGAACGCTTGTACACTGTTGGTGGTACTGTAAATCAGTATAGGCATTTTGGAAAACAGTATGGAGGTCCTTTGAAAAACTAAAAATAGAATTACCACATGACCCAGCAATCCACTTCTGGGTATATACTCAAAGGAATTGAAATCAATGTCAAAGAGATGTCTGCACTCCCACGTTCACTGTAGCAGTATTCACAATAGCCAAGATATGGAAACAATTGAAATGCCCATCAACAGATGAATAGAGTTTTTAAATGTGGTATGTATACACAATGGAATATTACTCATCCATTAAAAAAACAGAAACATCTGCCATTTGTGACAACATGGATGAACCTAGAGGACATTATGCCAAGTGAAATAAGCCAGGCACAGAGAGACAAATACGATATGGTCTCGCTTATATATGGAATCCAAAAAAGCCAGACTCATAGAAGAAAGAGTAAAATGGTGGTTACCAGAAGCTGGTGGTGGGGTGGGAAAGGTGGACAGGGAAAGGCAAGACATTGGTCGGAGGATATAGTTTCAGTTAGATAGGCATAGCATGGTGACTATAATTAATAATAATGTATTGTACATTTCAAAATAGTTTAAAAAGAGGATTTTAAATGTTTTCACCACAAAGAAATGATATATATTTGAGGTGACGAATATGCTAGTCTAATTTGATCATGCCACAATGTATATATGTACTGAAACATTATACCATA